>NC_000005.10:52609807-53234807 GCF_000001405.40 Homo sapiens
TGTCTGTTATTGGTGTATAAGAATGCCTGTGATTTTTGTACATTGATTTTGTATCCTGAGATTTTGCTGAAGTTGCTTATCAGCTTAAGGAGATTTGGGGCTGAGACGATGGGGTTTTCTAGATATACAATCATGTCATCTGCAAACAGGGACAATTTGACTTCCTCTTTTCCTAATCGAATACCCTTTATTTCCTTCTCCTGCCTAATTGCCCTGACCAGAACTTGCAACACTATGTTGAATAGGAGTGGTGAGAGAGGGCATCCCTGTCTTGTGCCAGTTTTCAAAGGGAATGCTTCCAGTTTTTGCCCATTCAGTATGATATTGGCTGTGGGTTTGTCCTAGATAGCTCTTATTATTTTGAGATACATCCCATCAATACCTAATTTATTGAGAGTTTTTAGCATGAAGGTTGTTGAATTTTGTCAAAGGCCTTTTCTGCATCTATTGAGATAATCATGTGGTTTTTGTCTTTGGTTCTGTTTATATGCTGGATTACATTTATTGATTTGCGTATATTGAACCAGCCTTGCATCCGAGGGATGAAGCCCACTTGATCATGGTGGATAAGCTTTTTGATGTGCTGCTGGATTTGGTTTGCCAGTATTTTAATTGAGGATTTTTGCATCAATGTTCATCAAGGATATTGGTCTAAAATTCTTTTTTGGTTGTGTCTCTGCCCAGCTTTGGTATCAGGATGATGCTGGCCTCATAAAATGAGTTAGGGATGGTTCCCTCTTTTTCTATTGATTGGAATAGTTTCAGAAGGAATGGTACCAGCTCTTCCTTGTACCTCTGGTAGAATTTGGCTGTGAATCCATCTGGTCCTGGACTCTTTTTGGTTGGTAAGCTATTGATTATTGCCACAATTTCAGAGCCTCTTATTGGTCTATTCAGAGATTCAACTTCTTCCTGGTTTAGACTTGGGAGGGTGTATGTGTCGAGGAATTTATCCATTTCTTCTAGATTTTCTAGTTTATTTGCGTAGAGGTGTTTATAGTATTCCCTAATGGTAGTTTGTATTTCTTTGGGATCGGTGGTGATATCCCCTTTATCATTTTTTATTGCCTCTATTTGATTCTTCTCTCTTTTCTTCTTTATTAGTCTTGCTAGCGGTCTATCAATTTTGTTGATCCTTTCAAAAAACCAGCTCCTGGATTCATTAATTTTTTGAAGGGTTTTTTGTGTCTCTAATTCCTTCAGTTCTGCTCTGATTTTAGTTATTTCTTGCCTTCTGCTAGCTTTTGAATGTGTTTGCTCTTGGTTTTCTAGTTCTTTTAATTGTGATGTTAGGGTGTCAATTTTAGATCTTTCCTGCTTTCTCTTGTGGGCATTTAGTGTTATAAATTTCCCTCTACACACTGCTTTGAATGTGTCCCAGAGATTCTGGTATGCTGTGTCTTTGTTCTCGTTGGTTTCACAGAACATCTTTATTTCTGCCTTCATTTCGTTATGTACCCATTAGTCATTCAGGAGCAGGTTGTTCAGTTTCCATGTAGTTGAGCGGTTTTGAGTGAGTTTCTTAATCCTGAGTTCTAGTTTGATTGCACTGTGGTCTGAGAGACAGTTTGTTATGATTTCTGTTCTTTTACATTTGCTGAGGAGAGCTTCACTTCCATCTATGTGGTCAATTTTGGAATAGGTGTGGTGTGGTGCTGAAAAAATGTATATTCTCTTGATTTGGGGTGGAGAGTTCTGTACATGTCTATTAGGTCCGCTTGGTGCAGAGCTGAGTTCAATTCCTGGATATCCTTGTTAACTTTCTTTCTTGTTGATCTGTCTAATGTTGACAGTGGGGTGTTAAAGTCTCCCATTACTATTGTGTGGGAGTCTAAGTCTCTTTGTAGGTCACTCGGGACTTGCTTTATGAATCTGGGTGCTCCTGTATTGGGTGCATATATATTTAGGATAGTTAGCTCTTCTTGTTGAATTGATCCCTTTACCATTATGTAATGGCCTTCTTTGTCTCTTTTGATCTTTGTTGGTTTAAAGTCTGTTTTATCAGAGACTAGGATTGCAACCCCTGCCTTTTTTTGTTTTCCATTTGCTTGGTAGATCTTCCTCCATCCTTTTATTTTGAGCCTATGTGTGTTTCTGCACGTGAGATGGGTTTCCTGAATACAGCACACTGATGAGTCTTGACTCTTTATCCAATTTGCCAGTCTGTATCTTTTAATTGGAGCATTTAGTCCATTTACATTTAAAGTTAACATTGTTATGTGTGAATTTGATCCTCTCATTATGATGTTAGCTGGTTATTTTGCTCGTTAGTTGATGCAGTTTCTTCCTAGCCTCGATGGTCTTTACAATTTGGCATGATTTTGCAGTGGCTGGTACTGGTTGTTCCTTTCCATGTTTAGTGCTTCCTTCAGGAGCTGTTTTAAGGCAGGCCTGGTGGTGACAAAATCTCTCAGCATTTGCTTGTCTCTAAAGGATTTTATTTCTCCTTCACTTATGAAGCTCAGTTTGGCTGGATATGAAATTCTGGGTTGAAAATTCTTTTCTTTAAGAATGTTGAATATTGGCCCCCACTGTCTTCTGGCTTGTAGAGTTTCTGCCGAGAGATCCGCTGTTAGTCTGATGGGCTTCCCTTTGTGGGTAACCCGACCATTCTCTCTGGCTGCCCTTAACATTTTTTCCTTCATTTCAACTTTGGTGAATCTGACAATTATGTGTCTTGGAGTTGCTCTTCTCGAGGAGTGTCTTTGTGGCGTTCTCTGTATTTCCTGAATCTGAATGTTGGCCTACCTTGCTACATTGGGGAAGTTCTCCTGGATAATATCCTGCAGAGTGTTTTCCAACTTGGTTCCATTCTCCCCGTCACTTTCAGGTACACCAATCAGATGTAGATTTGGCCTTTTCACATAGTCCCATATTTCTTGGAGGCTTTGTTCGTTTCTTTTTATTCTTTTTTCTCTTAACTTCCCTTCTCACTTCAGAAATCAAACTTACAAGGGACGTGAAGGACCTCTTCAAGGAGAACTACAAACCACTGCTCAATGAAATAAAAGAGGATACAAAGAAATGGAAGAACATTCCATGCTCATGGATAGGAAGAATCAATATCATGAAAATGGCCATACTGCCCAAGGTAATTGATAGATTCAATGCCATCCTCATCAAGCTACCAATGACTTTCTTCACAGAGTTGGAAAAAACTACTTTAAAGTTCATATGGAACCAAAAAAGAGCCGGCATTCCCAAGTCATTCCTAAGCCAAAAGAACAAAGCTGGAGGCATCACACTACCTGACTTCAAACTATACTACAAGGCTACAGTAACCAAAACAGCATGGTACTGGTACCAAAACAGAGATATAGACCAATGGAACAGAACAGAGCCCTCAGAAATAATGCCACATATCTACAACTATCTGATCTTTGACAAACCTGACAAAAACAAGAAATGGGGAAAGGATTCCCTATTTAATAAATGGTGCTGGGAAAACTGGCTAGCCATATGTAGAAAGCTGAAACTGGATCCCTTCCTTACACCTTATACAAAAATCAATTCAAGATGGATTAAAGATTTAAACGTTAGACCTAAAACCATAAAAACCCTAGAAGAAAACCTAGGCATTACCATTCAGGACATAGGCATGGGCAAGGACTTCATGTCCAAAACACCAAAAGCAATGGCAACAAAGGCCAAAATTGACAAATGAGATCTAATTAAACTAAAGAGCTTCTGCACAGCAAAAGAAACTACCATCAGAGTGAACAGGCAACCTACAAAATGGGAGAAAATTTTCGCAACTGACTCATCTGACAAAGGGCTAATATCCAGAATCTACAATGAACTCAAACAAATTTACAAGAAAAACACAAACAACCCCATGAACAAGTGGGCAAAGGACATGAACAGACACTTCTCAAAAGAAGACATTTATGCAGCCAAAAAACACATGAAAAAATGCTCATCATCACTGGCCATCAGAGAAATGCAAATCAAAACCACAATGAGATACCATCTCACACCAGTTAGAATGGCAATCATTAAAAAGTCAGGAAACAACAGGTGCTGGAGAGGATGTGGAGAAATAGGAACACTTTTACACTGTTGGTGAGACTGTAAACTAGTTCAGCCATTGTGGAAGTCAGTGTGGTGATTCCTCAGGGATCTAGAACTAGAAATACCATTTGACCCAACCATCCCATTACTGGGTATATATCCAAAGGACTATAAATCATGCTGCTATAAAGACACATGCACACGTATGTTTACAGCGGCACTATTCACAATAGCAAAGACTTGGAACCAACCCAAATGCCCAACAATGATAGACTGGATTAAGAAAATGTGGCACATATACACCATGGAATACTATGCAGCCATAAAAAAGGATGAGTTCATGTCCTTTGTACGGACATGGATGAAATTGGAAATCATCACTCTCAGTAAACTATCGCAAGAACAAAATACAAAACACCGCATATTCTCACTCATAGGTGGGAATTGAACAATGAGAACACATGGACACAGGAAGGGGAACATCACACTCTGGGGATTGTTGTGGGGTGGGGGGAGGGGGGAGGGATAGCTTTAGGAGATATACCTAATGCTAAATGATGAGTTAATGGGTGCAGCACACCAGCATGACACATGTATACATACGTAACTGACCTGCACATTATGCACATGTACCCTAAAACTTAAAGTATAATATTAATAAAAAAAAATTTTGAAACAGAAGAATAAAGAGATTTCTGATCTAAAAAAACATATTTTTTTAATACATGAATGTAACAAGTTTAAGAGTAAAATAAAATAATGTACGAAGAGTGCTTAGTAGAGTGCCAGGCACATAAGTTTTTAAAAAAATTATCTTCTCTTACTATTAGAACTCACTGTATCTATATTTTACTGTAAGATTTCCAGCTTCTTCAGAGCAATTATCATACATTTTTGCTTACTACTCTATCCTTAGCACCTAATATAGTTCCTGACTCATAAGAAGTATCCACTAAATCTTTTCCTTTGAATAGATTAAAGAAAGAATTTTATATGCTAGGCCACAGTTAAAATAGTTACTAATCAAGTCAATGGCAAAGATCTGAATAATACTCCTAGCTCAATTCCCAAAGGTATGAAATTAAGCAAGCATTTAACTTCCTCTCACTGAATTGTATTGCCAGCTATATATAAAACTTGCCACTAAATGCAGTAGAAGAAGCAAAAGTAAATAGCTATAGATGCAGCCCTACCAAATTCAAAATAGTGCTAAGAACAATGTGTCTGCTATGAAAATGAGAGTACAGTTAGACAAAGTATAATTGTAAATTTGAACAACTTGGAGAATAGTGTATTAATAACAGAATAGAGAAAGGAAAATGAAGCCAGTGAATATTGATCTATAATGTAAATAAAGAAAAATGATTTACAGCACATAGCTCACATTTAAGTAAGTTTAATTAAGTAAACCATTAATCATGGTTTAATTAAGACAAATCTACAGTTTTAACACTGTTTGATTTGGTTATTATCATGTAGCAAGAAAAATAAAACCATGCCATTTTCACTGTACTATTTTCAACATGAGGTGTATGTAAGGTGTTCAACGAAATCTTCTAAAAAATTGTTTAATAGCAAATTTTCAAATCATAAAAAGATTCAAAAAGAAAATATTTTAAATTAAAAAGTATAAAGATACAATGTAAGACACATAAATATAAGAAAAAATAATCGGTATTTATTTTAGGGCACCAAGAATCTTCAGGCAGATATCATAACCTACTTAGAGCCAGAGAGAAGAATTTTAAAGTATTTTTAGTATATTTTATTTTTGAAAGCTTGCCAGATCAGTGATAGCACAATAATGAATTCTAGCTTTCAAAACGTATATGCTGAACTCCTGAATTTGAAGCAAGCTAAATCTGCCAAATTATTCCATAAGTATGCCCCAAATTTTCCCTTCAACTACAATAAAAACAAAGAGCTTTGTGTTATTCTTATCAGCCTTTCTTTACCAATTGTGCAAAAGCTTCAAGAAGCCTTTACACATGAATCATTTTCTCTAAAAAATAAGAATAATTCCTTATAAAATCAGGATTAACAAACTTTTTAACTGCTTTTATTAAATGTGCCTCTCAGTTTATTACGATAGTTCATTTTAAACTAGTTCTCTTTGAATTCTCACATTAAGTTACATTAATTAGGTAAATATGACATAACTTACAAATGTGTTCTCTGGACCTAAATTGAAAAGCTTCTTTAATTGGCATTTCCTATAGGAATTGCCATTTTTCTATAGGAAAGCAGCTAAATTGCAGCACTCCACTCCCCATCATTCAAGTTTAATGATGAATTAAAGTCATGAATATAAAATATTCTTTTTTTTAAAAAATGAGGATTGCATGCTTTTGTTTCTACATATTTATTTCCTTTCTAGATGACTCTTATATTTAATATTATACTCTTGTAACCAATTCTACCAACAATACATTAGAAAATCTAGAAACAGAAACAAATTATTCTAGGGAGTATTATCAGGCCCATGTTTTACACTAACTTTAAAGTGCAATCATATAATTCCTTTAGCATGATGATCACAATCCTAGTGACAGAGGCTATGGTTTGGGGGGTCTCCAACACTGCTCAGATGGGGAGAGGACATTTCCAGTTTCATGTACATGGAGAAGTCCACCAGTTAAAATACTTGAAGCCAAACACACCATTCTCATTTAATGATCTGAATTTTGCCACGAATTTACTATACTAAAACAAAGAGGAAAAATGTTTTTAAGGATAACTCATTTTTTACAGAACATGTTAAGACAACTCCTGTAGTCTCACACAAGGAAAGAAACTCACATGATTAAAAATTAAAGATTTACAAATGTGTCAGCAAATGAAAACAACTGGCATGCCCTAGAGAACCACCTCTTAAACTGATGTGGCTGATATGTACAAAAGGAATATAGCCCCCAAGTAGGCAAATAACAGATACTACTTCATCAACTGGCAATTTCTCTTTCACAGGGGTTTTTCTGACCTTGTAAATAGCATTACAAAAGAAACAGACTGGATAAAGAAAATGTGGTACATATACACCATGGAATACTATGCAGCCATAAAAAGGAACGAGATGATGTCCTTTGCAGGGACATAGATGAAGGTGGATGCCATAATACTCAGCAAAATAACACAGGAACAGAAAACCAAACACCACATGTTCTCATACATGGGAGTTGAACAGTGATAACACATGGACACAGCAACGGGAACAACACACACCGGGGCCTAGGGGAGGTCGGGGTTGAGGAAAGGGAGAGCATTAGGACAAATAACTAATGCATGGAGCTTAAAACCTAGATGATGGGTTGATGGGTGCAGCAAACCACCATGGCACACGTATACCTATGTAACAAATCTGTATGTTTTTCACATGTATCCCAGAACTTAAAGTAAAATTTTAAAAAATAAATACATAAATTTGGGGAAAAAAGAAACAGATTGATTATAAATGTTCTACACATTGGCATATATTTTGTGACTCATTAAGAAATTTATATTGCAAGAATATTAAAATGCTTTATTGAAACTTATGTTTGGGATGGGTTTACTGCATTTGAGATTATGATATTTCTGAAATAACTTTGCTCTAATTGAAGGTAACAAAAAAACCTAATGAAAATTAATTAACAGTGATTTAAGTCTAAGAACTTTATCTACAAGAATTATTTTAGTAATGAAGTTTAACAAGTATGTTAAATAAGAATGATGGGGAGTTGCAAATAAAATGCATCTCTAGAAAATAATTTACCAGTTTCCTTTCTCACAAAATCCTGTTTAGTCCCCTTTTAAACAATCCTTGATTTCACTAACAGTACAAGAGTTATGGAACAGAATTCCTCTCCATCCTCTTTTACAAACTGCATATTCGAACATCGGGTGGGAAGGAGGTCTTGTCTCAGAACACTTTGGTATCATGGTATCTGTCACACTGCAACCTCCAATGAAAGTGAAGTTTGTCTCCATTGTGAGTTACAGTAATCATTTAGCTACTCCATACATGGCAAGCAAAAATAAATAAATAGATAAACAAGGAAAATAATAAGCTCTGATTGTGTGTGTGTGTGTGTGTGTGTGTGTAGATACAAACACACATTTTCACTCCCGAGATTTTGTGATACTCTAGCTTTAACAAGAATTGTTCAGCTATTTCCCTAGCATTAGAGGTTAAAAGATATTGAGCTTACTGACATCTAAGCTTTGGGGCTGCCACTGAGGTTATTTATTTTCAATTTTGTATCAAGTGGCAGCAACAATGCTGTGCTGTGAATTAAGTAGCTTTGATTCTCTGTTAAGTGTGAATTCAAAGCTTGAATACGGATATAAACAGCCATGATAAAGACGCAGTCCAACAGAGGTCCTGCCAATAACAGGATTTAGTTTAAATAGCTGAGTATTCAACATGAACTCTCCCTTCATTCTATATAGCAAGTAGTGACCATTGTAATTAAGAATTAAATGTACTAACACCAGGAACTACAGGAAAATAAATTGAGATGTCAACAATAACATTTATTGTACTCCATAATTATGCAATTATTTGATTTTTATTCCCTGTCTGCATCACCAAAATATATATGCGAATAGGGCAGACATCTTGTCTTTCCTATTCATCATATATTTATAAGTAGTTAAAAGAATAATGTCTAGCACAGGGTAAGCATTTGGTAAATATATGATGGATTAAAATAGATTGAAGGATTAATGAATAAATTAATAGAAACGAATGTTTGAATGAATACTGGAATCAATTCTAGAATGGAGATTTAATTTTTAAAGCACAATTGATATATGCTTTTTATTAATTTTATTTATAATTAATAAATAATTCAATTTATTTATAATTGACACATAAGTGTACATGTTTATGGGACAGTGTGCTGTTTCAATGCATGTATACATTGTATAATGATCATAACAGGGTATGATGTGGTTTCGATCTATGTCCCCACCCAGATCTCATGTTGAATTTTAACCCCCAGTGTTGGGGGAGGGACCTGGTGGGAGGGGACTGGATCATAGTGGTGTATTTCCCCTTTGCTGTTGTGATAGTGAGTGAGTTCTCACAAGATCTCACTCATGAGATTTGAAAGCATTTCCCAGTTCTCTCTCTTTGTCCTGCTCCGACAGGTGAAGATGTTCTTACTTCCCCTTCGGCCATGACCGTAAGTTTCCTGAGGCCTCCAAGACATGCTTCTTGTGCAGCCTGCAGAACTGTGAGTCAATTAAACCTCTTTTCTTCATAAATTACCCAGTCTTGGGTAGTTTTTATTGCAGTGTGAGAATGAACTAATACAGATGATAATAGTCAAAATCTTCTCTTTTAGCTATTTTGAAAAATACACAGCACTGGTATTAGCTATAGTTACCCTACTGTGAAATAGAATACCAGAACTTATTCTTCCCGTCTAACAGTAACTTTGTACTCATTGACAAACTTTCTCCATCCCTCCTACTCCCTACCTCCCCAGCTTCTGGTAATCTGTGAAATCAACTCCTCTAGAATCCACAGATGAGTAAGCTCATGTGCCGTTTGTCTTTCTGTGCCTGGCTTACAACACTTAGCGTAATGCCCACAAGGTTCATTTGACTTTTTTTGCTTCCTAGTTAACAACCAACTCCAGAGACTGATTTTTTAAACTATTATAATCATAACACTTTTTAATTTGTAATTCATTCCCAGAGCAAAAAAAGAGAGAGATCTTACTATGAATAAAATAGTAAAAACAATTAAAAGTGATTAAAACAAATACTCATTTCACATTAGCTGAAAAGTAAAAGCTAGAGACTGTTCATGTCAGAGATCAGGTGGCATGGGTAACCATATTTATTTCCTCAGGCCACCATAAAAAGTACCACAAACTACACGGCCTACAACTACAGAAGGATATTCTATCATAGTTCTGGAGGCTAGAAATTCAAAATCAAGGTGTCAGCAGGGTAGTTCCTCTGGAAATTCGAGTTAGAATCTGTTCCATGCTTCTCTCCTAGCTTCTGGTGGCTGCCTACAGCTCTTAGTGTTACCCGGCTTGGAGCCTCATGTGTGATTTCAATCTCTGCCTCTTTCTTCCTATGGCCTCTTCTCTGTGCCTCTGCGTCTCTGTGTCTCAAATCTTCTTCCCTCTCTCTTATAGAGACACCAGTCGTTAGATTGAGTGTCCACCCTAAATCCAAAATGATCTTATCTCAAAATCCTTAACTTAATTACACCTACAAAGACTATTTCCAAATAAGGTCGTATTCACAGAAACCAGGCTTAGGAATAGGACATATCTCTTTGAGAAACACAGTTCAACCTATGACAGTAACTTTCAGGTACTGGCCAATGGAAGCCAATACCAATACTTTCCAGAACGACACATTCAGTTTGAGTTCACCTTATTTCCCCATACTGGTCTCTGAATGGAGTGCTCTAACCCCTCCACATATAGGTTCAGAGGCACTTCAATCCCAGAATAATCCTGTTTGGCTCTTCCTTTTCAATTGAATTCCTGTCTGTGAACTCCTGTTACATGGTCATCTGGAAAAATGACCACCTGCCTTCTCAGCCCCCAAGTGATGCTTTCTGCCTGCAGCTAAAAAGGTCCTATTCACTCTGGGTGTTCTACCACCTCCTTTACTGTCCTGTCTAAATCATGGCAGAGGACTGCACACTGAGCTTCTCTCACCTATGGCTTTCTACTCCATCTACCACCTCAGCCTGTGGTTCACCACGGACCACACATTTCATAGCAAGTATATAAACCCTGTTTGCCCTGTGTTGTCAAGGGAAACCATCCTGTCTTGTATATTCAACTGTCCAGAAAGCAACGTCCTACCCAGGAAGCCCTTATGGAGTGCCATGAGGAATTGGGGACCCCATAAACCTGGGAGCCAACCAGGGCGCTCCAGAAAAGGATCTGACTTTTTCTTTTCTTTTCTTTCCTTTTTCTTTTCTTTTCTTTGCTTTTTGTTTGTTTGTTTTTTGAGATGGAGTCTCACTCTGTCACCCAGGCTGGAGTGCAGTGGTGCAGTCTCGGCTCACTGCAGCCTCCACCTCCCAAGTTCAAGCGATTCTCCTACCTCAGCTTCCTGAGTAGCTGGGATTACAGGCGCCCGCCACTACGCCAAGCTAATGTTTGTATTTTTAGTAGAAACTGGGTTTCACCATGTTGGCCAAGCTGGTCTTGAACTCCTGATCTCGTGATCCGCCTGCCTTGGCTTCCCAAAGTGCTGGAATTACAGGCGTGAGCCACCACACCTGGCTGGATCTGAATTGTTCTAATGTTTTCCTAGAACTGTCCTGCCTTCTGTCCAGTAATTCTCACTAGTAATTTTACTGCTTTTTCCCCAGGAACATTGCAGTGGGATAATATCATATTTTCCCCAAAATGCAGTCAGCATTATTTTATTTCAAGTTTAATATAGATAATATTGCTGGCCCTGTAGAACTTTTAGGACAATAAAAGTTGCTCTAACATACAGTTCTTGGAGTTTTGTGAGAAATAGTTTTTCTTTTTATAGGCACCATGTTTTTCCAGATATTACATTGAACCTGAGAGGGACCTGGCTTTCCATCCCAAGAAAGCCACTAACAGGCTTTGTCAGCTCAAACCATGGGGAACTTAGCTTCCTCCATCCAAATAAACCAGCACAGGTCTTAAATTCATCTGAACTGTAAAAAAGGTACAGTTATAATGGTTAAAGAGAGCCTAATATTAAAAAAAGAAAATAGAATTGCAATAGAAATCTGCTAGCTCTAGAAAGTAGCAGACATTAGTGATTTCATGTTGATACCTAATGCTGTAACACACACTGTGTCACCAAATTGAAAAAACGGCCTCTGTGAAAGCAGAGATCACAAATGCTGATAGTCTGTCAGACTTCTAAAATTAATAATTTCATATCAAATCTAAATTTCCAGCTTCTCTTGAAAAATCAGAAACTCTCCAGCACTAATCATGTGTGCCCACAAGGCATCAAACAACTGGTGTTAAGTTGCTGGTGCTCACTTTAGATAGGGAATGGGGTTTCCATTTTGCACAGTCCCCACCATTCCCCCTTATTTCCCTAAACTGAGGTTGCAAATCAGTGGTTATGCCTGTGCTGTTTTTCCTATACCAGGCCTGTTTCAGGCATTTACAACACGAACCTGTCCTCTAGAAGAATTGTAATTTGCAACTTATGGTGCAACATATCCTTAGACTTCCTCTAAACGAAAGTATGTTTGTATTGGTTGGCAGGCATTTTCTGTGGAAAAAAAAAATAGGTCTTTCAGAACGGAGACTTCTAGAGGCAGAAAAGACCTTGATTGTGAGCCTTTGCTCTATTCGGTAGCTATTGAATTGTGGATTTACTAGGTGCCGGGAACTGCGTAATTTTTGTAACACAAAAATTCTACCCATGAAGACCTCAATAGTACGCTGAAAGGACAATGCAGGTGTGGGGAATAGTAAGCATTCAGTTTTTCTTGCTTTCTTTTTCTTTTTCTTACATTTATAAACCTTTATTGGATTTAGATTCTTAAAAATAATACCTGCAGGTATTATTTTAATAACACAGAAGCTTATAAAACAATTACAAAATAAACATAAAAGCCCTTTTTTCCCTCAATCTCACTCCTTTCTTATAGCGCTTCCTCTCTAAGCTGAGCTTCTCCCATTTTTTGTGCAAGACTGTAACAATTGTTGAAAGATCTCTAAATCGCTTTGGAAATAAATTTTGTGATATATACTTACCATTGTATGAATTTGAGATTAGCTATCTTCTTCCATGTTGTAGAAGACGAAGAACATGTCTTTTGGGAAACTTCTATGTAAGAGCCCATTTAGGTTTTTGCAGACTTGAAAGATCAGGCAGGATCAATTGATCTGTTTGCAATGCAATACCTCAAGCTGACCAAGGATAAAATCTCATAGAAGAAAAGCAAATTAAATCAATTTTCATCTGTTCCTTAGCTAAATATTGCTAATAGCAGGCTTTTCATACTTCTTCAACTCCCTTAGCTGCTTTTGAGATTTTTCCATTCCAGGACAGAAGAAAAATGAAACAGAACCTATAATCATAACTCAAAATGAAGCCCAGTCCCCTTTCCCACATGAGAAAAATAAAACAGGGGAAGGAGGGAGAAACAACAAATATGCAACATGTTGGGATAACTAGATGATATTATAATCAGTTTTTTAAGAATTTATCAAGATATCATCAAAGCAATATATTTCCTCTCCTCTTATGTGAATATTAATAGATATTTAATATGGTGTAAACATTGTATAGTTATGTAGTTTTCCAGACAGCAACAATAGTTAGAATTGCAAAATTTGCTTGCACAGGCAACTTGTATGATGAGGTAAGACAACTTGTATGATGTCTAAATATATTACTTTACTGATTGGGTAGCGTGTTCTTCAACTGATGGAGAGAATATTAGTTTTATAACCTGATAGAAACTTAGGTCAAAAAATTGAGAGTTTTTAAACCACTGAAATGGTCTCTGACTTTATCGATATCCCTTTAACCTTTGCTGGGAAAGCTATACGATTCCTCACAATCTAGAGAGTTTCCATTAGAGTCAGCCTTTGCCTTGAGACTTCTCCTGGAAAGTATCTGACTTTCTCTCCTATTAATTCTAAATGAACTTTGCTGATGAGAGAGATTATAAAGATGACCACTATTTGTCATGGTAATCAAAAATTTCATCTCGGTCGGCAAATTCCTGAATCAAATATCAGCTGTTTACAATAGCCATCCACTGGTCAAGTAATTACTATACTAATTCTAGTTACTTTATGTGTCAAACTCCAAATACAAAATATATATTCAGCCTTAGTATTCTTTTTAAGTAAACAAAGATCAAACTCTAGTGTGTGGAACTCCTTGGAGATGAAATCTGCAATTTTTAAAAACATCAAAAA
Source organism: Homo sapiens (assembly GCF_000001405.40). NCBI lineage: Eukaryota > Metazoa > Chordata > Mammalia > Primates > Hominidae > Homo > Homo sapiens. The sequence continues at coordinate 52,623,712 of NC_000005.10, forward strand.
ATAAGATAGATTGATGGATGGCCAGAGGGATGATGTGTGTGTGTTTACATATATATATATGAAAATATAGCAAAACCTTAATTGCAGAATCTAGGTTGTGGATAAACGGGTTTTCATTGTACAATTCTTTTGGCTTTTCAGTAAACAATTAGCAGAGATAGGCTAGTTATTTCTATTGAAACATCCTTGCTATTTACTCTGAAATCTAGGAACTTTTCAAGACATAAGAACTACAGTTATGAGGTAAGAGCCCTGACCTCTAAAAGCTGCCTCTTTTGTGAATATAAAGATTTACATTGAAAAACGATAAAAAATATAATTTATAAAACTTGAGAAAATAAAATTAACTTTAATTACTTCTTTATTAATTGCACAGCAGAAGTAAAACAATTAACTTTTCATCAAATTGCTTCTTTTTAATTTTTTTTTCTTCCAACTTCTATTTTACGTTCAGGGGGCCCATGTGCAGGTTTGCTGCATGGGTAAATTGTATGTCACTGGTTTTGGCTCACAAATTATTGCATCGCCCAGGTATTAAACATAGTACTCAATATATAGGCTTTTTTCTTATCCTCACCCTCTTCCACCCTCCACCCTCAAGTAGACTCTGGTGTCTATTGTTCCCTTCTTTGTGTCCATGTGTTCTCCATGTTTAGCTCCCACTTGTAAATGACAACCTGTGACATTTGGTTTTCTGATCTTGTGTTAATTTGCTTAAGAAAATGGCATCCACCTCCATCCATGCTGCTGCAAAGGACATGGTTTTGTTCTTTTTAATGGCTGCATAGTATTCCATGGTGTATATGTGCCATATTTTCTTTATCAGATCCGCTATTGGTGGGCTTCTAGGTTGATTCCGTGTCTTTGCTATTGTGAGAAGTGCCATGATGAACATACACATGCATGTGTCTTTCTGGTAGAATGATTTCTGTTCCTTTGGGTATATACCCCGTAATGAGATTGCTGGGCCAGATGGTAGTTGTTTTTAGTTCTTTGAGAAATCTCCAAATGGCTTTCCACAATGAACTAATGAACTAGTTTACATTCTAGCCAATTTGTAAGCATTCTCTTTTCTCAGAAACCCTGCCAGCCTCTGTTATTTTTTTAATAGCCATTCTTACTGGTATGAGATGGTATCTCATTGTGATTTTGATTTGCATTTCTCTAATGATTAGCGATGTTGAGCACTTTTTCGTATGCTTATTGGCTGAATGTATGTCTTTAAGAAGTATTTGTTCACATCCTTTGCTCATTTTTTAATGGGGTGGCTTGCTTTTTGTTTGTTCATTTGTATAAATTCCTTACAGATTCTGGATATTAGACCTTTGATGCACTGCTTGTGAATATTTTCTCCCATTCTGTAGGGTGTCTGTTTATACTGTTGATAGTTTCTTTTGATGTGCAGAAGCTCTTGGGTTTAATTAGGTCTCACTTATAAATTTTTGTTTTTGTTGCAATTGCTTTTGGAGTGTTCATCAGGAAATCTTTGCCAGGGCCTATTTCTAGAATGGAATCTCTTAGGTTTTCTTCTGGAGTTTTTTATAGTTTTAGATTTTACATTTAAGTCTTTAACCCATCTTGAGTTGATTTTTGTAAATGGTAAAAGGAAGGGCTCCAGTTTTAATCTTCTGCATATTGCTAATCAGTTATCACAGCACAATATATTAAAGAAAGACACATTTCCCCATTGCTTGTTATTTTCAACTTTGTCACAGATCAGATGGTTATAGGAGTGCAGCTTTATGTCTGGGTTCCATAACCTGTTCCTTCGGTCTATGTGTCTGGTTTTGTACCAGTACTAAACTGTTTCAGTTCCTGTAGCCTTGTAGTATACTTTGAAGTCAAGTAGTGTAATGCCTCCAGCTTTGTTCTTTTTGCTTAGGATTTCTTTAGTTATTCAGGCTCTTTATTGGTTCCATATGAAATGTGGAATAGTTTTTTCTAATTCTGTGATGAATGTCATGGGTAGTTTGATAGAAATAGCATTGAATCTGTAAATCGCTTTGGGCAGTATGGCCATTTTAAAAACTTTCTTTCTTCCTATCCATGAACATGGAATGTTTTTCCATTTGTTTGTGTAGTCTCTGATTCTTTCAACAGTGTTTTGTGATTTCCATTGTAGATATCTTTCACCTCCCTGGTTAGCTGTATTCCTGGGTGTTTTATCTTATTTTATTTTGTTTTATTTTTTGTGGCTATTGAGAATGGGATTGTATTCTTGATTTGCCTCTCAGCTTAGACGTTGTTGGTGTATAAAAACGTTACTGATTTTTGTACAGTGATTTTGTATCCTGAAACTTTGCCTAAGATAGTTATCAGATCTAAGAGCACTGGGGCAGGGACTATAGGACTTCCTAGGTATAGGATCATATTATCTGCAAACAGCGATAGTTTGACTTCCTCTTGTCCTGTCTTCCCATTTGAGTACCTGGTATTTTATTTCTCTTTCCTGCATGATTTTTCTGGCTAGGACTTCCAGAACTATGTTGGATAGGAGGGTTGAGAGTGGGCATCCTTATCTTTTTCTTGTTCTCAAAGGGGAGTTCTTTCAGCTTTTGTCCATTCAGTATAATGCTGGCTGTGGGTTTGTCATAGCTAGCTCTTATTATTTGGAGATATGTTCCTTTGATACCCAGTTTGCTGAGGATTTTCAACATGAAGGGATGTTGAAGTTTATTGAAAGCCTTTTTTGCATCTGTTTATATGATCATGTAATTTTTATTCTTAGTTCTGTTTACATAATGAATCACATTTATTGATTTGCATATGTTGAACGAACCTTGCATCCCAGAAATAAAGCCTACGTGACCATGATGGATTAGCATTTTGATGTGCTGCCGGATTTGGTTTGCTAGTATTTTCTTGAGGATTTTTGCATCTATGTTAATCAGGTATATTGGCCTAGAGTTTTTTTGTTTGTTGTGTTTCTGCCAAGTTATGGTATTAGAATGATGCTGGCTTCATAGAATAAATTAGGAAGGAATCCTCCCTCTTCAATTTTTTGGAATAGTTTCAGAAGGATTGGTACCAGTTCTTTATATATCTGGTAGAATTCAGCTGTGAATCTGTCTGGTCCAGGGCTTTTTCTGTTTGCTAAGCTTTTTATTACTGATTAAATTTCAGAACTCATTAATTTTAGAACCAAGGTTTCTATTTCTTCTTGATTCAGTCTTGAGAGGGTGTACATTTCCAGGGATTTTTCCATTTCTCCTAGGTTTTCCAGTTTGCAAGCACAGAGGTGTCTGTAATAGTCTCACAAGGTTGCTTTTATTTTAATTTCTTTGGGGTCAGTGGTAATATTCTCCGTGTCATTTCTCATTGTGTTTATTTGGATCTTCTCTCTTTTTTATTAGTCTAGTAGTGGTCTATGAATCCTTTCAAAAATCTAACCTTTTGTTTCACTGCTCTTTTGTATGGGTTTTTTTTTTTTTTTTTTGAGATGGAGTTTCACTCTTGTTGTCTAGGCTGGAGTGCAATGGCGCAATCTCAGCTCAACACAACTTCTGCCTCCCGAGTTCAAACAATTCTCCTGCTTCAGCCTCCCGAGTAGCTGGGATTACAGGCAAGTGCCACCATGCCCAGCTAATTTTTGTATTTTTAGTACAGACAGGGTTTCTCCGTGTTAGTCAGGCTGGTCTTGAACTCCCAACCTCAAGTGATTCACCTGCCTCAGCCTCCCAAAGTGCTGGGATGACAGGCGTGACACCGCACCTGGCCGCTCTTTTGTATGGTTTTTGACATCTCTATTTCATTCTCTTCAGCTCTGATTTTGGTTATTTGTTGTCTTCTGCTAGCTTTGGGCTGCTTTGCTCTTGTTTTTCTAGCTCCTCTAGGTGTGATGCTACTTTGAGATCTTTCTAACTTTTTGATGTGGACCTTTAGCACTATAATCTTTCCTTTTATTAATAACATTGCTTTAGCTGTGTCCCAGACGTTGTTATTTTATATCTTTCATTAGCCTCAAAGAGTTTCTTGATTTCTTCCTTAATTTCATCGTTTACCCAAAGCCATTCAGGTCTAGATAGTTTAATATCCATGTAATTGTATGGTTGGTTTTCAGAGATCTTCTTGGTATTGATTTCTATTTTTATTGTGCTGTTACCTGAGACTGTGGTTGATATAATTTTGGTGTTTTTTTTTTTTCAAATTGTTGAGAATTGCCTTATGGCCAACCATGTGGTTGATTTTAAAGTATGTGTCATATGCACATGAGAAGAATGTACATTCTGATGTTGTTGGGTGGAGTGTCCCATACATGTCTGTCAGGTCCATTTGGTCAAGTGTCAAGTTAAGGTCCCAAATATCTTCGTTAGTTTTCTGCTTGGATAAGCTATCTAATAATATCAGTGGGGTGTTGAAACCTGTCACTATTATTGTGTGGTTATCTAAATCTCTTTATATGTCTATAAGAGCTTGTTTTATGAATCTGGGTGCTCCAGTATTGGATGCAAATATGTTTAGAATAGTTAAGTCTTCTTGTTGAATTGAACATCATGATGTAATTCCCTTGTCCTTTTCATTGTTGTTTATAGAAAAAAAAAGGTGCAGCTGGCTGCCAGCGCTTATTTAATTTTATGTAAACATGCTCTTTGAGGCTGAAGCAAATCTGACTGATTTTCAATGTGAAAATAAAACATAAAACTGGTATTGGAGTTATTTTTAAACAGAACTAACATCAGAATCGTCTTTTTCAAAAAAAATCAGATTCATCCAATGAATCTTGGGCCAACCACTGTTCAAGAACAATATTTATATCACACGTAGAAATGCTACATTTTCTAAGATTTGACATTTTCAGTGATCAAGAATTACTATATTTTATAAATAGGAAATATCACTGCTAAAAACAGAATGCTATAAATAGAATGATGTCTTTTGTTTCCAAAGTTGATATACTAGAGTGATGTGAAATAATAATACAAGTAAGTTATTTCATGGCAAAAGTGTCTCAGAGTAAACACTGTAGCCGCAAGTGCCACCAGCATGTGTTCTCGGGGCAAACAGGAAAAGGGTTAAAGTCTGTTTTTTCTGAAATAAGAATAGCAACCCCTGCTTTATTTTTTGTTTTCTTTCTTTTTTAATAGGTCTTTCTCCATCACTTTATTTTGAGCCTGTTGGTGTCACTGCACATGAGATAGGTCTCATAAAGACACCATACATTTTGGTCTTGCTTCTTTATCCAACTTGCAACACTATGCCTTCTAAAGTGGGGCATTTAGCCCACGTACATTCAAGATTAACATTTATATGTGTGAATCTGATCCTGTCATTGTGTTGTTAGCTGGTTGCTATGTAGATTTAATTGTATAGTTGCCTTATAGTGTCAATGGTCTATGATCTTAAGTGTGTTTTTGTGGTGACTGGTACTGGTCTTTTGTTCCGATGTTTAGTACATCCTTAAGGACCATGTATAAGGTAGATCTTGTGGTAAAAAAAATTCCCTTAGCATTTGCTTGTCTGAAAAAAAATTTTATTTCTCCTTTGTTTATGAAGCTTAGTTTGGCTAGATATGAAATTCTTGATTGGAATTTCTTTTTTTTTTTTTTTTTGGTGCAGAATACAGGTCCTCAGTGTCTCCTGGCTTGTAGTGTTTGTGCTGAAATGTCTGCTATTTGCATGATGGGGTTCCCTTTGTAGGTTACCTGCTCCTTCTCTCTAGCTGCCTTTAATATTTTTTGTGTGTGTTGACCGTGGAGAATCTGATAACTATGTGCTTTCAGGATCATTGCCTTGTATTATATCTCACAGGGATTCTCTGAGTTTCCTGAATTTGCATGTTGACTTATCTAGCAAAGTTGGGGACATTTTTGTGAAGAATACCCTCAAATATGTTTTCCAAGTTGCTTGCCCTCTCTCTCTCTCTCCCTTTCCTTCAGGGATGCCAATGAATCCAATGAGTTACAGGTTTGGCCTCTTTACATAATCTCATATTGTTCAGAGATTTCATTCATTTTTTAAAGTATTTTTTCTTTTTTTTTTCTGACTGAGTTAATTCAAAGAACTTGTCTCTTAGAGCTCTGATATTCTTTCCTCAGCTTGGTCTATTCTGTTGTCAATACTTCAGGTTATATTATAAGGTTCTTTTTTTTTTACTTGAGACAGGGTTTTGCCCTGTCACCCAGGCTGGAGTACCATGGTGCCATCACGGCTCACTGCAACCTTGACCTTCCAGGCTCAAGTGATCTTCCCACCTCAGCCTCCTAAGTAGCTGGGACTACAGGTGCATGCCACCATGCTCAGCTAATTTTTGTACATTTTATACAGATTCATTTTCACCATGTTTTCCAGGCTGGTTTTGAACTCCTGGGCTCAAATGATCTTCCCATCCTCCCACCTCAGCTTCCCAAAGTACTAGGATTACAGCTGTGAGCCACTGCACCTGACATGAAATTTTGTAGTGAGCTTTTCGGCTCTACCAGATCAGTTTAGTTGTTTCTGAAAATTGCTATTTCATCTTTCAGGTCATGAATCATTTTACTGGATTGCAAAGGTTCCTCAGATTGGGTTTCGGTGTTCTCCTAAATCTTGATGATCTTCACTGCCATCCTGATTCTTAATTCTATGTCCCTCATTTCAGCCATTTTATCAGTAAAGGACAATTTTTGGAGATGTAGTATGGTATTTTGGAGGTAAAAAGACACTCTCTCTGACTTTTACAGTTGCAGTTCTTGCACAGATTCTTTCTCATCTCTGTGGGCTGATATTTCTTTAATCTTTAAGTTGCTGTTCTTTGGAAGGAGCTTTTTGCTTTTAAATTATCTGATGCCCTTGAGGATTTGACCATGATATAAGTTGGGTTTGGTTGACTGGCTTCATTTCTGGATGATCTCAGGTGGCTAAGACTCAGTTCATCACTCCTAGGCTGTGTGCTCTTACCCTGGGGTCTGGGAACAGGTCCATGGCTTTGTTCTCTTGTCCCTTGATGTCAAGCATCTGCTGCACTGTAGGGGCCAAGGTATTCCCAGACCACTGGCAACAACACTCTGAAGCAGGGTTCCAGCAAAAGCTTTTTGTGGAGGTAATGGTAGTGTGTTTCATGCTCACATGTGCACACCAGGGAAAGTGGAGCAATAGTACAGCTAAGTCCATGCCTACATGTCAGCAATGGCTGGGAGCAGGGTACATGTGTATGCATGCAATGGTTGAGGAGGGGGCAATGGTGAGGTCCATGCATGTACACACACTGGCAAAGTGATGGGGTAAGGCTCTGAGCGAATGTGCACTGGTTGGGGTGGAGCCATGGTGAGGTCCATGCATGTACACACACTGACAAAGCAGTGGTGTGAGGCTATGCACAAGTGAGCACTGGCACAGTGGTTGGGGGAAGCTGTAGGTGAGTGAGTGCTGGCAGGAACCCATCTGCAAAAACTCTCTGACAGTTAGCTGGGGTCTGTCAGTGAAAGAGCTATAACCACGGCCACTGGGATGCTCCCTGTTTTGATATCCAAGGCTGTACTGCAAGCAGATGCAGCCAGACAGGGACCCTGGGAGAAGCTGGCAGACAAGGGACACTCAGATCAGATTGTCACCATTCCATGGGCAAGATAGCCCTGTTCTGTCCAGGTTAGAGAATGAACGAAAGCCAAAGTCACCTATAGGAGTATGGTGAGCCTTGGGCATCCCTGCTTGTGCTCCTTTGCAGCCAATACCATGTGAAACCCTCTGAGCTCCACACAAGCTGGAGTCCTGTCTCTGGCAACACACTAAGCAGCACTCTCTGCCAGCTCAAATGTCCATGGGGTTGTAGGGTCTCCTGCAGCTAGGATTCCAGAGGTTTGTGATAAGAGTGAACCAGTTCATGCCTATTTAACTTGCCCCTTCACTAGAAGCTGTTTGGGGCCAGAAATGAGTCCTGGTGCTTGGTAACCCCATGCAGGGTTCCCAGCTTCCTCCTCCTTCAGCCCAAGGTCTGTGTCCTCTCTCTGTCCATTCTCGACAACTTCCTTCCGAAGATCTGCTCATAGTGTGCCGGTCTTCTTGATGGTCTGGTCTCTCAGTGAGAGAAGCTCTTCCTGGATGCATCTAGTCAACCACCTTCGCACCACAATGATCGCCATTCCAACTGGTGTGAGATGGTATCTCATTGTGGTTTTGATTTGCATTTCTCTGATGGCCAGTGATGATGAGCATTTTTTCATGTGTCCTTTGGCTGCATAAATGTCGTCGTTTGAGAAGTGTTTGTTCATGTCCTTCGCCCACTTGTTGATGGGTTTGTTTGTTTTTTTCTTGTAAATTTGTTTGAGTTATTTGTAAATTCTGGATATTAGCCCTTTGTCAGATGAGTAGATTGTAAAAATTTTCTCCCATTCTGTAGGATGCCTGTTCACTCTGATGGTAGTTTCTTTTGCTGTGCAGAAGCTCTTTAGTTTAATTAGATCCCATTTTGTCAGTTTTGGCTTTTGTGGCCATTGCTTTTGGTGTTTTAGACATGAAGTCCTTGCCCATTACACTGTTGGTGGGACTGTAAACTAGTTCAACCATTGTGCAAGCTCTTTCAGGTCATTAGACAAATGCAATTTCTTGACATGGTAGAGCCAAGGTCCCCGTTTCCTTGCTGGCTGTCATTCAGGAATGAGTATTTGCTTCTGTAAACTCCATGCAATCCTTCTCATGCCTACCATATGGCCTCCCTCCAGCAACAACAGAATGGGAGTCCCTCTCACACTTTGAATCCCTTCCCCTTCTGCCATATTTCTCTGCCTTCCTCTTCTGCCTCTAGCTGGAAGTAGTTCTCTACTTTTAAGGACTCCTGTGACACAATGGGCCCACCTCCGTAATCCAGGATAATCTCTCTATTTTAAGGCCATAACATATTTGCATTTGAAAGGAGGAGGCATTCTGCCTACTACAGAGGTATTAATGACTTTCCTCATCCTGTATGGACTTCACTTAGGTAAAATACTTTGATCTAATAAATTAAACCTACTATTGATGTAGTGCATGGAAGTAAAAAAAAAAATTATAAAATCTCTCTGCAGCAAAACTTGTCTGAGTTTGGTGATGGCTGCACAACTTTTGGAAACACTAAAAGCCAATTAGTTTGTATACTTTTAATGTCTGAATTTTGTGGTATATAAATTATAACTCAAGAAATGTGTTATTTAAAGCAAAAACAATAAACTTGCCTTGCAACACTCTTCTGCCTTGCAAGATAAGTCTATTCACATGGAAGACTCCAGAAGAACAGTTATATAAAGAAAATGTTAAAGTTTAGGCTTACTTGCAAAAATAGCATCTCCATTATACCTACATGAGGTGATGAGGTAATAATTGCCAGTAATTAAAAGGCAGTCATTATACACTAGAACCAGCTTTAAGCATGGTATGCATGTTAACATATTTAATCTAATCAACAAGCCTGTGAAATGGATAACATTAACATGCTCATTTTGCAAAGGAAACTGAATCACAGACTGTTTAAGTCAAACCTGCCAATGAATGCTGAGAGTTAGGATTCAAAACTCGGCACTGTGGCTCCTGAGTTTATGCTCTTAACCACCGTTAGGAAGCAAGAAGGTCTTTGATGAGGGCACTCGGTGACAATGTGACATTTAAATAGACCAATGTTTTAAAGCTAGACCTACTTCTTATTAATTATCATTAGGAAGACTGGTTATTTAATCTGAGACTCAGTTTTTATTATTTTTTTATATATTTGTAAGTTTTCATTTATTTATTTTGTATTATACTTTAAGTTTTAGGGTACATGTACACAATGTGCAGGCTTGTTACATATGTATACATGTGCCATGTTGGTGTGCTGCACACATTAACTCATCATTTACATTAGGTATATCTCCTAATGCTATCCCTCCCCCCTCCCCCCACCCCACAACAGGCCCTGGTGTGTGATGTTCCCCCTCCTGTGTCCATGTGTTCTCATTGTTCAATTCCCACCTATGAGTGAGAACATGTGGTGTTTGGTATTTTGTCCTTGTGATAGCTTGCTGAGAATGATGGTTTCCAGCTTCATCCATGTCTCCACAAAGGACATGAACTCATCATTTTTTATGGCTGCATAGCATTCCATGTCATATATGTGCCACATTTTCTTAATCCAGTCTATCATTGTTGGACATTTGGGTTGGTTCCAAGTCCTTGCTATTGTGAATAGTGCCTCAATAAACATACGTGTGCATGTGTCTTTACAGCAGCATGATTTATTTGGGTATATACTCAGTAATGGGATGGCTGGGTCAAATGGTATTTCTAGTTCTAGATCCCTGAGGAATCGCCACACTGACTTCCACAATGGTTGAACTAGTTTACAGTCCCACCAACAGTGTAATGGGCAAGGACTTCATGTCTAAAACACCAAAAGTAATGGCAACAAAAGCCAAAATTGACAAAATGGGATCTAATTAAACTAAAGAGCTTCTGCACAGCAAAAGAAACTACCATCAGAGTGAACAGGCATCCTACAGAATGGGAGAAAATTTTTACAATCTACTCATCTGACAAAGGGCTAATATCCAGAATTTACAAATAACTCAAACAAATTTACAAGAAAAAAACAAACAACCCCATCAACAAGTGGGCGAAGGATATGAACAAACACTTCTCAAACGACGACATTTATGCAGCCAAAGGACACATGAAAAAATGCTCATCATCACTGGCCATCAGAGAAATGCAAATCAAAACCACAATGAGATACCATCTCACACCAGTTGGAATGGCGATCATTAAAAAGTCAGGAAACAACAGGTGCTGGAGAGAATGTGGAGAAATAGGAACACTTTTACACTGTTGGTGAGACTCAGTTTTATTATCTGCAAAAAGGGGTGTATCAGTTTTCTAAGGTTTCCATAACAGAGTATTACAAATTTAAAGAGAAATTCATCTGGCTTAAACAGCAGAATTTTATTGTCTCACAGTTCTGGAGGCCAGAAGTCCAAGATCAAGATATCCAAAGTTTGGTTACTTTAGAACTAAAACCATGAGACAAAAGTTGACTCCATGCTTTTCTCCTGGCTTCTGATGACTTGCTGGGAATCTTTGGCATTCCTCGGCATGTAGATCCCTGTCTTCGTCTTCACATGGCTTTCTCCCTGTGTGGATGATTCTGTCTCTAAATTTTCCCATTTTATGAGGACACCATTCACATCACATCGGATTAGGGATGTCTAATGACCTCATCTTAACCAATAATATCTACAATGATCCTATTTCAAAATAAGGTCAAATTCTGAGGTACTAGGGATTAGGATCTCAGCATGTGAATTTTCAAGGGACACGATTTAACCCATAACAGGGCATTATTATATTTACCATGGAGTGCAGCAGTGAGAGAGAAATGAGATTGTGCACATAAAGTACCCAGAACAGTGCCTGGCCCATAATAGGATGTCGGTAAATGTAGCAGTGATTTCATGCAACAATGTCAACATTAAAAGTAACAAAGGAGTTTTTAGAGCAAAAATTGAGGAGAAAGGGAAGGCAACTAATTGCATTCTGATTGGGCTTTTGGGATGAATAGTTTTGGCAACCCAAGTGCACCTTGGAGTCTACGAGATTCTGCTGCCCAGTCTAACCTCAGACAAACATCCCCCACCTACTGTACTCACAAATGCTTTTCCTGCTGCTGACCTAACCAATTCCACAAGTATGTATAAGCACCCACTAGAGCAGGGAGGAAAAGAGATGTGGAAATCAAGTAGGACAAGTCCCAGGACTCTTCCTAAAGAGAGTTCCAAGTTCCTCAGGTCATATTTTAGGAAAGAAGTCATGTTTTATGCGAAAGATCAAGAGGCAGATGTAAGGGAATGGGCAGCAGACAGGAATTTAGGAGACCAGATCTGAGTTCCAGCTTTCGCGAGCTGGTTGTAGAAATTTACCTGAGTCCCTTGATCTGTAGCATATTCAAATGTTCTCAACTATAGAATATGAGACTTAGAGAGTTGCTTTTAAAGAACCCTTCCAGCTCCAATGTTCTCTATTTTTTTTTCTTAAGTTTTCATCCCTAAGATAACTCATTATGTATAGGTAAATATCCCTAAATTTTAAAAGAATCCAAAATCTGAAACACTTCTGAGTCCAAGCATTTCAGATAAGGGATATTCAGCCTTTAGCTATTTATTTTCTTGCTTTGCATAACTTACCCCACCCTTTTATTCTTCTTTCTTAGGTAAGTTAATAGATGTACCTACCTAAGGTAAAATTTAAAAATTTGCTGCTTCCAAATTTTGCTGGCCTAAGGTTCTGTCTATCTCAATGAGAATAAGCAAAGGCACTTTGAGATAGCTTATATCTATAAAGGACAATTTTCTTTCTTTTTTTAATTATACTTTAAGTTCTGGGATATGTGTGCAGAACATGCAGGTTTGTTACATAGGTATATGCCTGCCATGGTGGTTTGCTGAACCTATCAACCTGTCATCTACACTAGGTATTCCTCCTAATGCTATCCCTTTCCTAGCCCCCACCCCCCAACAGGCCCCAGTGTGTGATGTCCATGTGTCCTCCTTGTTCAACTCCCACTTATGAATGAGAACATGCAGTGTTTGGTGTTCTGTTCTTGTGTTAGTTTGCTGAGAATAATGGTTTCCAGCTTCATCCATGTTCCCACAAAGGACATGAACTCATCCTTTTTTATTGCTGAATAATATTCCATGGTGTATATGTGCCACATTTTCTTTATCCAGTCTATCATTGATGGGCATTTGGGTTGGTTACAAGAATGAACAGGCAACCTACAGAGGGGAGAAAATTTTTGCAATCTATCCATCTGACAAAGGGCTAATATCCAGAATGTATAAAGAACTTTAACAAATTTACAAGAATAAAACAAACAACCTCATCAAAAAGTAGGTGAAGGATATGAACAGACACTTTTCAAACGAAGACATTTATGCAGCCAACATACATATGAAAAAAAAGCTCATCATCACTAGTCATTAGAGAAATGCAAATCAAAACCACAATAAGATACAATCTCATGTCACTTAGAATGGCGAACACTAAAAAGTTAGGAAACAACAGATGCTGGAGAGGATGTGGAGAAATAGGAATGCTCTTACACTGTTGGTGGGAGTGTAAATTAGTTCAGCCATTGTGGAAGACAGTGTGGCGATTCCTTTCCTCAAGGCTCTAGAACCAGAAATACCATTTGACCCAGCAATCCCATTACTCGGTATATACCCAAAGGATTATAAATCATTCTACTACAAAGACACATGCACATGTATGTTTATTGCAGCACTGTTCTATTTTTTATCTCTAAAGTTTTCTTGAAAGAAGGTAAAAGCTCCAAGCTGTAATTGCCATTCCTTTAACATGGAAGATAAAAAAATGAGGGAAAAAGATTTAAAAAGAGAAAACCAAAAGGCAAAATGCTATGAAATACATTCAATGATAAAAGACTTTTATCTGTGTGGGGGTTTCTAACCTGCAAGGCACATTCATGTGCATTACCAAGGAGGTGCAGGAGGTTGGATCTATGGTTCAGAAAAGGAAAATGAGGCTACGGAATTAAATTGCCTAGCTTCCATCCCGTGAAAACCCACAGTGTAGAGTGAGGAATCACAGAAACAACATACAGACTATATTTTTTTCACATTGTCTCTGTTAGTGTGTGGAGCTATCCCTTCAGTTCTGATGATATTGTGGAGAATCTATTTTTAACACTTGTGGTACAAGATCATGTGAGTTTACCAATATGGGCCAATGACAGGTACAGACCTCTCAGATGCCCACTTTACTTGTGGCTCTGAAGTATTTTGGGACCCAGAGGATCCCTGTCTATGATGAGAATAAAGATCAAACAATACAGAGAAGGAAAATGAGTCATTACAGTGAAGACAGAAGGGTTTGTCCCAAATCTAACTGTTTGCTTCCTGCATTTCCTATAAGGCATGTCATCCACCACAGAAGGCTAAACTCGAGAGCATGAGTGCTGGTTTATATAATTTATCTCCTAGCTGATTTTATAATATTAGAAGAGTCAGGCAATATGTAGAAAAATGTGACCAATTTAGACAGTACGGCAAAACATGCCATTTGGTCTCATTTATCATAATAGGGATTTAAAAGGACACTCATGAGCCATTTAGAACCCATGAGTTAGTTGAGCAGAACAAGTGGTTTTGCATAAGCTCTACCCTTAAATCATTTAGTGCTTTCTTGCATCATTAAAAGCAAGTGATATTTTTAAAAACTGCAAGAGTCATAACAATTAACATCAGAAAAACAATTTTACCACCACTTAAAGGGCTTGCAGGGGTCAAGAGGACCACCTTTATTGTTTTGAGACACCTCAGTGTATTTTTCCCCTGCTCATATGATGGGGAAATCGAGTTTGCTGGGCCACCTCCAGCATCCTTTGTGACAGTCTCCAGCTACAGTGTGGAGTAGCCTGACTCGCTGGGAACTCTCAGTCCAGCGGAAGAGAGAAGACACCTGGCAGCCATTCTGAAACAAGCAACATTGAACACAGAGCAAGAGCAAAACCAGAGGGGACAGCTTTGTGCAGTGGGCTGGTCTGCACTTTAGACACATTACAAACCGGATGTAGCCTTCTATTTGGTGGGCACCATGCCACTTTCATAAAAGTCTACAGCTGATCAAAAAAAAAAAAAATCTACAGCGGAAAGGAATACTATCTCCCCATCCCACCCCATCCAGTCAACATCAGAACCCAGACTGGGATCTCTTCATTGCTTGTGAGTCTGTTTTTCTATGAACACAGGAGATGGAGACTTATAGTAAAGGGACAATTTTGAATACCCAGGACAGTTGGTCAGACCTCTCCTGAGAGGCAGAAATCCCGCTAATGGGTTCATGTGCCCATACTAAGAACCAAGGATACAAAAATTATCTATTATACATGAGAATTCCCAATGGGCTACCTAATGTGGCTACTGTAAACATCGTTTTTGCTGACCTCTATTACAGCTTTTGTCACTATGCATCAAAATAATGTATTTAAATAGTAATAGGGATAAGTTAAACCTTACATATGTTAGCTCTCTTGGTCCATACAGTAATCTAAAGAAGTAGATGCCATGATTGCCCTCCATTATAGGTGAGGAGCTGAGCAGAGGTAAGGTTAGGTCTTTTTCCCTAGATCACACAGTAGCACTAACCCAGGTCTGACTCCAGAGACTAGCCCTGGATCCTGTACTGATAGTGCCTATAATGACATGCCTTCCCTGCTGGGTAGTAAGCTCCCTAAGGGCAGAGGCTGCTTATTATACATCTCTGAATTCCTGATACCTGACACACTCCACTGACTCTTCTGGCTAAAATATCCTTTCTTGAGGGTCATGAACAAAGACTCACTCATAGAAAAAAAACAGATTAAGGAGCTAGTAAAGAGCTGTTAAGGAGCTGGCCAATAAAACGTCCTAAATTGGCTGTGGTACTGAACAGTTGCCCTTTTGAAGCTGTTGGAGGCCAAGCTGACAAACTCATTTGGCAAAGTTTCCTTGACTCACTACTATTCTGTTTTATATTTGAGTTATTCACCAAGCTATAATTTTATTCACTCGTTTACTAAAGCAAAGAAGACCTACATAATCATTGCCTAGAGATAGTAACAAGTATCACCTTTTTCTTTATTACCCAATTAAGGGATGAGTTTTGAAAAAATTACAATTATAAAAGTATGCAAATAAAAAGATTAAATTCCCCATACATTCCCTCAATTGTGTATTTTCCTTCTAGAGACAATGACTGTGAATAGTTGAGTATGTATTTTTGCTTCATTTTTATATACAACTTTGTTCCCAGATAAATAAGATTGTATAAATTGTTGCTGGACTTGGTGCACTGAAACTAGGTTACATCCCACAACAACATAAGAAACAGGATGGAAGTATATAACACTTCCATCAGCAAGGGTTGCTTGTGGAGTCACTGGGTGGGTCTCTGGGACCCTGGCTCCTATCCTTCATCCTTATCACCTTTTTCTTTATTAAGAAATTGAAAGCTGACTCATTCACTAATATGCTCAATCTCTGGTGCATTCTCTCTGCTGCTTAGTTGTGGCTTGGTTAGTAATTGTGGATTCATACACTTATAAGAGTAATTTTAAGTGAATGAGTCCACAATTTCAGCATTAAGAGCAAGCCTTCTGGATGGGCCTCCCTCAGAGGTAACATGATACCTGTTGATTTTTAAACAAGCATGTCTTGGGCATCATTTTATGCTTCTTAACAACTGAGTGATATTCTCTAGTATGACTGTTCCATACTATTAATTACCTATTTGCCATTGCATGAAGGAAATTTAGGCTCTTTCTAATTCTGTTGCTATTAGAAACACTACTACGTTTTCCATATTTAAAAGGTAGCTGGAGCTTACAGAAAAAAAAGTGCAAAATGTGTATAAAAATACCAAAAAAAGGCAACAGTTATGGACTGCATGTTTGTGCCCTCCATGAAAAAATGTATATGTCGAAACTCTAATCTCCAATAGAATGATGTTCAGAGGTAAGACCTTTGGGAGATAATTAGGTTTCAATGAGGTCATGAGGTTGGAGCCACCATGATGTGATTAGTGGCCTTACAAGGAAAAAATAGGCTAGAGCTATTTTTCTGTCCCCACTCTCTGTCCCCACTATGTGAGGTTACAGCAAGAAGATCTGCATACCAGAATAGAGCCTTCAGCAGGAATCCAGTCTACAAACACCTTGATCCTAACTTTCCAGGCTGCAGACTGGGAAAGATGAATTACTATTATTTAAGCTACCCAGTCTACAATATTGTTATTATAGCAGTCCAAACTGGTTAAGACAGAAATCTTACCTTAAAAAGATAATTTCTGTACTATTTTGAAATATTTACTTATTTTGAATTTTTTTGTTATTTTTAATCCTTTTTCTAAGGATATAAAATATTACATTTATATATCTGGTGAAATGCCATATTTTGATTGTGTATTCTGCTTTGCATTACACTTAACATTATATCATAACATTGCCCAATCCATTTTTTATTAAAAACATGACTTTTAAAGGTCACATACTGCATCATACTTACATAACAAAATTTATTTGTCCATTCCTCTATCTTGGCCACTTACATCATTTTGAAATTTTCACTTATAAACAATGGACAAATGAATATTATAGAAAATAAATCTTTGAACAATTCTTAAGTTATTTTCTTAAATCACTTTGTAAGGTGGTAAAGAGCTGTTATTTTTTCTCCTGATTATATTGCATCACTTTAAGTTGAACATTGGCTGGTTAAGGTTGACATTTTTGTCTCTCATGTATTAAAGACTATTTTTCTATTCCTGGTCTGTATTAATAAACCACATAAATGGCTTGTGGACTTTATCACATATTTTGAGAGCCTGTGTATTTTGTTGTTGTAATTGTTAAATTGTATTGTTGATATTATTTTTCTAGAATTTTCACATTAATATCAATTTGATATAATACTATGTTTTCTGGGCTTTAATTTTTAGATTTTGTTATCAGAATTTGCTAACTTCAAAAATTGAAGTATAGGCCAGGCATGTTGGCTCACGCCTGTAATCCCAGCACTTTGGGAGGCTGAGGCAGGTGGATCTCTTAAGGCCAGGAGGTCGAGACCAGCCTGGCCAACATGAGGAAACCCCACCTCTACAAAAAGTACAAAAGTTAGGTGGGCATGGTGGCATACACCTGTAATCCCAACTACTACTCAGGAGGCTGAGTCACAAGAATCCCTTAAACCCAAGAGGTGGAGGTTTCAGTGAGCCGAGATCACATCACTATACCCTAGCTTGAGCAACAAAGCAAGACTCTCTCAAAAAAAAAAAAAAAAAAAGAAAGAAAAGAAGTTGAAGTGTATAGTCTTCCTTTCTTTTCACATACATGTTTCACTTACCTAGCACATGGATTTTAAGTTTTTCAGAGTTTACAAGAACTTAGTAAAAGTCTGATTCTGTCATCTATTGTTTTGAAGTAATGCTATGATAATTTTTTTCGATTTTTCTTTTTTTTGCATCAAATCCACCATGATGTTACTTGGGCTATTTATTTCATCATCAGTTTCTCTCCGTAAAATGATGGTAATAATAATACAAATTCTATGAATTGTTCTAAGTCTCACAAATAGTAGCACAAATATAGTGCCCAAGAGTTTATAAAGGTTTGTTTAGTGGCTTTTATTTCTAACATAAAGAGATTTTTTTTGGAAGCTCGAACTGGGTGAAGCCCACCACAGCTCAAGGAGGCCTGCCTGCCTCTGTACGCTCCACCTCTGGGGGCAGGGCACAGACAAACAAAAGACAGCAATAACCTCTGCAACTTAAATGTCCCTGTCTGACAGCATTGAAGAGAGTAGTGGTTCTCCCAGCATGCAGCTTGAGATCTGAGAATGGGCAGACTGCCTCCTCAAGTGGGTCCCTGACCCCCAAGTAGCCTAACTGGGAGGCACCCCCCAGTAGGGGCTGACTGACACCTCACACGGCCTGGTACTCCTCTGAGACAAAACTTCCAGAGGAACGATCAGGCAGCAGCATTTGCAGTTCACCAATATCCGCTGTTCTGCAGCCACCGCTGCTGATACCCAGGCAAACAGGGTCTGGAGTGGACCTCCAGCAAACTCCAACAGACCTGCAGCTGAGGGTCCTGACTGTTAGAAGGAAAACTAACAAACAGAAAGGACATCCACACCAAAAACCCATCTGTATGTCACCATCATCAAAGACCAAAGGTAGATAAAACCACAAAGATGGGGAAAAAACAGAGCAGAAAAACCGGAAACTCTAAAAATCAGAGCGCCTCCCCTCCTCCAAAGGAACACAGCTCTTCATCAGCAACAGAACAAAGCTGGATGGAGAATGACTTTGATGAGTTGAGAGAGGAAGGCTTCAGAAGATCAAACTACTCCAAGCTAAAGAAGGAAGTTCAAACCCATGGCAAAGAAGTTTAAAACCTTGAAAAAAAATTAGACGAATGGATAACTAGAATAACCAATGCAGAGAAGTCCTTAAAGGACCTGATGGAGCTGAAAACCACGGCACGAGAACTACGTGATGAATGCACAAGCCTCAGTAACCGATGCAATCAACTGGAAGAAAGGGAATCAGCAATGGAAGATGAAATAAATGAAATGAACAGTGAAGAGAAGTTTAGAGAAAAAAGAATAAAAAGAAATGAACAAAGTCTCCAAGAAATATGGGACTATGTGAAAGACAAAATCTACATCTGATTGGTGTACCTGAAAGTGACGGGGAGAATGGAACCAAGTTGGAAAACACTCTGCAGGATATTATCCAGGAGAACTTCCCCAATCTAGCAAGGCAGGCCAACATTCAAATTCAGGAAATACAGAGAATGCCACAAAGATACTCCTCGAGAAGAGCAACTCCAAGACACATAATTGTCAGATTCAGCAAAGTTGAAATGAAGGAAAAAATGTTAAGGGCAGCCAGAGGGAAAGGTTGGGTTACCCACAAAGGGAAGCCCATCAGACTGACAGCGGATCTCTCGGCAGAAACTCTACAAGCCAGAAGACAGTGGGGGCCAATATTCAACATTCTTAAAGAAAAGAATTTTCAACCCAGAATTTCGTATCCAGACAAACTAAGCTTCATAAGTGAAGGAGAAATAAAATCCTTTACAGACAAGCAAATGCTGAGAGATTTTGCACCACCAGGAACAACCGGTACCAGCCACTGCAATAACATGCCAAATTGTAAAGACCGTCGAGGCTAGGAAGAAACCGCATCAACTAATGAGCAAAATAACCAGCTAACATCATAATGACAGGACCAAATTCACACATAACAATACTAACGTTAAATGTAAATGGGCTAAATGCTCCAATTAAAAGGCACAGACTGGCAAATTGGATAAAGAGTCAAGATCCCTCAGTGTGCTGTATTCAGGAAACCCACCTCATGTTCAGAGACACACATAGGCTCAAAATAAAGGGATGGAGGAAGATCTACCAAGCAAATGGAAAACAAAAAAGGCAGGGGTTGCAATCCTAATCTCTTGATAAAACAGACTTTAAACCAACAAAGATCAAAAGAGACAAAGAAGGCCATTACATAATGGTAAAGGGATCAATTCAACAAGAAGAGCTAACTATCCTAAATATATATGCATTGCAATCCACTTTTTAAAAGTTTGTTCTGTGCTTGATTGATGATTTTAATTATTGTACTTAACTTTTTAATTAATATTGAATTTCTTTTGAGTTATGATATAAAGTTTAACTTTATTTTCATATTAGTATTAGTATAATTAATGATATCGTTTGGCTCTGTGTACCATTCAAATCTCATCTCAAATTGTAATCCTCTTATGTCAATGGGAGGAACCTGGTGGGAGGTGACTGGATGATGGGGGCGGTTTCCCCCATGTTATTCTGATGATAGTGAGTGAGTTCTCACGAGATCTGATGGTTTTATAAGGAGCCCTTTCCCTTTCATTCAGCACTTCTCCTTTCTGTCACCTTGTGAAGAAGGTGCCTTGCTTCCCCTTCACCTTCTGCCATGACTGTAAGTTTCCTGAGGTCTCCCCAGCCATGCAGAACTGTGAGTTAAACTTCTTTCCTTTATAAATTAACCAGTCTCAGTATCGTTACAGCAG
Organism: Homo sapiens; assembly: GCF_000001405.40. Lineage (NCBI taxonomy): Eukaryota > Metazoa > Chordata > Mammalia > Primates > Hominidae > Homo > Homo sapiens. Next base: position 52,644,245 of record NC_000005.10, read on the forward strand.
TGTGAAAATGGACTGATACATAGAATTTGTACCAAGAGTGGAGTACTGCTAGAAAGATAATCTGAAAATGTGGAAGCAACTTTGGAACTGGGTAACACGTAGAGGTTGGAACAGTTCGGAAGACAGGAAAATTTGGGAAAGTTTAGAACTTCCTAGAGACTTGTTGAATGGTTTTGACCAAAATGCTGATAGTGATATGGACAATAAAGTCCAGGCTGAGGTGGTCTCAGATGGAGATGAGGAACTTACTGGGAATTGGAGCAAAGGTCATTCTTGCTATGGTTTAACAGAGACTGGTGGCATTTTGCCCTGCCCTAGACATCTGGGGACTTTGAACTTGAGAGAGATATTTTAGGGTACCTAGTGGAAGAAATTTCTAAGCAGCAAAGTATTCAAGAGGTAACCAGGCTTATTCTGAAAGTGCTCAGTTAAATGCATTCACAAAGAGATGGTTTAAAATTAGAACTTACGTTTAAAAAGGAAGCAGAGCATAAAGGTTTGGAAATTTTGCAGCCTGACCATATGATGGAAAAGAAAAGCCCATTTTCTGAGAAGAAATTCAAACCAGCTGCAGAAATTTGCATAAGTAATGAGGAGCCAAATGTTAATAGCAAAGACAATGGGGAAAAATATCTCCAGGGCATATCAGTGATCTTCACAGTAGCCACTCACCTCACAGGCCTGGAGGCCTAGGAGGAAAAAAATGGTTTCATAGGCCAGGCCCAGGTCTCCACTGCTCTGTGCAGCCCTGTGACATGGCACCCTGCTTCCCAGCCACTCCAGCTCCAGCCATGGCTAAAAGGGGCCAAAGTACAGCTGGGGCCATTGCTTCAGAGGGTGAAAGCCCCAAGTCTTGGTGACTTCCATGTGGTGTTGGGCCTGCAGTTATGGAGAAGATAAGAGTTGAACTTTGGGAACCTCCACCTAGATTTTAGAGGATGTATGAAAAAGCCTGGATGTCCAAGCAGAAGTCTGCACAGGGACAGAGCCCTCATGGAGAACCTCTGCTAGAGCAGTATGGAAAGAAAATGTGGGGTTGGAGCCCCCACACAGAGTCCCCATTGAGGCACTAGCTAGTGGAGCTGTGAGAAGAAGGCCACCATCTTCCAGACCCTAGAATGGTAGATCCACCAACAGCTTGCACCTCAGGAACTCAATGCCAGCTCATGAAAGCCACAGAGACCATACCCTGCAGAGCCACAGGGGTGAAACTGCCCAAGGCCCTGGGAGCCCACCCCTTTCATCAGTGTGCCCTGGATGTGAGACATGGAGTCAAATGAGATTTTGGAGCTTTAAGATTTAGTGACTGCCTGGCCAGGTTTCAGACTTGCATGGGGCCTGTGACCCCTTTATTTTGGCCAATTTCTCCCATTTGGAATGGGGACATGTATCCAATGCCTGTATCCCCATTGTATCTTGGAAGTAAGGAACTTGCTTTTGATTTTACAGGCTGATAGGCAGAAGGAACTTGACTTATCTCAGATGGGCCTTTGGACTCGGACTTTGGGGTTAATGCTGGAAAGAGTTAAGACTTTGGGGGACTGTTGGGAAGGCATGATTCATTTTGAAATGTGAAAGGGACATGAGATTTGAGAGGGGTTGGAGCAGAATTATATCAATTTGGCTCTGTGTCCCCAACCAAATCTCATCTCAAATTGTGGTCCCCACATGTCAAGGGAGGGACCTGGTGGGAGATGATTGGATCATGGAAGCAGTTTCCCCCATGCTGTTATCATGATAGTGAGTTTGCACAAGATCTGGCTGTTTGATAAGTGTCTGGCCCATCCCCCTTCTCCCTTTCTTTCTCCTGCCTCCATGTAAGACGTGCCTTGTTTCCCCTTCACTTTCCCCCATGATTGTAAGTTTCCTGAGGTCTCCTCAGCTGTGTGGAACTGAGTCAGTTAAACCTCTTCCTTTATAAATTACCCAGTCTCACATAGTATCTTTACAGCTGTGTGAAAACAGACTGATACAATTAATTTTCAGGCTTTTCTTTGTGAATAAAGATTCAGAGTTTATATTTGTCAGAAAAACATTACTTCTTCATTGGCATTTTCAAATTTATTAGCAGAAGTTTGTAAATATTATTTTCTTAAAATGTTTCTATGACTTCCACATATATTATCTCCATTAGCTCATTCTTAATTTTGTGATTTATACCACTCCCAACTGGATTTGAAAAACAAGAAATTAAACGTGGTTTTGTGGTTTTATTTAAAAAAATAGACCTTGGGTGTACTTACAATTCTGTGTGTGTGTGTGTTTGTGTGTGTGTGTGTTTCCTGCCACTAATACATAATGTTCTGCTTTTATGTTTACTACTTGTCTGCTTAAGCTGTCTCCAATTATTTATTTGGTTTTGAGTTGAGTCATTTGCCTTCCTCCCTTCCTTTTTTCCTCTTATTCTCCCTTCTTTTTGCCTTTCTCCTTCTATCTCTCTCCTTCCTTTGTTCCATCCCTCCCACTTATCTTCCTTCTTTTCTTTTTTCCTTTATTCATTTTCTTTCTTTTTTCCATTCTTATTTTCAATATATTTCTTTACCCCTTTTTAAAATTTGTCTTGAGTGTATCTTTAATGATTCCTCTAAGTTTTGACATGAAATGTTCAGAATTTGCAATATAAATATTTTGAAATAGTATTTTTAGATTTTTCTTAGCTCAATAGTTAACTGTGAGACTCTATTTTAAAACTTTTATTTGGTTTTGATTTGTTGTTCAAATTTGTCACTAGTTTTTAATTTTGTTACATTGTGTGATTTCTATAATTTTGTCTTTTTAAATTTATTGAGATTTCATTGTGGCCAATTATGACAACTATTTTTGGAAATGTTTTAATGACATGTAAAGATAATACAGTTCTTGTTTCACAGTATATACATGCACAAACACACGATATTATAAATTATGTTACTCTAACTCCTTATTCAGTTATTACTGCATCTGGCAATAACTGGAAATAATAATATGAGATTTTGAAAATGTCCCTATGAACTTACACAAATAATTCATCATCTCTTTGTGGTATTTATGTGTATATACCATACATACATACATGTTTATGTATTAATCACAAATAATAATTATTTTATTTATAATTATTTAAACATTCAGCTAATATCTTGATAAATGGATGATTGCTATAAAGTCTCCAGTGACACATTTCAGTCAATTAGTCTCTGAATTTGTATTTTTTCTATTTTTGTATTACATATTTTGTTATTATAAAATTTATTTTTCTAACCTGGCATATTCTCCCAGTGTTTCCTAACTCAAAGAACGACATCAATATCAATGAATTGATTATAAAACCTTGAAATCATTTTTGGCCCTCGTCCATAAACCTACCAACTTACACACTGATTTCACTTTGTTAAATAAATATATGCCAAATCTATTCATCATTCTCCATTGGCATCACTAACCTCCCAACATCTGCCAACTGACTGAGAGCAATGGCCTCTCAACTGATTTCCCCGTACTCTTTATTTGTTGAGTAAGTGACTAAATTAATAAATATTTTTTATTATACAATGGTTTGTCTGAGTCTGCTCAGGATACTACAACAAAATACTATAGCCTGGGTGATTTAAACAATTTTTTTTTCTCACAGTTCTGGATGCTGTGAAATTCAAAATCAAGATGCCAGTATATTTGGTGTCTGGTAAGGGCCTTCTTCCTGGTTTACCAATAGGCACCTTCTTGCTGTCCCTTTAAGTGATAGAGAGGGAGAGGTCATTTCTCTCACTTTTCTTATATAGGCGCTAATTGCTTCATGAATGCTCTACCCCCATGACTTAATCACCTTCCAAAGATCTCACCTCCAAATGCTATTCCCACTGTGAATCAAAGCTCCAGCGTATACATTTAGGGGAGACACAAACATTCAATTCATAACAGTGTTCATAAAACATATGCCTATTTTAATATATAATGTTTATTCATTGATTTCTACATTGTTTAAAATTTGTCTGATTGCCCTACATTATTTTTCTTTTTGTTTTATAATTTATACTCATTATTTCTGTTTTGCTATTCTCTCTTGGATATGTTCCTGTACACATTATAAATTTTTTTTGTTTTGAACTCTATCTGGGTTGTCTTTTAATAAGTTAGTTAAAATTTATGCTTGTAACTGTAATGCATATAGTCTGTCTTGCTACTGTTTCTTGTTTCTGAGGAATCTGATTTTTGCTTTTATTTTTTATATTGATTTTCAATGTATAAATAATAGATTTTGCTAATTGGTTAGCATTGTGCATTATTGTAAGCTTTGTATTTCTGTGTGCAGTTGGATTTGCAGTTGGAATTGGTGCCTAGTCTCCATTATAAACAGAAGTACTCGCAATATATTTTAATAGTTCCCTCTTAGTCAAAGAATTCAATTTTGTGAAAAGAATGATGATGATGATAATAACAACAATAAATAACACATTTAGCACTTGCTATGTGCCAAACACTTTGTTAAGAACTGTGAAGAGTTTGAGCTTTTACTCTACTTCAAGCTAAGAAGTTACCCTGTTACAGTATCAAGAAAACTGCAGAAAACACAAGTTTCGTGAATCAGAGACAAAAGTATTTCTTACCCACAGCAACGACAGTACCCAGAACATCAGCATTTTCACCAGTTCCCTGAACCTCAGTTCCCACAGGGTGACACAAAGAGGGACAAGTCAGCCTGAACACAGAGTGAGTTGTATTACAGGAGAACAAAAGCCTTTTATATGGGAATGATTTTTTATAATGATCTTTTATCATGGGAAGTTAACAAACCAGTCTGATCTTTACTCTGAATAACATATTATTTTCATTATACTGGATGGTATGTAAACCTGCCATCTCTTCTAGAGGGAGACACTGTCTCTATATTTTAAGGCTATGCTCTACCCAAATATTCGTGAAGAGAGTCTAAAGAAAAGGCAGTCGGTGACTCCGCTTGTAGAATGTATAGAAACACAAAAACCATGAATACTATTCTAAGCATTTTTAAGTGCTGCAAATATACATACTCATTTCATCCTCACAACAAACCAATAAGGTGGATAATATTATAAAGAACAGTTTATATATAGGGACCCTGAGCCACAGGAAGGCAAAGTATCTTGTTAAATAGAGGAAGTATATGAAATAGAGAAGAAGAAATAATAGTAACTTGTTTCACACATTACCCTCTCTCCCTCGATTACCTTACTACCTACAAAAAGCATTAGGAAGACAAAGTCAAAATGTTGAAATTATCTTCGCAAGAAAATGTTATCATATAAGTAAAAGTGGTCCAGATATTAAACCAAAATTTAAGGTGAAACTCTATTCTAGGAAAAGAGTCAAATATAGCAGAACTATCACTTAATTTTTATTTCGTAGGAATTTGTCTAAAAATGACAAAATGACTACTTCGTGTATATTGGATAAAAAAAAAAAACCTTGTATTATGTGGTTAGAAAATTGGCTATTCTCATTCTATACTTCCTTGGTAATTTCTTGTTACATTTGAGTTGATTCCCTAGAAAAACTGTGTTCTACAGATCCTATCTAATTTATTACCAGTTTAGTTTTTAAAGTAGAACTAATTTATACCAATGTGAATGATCTCCATAATTTCTAAATCTCTTTGGATCATTTCTGAAAGATAAGTCTAAGGCCATGTATGTTTTTGGTGGTTTACGTTTTCATATCTAGGGTCTATAAGCTACAGAACCTAGTGAAAACATGTTTCTTAGAAAGCAAAAATATCGTGGGCTATATAGAGGGTGAAATTTCTTAATGGTTGGTACTAGTAGTAATACTAGGTAACTCCTGTGGTTGCAATCCTATTGTCTAATAAAGGACACTATTGTCTAATAAATTAAAATAAATAAAATAAAATGAAAAACGTAGTACAAGAATATAAAATAAATGGAAAAAAGAGAATGAATAGTGAGGTACATTAAAGAGGTAGATACTGTACATGATTGAGATAATGCCAAAAAAATTGCAACAGTTAACATTTAATATAGCAAATACTATATGTTACCTATGTTTTTCAGAAAAGATTCCAAAAAAATTTCATTTGGGTTGGAAATTATAAAGCAGTTCACTCAATATAAACTGTATATCACATCCTTTCAACAAGTCATAATCAATATTAGATCTTACAGACATTTTATAACCAATGTTTCCACCACCCACTATAGTCATGAAAGATACCTTTTCTCAGTTCTAAGGATCTTTGGTAGGAAAGAGTGTCTGTTTAGAAGTGGTAACTCCTACCCATTCCCCAAAATCGTGATGCAGTCAATTCTCCTTCTGTTATCAAATGTCCCACCCGCTACAAGTCGATTCTAACTTCCTATCCCAATTTCCACTCTTTCCTAACCATCACTTTTCTAATCTGAAAATTGTGATAAATCAAAACATTTCTGATTCATTCAGAAATCCCTACATATCAAGTGTTTTTTGTTAATTTTTTCAGTTGCAAGGAATAGAAATCTCCACTCAAATTAGCTTGAAACTTCTAATGGAAATACATACTTGGCTCATGTTACTGCAAATCCAGAGGCAGCTCTGAATCCAGGAAAGGCTTGATCCAGTGGCTTGAAAGTGGTCACAAAAACTCCATTCTTCTCTGTCCCTTTGCTTTTCTATCGGTGGTATTTACTGTGTCCTCAGGCTCTCCAAAGGGGCCTATCAACAGCTCTGGGCTGGTAATAGGCCTGGTATAACCAATGGTTACTACAGTTCCAAATATTGCATGCTCACACCATATCAACCATGAGAAGAGAGAAAACATCCATGTTCTAGAAACATAAGTAAACATCTTGTGTCTCATTGACTCTGATTAAAGTTTGGAATAGCTAGAAGAAAAGGATTGTTGACTGGGTTTAGTTGATGATGACTCAAGGCTGTAACTAAAAGTAGGGTAGAGACTATTCAAAACACATAGCTGCCATCAGGAGAGATTTGGTACCCCAAAACAAAATTGGACAACAATTTTGGATAAGAGAGGAATTAGATGCCAGCCAATAAGCACAACAACAGATGCCTATTATAGTTGTTGTACATAATGTTTTTAAAGAAGGAAGATGTTGAAGAGATGAAAGGTAATGATAACATGGCAGCACATCAAATCCAGAAGTCATTTAAGGTCTCTAAAAAGGAACAGGACCAAGAAAGAATTAAGTCATAATACTTCACATGTCAACAAACATAACCTCGGGAAAAGTATCTTTTCACTTTTCTGGGTTGCATCTACCTGATAAATATTTAATATCATTTTCCTCATCATTGCTGAAGTTAATCAATTTTGAAAGAGCAAGTATTAACTTTCAAAAGTTGGAAGAAACAGAACACATTTCAAACATACATTAATGTAGCAGCACACCTCCTAAAAAGCAGATAATAATAAATTATGTAGACATTCTCGATCTTTAGTATCACAGGGGAAAAAAAATCAGACCCATTCTAAATGGAATACGAATTTATTGTAGGAGACAGATTTTAACGCTCCTTTCTGAGAGCTGTTACAGTCTATTATGTCAACTCTCACACCTCCCACAACACAGCTTTGTCAGTGCATACCCTTTCAAAATATGAAAAATCATAGACTTCAAAATGTTTAGAAATCTGTGGTTTGTTGGCAGTGCATTAGAAGAAAACATATTTAATAAGATCATAAAATCCAACAAAAGTCAGTCATTCTCTGAAAGTTGAAATGCATTCCCTGCAGGTATTCAGAGAAAAGTTTGCATCATGAAGATCAACACGCAGGCTCCAATGCTCCCAGGAATTGACTGACAGCAATTCTTATCCATTACACCTCTGAGCTCCTCTCCTACCTTCAAAATGGCAGTCTAACCCAAGCACCTGTACGTTTCATTGTGGTACAAGTATATAAAACTCAGTCTGCTGCCTCAGAGCATGTTGGCGTAAGAGATGATGAGTTAAAAAGATGTGTGGCATTGACTGCAAAGGATATTTCAACTCATTCATTCAATTAATAAACAATTACTAAATATATTTTATGTGCCAGGTATTATGATATGTTATAGTAATATAAACCATGAGTAATAAGGTTTAGTGAAGAATACTGACAAAACTACTGTATGATATAGCCTAGGCCTGTAATTGAGAATTCAGACATGGAATGGGTCCATGGGATCAAAGAGAAAGAGAAGTCAATCTAGAACGGCTTGGTCTATGGTCAAAAAGAAGGAAAGCAAAGAGTAGGGGGAAACTGGAAAATACATCATGGGTGAGCTTGAGCTTAGGTTGAATATTTAAGTGTGTATATTCAAGATTATTTGTAAATACTCATTGCAAATAGGTATTTCCTAAAACTGCATTCAAGCCATTGTGCAATATAATGAAAAACTATTAAGTGATATACGTGGGGCAGCCATTTGTCCCATTTTGCCTGAGACAATGCAGATATACACTTGTTGTTACAGCATATTTATTAATAACACCCTCTACACCCTCAAAAGTATCCTGGTATGGATAATAAATTGTGTGATTACCCTATTCTAACAAATGTCTGTATGGTCTTTTGTCACTCAGAGATTTAAGTGAATTTGACTAGAATCTTCTTCCTTCCTACACAATTTCTTGACTTTTGGAAGCTTAATCCACTCCCTGAGAATGATACGAATTCTCAGTATCAGAAACTAACCTGGTCATCTGAGCTCCCATGACATTGCATTCTCCCTCTGTGCTGCCCCTACGGCCTCAGACAGGAAACCCATCCCCTCAAATTCCACAAAAAAATGCACTCCTATAATTAACATTGAGATTATTTATTAGCGACTACAAGTGGAAACAGAGCAGAGGTGTGCAACGCTCATCACCCAGATAACTAATTTGCCCTTTAAATTGCATACCTGCCTCTTAAGGGAAATAGTTCCAAAGTTTCCTTCCTACCTCCCCTCCAAGGAAGTATCCAGTCTTACAGTTTCCCAGGTCCTCTCCTCTTCCTTTCCCTTCTTTCCAGGCATCGATTTAACAATTTTTCCCTTTGTCATATAAACCTTTGACATGATTCTTGGGATCTGCTAACATCTATTCTCACCGACCACAAGAGAACACAGTCAGTTCTCTCTTTAATTGCAGCTCTAGTGTCAGTAGAAGTAGAACTAGAAATATGGAAAAAGAGAAACAAATGGAGATTTAGAGGTAGTATGTCTTGGCAGCGACTAAGACAAGAGATAGCACAGACAGACACCCAGATTAATACTCAGGTGCCTATACTTATTATCCTAAACCTCAAGATTTGATTATTTATGTTCATATGTATTTATTGTTCTGGAAAAGAAATAAATCTATGACTTTTTCTCATAATACAAATAATAAGGTAAAACATATGAAGGGGAAACATTGAAAAAGAAAAAATATTTAGCACATTTTTTAAAAATGCATTTTATAAATGCACCTATTAATATATATGATAGAGGTGGGCTGCAGATTCATCTCAGTGCTTCCTAGCAGTAAAAGCAAAGAATGAAATAAAACCAGTGAAAACATTCGTGGTACTCATAAGAGTTCTTTTTAAACTTAGGTACAGATAGCTTTCTTGATACCAGAGATCTGAAAAGAACTTCTTCCATAAATTTTCATTAAAATCATACTATGAGATGTAACAACCCACTTCCTTAGTGATACCCCTTTAAGAACTTTAAGTAGGGTTCCTTTGTTTATTCCATGCAAGCTAATGTCACATGTGCGATACAATTGATTTAAATCAATTTTAGAAGAGGCTACATAGTGTAAGTATGCAACATTCTGATGGTGTAATACAAAGACTATAAAATACATTCAATGGCTTTTATAGCCTCAGTCAATCCTCCTTCATTATAATTTCTCAAAAGCAAGATTTTGATAGGAATTGAACAGCAAAGAATTCAAAATTGTGTTCTCTGGCTAGAACTTGCAGTGCAAACATTCTCAGCTGCTGATTAAGGGCAAATGCATATTCTTTGACAATCAGCTGAGTAGGTTTCTTGTAGTAACTAAATTGCCTAATCAAGGTTTATTGCTGAATAGATGGTCAGCACACCTCCACACAGAGGTGGGTCAATAAACCCATATTGGCAGAGCAAAGAATTTCCTCAGACCTCATCACTGGGTCTGCTCCAACACACTGACAAATATGCAATCAAGACCTAGGAGTTCTATGCTTTAGAGCATGGCCATAATAAAGCATCCATTCAAGTCTTACTTTGAGCCATGTTACTTCCCACTGTGCTCTATTCTAGTTTGCAAAAATGCACTCTATGTATAATATTGGATCTGCTGAATGGGGTTGGATGGTCTCAAGCTATTAAATCTTAGGTGACATCTGCTGAAAATAGCAATTTGGTTTTGAAACAGATTATTTTGAACCATTCTCTATAACAACAATTAGCTAACAGAATTTGTTGAAGCCATTTGTTACTAAGTACATTAAAACAGAGTGGAGAAGAATGAATAAGTTTCTGTTTTCCATAATACTGGTGCCAAGAGAGAAAAGAAGATATCATTCTTCAGTAGGCTGAACAACCTCTTGAAGAAGTGGGCGATTCATGCTTGAAATGCACAGAGGTACCAGCCTAACTCCACCAGAAACAAAATGCAGGGAAGGGTAGTGGAGGTGCAGGGCTGTAACCTGGAGGTCAGGACCTGGGTTCTGGGTGGAGTTTTACTTACACGATGTGACCTAAACCTAACACTTAACCTCTATGGATCTTTGTCTTTCCTCTATAAAATGAGGGGAGAGGAAAATCCAGACCAGATCAGTGGCTCTCAACCATTTTAAGGTAGAGAATTTCTTCAAATAAAAGCTTACTTCTTATCCTAGTGTACAACATGAGTGAAGGTAAAGGTGAGGTTGCTCTGGCTGAAACTTGGCCAGGAGTATATACCCATTTCGGCAAAGGCAGCCCCTATATGGTTTCTGAGAAAATCTTAAAATTATATAGAACTAAGTCTTGAAAATAAACTGGTCTAGGTGATCTAGAACGTGAGCTCTGACCATGACATCAGAGATTATCTAGCAAAAGATGTTTATTGTACAGATAAGAAGCTGAAGACATTAGCAAAGAATTTGAGTGGCTTTGTAAATGCCAGAACAGTAACTCAAAATGCCAGGCTCTTTATCCAGGAATCTATTCACTATACTTTAGCCAAGTACAAGAAGAAAAAAATATATTTTTGGAGGGAATAGCCTTCTACATAGTGTGTGCTGAGTTAAAGTGACTTTAATCAAATTAAATTAAAATACTTTATCATATCAAATAAGGCATTACTGAAGCATATCACCAATTTACATTTTTATACTACCAGAGAATCAGATAAGATTTCTTGACCTACTTCGATGGTGACCACTACCACTCTCTTCCCATCTAAACTGTTCCCATCCAAGCTGTTGTTTTTACCAACAGTTAAATCTGTGGCTTTGCCTTTTTCTTTTTTGTTTTTAATTACAATAATTATAGTTGAGCTAGTATTAGAGCTAAGCTGAAGATTTTGAAAGCTCTCAGAATTCTTATGATGCTGGCTGATTTAGAAGGAAAGAAGGAAGGAAGGAAGGGAGAAAAAGAGTTAAAAAGAAAGAGAAAGGAAGAAAGAAGAAAGAAAAAAGAAAGAAAGAAAGGGAAAGAAAGAAGGAAGGAAGGAAGAAAGAAGGAAGGAAGGAAGGAAGGAAGGAAGAAAGAAAGAAAGAAAGAAAGAAAGAAAGAAAGAAAGAAAGAAAGAAAAGAAAGAAAGAAAGAAGAAATGGAAAGAGAGAGAAAAGGAAAGAAGGAAGGGAGGGAGGGAGGGAGGGAAAGGAGGGAGGGAGGAAGAAAGGGAGTAAGTTGGTTGCATCAAAACAATTTAACAGAGTTTAGAAGCAATTTTTATTTTTCTAAGTTAATTCATCTTCCAACTTAGAATAATTAATGTCTATCATTTACCTTCATTAAAAAAGGGCAATGAGGAGCTATAGATAAAATATACACTATACTTCTATATACTCTTGGAATACTCCAACAAAGGTATGGTTTTATTCTCCATTCGCCATATATAACTTTTGTGTAATTTTATAAATATGAAGAAATGTATCAATGGTGTTTCTATGTTCTCAATGTGGGCAAGTGTCACTCCAGAGTTCCTTCATTTACAGATCTTCATTTTTTTACAGTGCTTTTTAAAAATGTGCATAAATGTATATCTTTATTTTAATAAAAATCATTTTCTTTAATGTTTTCTATGAGCAAACTTAATTGTAAGACATCTTACTATTTTGGTGCTATACAGGTCAATTTATACAAAAAACCTCTCACAGGAAACAAAAATTGAGATCATTTTTCATTTGAAAGAATCAGAATTTTAATTTTGAGTTTCTGTATAACTTAACTGATGTCATGTGCTAGCCAAGTGGCTCCTACATATTTCATTGTCAAATGTTTCCTTCTGAACCAAATTGGACCCTTCAAACACAAAGAAATCCACCATAGAAAAAAAAATCAATTTAAATAACACGGTGATGATGAATGTGTGAGTTCCAACTCTTCTTAGTAAGAACTGACACTCCCATGCTAATCGTACTGGAATGAAGTATGTGCAATGTACACCATCACAGGAAAACACATTTTCCCCTACTCAATAATCGTCTATACATTTCAAATGGCTTTAATCTTTTAAACAGATTTCCTCTTTCATGACTCTTTAAACTAAGATTATGTTTTCTAGCTAGCTAGCCTTCATTTCATTAAAAAATAAAATTGTTATTTAAAAAATAACCTTGCTTTTGAGGTTGTGTCACATACTACTCAAATTATGCCCAGGATTCACCAGCCAAAGTGCAAAATTTGAACTATAATTTATTTCTCTGTTTTATCCTCATAGATAGACCTGAAGGCTGAAGGAGAATCCACTATCCAAGAAGCATCAGTCCACATAGAAGGGGACCAAAATGTATTCAGAATTTTTCAGAAGACACGTGGTTAGGTGAAAAATGTATCAAGATAGGTAATCTTTAGCAGCTTGGAAACTGATGTGTGTGTATATACATACATAAAATCTTAAAACTGCTCTCCTTTCAAGTGAGAAAACTATTTCATTTGTTCTACTTGGAAGTCGCTAAAACAATACACCCAACTCCTTCCGCAGCATTTTAATAGAAAAAAACTTAACTATGAAGGTGAATACTGCCATCTTGTGGTTATTGTTAAAGTAACATGTTTTAACTGACAAATGTAATTCACAAAATCATAAGGAATATCACTGCCATTTATCGATTCTTTCCTGAGTCCCAGGCACCACATTAGGACTCTCCATATGCTATCTTATTTAATACTCAAAACAGGACAAAAAGGGATGTGCCACTTAAATCTCACAGTAAATTATGTAATTTTATAATATAAAAATAATTTAGTACATCTACAATCCCATTTTTTAACTTCACAGATAAGAATAACAGAAGTCCTCGTTGTTGAAGGGCTTATAGTCATTGACTAGTCATTTACCCTAATAGAGCTCACATCTCTTGGTTTCTACTATTGTGCTAAAATATTCCATGCCATTTTGTGTTATACTATTCTGTTATATGTGGACCTCTAATTTAAAACTATAGATGTTATTATTTTCAAGTTCTTTCTATAGAAATAAATAGTATTATTTATTTTTGGCAATTGAATATAGAGTTACAATTGCTCTCTTACTGGGGGGAGAAGGGTTTCATTTTTATTACCTAATGCTAGAACAGGCCAAAATGCTACTTTTGATTAGTCAAAGGTCACTGAAAAATATCCAGAAGAAAGAACAGATACAGCAGGTCTTCAGACTAATGACAAAGGTTCCAAAAAGAACATAGTAGGAAATTCCATGACTAGAAATATACATTATTAACAAGCTAATTTTATAAAAATAAGTAATCCAACCTCCATGCCATGGAGCTCATTTTACTGTATCATCTAATTCTAGCAAATCAGTAAGTGATGAGCGAGAGAGACAGAGAGAGAGAGAGAGATACTCATTACAGTCACATCTCCTTTAAAGAGAAAGTAACATTTTCTGGAACTGTTCCTTGTGAACATTTGTTAGATTTACTCTAAAGACTTCCCAGCAGATGCAGGAAGCAGAATAAGATATTACTTTACTGTGGGAAGTCCTCCATTTCATAGACCCCAATTATAGGTTACTGTTTTGGAGGCCTCTGCCTTAGATCATGGCAAGGAGCAAAGCCTGAATAAGGATTTCCATTTTTTAAAGCTTGCTTAAGCTTGGAAAAGATAAGATTGGTCAGATAAAGCCATTCATCATAATCATTGCTGTTTGGTTATTTCCAGCCTGTTGACAATGTGCAGATCCTATTTTGTGCAAGGAGTAGGAAACAATTGCTACCTTAGCCCTTGCCCGCGCCTTAACACACAACAGATCTACAGAAACTGAAGAGAACATGCTTCTATAAGCTGATATAAGCAGGAAGGATGGAGCTTTCTGACCTATTTTCGTATCATTATTAGGAATCCATACTTTTCACATTTAAATTAGTTTGAATAACATAAAATAAATATTTAAGTTAATAAAGGAATCAATAGGACTGTATGTTCTTACTGAAAGAAAAAGAGCAAGAATTATACGGTCACACCCTAATTCTTGCAAGCTAAGATTTGGTTTTTAAGTCAATCTAGTGTTAGAAAAGTATACCCTAATGAGCGTTTTAAAATTATTTTTAAAAATGAGTCTAAATATTGTTTAATCTTTTTATATGAAAAACACTTTGAACACCAGGGCAATTTCCAGCTGAGCAAAATATGATACCATTTTCAGATGTATGCAATACTATATACCATACTAAGATAGATTATTAGTTTGTTTTCATATTTTAAAAACAGACCAAATTTTTTTAAGTGGCCTTCATTCTTGCATATTTCAAATGCATAACTGAATGTCCAACTCTTCATACTATATACGAGATAAAAATTTTTCATCTTATAGCAAAAAAAAGTCATTTTATGACTTCTTAAATATCTTAAGTTATATCTAGAGACTAGCACTGCAAGTTAAAAGCTTGCCTTAGAAATCAGGTGTATTCTAGTACTCTTGGACAACAAGCAAAAGATCATGTGTGCTGCACAAATTAGCTGCTTCCTAGAGGGGGTGAGCAACTCAGTAACAAACTATACTAGGTATAATAGTCTTCACAGCCTGAAAGATCTCCTGAGGTCATATCTTCAACATCTGTATGCATGACTTAGCACATGAGCTATTGTTAAAATTGAGATACCAAGCTGGGATATGTACAATGACCAAATTAGCACACCACTGTTTCTTGCTATTGTTAAAATTCTACCAGGCTTTCTTCCTCACGAATTATGTTATTAACTCCTTCCACTAACGATAGCAATTGAATAAAACAGATACATAAGCAAACGGAATCAAATCCAAAAGTCCCATGTAGATTCAAGTTCTCTAAAATAATAGGATACCCATAGAAGACTCTGGAAATAGGCCTGGCACAGTGGTTTATGCCTGTAATCCCAGCAGTGTGGGAGGCCGAGGCTGGTGGATCACTTGAGGTCAAGAGTTCAAGACCAGCTTGGCCAACATGGGGAAACCCCGATTCTACTAAAAATAAAAAAATAAAAATAAAAAATAAAAATAATTTTAAAAAGCCAAGCATTGTGGCATATGCTTGTAATCCCAGCTACTTGGGAGGCTGAGGCAGGAGAATTGCTTGAACCCGGGAGGCGGAGTTTGCAATGAGCCGAGATGGCAGCACTGCACTCCAGCATGGGCAACAGAGTGAGACTCCGTCTCAAAAACAAAACAAAACAAAAAAACTTTGGAAGTAATATGCGACAGCAGTCAGGATTAGATTTATGAAGTTTCTATCCATTAAGAAGGTTATAGCTTTATATCCTCAAGAAACTTGAGGATTCTTAATCACCCTTAGGGGAGAAACAGAATGCTCCCCAATTCCTAATTCACTGTAGACTCTGAAAGAAGAATGAGATGTACAAAAGACTGTAATAGCTCTCTTAAGGGATCTTTCAAGGCCCTTCCAAGTAGAAATATAAACTCTATATGCCCAGCCCTGTAATGCTGACAGTGCTTGGGGCAGATTGGAGGCAAGGCAGGAAGTTACTTCACCGCACACATAGGACTGGAATGGCCTCAATGGAATATGGGGCCATTCACAGGATCCTCATTCAAGGAACACAAAAGTGTCCTCAGAAATATCACTCTTTCTCTTTGAAGGCCCTGAATTGCCAACATTCTAGATTCACTCATTTCACTTCAAAGCTGGAATGCTTTGACTGTCAGGAGGTCCTTACTGAAAAGCAGATTATTTTTGTGCAAGGTAAAACCCCTCTACAGTTAACACATAAGTGAAGATTAGTTGGGCCTTTGCTGAAGAGAATTTGAAGGACAAGATAGTGTCTGGATTACCTAGCAGCAGAATGAGAACAAATGGAGAAAGCCTAAGTTTTATAAAAATTCAATTTGTCTAGGATCTAGTTTTTGCAGGGGCTGATACTCTGCTTTTATTCAAAATATCTGTTACTGGTGGCTTCTCAGGGATTACAAAACTATGATTTGGGCCTCTCAAAATAAATATAAAGGCTTTAGGAAATATCTTATCTTCTCCCTAATTGACAGGAACAGGACATGTTCTGCATTTGGATAAACTGCATTCTGATATCTATCATGGAGATTTCTACTAGTCTAGTTTTCAGGAGCATCACAGCGTTGAGATAATTCATTACAAAAGGGAAGCACATCAAAAAGCAAGCAAGAAGTTAGTGATAAACCTGAGTCTTGTCATTCCTATTGCAAAGCTTTTCACCTCCATTTTATTATGAAATATTTCTTAATATTTGTAGTTTCATTAATCGGTAAACCTTCATTGTCTGGGTTAATAGGACATAGCCTACCTGGCTGGATTCTGACTAACTTCTCTGTGTTCTACAACTGTGGGAAGAGATCATTAACAGAAAGGGTGCCAGCTGGGAAAGATTATTATAAAAGGAGACACTAAAACATTGCTGCAGACTTCCTCTCTACAAAGCTCAAACTCATGTAGGTGTGTCCCCGCTTCCAGGGGCAAACCAGTTCCACTATTCTTAACATTTTACCCCCTAGAAAAAAACGCGATATTTACTGAGCCAATTTCAAGAAGGTGATCTAGCCATCCTATCTAGGGTCCATCATTCTCTCTTAGGGCCCCAACTTGAGAACAACTATTGGTGAATTAAATACTTAAAGGATGAGAGATTGTTCTCATCTGCTTGGAGTATAAACTTCTTTAAGATATCAGCATCTCTACACACATTACATTTGCTATCTTACTATTCCCTTTGTGAAGAAGGGAGTCATTGAACAAGTTTCTCTCCTCATAAAACTCTTCAATTAGATTTTTGACATTTCAACTTTTTTCATCTGATCCAAGTAAGAAAAAAATGTCAGAACCCCCAAAATATGGGTAGGATTTCTTTCTCTTCTACTTGGATTAAATGATTTCTACTCTATTTCTAACAGCCTGGATCAGTTTATTGCTGTCCCATTTGGTTGCAGATAATCCTGGATTATATTTTTAAAGCAAAGAAAGAAGACCACAAATATTGGTGTACAATGTGTCACATTTCTGAAACTTTTTAATAGGAGATTTATTGTCTGTTCAAATTTGGGAAAAAATGCTAGGAACTTCAAAGCTTAAAATGCTTTGTAGATTCTTGCCGAAAGGTAACCAGAAGATAGGTAACAAATACTGAATATTAGATTTAGTTGATAAATGTTTCTTCAAATAATGTAAAGTGTTTATCAAATTCTTTTCATCCTAGCTATGTAATGCTAAATTTGCAACGTTTGAAGTTGTGGGTTCCTAGTTACTGAAGCAACCAGTCTGTGGTGCTCAGTTTTGTTTACATTTGGCAAATGGTGTCTTCCTGCTTTCAGGAAAAGAAGGCTTAAGTAGGCTTATGACTACCTAGACATCAAATGGTTTCTACAGACATCTTCCTTCTTAAATATAAGTTAGATATGTATGTAATAATTAGAAAGTTGAACTAAAATGGTCAGAACAAAATGCAGGAGATACTAGTCCAATCAACTCTTACATATTTGAAAGCTCTCTTGAGGGGTTCACAAAATCAAAACTGCAACTGAATTCCCACTTCCTTCACATAACACCATCTTGGCTATAAAAACTTAGCTTACTTCCAGAAAAGGATGTTTACTGGACCAATCCCAGGAATACACAGTGAGTAAACTCTGAACTTCATTCTCAAGGGTTCTTCAAGCCCAGAGAGCATGCAAATGAGACTTTTTAAAGTCTAAAATGATTTTAGTTGTTAAAAATGTGTACAGATTCATATAAATATTTAAATTATAATTATAAATACATATAGCATTATATTATAATAGTTCCCGATAAAGATTGATAACAATTTTATTTTAAAAATATATTAAACTTTTAATCTCCCATCCTTTAGTTAACTCCTTTTTTTAAGCATCTGGCAACTTATATGCAGTTTCTGAAAAGAAAACCTAAGATTCAACACCTGTCTATGTAGGTCGGATTGTCTATCCATGGACAAATGGCATAGCAAAGGAAAACCAAATGAATCTAGACACTGTTAAGGACCAATAAGTCCACCAAGACTAAGGAAAATGCTTGCCACAAGACTTAGCATTCCTTCATACAGTAAAATTTCCCTCATTCAGACTGATATCAAGATGCTTTTAACAATTAAATCAGGAAATTTATGTCTGTGGCAGTTGCAAATATTTCTATCAATCCTGACAGAAGAACAGAGGCCTGAGAAAATCTGAAGAAATGAAAAGAACTCAATCAAACATGAATCCAAGAAGCTCTGAGGATTGTGTGAGATTAATTCCAGGAAGGTGAACAGCAAAATCTAAAATGTCTCTACTCTCAAAGAATTCATGTTCCACCAATGTAATGAATCTTTAAGATGGCCGTCATTTGGATTCAGCCTTAAGATGAAAAACTATCATGCATCCAAAAAAGGTGTTTTTTTCATTAATCTCACAACAGAACATCAAACAAAGCAATTCAAATGGATCAGCTCCAATCCATCTGGAGTGGTCAGACTGTGGGAAGGATTTCCAATCACACAGTGAAGACCATAAATAAAAGCTATATCAAAATATGGTGATCTCCTTCCTCCGTACGCCGTCCTTTCCACCAACTACCTTACCCCATGACCTCAAATAATCACCGAATCTGGGAAACATTAGTAGAGTTGCTCCAGCTGACCTCCATTACTGTCCCCAGTAGGTGAAGGTAGTCTCTGAGGTAGCGAATGTCAAAGTTTAGTGTGAAGTGTAATGTTCATTTCAGACACAAAAACACTCGGTTAGAAATAAAGAGGCCATTGATGGAGAAGTGCATAAATGTCTTACAAGCCTAGAACAATATCCTGGGTGAGGAAGTGATAAATAATAAGTTATTCTGACAACACCTGCTACTCATTAAGTGACAGAAGCCTCTTGGCCACCATTAATACTTGCAGCATCAGCCAGAGGAAATACAGGGCTTTGTAAAGGGAAAAATGTTTTTAAACGGTGGTGGTAGAACTGAGCAGATGTGCATCTATTCGTTGATTACATTATAGTGGGATTTAGTGAATAAAGGTTTAATAATTAAAGCTGAGGCATAAATGACATAGATCAAACACAAGGTATCTAAGAAATTAAAGACGTTCAGTTTAACTCAGAAAGACTTTGTTCTAGTACTCACTCTGCAGTTAACACTGTGTAATTAAAAGTTATTTATTGACTACTGGGACATTCTTCAGAGTTTCTATAAAATGAGATTTCCTATACATAGTTTTTGGATTTAGGGGTTTAGGGTGAAAATGAAGACTATAAATAGGAGCCAATCTTTCCTCCACAAAATGGGAAGTTCACTGCTTGAAGAATGTATATTAGCAACATGATGTGGCCCCATAGCCTCTTACAAGGTGCTGTCACTGGGGAAAGAGAGCAGAGGTGTGGAGATAAGTCCTCTTCATCTTCTCAGACTGAATATGGAAGCTACCCCAAGAATGGTCTCACTGTGCTTGAGAATGAGGACAAGGGAACCAGCAAAAGTGCAGACCTCTGGGAACACTGAAATTTGCACATTTCTCTCTTTCTAACAGGAATCACTGCTGGAACCCAAAATAAAAAAGCTGCATTGGAAAACAGACCCCAGACTGGAGTTCTGTCATCCTTGTGAGGCTACTTCCTTGAGAGTTTGACTCCAACCCTGGATTGAGTCAGAAAAAGAAAAGGAAATGTAGTAAATCTGCAGTGAATTAATTTTCTATTAGAAAATCATTTGGCCCAATTTGTCAGAGTCTGACTTTCTTGAAAAAAAAAAATTAGTAGGAGCTTTAAGTCTTTAGGACCACTAAGGGATAATTTTAATCATTACTGCTGAGCTGCTCTCTGGCTCCAAATCTATCTCTAGTGGCCTTTCAGTGTGACTGACTTCTTCCCAGTGTCTCCATGGGCACTGAAGGAAAGCGATTTGATCACTCACTATTGAAATCTTGATTAAAAGCAAGTGTTCTCTCAGCGTACTTTAGCTCTCTCTCAAGGATCTGATTTTTTTGTTGTTGTTCTATCTCAACAGCTAAGCTTTAATTCTAACTCCTAAATACAACATTTGCTATTTCCAGTTGCAACCACAAGATAGCAGGATAACTTAATTTGAGTTTCAACTGGTGAGGTAATGGATTCTAAAACCTGATAAGATGGGAGGCCCTGGCAGATAGATCACCTAAGGTCAGGAGTTCATGACCAGCCTGGCCAACATGGCAAAACCCCATCTCTACTAAAAATACAAAAATTAGCCGGGCGTGGTAGCACATGCCTGTAATTTCAGCTACTCGGGGGGCTGAGGCAGGAGAATCACTTGAACCCGGGAGGCGGAGGTTGCAGTGAGATGAGATAGTGCCATTGCCCTCCAGCCTGGGCAACAAGAGTGAAACTCCATCTTAAAAAAAAAAAAACTGATAAGAGCAAATTATAGAAACATGATTATTATGTGGTACAAGATGAAATACAATTAGATAAACTTCATTGTTTAAAAAATGTTTTTAAAAATACAATGCCTGAATGTATTATTTTATTAATAGTCAATGATAAAGAAATATTAATATATAGAAATTTATAAATTACATAGCAAAGTGAGTACATTACTAATACAATGATAGCCATTAATATAAAAATCCCTTTTAAGTTGTCAGAGATAAAAATAATATATGTTAATATGTGTGTTTGTTAATAATTTCTAGCCTTTATTATTGGGAATAAGTGTTGCTGTAAAATTTGTAGCTGAATTATAGAACTGACATTAAAAAGAAGAGAATATTATATTGGTTTTTTTTTAATTAACTCTTGAACTGATAAAATGTTCTGTAAGAATATTTGAGCAGAATAAAATGGCTCATCTTAATAGTCATGGATGATTCTTCACAGAGCTAAACTATAAACTTGTCTCAAGAATTTCAGCCAGTCCCTGGAGATTTCACAGAGCTTCCTTCACATCTCTCCCTAAGAAGAGAAGCCTGAGAAAACAGATGGGTCTTCCTCTGTGACTCTGAGATCAGCAGCCCAGCCTCTGGCAACTAATCAAGGGGAAGAATTCCAGGGCCAATGGCCCTTCTGAAAAAAATATTCTGCTTCCTTTTTCCCAGAACTCAAAGTGAAACTCGAATTTATCGAGTTGGTTATCTTGTATCTCAACAAATCACTAAATGTTTCCCCAGATTTAGTACAAAAGAAGAAAAGAAAAAGATAGACAAAGATGGGAGAGTGCACATACACTTAGGTAATACGGTCACTCTCAGGAGAAGCCAAATAGCTCATAAGATTATGTTGCAATTATGAACTGAAGTAAAATAAGAATAAAATGAAGCAAATTAGCCTTGATTGATATCAACAAAAGTGAAGGTACTAAACTTTATAAGAATGAATAGTCAGTACCACAGTTGGGGGCTTAAGTATATGAAGTATACAATATGATGGAATATTATGCAAAATATTTTCTCAGCTTAAGGATTTTTGAAAACATTTGCAAGGATGAGCCAATATATTTTTTTCTCTACATTAGAAAAAAAAACTCAGTAAATAAGTCCTGGAAAGACTATAACCATCTTTATTTTTATTTCTGTCTCCAGAAAGACTTGATCTCCTAAACAATATATAAGAAAAAAGTTTGAGCCTATGACCTGTTTTACAGAATCACAAATGGAAGTAAGGAACCAAAAGATTGTGTTCTACTTTTATCAAAAATGTCTCCTCTCATTGCATTTTAAATACATTATTCTTCAGACACTAACACAAATTATCTGTCATTTCAACTAGTAATTAGAAAAGAACAGATATTATGGTCTCTCTAAAATGCTGTGTGTGTGTGTGTGTCTGTGTATGTGCTGAAAAGAACAATATTCATACTTGAAGGAAACTAATTTCATCTTTCTTGCTCTAAGCTATATAAAAAAGGAAGGAAGAGTTTTGAAGAAAGACAATCTTTTTCTATATTACCTAGAGCAAACGAGATGAAATTAGTTTCCTTCAAGCATAAATATTTTTCTTTTCAACACACACACACACAATGACAAATCACGTCACAGAAAGACTTTAGGCCAGCTTCTCCCTGCATCGTTTTCCCACAGCCATGTTTGTATTTTAATCTAAAATCTGATGAACCCCAAATTACACCTCCAGCTCAGACTGCTCTCCTGCAATCATATTTCTATGTTTAGCTGCCTCGTGGATACCTGGAAGGTCTAGAGGCTCCACAAGTTCAGCCAGTCCAAAGCTTTAAGGAATGAATGAGTACATCTTTTCCTGCCAAAGCATTTTATCTTCATTGTATGTTTTCTTCATTAACTCCATTTCCATTCACTTACCAGTCATTCATTCCTTGGGTTCTTTCTCCTCTTCCTCTCTGCCCCTGCATTAAGATGATATCTCTATGCCTATTGTATTCCATCAAAATTTTAAGTTACCTCTGCTGCTTCCCATTTTGAATCCTTCCATTCTCCTACCAAAGAGGACTTTCAGAAAAGCACATCTAGAACAGTTACTCTCTACTTAAAACTCTTAATGGCTTCCGTATAGGAGAAAACCAAAACTTCTTAAGATGGTATACAAAGTCCTCCACACATGCTTACAATTAAGGCTTCAGGTCTAATCCACTCCCTTAACACTGCCCTTCCTTCTTTATGCATTATTCACCTTGTGTTCTAGACACTCAGAATTACATGTAGCTTTCCTTGTGTCATGCTGTTTCACACCTCGAGGCCTCTGCTCAAATTCTTCAGGCTCTTTAGGATTTCATCATTTTTATACTCCTGGATAAACTTCCTTCGAGTACTTTAAGATCCAGATTTCCCAGGATTTCTTACTCTACAAAATTGTCCTTAAGTCATCCACTCAGATTTTATTACTCTTTCCTTTGTGCCAGACTGTACCTAGAACACAATTTAATATTCAAGCATACATTGTATTTTAAAATAATTTCCAGAATGTCTTACCTGATAGGCCTTGAAAACCGTATAACAGAGAAATGTCTTTGTTTCCCCTGCGTATTCCCAATACTTAGAGATGGGTGGTATATAAGAAACACTAAAACAATTTAAATTAAAAAATAGTTAAGAACTGAATAAGATTATATGAGTTTTACAATTTGTATGTCATTATTCTAAGTATTGTGTGGAATATAAATAAAACAGTGTTCTACTCTTCATGAACTAATAGCACATGTTTATAAATAAAAATATATAGCAAGATAGAAAGTGACTCTGCTGTGGGAAATTAGAGAGAGGGTTTTTTTGTTTGTTCTGTTTTGTTTTTGTTTTTGTTTTTGTTGTTTTGTTTTCAATCAAAAGTTCTAGAAAGTTTTCATGGAGAAAGAGGAATTAGGGTAGAGATGGGAATTGAGAATCATGAAACCCAAATCTGGACTGAAGTACATGGGCTTTACCTGGAATTAATCATGAGCCCTCAAAGTTTCACAGCATGAGAATAAATGTTCAGAGCTAAGCTTCAACATGGTTAATTTGAGAGCAGTAGTTAGGATAAATAGAATCAGTGAAGGCTGGAAACAGAGGCCATTTAAATAATTATTATAATTAATCATTATTATTAATTGTTAATAATTATTGTATATTTAATTATTTGATTATAATTATTCAAACTGTTCTAAAGGACTTGATATTTGAATCTCAGAAATGGGGTTGGAGAGTTCTCGAGGGGAAAATGGCGGATAGGAGGCAAGACTAGATTTGAGACTCACTCGCATTATGAACTTTTGCTCCAGAACTACTGCAGGAATATACCAGGAAAGCCGAGAGAATCCACAGATCCTCTGAAGGAAGCGGATTGCTCCTGCAGGACTGGGGAGAAAGCCCAAATACTTGTCTGCCTAGTCGAGGAGGAGTGCCTCCCAGGCTTGGAGGGCTGGTGTCGAGTTGTGGACCTCACCGTGTTGACCCTACCTACCTCACATGTGTCAAGACTCTCATGTCACAAGCGTATCTTGCTGCCCCACCTGCAGCACCATGCAGGACGTGGATCAGCTGAAGATGCTCCTCAGGAAAGAGGAGAGTCACAGCCGACGTCCTGGCCACGAAGTGAGAGAGCACTGCCCAGAAGCACAGCTCGGTTGGCTTCTGAGAACGGGACTCTG
This sequence comes from Homo sapiens, assembly GCF_000001405.40. Lineage (NCBI taxonomy): Eukaryota > Metazoa > Chordata > Mammalia > Primates > Hominidae > Homo > Homo sapiens. The sequence goes on from NC_000005.10 coordinate 52,668,885, forward strand.
TGCTTCAGGGAACATCTGATGGCTGAGATTTGTTTGCACGGCAGCTGCGGGACAAACCGTTGATGCTGAATCGGCAGAAATTGTCACAGAGGGCAGCAGGGACAGGACTGGCAAGGACTTGCAGCCTGGAGACCCCGTCTGGCCCCAGCTGGCCCCAAGCTGATCAAGTGACGGGCAAGTCATGTGACCTTCACCAGACTCTGCTTCCGAATCAGCAAAAGGGAGGCAGAGGCTGCCAGGCTGGGCGACAGAGCAAGACTCCATCTCAAAACAAAAAACAAACAAACAAACAAAGTCTTTGATTCTCAGAGAGCATTTGTCTAATATAATAAAAAAGTGGCTTTCATAAAACCTCAAAACTGTTAAGGCATCTTCTAGGCTTCATGGATTCTTGACATTTAATCGTTCTGTTCAGAAAAGTTTATAGAAGTCAAATAATTCTGTATAAATTATGGAAATCCGCAATACTTTTTTGTTGTTGAGATTTAAAGTTCTAAGGGATTGTCAATAGATATCAAAATATTAATCACTGGACAAACGCTCTTCAAAAACTTGTGGGTTTTTTTCTTCTGTTGTATACATTTGAGTCCTGCATGCTGCGAAATTCTGAGAATAGAAGCATTAAATTGGTTTCTCTCGGGGGAAAACACAAAGAAATGGGGTTGCAGCTGGGAAAGCAAAGAGATAGGAACACACGTGGGACATATGGAGGACAGGATCCTTGAAACTCGGCAAAAGATTTCACAGAGTCAAACAAAAGGCATATGCACCCAAGAAGAATTAGAAGTTGTGAATCTGAGGAACTGAAAGAATCTCCATGCCATTAAGAGAAACAGGGAAAATGTGAAGAAGAGCTTTGGAAAGAACATTACCTCTGTTTTTTGTCAGGAAAAGATTTTGGCCATTCGTACAAAGATATTTAAAGACATCAGAATGAGTGTTAATGCCCAGGAATAAAATGTAGGAAATGTACAAAAGAAGTCTGGGAACAACTTACATGTAAGAAACTGGAGGAAGAAAGGAACCCCAGAAAAGGAGGAGAAAACAGGAAAACAATCATGAGATCGTGATCATTCAACCAAGGAAAAGCAAAGTGTCAGCATGAAGGTGCTGTTGACAAGATCTAGGGACGCTGAGGTATTGAAGCTGTACAGTCCAATACAGTAGCCAATGGCTATGAGTGCCTGTTTAAATGTAAATCAGACTAAATTTAAAATGTATTTCCTCAGTTGCATTAGCCACATTGTAAGTGTTTAATACCCACAAGAGGCAAGTGGGTTGTGTATAAAAATAGTGCAGCTATAGAACAAATTTATTTTGGCAGAAAGTTCTTTTAGATAGTATTGGATTGAGGAATATAAAGACTGAAATAAAAGTCAACATGAAGGTGGTCTCTCAAGGCAGTTAAGGAGTTAAGATTAGATCAGAATTCCTTACTCACTTACCCTAAGTGTGTCCTTCCACAAATTACTTGATCTCTTTAGACCCAATTATTAGCATTTACCTCCTGGAGTTGTTTTTTAAGTGATTAAATAGTAATATGTATGTATTTTATTGTTATTCCTGGACCACTGTTAGTCCTCAATAAAAGGAAAGAGCAGCTGCAGCAGTGGAATACAGAGGGGTTAGAAGCCCTATTGCTATTGATTAAGAAGAAAGTCGGAGGTTAATATGTGGATGCCGCAGGCCTAGACCACACTTTAATAGATCCAGAAAGCTAGGAAGGCAGATTGTGCGGGTAACAGTTTGGGGAGGAGTTCTTTTCTGGTAAGTGTCCCAGAGGAAGTATGGGCATGAGGGGATAACAGAGAAAGTACAGGAAGAGGGAACAAATAGGAAGAAAGCTGGAAAGGATGTGTAAGCATCAATCTATGTCTTCTGATTGTTGAAGGGATGGTTGTGTTGTCTGACAAAGATAATATCACACATCAGTGGGGAGATTGGATAGGGGAATTTTTACTGGGAAAGGGCAAGGAGGAAGTCAAAGTAGGAGCAAGAAGTGTTCCCCATTCTCCCTGAAATTGCATTATTACAAGGGCAAGAATTGGTTTTATTTCTAAAACCTTAACCTGACTTTGTTAGTATTTGCCACCGCCTGAAATCCTATGTTAACAATCATTCTGAGGCTGTATTTGGACTCACTGGGAAGTAGTGCATGAATAAAGAACCATTTCATGGACATAGAAATCTTGCCCTAAGGTCAACAGTGCATATGAACCTGGTTTAACTGGTTTCAAGTGGCCAAATGATCACAGCCAGAAAGAACCATCCTTGGCTTTTTCTGCCCTGAAGGTTTCTTGCTTCTGGGACACACGGACTTCAAGGACTTAGATTCTGCCTCTGGAGAACTGTGCTCTGGTGTCTCACACCCATGTAACCCACAGGTCATATCCTGTTCCTTCACCAAATCATAGTAAATTCCAAGCCCCAATTCCCCATCCTTCCTGTGCTTCAAGACTTTAGATGGCCTCGATGCTGATATTCCTTCCAAAGAGCATTAGTAGCCACTTGAACCTTGAAAGACAGAGAATAGTTCATTGAACCAGTTAAGAACACCTAAGTCATGGAAGATGGAGGCTGGGATGAAAACAGAGTAGTGATACAAAGGATTTAGTCTAGACCCTTTTTTGTTTTCTTGCATTTCCATATAGGAATGAAAATGATGAACGTTGAACTGATATAAAGAAATGCCTCATTAAACATGATTTTACAAATTCAGAACCTAGAAAAGGAAATTTTAAATATTCTTTATTGCAGTCTCCATATATTATTCATTTTTGTATGAACTTTAAGTACCTACTAATGATCAATCAATGCATTTGACACTGGTGATAAAATTATGAACAAGATGCCACTTCTGACTTCAGGGCAATTAAGGCCCTGCATCTAGTGGGCACACAATGATTTCTGTTGCTTTTAAATGAATTAAGGAAAATAATGAGGGTTTTATTTGACTACACATATGGGGAAATTAATTGCAATAATTATGTGATCGTTTACATATATCGTGCCTAAAAACTTCCTAGAACAATAATCATAGTGATCACTAAATGTGTCAAAACAACTTAGTCATAAGATATATTTGATTAGAATATCTAATTCACTTTAATGTATTAGATTCTCTTCATAATTTTTAGTCATAGTCCAGTATCCCCCATACTTGAAGAAAACACAGAGAATATTGCTCACATCTTAGTTCCCAATCAATTAAAAGCCCAGCATAGCTGCTTATTCCTACCCCCTCCCACCCTCTCCAACAAAATATTCAGTTTGGGAAGAAACGCTAATTTTGACCTGAATTAGGTCAAGGTTTGCCAAAAATATAGTGGCGAGACATTAACACACATTTAGCTGTTCTGCTTTCATATTATTGTTTTTTCTTAAATGGAGTCATTTATGATAGGTTCATGGAGAACTCAGAGAAAATGGAAGAATTGGTTTGAATGATTCTGTTCAGTAGGAAAAAGACGGGAGTATGGCTAATCCTTAAGGTTTTATTCTCCATGATCAAATGACTTTGAAAAATTAAAGAGTTTGGAAAATGAGACAAGGAGTATTTAAACTAAAACAGGGAACTCTCAGAAGTTTGTTGAGCTAGACTAAAAAAAAAAAAAAAAAAAAAACAGGGGAATGTGAAATTCAAAGAAGCCTTGCTCTTTGAATCTCAGTGCTGTTACACAGGAGCTAGTGGCTTTTGGAGTCCAACAGAACCTTTCATTTCTCTCTGAGGCAAAATGTTTACATGTAGATACAAGAGCTCTGTAAATCAACCAAATCAGTGCATCAACTCTCTTTCTGTTTATATACACTAAGCATATGCTTCCTGTGACCACTTCAAAAGAAATATAACTTTCTTGAATATTATTTAAGTGCAGCTCGATGGCTGTGAAAGAGAGAAAGTATAACTGACTTTGAATCTTTTACTACATGGGTGGAGAAAGAAGGAAGGAGTGATTGAAATGTTACACTGACCAGTCTAGGAAATGGGTAATAACTTGTGATTAAATGCAGATGTTAACCTGAAAAATTCAGTTAATCACAGATATTAAACATGCCTGGAAGCCATAAAAAGGCAGAAGGTAAACCAATGAATAACCTTGCGTTGAAATCGTGTAGTGACACACAATTCACATTGGAATAAAATAATGGACTAAATTTAAATTACTTCAACTTTTCCATCTTGTATAAATGTTTATGTACAAATGAACAGACCAGTACATGGACTAGTAACCAGGGAACATTGGCAACTTGAATATATCAAAATCAAAATGGAAAGATCCAGGAACAACAGGTATGTAAGTACCACTTGGAAAGGAACAAGCTGAAAAATATTCCATTTGAGTAAGCATAAACCACATTAGAAACAAACATTATAAATAGGTTTTAAAATCCAGAATACCTGTTACATCTAGCGATACTGCACTAATATAAAAAGCAGATCATAATTTTCCATAAGTGGTGCTTGGAAATCACAACTAGGCATTTCATAGCTAATGCTCCACAGTCTAGTACTGGACTTGGGATATAATAATCGACACTCAATAAATGTTGGTTCTGATTTATTGTTAGCAGTGCTCCTCAAAATAAAAAGCCAGAATGTTCTATAAATAAGAAGACTTCAAAAACATTGAAATAAGCAAGTATAATTGCTACTATAATACATATATTCATACATTTTGCCAGCAGTCACCACTCTTTGCCACCTCAAGTTACCAATCTAACATTGTTGACAAGCACCTATATTTCACTTTGAGTTCCAATCAGTCTCGCATTCATCATTTTCAGCTGCTGATTTATCACTTTCAGCAGCTGGTTCTTCAAAGCCCACTGTAAATACAGGCAGGAGCTTGGTGATAGAATAGGATAACCACAAGTTGCAAAGTGGCTTTTGCAAACAGAAAATAAAACGATTTCCCACCATTTCTGCTTTCCAAGCACCCTCCAAGATGTAGTCTAGCAAAATGTGGGGACTCCCCATGTCCATATTTCAAAAAAGTTCAGTCTTGCGAGCCACAATCTTGGTCAAATTACATTAGAGAAATTGAAAGAGGATTTCAAAGTTATGAAGTAATGGACAATCAAAATAAAAAGGAGTTTAATGTTGAAGGAAACCACTGAGACTGAAAATTGTGAATTCCTACTATTATTGATCCAATTGCTTATGGAGTTGAATTTTTTTTCTGGTAGATTAAAAGATTGAGGCAGTGTTGTTGGTGTACAGAGAGAGTTTTGTTGAAAAACAAATGGAAAGGGTAATCAACAGAATTGGCAAATAGTGATTATAATAATAACAGTAATAATGAAAACAAACCCTAATTGCACATGTAATTCTGCATAGAATATAAAGGAAATGGGGTCAAATGGATGACTGAGTGGAAGGATAAGAGCGTTTAAGTAGTCGAAGAACAGTGGCTGTACTAGTTAAGAGTGTAACCACACAGATTCTCTGACCCATGAGACACATTGAATGTGAAGAAGGAAACGGCAGTCTTTTTGTGGCAAGAATGGAAGATGAAGAACATGAAAGTTAAAAGTTAAAAGTTAAAAGTCACGTCTGATCTCATACCTACAGTCTTTTTTTTTTGGAGACAGACTCTCGCTCTATTGCCTGGCTGGAGGGTAGTGGCGCAATCTCGGCTCACTGCAACCTCCGAATCCCTGGTTAGAGAGATTCTCCTGCCTCAGCCTCCTAGTAGCTGGGATTACAGGCACACACCACCACACCTGGCTAATTTTTGTATTTTTAGTAGAGACGGGATTTCACCGTGTTGGCCAGGATGGTCTTGGTCTCCTGACCTCATGATCTGCCCACCTTGGCCTCCTGAACTGCTGGGATTACAGGAATGAGCCATCGTGCCTGGCCACCTACTGTCCTTTAATAATAACCGAAAAGAAAAATTTAGTTAATGAGGCACATGGGACTCCATCAAATGTAATTTCTTGCCCATTCAAGCATACAAACATTTTTGATGGGCCAATGACTGGCAAAGTTCGTAATGTTATCATTGTGTTTCTACAGATCACAGGAAAAAATACTCCACAAAACAGGCTGAAAAAAAAACTGCAAAACAAATTCCAACTCATTTCCTGTGTTGAATTGGAAAACGTAATACCAAAGAGCATTGGTCATCATTGTCACAACTGGAGTCTTAAATGTAACTTCATAAGTTTCAGTTTCTCATTGAGAATCTATGCCTATCAACAAGGAAATATAAATACATTTGTTCAATTAGAGAGAAACTAATTCTTCTGACATTTTTCTTCCTTGTTATTCCCCTGGGCACAGTCCTGAAATAAAAATAGAATTATTCCCATCATCTTTTATTCAATTTAAGTTTAAACTATAATTGGGTATATCCAGGGATAAAATAATGAGTGTATTTAAGGATAGAAATAGAGTCTGTAACCTCTTAAGAATTTAGTGAAATTCTATCCCTTGTGAGTTGCGGTTTACCCAGGCAGCTTTGCCAGAAGATCCCTATTCCATTTGATGAGGTGAGTCACCTTGTTTATCACAGGCTTCTTCACGTTTAAGACTTTTCTTGGTTCATCAATGCTGGCTCCATCACCAGAGATCTTTCCGTGTTTCTTCACCCTCTAAAATCTTTGTAGATTTTGATGCTTATATTTGATCTGAGGTTTCTTTATCTGAAAGCAATGATTCTGTTTGAAGGGATCAGAGTTCACTTTGATGCATCATAACATAAAATAAGAAAGTATCGATGAAGCAGCCTGCAAATATTAGCAAATTGAAATTATAAATCCAGTTGATCTTAGCATACCACAAATGCTTTTATTCAGAAAATACATTCATTAAAGCCAAGAACAAATATATTGTTTGTAACTCCAGTGCCTATAAGAGTGCCTAATTCACAATAGGTGCTCGACAACTATTTATTGACTGACAGTGAATGACTGTTGACAGAAAAATAATTTAGATTTAGAAATGGCCTTAATTGAAGGATCCTGATGCCTATAACATTAACTTGCTGTCCTAGAAAACTGATTGGGGTAGGGGATGGTCGGGGGAAAGTTCTAGATGATTATTTATGATCTTGTCTGAGATTGCTAACTCAGTAAAAGATACAAAGTGAAGCCCAAAACACTCAATTGTGTTTCCACCATGTCTTTTTAAAAAAAATTATTTTGAAATAATTGTGACTCATAAACAATTATAAGAAAAAACAGTCAGAAATTGCACTGAACATTTACCCAGTCTCCCCAGCACTGTAAAATTTCCAACCAGGAATTTTACAGTGATACAATCAATACACCTTAGTTTTACATGCATTTATTTGTGTGTGTATTTAGTTCAATGCAATTTTATCACGGGTGTAGATTCGTGATCCACTTAGATATCTTCTATTATTTTTAACACAATTTTATATCAAAGAAATTTCTGCCAGGGGTGAAGGTACCCTTACGGAAATGACAGAAATCAGAGAATCTACTACTGGATGTGGGTATGTGAGTAAGCACAAAAGTCAAAGTTCAGCTAGATTGTCTGCAGTACTATAAATAGAGGGAGATATGAACAGAATAAGATAAAACCTCCCTGGAGCTACACAGATAAATTAGGAGCTGGTAAAACTCTTATGAAGGAATCACGTAAACTGCAGAATATGAGAGAGGATAGGAACTCGGAAATTTGTTAATATGAAAAAGGCAGGACAGATAGAAACAAAATCCAGATGTTGGTCAATATGGGGAAAATATTGAGGGAAAGATTTAGGGCAATGAAAGAAGGTAATAGATACACAGAGAGAAAGATAGCAAGAGAGATTGATTATAGGGACTTTTTCATTTCTTCAAAAAAAACAAAAATGGGATACATGTGCAGAAGGTGCAGGTTTGTTACATAGTTTGCTGCACCTATTGACCCATCCTCTAAGTTCCCTCCCCTCAACCCCCACCCACCAACAGGCCCTAGCATGTGTTGTTCCTCTCTCTGTGCCCATGTGTTCTCAATCTTCAACTCCCACTTATGAGTGAGAACATGCAGTGTTTGGTTTTCTGTTTGGTGTTCCTGTGTTAGTTTGCTGAGGATGATGATTTCCAGCTTCATCCATGTCCCTGCAAAGGACATAATCTCATTCTTTTTTATGGCTGCAGAGTATTCCATGGTGTATATGTACCACGTTTTCTTTATCCAGTCTATCATTGATGGGCATTTGGGTTGGTTCCATGTCTTTGCTATTGTAAATAATGCTGCAGTAAACATATGTGTGCATGTGTCTTTATAGACACAGTAGAATGATTTATAATCCTTTGGGTATATACCCAGTAATGGATGGAATTGCTGGGTCAAATTGTATTTCTGGTTCTAGATTCTTGAGGAATCACCATACTGTCTTCCACAATGGTTGAACTAATTTACACTCCCACCAACAGTGTAAAAGCATTCCTGTTTCTCCACAGCCTTGCCAGCATCTATTGTTTCCTGACTTTTTAATAATCGCCATTCTGACTGGTGTGAGATGGTATCTCATTAGGGTTTTGATTTGCACTTCTCTGATGATCAGTGATGTTGAGCTTTTCTTCATATGTTTGCTGGCCATGTAAATGTTTTCTTTTGAGACATGCCTGTTCATATCCTTTGCGCACTTTTTGATGGGGTTGTTTTTCCCTTGTAAATTTGTTTAACTTCCTTATAAATTCTGGATATTAGACCTTTGTCAGATGGGTAGATAGCAAAATTTTCTCCCATTCAGTAGGTTGCCTATCCACTCTGATGATAGTTTCTTTTGCTGTGCAGAAGCTCTTTAGTTTAATTAGATCCCATTTGTCAATTTTGGCTTTCGTTGCAATCACTTTTGGCATTTTTGTCATGAAGTATTTGCCCATGCCTATGTCCTGAATTGTATTGCCTAGGTTTTCTTCTAGGGTATTTATGGTTTTGGGCTTTACATTTAAGTCTTTAATCCATCTTGAATTAATTTTTGTATAAGGTATAAGGAAAGGGTCCAGTTTCTGTTTTCTGCCTATGGCTAGCCAGTTTTCCCAGCACCACTGACTGAATAAGAGATCCTCTCCCCATTGCTTTTTTTGTCAGGTTTGTCGAAGATCAGATGATTGTAGGTGTGTGGTGTTATGTTCCGAGGTTTCTGTTCTGCTCCATTGGTCTATATGTCTGTTTTGGTACCAGTACTATGCTGTTTTGGTTACTGTGGCCTCATAGTATAGTTTGAAATCAGGTAGCATGCTGCCTCCAGCTTTGTTCTTTTTGCTTAGGATTGTCTTGCCTATATGAGATCTTCTTTGATTCCATATGAAATTTAAAGTAATTTTTTCTAATTCTGCTAAGAAAGTCAATGGTGGTTTGATGGTAATAACATTGAATCTATAAATTACTTTGGGCAGTATGGCCATTTTCATGATATTGATTCTTCCTATCCATGAATATGGAATTTTTTTCCATTTATTTTTGTGTCCTCTCTTATGTCCTTGAGCAGTGGTTTGTAGTTCTCCTTGAAGAGGTCCTTCATATCCCTTGTTAGCTGTATGCCTAGGTTTTTTATTCTCTTTGTAGTATTGTGAATGGGATGATTTGACTCTCTGCTTGCCTATTGATTCATGATTCGACTCCCTGCTTGCCTATTGTTGGTATAAAGGAATGCTGGTGATTTTTGCACATTGATGTTGTATTCTGAGACTTTACTGAAGTTGCTTTTCAGTTCAAGAAGTTTTGGGGCTGAGATGATGGCATTTTCTAAATATAAAATCATGTCGTTTGCAAACAGAGACAACTTGACTTCCTCTCTTCCTATTTGAATACCCTTTATTTCTTTCTCTTTCCTGATTGCCCTGGCCAGAACTTATAATACTATGTTAAATAGGGGTGGTGAGAGAGGGCATCCTTTTCTTGTACCAGTTTTCAAAGGGAATGCTTCCAGCTTTTTCCCATTCAGTATGATATTGGCTTTGGATTTGTCATAAATAGCTCTTATTATTTTGGGATATGTTCCATCAATACCTAGTTTAATGAGAGTTTTTAACATGAAGCCATGTTGGATTTTATCAAAGGCCTTTTCTGCATCTACTGAGATAATCATGTGGCTTTTGTCTTTGGCGCTGTTTATGTGATGGATTACGTTTATTGATTTGTGTATGTTGAACCTGCCTTGCATGTCAGGGATGAAGCCGATTTGATCTTGGTGGATAGGCTTTTTGACATGCTGCTGGATTCAGTTTGCCAGTATTTTACTGAGGATTTTCGCATCAATGTTCAACAGGGATATTGGCCTGAAGTTTTCTTTTTTGTTGTTGTGTTTCTTCCCAGTTTTGGTATCAGGATGATGCTGGCTTCAAAAAATCAGTTAGGGAGGAATCCCTCCTTTTCAATTCTTTGGAATACTTTCAGAAGGAATGGTACTAGCTCCTCTTTGTATTTTTGGTAGAATTCACCTGTGAATCTGTCTGGTCATTGGCTTTTTTTTGGTTAGTAGGCTATTAATTACTGCCTCAATTTCAGAGTTTGTTATTGGTCTATTCAGGGATTCGACTTCTTCCTGGTTTAGCCTTGGTAGGGTGTATGCGTCCAGAGATTTATCTATTTCTCTTAGATTTTTCTAGTTTATTTGTGTACTGGTGTTTCTAGTATTCTCTGATGGTAGTTTGTATTTCTGTGGGGTCAGTGATGATATCCACTGACATGATTTTTTATTTTGTCTATTTTATTCTTGTCTCTCTTCTTCTTTATTAGTCTAGCTAGAGGTCTATTTTGTTAGTTTTTTCAAAAAAAGAGCTCCTGTATTCATTGATGTTTTGGAGGGTTTTTCGTGTCTCTATCTCCTTCAATTCTTCTCTGATCTTAATTATTTCTTGTCTTTTGCTAGCTTGTGGATTATTTTGCTCTTGCCTCTCCGGTTCTTTTAATTGTGATGTTAGGGTGTTGATTTGAGATCTTTGTAGTTTTCTGATATGGGCACTTAGTGCTATAAATTTCCCTCTTAACACTACTTTAGCCATGTCCCAGAGAATATGGTATGTTATCTCTTTGTTCTCATTGGTTTCGAAGAACTTCTTGATTTCTGCCTTAATTTTATTATTTATGCAGGAGTCATTCAGGAGCAGGTTGTTCAATTTCCATGAAATTGTGTGGTTTTGACTGAGTTTCTTAATCCTGAGTTCTCATTCGATTGCACTGTTGTCTGAGAGATTGTTATGGTTTCCGTTCTTTTGCATTTGCTGAGGAGTGTTTTACTTCCAATTATGTGGTGAATTTTAGAATAAGTCCCATGTGGCACTGAGAATAATGTATATTCTGTTTATTTGGGGTGGAGGGTTCTGTAGACCTCTACTAGGTCCACTTGATCCAGAGGCAAGTTCAAGTCCTGAATATCCCTGTTAATTTTCTGTCTCATTGATCTGTCTAATACTGACAGTGGGGTGTTAAAGTTTCCCACTATTATTGTGTGGTAATCTAAGTTTCTTTGTAGGTCTCCAGAAACTTGTTTTATGAATCTGGGTGCTCCTGTATTGGGTGCATATATATTTAGAATACTTAGCTCTTCTTGTTTAATTGTTCCGTTTATCATTATATAATGCCCTTCTTTGTCTTTTTTTATCTTTGTTGGTTTAAAGTCTGTTTTGTCAGAGACTAGGATTGCAACCCCTGCTTTTTTGTTTGTTTGTTTGTTTGCTTTCAATTGCTTGGTAAATATTCCTCCACCCCTTTATTTTGGGCCTGTGTAAGATGGGTCTCTGAATACAGCACACCAGTGGGTTTTGACTCCTTATTCAATTTGACAGTCTGTGTCTTTTAATTGGGGCATTTAGCCCATTTACATTTAAGGTTAGTATTGTTATGTGTGAATTTGATCCTGTCATCATTATGCTATTTGGTTATTTTGCACACTAGTTGATGCAGTTTCTTCATAGTGTCATCAGTCTTTATATTTTGGTGTGTTTTTGCAGTGACTGTTACCAGTTTTTCCTTTTCATATTTAGTGCTTCTTTCAGGAGCTCTTGCAGGGCAGGCCTGGTGGTAACAAAATCCCTCAGCACTTGCATGTCTGGAAAGGGTTTTATTTCCCTTTCGCTTATGAAGCTTAGTTTGGCCGGATAGGAAATTCTGGGTTGAAAATTCTTTTCTTTAAGAATGTTGAATGTTGGCCCCCCATCTCTTCTGGCTTGTAGAGTTTCTCCAAGAGGTCTGCTGTTAGTCTGATGGGCTTTCCTTTGTAGGTGACCTGGCCTTTCTCTCTGGTTGCCCTTAACAGTTTTTCCTTCATTTCAACCTTGGAGAATCTGATGATTATGTGCCCTGGGGTTGATCTTCTCATGGAGTATTTTAATGGTGTTCTCTGTATTTCCTGAATTTGCATGTTGGCCTATCTTCCTAGGTTGGGGAGGTTCTCTTGCATAATATCCTGAAGTGTGTTTTCTAGCTGGTTTCCATTCTCCCCATATCCTTCTGGTACTCCAATCAATCGTAGGTTCAGTCTTTTTATGAAGTCCCATATTTCTTGGAGGCTTTCTTCATTCCTTTTCATTCCTTTTTCTCTATTCTTTTCTGCACATCTTATTTCAGTAAGGTGGTCTTGAAACTCTGATATCCTTTCTTGCACTTGGTCTATTCAGCTGTTGATACTTGTATATTCTTCACAAAGTTCTCGAGCTGTGTTTTTCAGCTCCATCAGGTCATTTATGTTCCTCTCTAAGCTGGTTATTCTGGTTAGCAATTCCTCTAACGTTTTGTCAAGGTTCTTATCTTCTTTGCACTGAGTTAGAACATGCTCCTTTAGCTCAGTGTAGTTTGTTATTACCCATCTTCTGAAGCCTATTTCTGTCAATTCGTCCATTGGATTCTCCTCCAGTTCTGGGCCCTTGATGGAGAGACATTGTGATCATTTGGAGGAGAAGAGGAACTCTGGTCTTTTGGGTTTTCAGCATTTTTTCGTGATTCTTTCTCATCTTCATGAGTTTGTGTAGTTTGGTCTTTGAGGCTGCTTACCCTTGGATGGGGTTTTTGTGGGGGCCTTTTTTGCTATTGTTGTTGATGCCATTGTTGTCGCTTTCTGCTTGTTTCCTTTTCTTTCAATAGTCAGGTCTCTCTTCTGTAGGGCTGCTGCAGTTTGCTGGGGGTTCACTTCAGGCCTTATTCATCTGATTCACTCACATGCCTGGAGATGTCACTCAAGGAGGCTGGAAAACAGCAAAGATGGGTGCCTGCTCCTTCTTCTGGGACCTCTAACCTTGAGGGACACCAGCCTGATGCCAATAGGATCGCTCCTGTATAAGGTGCCTGACAGCCCCTATTGGAGGGTCTCACCCAGTTTGGTCGCACAGAGAGCAGGACCCATTTAACGAAGCACTTTGTCCCTTGGTGGAGAGAGTGTGTTTCGCTGGGGGGAAACCCACTCATCTGGGCTGCCCAGATTCCTCAGAACTACTAGGAGGAGAGGCTAAGCCTGCTGGTCCACAGAAACTGAGGCCACCCCTACCTCTAGGGGTTCAAGCCCAGGGAGATACAAATTCTGTCCCTGAGCCTCTGGCTAGAGTTATTGGAGATTCTGCAGGGAAGACCTGCCCAGTGAGGAAGGATGGGTTAGGTTTAGGCCTGAAGAGGCACTCTGGTTGAATACTGCCACAGCCAGTGTGTTGGGCTGTGGGGACAAGTCTTAGGACCAAGCCGTCCAGCCTCCCTGGCTCCAGCAGGGAAAAAGTACACCCTGGAGCTATAGAAATGGGCACCATCCTTCCCCCACCAAGGCAGCTTAGCATGTTAGGCAGTTGCCAGTCCCAGTGCTGGCTGCTGCCCCTCCCCCAAGGAGCTCAAATGGCTTAGACAGCAGGCAGCCACACCCAGTGCTGGTCGCCCCTCCCCCCGGGAATTCGGTGGGCTTCAGCAGATTCCCACTGAGAGGCTGTCAGAATCTGTGCATTCCAAGGTTGGGATGCTAGGCCCAGGAAGCATAGGTTTGCGAGTGGGATCTTCCGATCCATGGATTGCACAGTTCCGTGGAAAAAAGCACAGTTTCCCTGGGTGGGTAGCAGGCTCACTCACTGCTTTTCTTGGTTGGGGGCAGGGGGTTCCCCTTCCCCGTGTGGCTTTCAGATGGGCAGCCACACCACACTGCCCTTCCTTCTCTCCGTGAGTCACAACGCCTTCTAGTCAATTTTGATGAGAGAACCTGGATATCTTGGTTGCCAGTGAAGGATTCACATGCTTATTCTTTTTTTTTTTTTTTTTTTCACTTTTCATTTTCTAAAGTTAGCATCTCTCTTGTCCCTTATAGTCCTATTAATTGCATACCACATTTATTTTTAAAGACCTAGTCAACAAAACTATTGGGTTTAGTGAAATAATAAGGCATAGCATTTCATAAACCAGACAAGATATGAGTCACGTCTTTTTTGAAGATTCTTACACACACACACACACACACTCCCAGATACACACGCATGCCGCATGCACAAACAAACTTGGAACTACCCTTTCAAGTAGAAGACTAAACACATCAGGGTAACATCCTAAAATTATTGGTATCTTGTTAGTGTTCCTTCCTTTATTTTTGCATGCCAAAATGAGAGGTAATAAGACAACTGCTATCTCCCATAAAAAGGCTATAAGAACTGGAAAAATGGTGTGTTTATAGAAAAGTACTCCATAAATTTTAATCGAAATAGTATTCTGCTTCCTAAATCTTAGCAAAAATAAACATTCATTCTTTTGATCTATATTTTTCTTCTTCATGAAACTGCAGTTTTATCTCTAAAGTTTTGCTTCTGTAGATCACTTAAGTTAAAAACCTGAAGCCATGCCATTCCCTAGAGTTTTTGCAATGTTCAGATATTCCGACTTCCTAATCAATCTTGCTTACTTGCTGTATAAGAATGTTTGGGGCCAGGCATGGTGGCTCACGCCTGTAATCCCAGCACTTTGGGAGACCGAGGCGGGCAGATCACCAGGTCAGGAGATCAAGACCCTCCTGGCTAACATGGTGAAACCTCGTCTCTACTAAAAATACAAAAAATTAGCCGCGCATGGTGGCGGGTGCTTGTAGTCCCAGCTACTTGGGAGGCTGAGGCAGGAGAATGGCGTGAACCCGGGAGGTGGAGCTTGCAGTGAGCTGAGATAGTGCCTCTGCACTCCAGCCTGGGCAACAGAGCAAGACTCCGTTTCAAAAAAAAAAAAAGAATGTTTGATAGCTTTTCCTGGGCAATCTATTGGCTCTCTGCTCACCCATCAGTCATCTCCCACAGCAACTGATGTAAAGAAATTATTAAACATTTTGTTAATTTCTGCATTCTTTTTTCAACTAATATTCTTTCATTTTTATAATAGCCTATCACTTCCATACTTCTGATCTTCGACCACATTTATAATTAACTATTCACATTCTTGAGGGATTAGACATACAAATTCTTGGGAAGCCAGTACACAGTGCTCTTTTTATCCTCCTAACTGAGCTACAAATAAAAAAAAATTCTTATAAAAATAAGATTTGGCCCTGGGTTTAGAAGAAACTAAAATAAACAAAATGACATTCAGAGTGGGTCCACCAAAAAATAATATGTTAGTGTCATCTTGAAAACTTTGGCTTTCCAAATTCTACAAATTGCACATGCATACACACACACACACACACACACACACACACACATAACCCTAACTTTTAAACAGATAATTAAAAGAGGGAAAAATTGACACTAAAATAAAATGTCACTCATATAGTATAGAAAATTGCAAAGCAAATCACAAAAATTTATTTTAAAAAATACTGGACTCCTAGTACAATTAAGTGTCCCCTGAGGTTCAGGACAATTGGACCTAGGATAAAAATGACTTATAACAGAGTTGTTTTAGTACCTTTAACAGTCTACTTAAGCATGGAAGGAGGTGACATGCTCTTACACACTGTTTCCCACCTTTCGCTAAACCCATGAAACAAAGTTTTAAAAAACTTTTAGAAAAAAATGTTACCCACTAGACTGGCAAAGTAGTAAGAATGCTTACCAAAGTTCAGAGCAGTAAGAAAGGGAAAAGGATTTAACAAAATGTATCAGGAGCCCAATCCTATTCTCTGTGTGAGTTTAAAATCTAATTCACACCAAGCAAAAATTTATTATAAAAACTAGCCCGGAATCAGAGAAACTCATGGAGGTCTACTGTAAGCAAATTTAATCCATCCTTTAGCCCTGAGTACCAGTACTTATGGGTCAATAGGAGCTGAAGTTGTAGCTGCTACCAAATGACTGCATACAGGGCAACCATGGGAGAGAACCAGCAGGCTCAAGAAGTAGCAAATTTTGTACACAAAGGACAAAAAGTATTCTTTTTAATCAGAGAGAAGCTCTAAATAAGTAAATTTAGAATATTATAAGAAAGAAAGGAATAAAATAGAGAAATAATAAAGTGTCTCCATAGTAATAGGAAAATGTAAAAAAAGACTAGAAACTGGTTAAAATGGAATGTTTAAAAAAGAGAAATACATACGTGTGTCAGGGATCCCCAAGACCACCCTCAGGCTTGGTGATTTACTTGAAGTATTTACAGGACTCAGAAAAGCCACTACACTTTTGGTTACAGTTTAATACAGCAAAAGAATACAGATTAAAAGCAGTAAGAGAAAAAGGCACACAGGGTGAAGTCCAGGAGGCACCAGGCACATACTTCTATGTGTCTTTTCCCAGTGGAGTTACACAAACCTGTTTAATTATGCCAACAATAATGTGTAATGACACGTGTGAGGTGTTGTCAGTCAGGAAAGCTCACCTGAGTCTTGTGTCCAAGGTGTTTATTGGGGGTCAGTGATGTAGGCATGTAGTCACATAAGCACCTCAGCTACTCAGATTCCAGCCCTGCAGAGCAAAAACAGGTGCTTGACATAAACCACAGTGTTAGCATAAACTATCTGATCAAATTGTGTCCCTTGCCTCAGGCACACAAAAGCTATCAGGCAGAATATTCCAAAGATTCAGAGTTCATCTCCAAGGAGCTGTCCAAGAGCAGGTTCTGAAGACAATTCCTTTCTGAAGGTGTAAGTTTTGAGCAACTCACACCTGCAAGTTAACCCTTTCCTGCACAGATTTATAAAATTTAAAGAAAAAAATATCAGTGAAAAAAACACAAGAATAAGACACAAAGAAAATATAAATGGATAAATTGAAAGACAAATCCAAGGACGCCTCCCAGAATTCAGTACAAATTGACAAAGGTAAATACAGAGACATGTGGCCCACAAGGAAGAGCTATGAAAAGATAAAATAGACAGAATTAGAGAAAGGCTCTCATTGTGCAGAGAGATGCGAAGAACAATAATCTCAGTGTAAGGGAGAGCACCAAGTCGCCAGCAGAGTAAGAGAAGCAAATTCATATCTAGACCCATCTAAATACTCCTGCAGAATATTATGGAAGAATCTTTAAGCTTACCAGAAAGAAGAGACTCATTATCAAACGAGGCAAGATAATTAGACCTCATATTTTACATCAGTAAATGTCAGCTAAGAATAGAATTTTAGAAAAGGAGAATTTTACCCTTCAAATTATATTATTCCATTGTCTTGGGCATTCTCTGTTGGCCACTTTTAAGAGTTTCCCTGTCTGAGAAATTTATTTATCAAATCTGCAACTCAGATTCCTCACTTATCAAATGGAAGTAATAGCTGTAGCTTTATAAAATAGAATCCAGACATTTTCAAATACACATAAAGTAATTATGGTTTGGTAGGCCTTTATTAAAAGAAATGCTAAAAGAGGTGTTTCAACAAGAATTGAAACTAAAAGAAAAGAGAAGAATGTAAGAAATAAATGTATTTTCAAGCTTGTTGGTAAATATAAATAAGTATTGACTATAAAATATGTTAATGATGAAATGAGGAGGCAATGTTAAAATAAGTTGGAATTAAAATATTAGACAATAGTAATATGAGACAAATCAGACTTAAATAGTTGTAAGATGTTTATATTACATGAATATTATATAGGAGAGGAGTAAAGACACTGAATAATTTCAAACATCCTTGAGTCAAACAAATTCAAATTTAAGATAAACCAGTATTTAAAATGTTTAGTGAAATTAATAACCTCTAATCCAGTGGAAAACAGGAAAAGAGAGACAGAATAAAGAAAATTATGTCAATGAAAATGAAGCAAGAAGAGGAATAAAATAAAAAGGGAGGAGAAGGAGAAGCATCATACAATTAAGCAATTCAACAAAATATATTAAAAATGCAAATTAAGCTGCAACAAATATCTAAATATGTCAGTAACTACAAAGAATGTTAATGTATTGTCTACCCAAAAAGATAGACTATCACATCTGCTTATAAAAACAATCCAGTTATATGCTACTTATGACAGTCACATTTCCCAGTGACGTGGATTTCTGGATTTCACCTATTGTTCTAGCATACTCTTCTTTTTACTCTCAGAAGTTCTGGTTTGGATGATAAATGACACACTAAAAGAAGCACTATATAAGGAAGTTGAAAACAAATGTATGCAAAAATAGATTGACAAAATAGATATTTGCCAAAATAATGCTGGTATGGAAATATTAATAGCAAAAAAATGGAATTTAAGATTAAAATTATTCATAAAGATAGAGGAACATTTCGTTAAGCTAAAAGGAACAACGCACCAAGGAGATTAAGCAACCATTAGTTTGTAAGCCTTCTACAACTTAACCCTAAAATGCTGAACGCAAAAAACAACAGAAGTGCAAATAAATAAGCAAACTTATAATAATGGGAGATTTGAGTAGTCCTCTCTGAGAAACCAATGGATACATTTTTTAAAGTAATAAAGATAAAGATATTTGAACAACACTCTTATAAACTTAATTTTTATAGAAAATGTACACTATTGGCCAGGTGTGGTGCCTTACACCTGTAATCCTAGCACTTTGCCTGAGCTCAGGAGTTTGGCACCAGCCTGGGCAACGTGTTGACACAGTCTATTACCATGAACTGCATAATTTTCTAAAATTATTAGCCTTTCCCGGTAAAGACCTCAATAAGGTATTGTACAATCTTCCCTAAACTTGTACAGCATTAGCATTCTTGGGAAATTGGGTGCACACTATAAAATTTTATTTCTTAGCATAAATCAGTGGTTCTCAAATGTTAGTGTGCAACAAGGAGCTTGATAAAACACAGATTGCTTGGTTGGTCTCACCCATGAGTTTTTGATTCAGTACATCTGGAGCAGAGCCCAAAAATCTGCATGTAAAATAAGTTATCAGTTGATGCTGATGCTGATGGTCTGAAGGCCACAATTAAGAACCCCTACATAGAAAATTTTAATGTATGCTTTTCACATACATGAATGCTTTATGGTTCATTTGGAGGACATGAAAAACATTCTCAGTTTTGCAGGACTCCCCCATTGTTGCATGAAGTCTATCATCCCTAGCACCATTCCCTAAATGCCAGGGTGGTTAGCTTTCTCACATAGTAGTTCAGTACTCCAAGCACGGGTGTTCTAAGAGAGAGGAATGGAAGCTATCAGTCTCCTACATCCTAAGCCGGAACCTGTGGAGTCAAAGATGCTGGCAAGATTCAAGAGGAGAAGTCGATCCCACCCCTCCATGGAAATAGCAGAAAATAAATTGCACTCATCTTTAATCTACCACAATCTACCCTCTCACCACAAATTATTCATATTTTCCCATATGCAACATTAATTAACTGCCCCTTCTAAAATCCCCACTCCTCAAGTCTAAAATCTTGTCTCCATCAGGTCCGGGTGCAGAGGAAACTCCTTAGATAAAGTTTCTCAAGTACAGCTTTCCGAGTACTATTCCTCTCTATGTGAAATCTGCCCGTCACCCACACCTATCATATGATGTTGGGACAGAGGTAAGATAACGTCAAGATATTACCAATCTGAAAGGAGAGAATAGAAGGCACACTGCAGTCACTGGTTCATAGCAATTCTGAAATCCATTGAACACATATTGCTAGTGTACTATGGACTGAATTGTGTCCCCTGTGAAATTAGGATGTTGAAGCCCTAACCCCTAAAGTGATATGTATTTGGAAATGGGCCTTTGTTAGACAATTAGGTCATGAGGGTGAATCCCTCATCATGCCACTAGCGCCTTTATAAGAAGAGACATGAGAGAGATCTCATTCTCTGTGTCTCCTCCATCTCCACCATGTGAGGACATAGCCAAAAGAGGGCCATCTGTAAGCCAGGAAAAGCACACAGCTGAACTGGCCAGTACCTTGTAGCTGTAAGTACCATTGTTAAGGCCTCAGAGGCCATAGATTAGATCAGTGCCTTGAAACCATTTCTTACTTTGATAATATTTTGTTGGAAGAGACTAGGATGAGAAATACCTTTCTTAAAAAAAAAAAAAAACTGACTGTCCTGAATCCTCTACATATCCTTTAAATTCCCCTCAAAGTTTTAACAGTTCTATTTCTCTCATATGGCTCTTTTCCCTATCTTTCATATACAGCTAAAATAAACAATAGGCACTTTTGACATCCCACATCAACACTTTATGTGATCCACCAGTTTATTAGATACAATTTTTACTTGCCATGACTGCAAACAACAACTTCACTAAACGTTCTGCCACTACCATCACAACAGACATCTGTCTCCAGCTTCCAATAACATTTTCTCCACTGTCCTTGAATCCCTCATCAACAGCCTCCTAAAAGTCCCTTCCATTTTAACAAATAGCCTTCTTGGGGCCTTTCCAGTTTCTACTCACTGCCTTGTCATAAAACCAATAATCCATGAATTTTAGGTTTTTATTACAGTATCACCAGGTGTTGAGTACCAAAATGTGGGCGCGTTATCTTTGCCAGATAGCAAACCAACCCCAAATGTTAGTGGTTCCTTCACATACCTATAACCTTGGCAAGGACAGCCAGAAACTGAGCTCCTTTGGGCCTCTCTTCCCATACATTCTCCGAGTCTTCCCACTGGTCTCGCCAGACCCCATGTATGTCGAATCAGGGTTCCCCAAGTGAGTGCTCCAAGAAAGAAGGGAAAGCCAGTAGTCTTATAAGACCGAGGCCCAGAAACCAGTACAATATCTGTTCTGTCAAGCACTTGTAAGGCTCACCCAGATTCAAAGGAGAGAAATAGGGCTCACCTTTCTTTTTGTGTGTGTGTGTGAGACAAGGTCTCATCCTGTTGCCCAGGCTGGAGTGCCGTGGCATGGTGTGATCGTGGCTCACTGCAGCCTCGATTTCCTGGGTTCAGATGTTCTTCCCAACTCAGCCTCCCGAGTAGCTGGGACAATAGGCACAGCCTGGTTAATTTTTTGTATTTTTAGTAGAGACAAGGTTTCACCACGTTGCGCAGGCTGTTGTCTAATTCCTGGGCTCAAGTGATCCTCCCTCTTCGGCCTCCCAAAGTGCTGGGATTACAGCCATGACCCTCTGCCCCAGGCTGGCCTCATCTTTCAATGGAAAAAGTAGCAAAGAATTTGTGTCTGTACCACACCTCCCATCACTAAGACAAACAAAATGCCTTGCCAATTTCAAAACTGCCTCCCAGGGAAGGGAGCACACCCATCAACCTGATTTCAGGAGAATTAGCATTCCCAAGGACCTGAGGTCTTACATTTCCTTTCTGTGAAGGAGCTGTTATCTCTGGGGAAGTGACCACACCCACAATCAGTCCTAGGGTCCTGCTAGGGATACTTCTACAGGGGAGAAAGGATTTTGCAAGACTAACAAGTGCTCTTTTCCTCAGGGTTAATTTTTACTGTTCTTGAGGTATTCGAAGGCAAAAGCTGAAGTGCTTCTATGTTGGCTGACAAATACATTCCTGGCTTATCTCAAGGGAATTCCCAAAGTGAATTTCCTATTTATAAGCTGAATGTCTAGTCCTATAAATCTTCCTATATTTCTCAGGAAAAAGGTAGGGGGCAGGCTGCTCCGAGCTCTGGGTGGTCTACTATAAACTTCCTTACAGAGGTTATGCTTAAATGTTCTTCTTCTTCTGCTCAGCTGGAGTTAGTTGCCTGAGCAATGCTAGGACAAGACAAAATTATTAAAAGCTTCCAGGGATTTAGACAAAAAGAAAGGTGCTGAGGTCCTAAGCTTCTGAGGAGCCATATCTAATGCCACAGCCCAGGATTGGAGATAATCGGCCATCCTTGCTTGTTGATGGAAAAGAAAAAAAATACTGAAGAAGATTCTTTAGGTATTCCTGTATGAAGTCTCCTTTAGCAGAAGTCTTTCAAAACTTCTGCTAAAATACAGACTTTATAACCTACATTTCAGTTGTGTTAACTTTTCCTGAAACTAAGTGTGACCACAGACATTCGTGTAAAGCCAGAAACTTCAGAATTTGGGAGTGTCCCAAATGCAGTACCCTTTTCAAAATGCATGTGACAAAACACCTTTCTTCCCTGAGCTATGAGCTGGAAGAATTTTCTCAGCCTTCATGTAGGTGAGTAAGCTCTTTTCATTTTTTGGTTGTACCTCTTTTACTACTTAGAATTTCATTGTTGTGTCCAGTGAGCTATGATTAAATATTGAGGTCAGCTGCCCTCTGCAGACTGGGGTCACTAAGTTAAATCCTGTCCACTTGCTGGAAATGTGCGAAGTTTCCACTCCAGTTACATATAGCTTCTGTTTGTGACTAGTAAGCACTGAATAAATATTTCTAAGCTGCTTACTAATCCAGAATTGCATGTTTTTCTGCAGATCTATTTCTTCTTTTCCAGGCCTACTAATTCCACATTAGTGTCTCAGTCAACATATTTCAAGCCATCTCGAATCTAATCGCCCCTTGGTGATTCAGGGGACTGAGACACAGGGAGAATGGAAGGTATTGATATTTTGTATCCCTTTGTGTCAGGTCTTCCTTTTCACATTCAGAAGGACGCAGCTGAATCCTGAGTGTGGTCTACAAAAACACACAGACGAAAACAATTAGCAATTTTAAGTCAGTTAGAGGTGCAAAGAGAAGTTGTCTATTTGTTTCTTTAACAAAGAAAAACCTTTGGTTTTCTCTCCTAAGCCCTTAATCATGCTCTAGGCTCTCCCAAGCACCAGGTTGTCACTCATGAACACAAACTACAATGACTGATTTTCTTAGACTTGTTTGGTTCTTGTAAAGTAGCCAATAAACTAATTGCATGAAAAATGACATGTTAAATTATCTCTACTTTTTTGGAAAAACAGCAGATTGATTTTTTTTTTTTAAGCCAAGCAGAGATGAGGCATTTTCTAGAAAGGCACAAGTTTTAATTATAAATTAATGCACAGGAATTTTATCTGTGCCAACTTGAGCTTGGAAGAAAATAGTATAGAATTACTTGTCTCTTTGTGCAGGTCATGTTACAGTGCTTCTCAAAGACTGATCCAATATTCAGTGTGTTGTACAGTAACATCTACAGTGAGAAAGGGGGAATAAAAGCTGAGCTGGTCAAATGCAGTGTCCTCTTTCATGAGGTCAGCCAATAGGAATTTTAACAGCTAATATTCTAGACAGTGGGAATGCAGTAGAGGCTTTTTCCCTTCTTTCCCAGGAGAAAAAATAAATATCAAGGCAGTCATTTTGAAATCCAGAAAAATCACACTTGGAAACACAAAATAAACTATCCTCAACCCTCAGATTCTATCATTTGATGTATTATCTCCTTGAGAGTCCAAATAAAGTGAGACATTAGCTTTACATGGTTTCATTCTGATTTCTAACAGGACCCCAATTAGAGGTAACTTGCTGTTTAGATTAAGGTTTGTTGTATAACTTTTAAAGTTCAATATCACTTATAAATAATTTCTATCCCCTTAGATTACCTTTCAGCAACCTGGCTTTTATTATCCTTTTCTCCTATTCAAGTAAGTTTTTGTGAAGTCAAACCTAGATGCTTTTCTGAATTATAGATTTCACACCTGACATACTTTGCACACATGTGTCTGTTCCCATTCTTCCTCCTTTAAAAGCCCAACTCATCCTCTTGCCTGAGGAAATAGAGCTGAAATGTAAGGATCTTCAAAACCGTTGCACAATCAACCAACTTTTCTGCACAAGCTGTGTCTACTGCCCTTGCTGCCTATTCTGTTTGGAAGCAAGAGAATAACAGAAGAAACAAGTGACCAAAGAATGAATAACATGTCCAGCCTTTTGTATTACTCCTGATATCATAATAAGACATTGTGTGTTTTATTCACATGGATCTTGGCCATATATTGAGTACAGTGAAACCTCACTGGCTTCAATGTACACTAGACCAGGCAAAGAGCAAATAGTGGCACCAAAGCCATCCCTACCGCCCATCCCATGCCCCTTCTGAGCAACACCTGAAAACCTCTGTAGCATATTCCTGTAAATTCTACCAGGTAGTTAACATCTGCTAAAAAATGTTCTCTTCTAAATTGTTGATGCTTATAGACAATTTCAGAAATTCATTTTAATAAAAGCATTCTCCCTGTAATAGTGGTACACAATTTTATGGCACTAACCAGGTACCAGGTTCTTCACATACACAAACTCATTTGAACCTCACCACATTGCTGTAAAGTAGGTATGAGTCCCCTCTCAAGTTATGGTACAAATGAGGAAATTGAGTTACACAGGTATGCAATAAACAACAGAGCTTAGGTTTGAATTCAAGATGTCTTGATTTCAGGTCCATGCTCTTAACAGCCACACTGTGCTGCCTGTCTGGCCACCAGAGGTCAGCTTCCCTGAAGGAATTAGTATTTGACTGAGGTGTGGTGCTTTCCACAGGGAAGCAGAGAAGATTTTTGGGGAATCCCATAGTGTTTTTAGCATCAGTGTTGTACACAAAAGGAGTACACTAACAACAGATGAAACAACACAAATATCTTTTGACTGAGAAAGTTATGGCTACCCAGCTCTGCTGAGGCTTATTTGTGCTAGAAAGACACATAAAACTTACCCATGAATATTGAAGATTTGAAGGCACGAAGGGGATACCCAGATAACAAAAGACCAGAGCTATACATATATGTCTTCTGCTGTTCATCAAGTTAATTCTCCAAACATTTATTAAGCATCTATTATGCATAGCATAATTAAGCATCTATTGTACATGAGACACTAGACTAACAGGGGGATGCAAAGATGAATGCCATTTGTTTGGAGGCTGGAGTGGACATGCCTCATTATTTGATTCAACTTGTAGAGCAATGGTTCTTGAATTTGCCACATATTATAAGCACCTGGGGGAGTTCCAATGAAAACTTCCGAAGGAAAACATTCCCAGACCAGTAAATTCAGAGTCTCTAGGGTAGAACCCAGGCATGAGGATTTTTTTAAAGCTCCCCAGGATTTCCAATGTGAAGCCAAGGTTGAAAATGCTGAGAACTACTGTTTAGAGTAACCCATTGTGTCAAAGCCTAAATGACCTCAGAAAAAAGTTCACTTTTGCCTTGGCATTTTCTTTCTTCTTGAACTGATAGATACTAGGCTGTAGCTTGCTTATTGCATTTTATGTAACCCACTTAGAGTGCCTTTTTCTGGAGCACTTTGCTTGCTTCTAATTCAAAACTGGCAGCAGGGGAGTGGTGTGAGGGGAGGGTGGTCACTGCCAACTGCTTTACATGTCAAACAGTGGAAGATTCCATTGGGAGGTTAGGTGGGGAGCAGCAACCTGGGCTCTGAAGAGAGATGTATCTCAATTTCTCTGCTTGACATTATTACCCTGGACAAGTCACTTAAAAGTCTTGGTTTCCATATTTGTAGAATGGGGTAAACGATGCCTGTTTGTGAGAAGTAAACTAAGTAACTTATGTGAAGTGTGTGGTACAGAGCAGATACTCCACGGAGGCATCTTCTACTTTACTATAATTATCCTGCTAATTCAAGTGAATCCTGCCCTTCTTGAGGCCTTCCTTGCCAGGTTCTTCTCATAACTGCCATGCTTCCTGGGGAATGAAGCCAAGGGGCTACTCTCCCCAACTCAGACAAAAGTCCTTGAAACTCTCCATTTCCTTTAACAGCAATTTCCCACACTGGACCGCTGAAGTCACATCTTGGCTTCATCCTAACAATTTTCAATTCTTCAGATTCTTTTGTCTCTTTCACTTTTTTTCCCCCATATCCTTAGACTTGCCATTTAAAAGTTGTCTTTGCTTCAAGATTTTTCCATACCGTTCCTCCCTGTTAGCTTCCTCTCCCTTTCTCCTTTCACTAGGCTCTCACAGACATAAAATGGACACTAAAACTCTTTTTATTCAAGTTTTTTACTTCGGCTTTTACTTTAAAGGTTAAAGCTATAAACCCAATGAATATTTCATGTGGAACACTTTTCAGCCCTCATTCGCCGAGGTGGATGCAATAACTACCAGAAAGGCTGTAATAAAGTAAAATTGATAAAGATAACCAGACAGAACATATTAAAAGACACAAATTTATGACTGCTTGATGAGGCAAAATGTTCTCGAAGAAGATTTGCAGGTTCCTTTTTCATTTCACCTTCCTTCATCTCCTTTCTCAGTGCTGTTTCGCATCATCCTTTACTCCTCCAACCTCTACTGGCTTCCTTTTTTCTTTTTAAATCTGTAAGTCCCTATTCTAAATGCTTTCTCTTTTATTGATTTTGGAATAGGCTGGAAGCCGTGATCCACTGTGTCCCTCTCAGATGTCTCCTAATATCACAACCCTGGCCGCATTTTATGCAGCAGCTCTGCTTCTTTTCATTTCTCATTTTTCCCACAATTCTAGCCTGATGACGGCTGGAAAATCCCAGTAACAGGTAACACTTGGCCTCCTTTTCATATATATAGCAGAGTCTCCTGGGGGGAGTTTAACTTAATCCTGGTGCCTTCCTCTTTTTGCCAACCCACCCATTCACCAAGGAGATGCCAGGTATAAATTTGTGAGGTGCCAGAGTGACTGACATTTAGATAGCAATGAGCTCATATTCACCATTTTAAAGAAAGCAGCATCATCAGCCTGCCTAATGCTATTTGGCCCATTAATCTTCTTGTTTCTAATTTAGCCATCTTTTCCCGTTTTCTCAGCTTCTTAATGTAGTTTGCAACCTTCCTCAGACCACTGATATCTGTGTCTGTATCCACTGTTGTTTCTGCAAAATTCGGTTTCCATCATAGCTTGTAAAGTAACATCTTCAATTCTCTTTCTCATAAAGTCAGTGAGACGTTAACCTTTCAGGTAACTGTTTTTAAATAATCTGTTTAAACTATTCTATTAATAACTTAAAGATCTTTTGAATTGTGCTCTTTTTGTTTCGGTCTTTTTCCCTTTCTTTAGAGGACTGAAGCATGCATGCCATATACACAGCCTAAAAGCAGATTATCTTTAAGGTAATGCCTTTGGATAGCTGACAGCTGCTCAAATAGGTCCTAGTTCTGGCAATGTTCTCGAAATTCTTCAAGATTATAAATCTTCACTATGTTCAATTTAAGTTGTTCTTGGGAAATTTTGGATAACACTTATCAAATATAACCTCTAAGAACCAGAGATGAATTAATCTACCCAGGCTTACTTGTCCCCAGAAATTTTATAAAATGCATTGCTCCTAGCGTACATAATACTAAATATATTCTCGATGTCTATGTGGTGCCAGAATTGTGGACAGTAGAGAGGAGCTGTAAAAGATCTCTGAACAGGAAATTCCAAGGTGTCAAGGGAAAAATTTCAGTTGGGAAATCATAACATCAACATAGTTGAATGTAGTGAAAATGCCACCTATTTTATTTTAGTCCCAAATACTAAGTAATAAAGCACAGAGCTGGACACACAATAGAATCTTTAAAGAGTATGCAATAACTTGTTTTAATTTGGACAATGATATTTCAGCTAAAATAAATATTGATGGGAAGGTTGGCATCAGTTAAGCTGTGGTCATAATATAAAAATAGAATTGATTACAAATAAAAAAAATACATTCAATGTCATCAAGTCCAGTCAGTGAAAAACCTAAACAAAATAAGAGAGCCCTTTATGCTAAAGACACAATAAGGGATAAAAACAGTGTTTCCAGGCTTGAAGAATGAAAGAGAGACAACAGAGTCTCACATGGTAAGCCCACCCCATCCTCTCCATCTCCATAGAGACTTGCTTGAAAATAACTGATCTAATTCAATATGTTTACTTATGAATGAGGGTACTAAGGCCTAAACAGTCTGTACACCTCACCCAAGGACACAGACCTTGTTAGCAGTGTAACATAAAGAAGAACTGAAGGCTTTCCATTTCTGGCCCACAGGGCTCTTAGTATATCATGTCTCCTTGTCAAAGAGACCTATTTTGGAAACCACACATTTACTACAAAAGAGGCAGTAGTGGAACATGTCAAGATTCTGCTCAAAATTGAGAAGTGTGCACTCCAAGAAAGCAAGTAGACAAGGCCCATCACTGTGTCTGCATACATCCTGTGCTTTTTGCACTCTGGCATTTGTATCCATTCTTATACACCAATAACAGACAAACAGAGAGCCAAATCATGAGTGAACTCCCATTCACAATTGCTTCAAAGAGAATAAAATACCTAGGAATCCAACTTACAAGGGACATGAAGGACCTCCTCAAGGAGAACTACAAACCACTGCTCAATTAAATAAAAGAGGATACAAACAAATGGAAGAACATTCCATGCTCATGGGTAGGAAGAATCAATATCGTGAAAATGGCCATACTGCCCAAGGTAATTTATAGATTCAATGCCATCCCCATCAAGCTACCAATGACTTTCTTCACAGAATTGGAAAAAACTACTTTAAAGTTCATATGGAACCAAAAAAGAGCCCACATCACCAAGTCAATCCTGAGCCAAAAGAACAAAGCTGGAGGCATCATGCTACCTGACTTCAAACTACACTACAAAGCTACAGTAACCAAAACAGCATGGTACTGGTACCAAACAGAGATATAGATCAATGGAACAGAACAGAGCCCTCAGAAATAACGCCGCATATCTACAACTATCTGATCTTTGACAAACCTGAGAAAAACAAGCAATGTGGAAAGGATTCCCTATTTAATAAATGGTGCTGGGAAAACTGGCTAGCCATATGTAGAAAGCTGAAACTGGATCCCTTCCTTGCACCTTATACAAAAATTAATTCAAGATGGATTAAAGACTTACATGTTAGACCTAAAACCATAAAAACCCTAGAAGAAAACCTAGGCATTACCATTCAGGACATAGGCATGGGCAAGGACTTCATGTCTAAAACATCAAAAGCAATGGCAACAAAAGCCAACATTGACAAATGGGATCTAATTAAACTAAAGAGCTTCTGCACAGCAAAAGAAACTACCATCAGAGTGAACAGGCAACCTACAAAATGGGAGAAAATTTTCGCAATCTACTCATCTGACAAAGAGCTAATATCCAGAATCTACAATGAACTCAAACAAATTTACAAGAAAAAAACAAACAACCCCATCAAAAAGTGGGCAAAGGATATGAACAGACCCTTCTCAAAAGAAGACATTTATGCAGCCAAAAGACACATGAAAAAATGCTCATCATCACTGACCATCAGAGAAATGCAAATCAAAACCACAATGAGATACCATCTCACAGCAGTTAGAATGGCGATCATTAAAAAGTCAGGAAACAACAGGTGCTGGAGAGGATGTGGAGAAATAGGAACACTTTTACACTGTTGGTGGGACTGTAAACTAGTTCAACCCTTGTGGAAGTCAGTGTGGCGATTCCTCAGGGATTTAGAACTAGAAATACCATTTGACCCAGCCATCCCATTACTGGGTATATACCCAAAGGACTATAAATCATGCTGCTATAAAGACACATGCACACGTATGTGGCACATATACACCATGGAATACTATGCAGCCATAAAAAATGATGAGTTCATGTCCTTTGTAGGGACATGGATGAAATTGGAAATCATCATTCTCAGTAAACTATCGCAAGGACACAAAACCAAACACCGCATGTTCTCACTCATAGATGGGAATTGAACAATGAGAACACATGGACACAGGAAGGGGAACATCACACTCTGGGGACTGTTGTGGGGTGGGGAGAGGGGGGAGGGATAGCATTAGGAGATATACCTAATGCTGAATGACGAGTTAATGGGTGCAGCACACCAGCATGGCACATGTATACATATGTAACTAACCTGCACATTGTGCACATGTACTCTAAAACTTAAAGTATAATAATAATAAAAATAAAAATAAAAAGAAAAAACAAATGGGCTAGACGGCAGCCTATAGCTAACTCCCTGGTTTCATATGTGTGGGAACCTGTTACTGTGGCTATAGTAACAATGATGGAATTACATAAATTTGTTATGGGACCATTCAGCTGTGTTTAAGATAGGCAAGCTTTAAAGAGCCTGAGAAAGAATATTTTCAGATATATTCTATAACAATCACTGCCCTATAGCTATGACCTAGCCAGTGGTATGAGTTCAACAAATAAACAAATTTCTATAAACTATATATTTCCTGAGAGTGAGACTTTATCCTAAAGCCTCAGGAAGACATTAACAGGACAAATCATGGAAAAAAGACTATGAAAACTTATGTGTATCATTCATAATGATTAAAAGAATGACCCAATTAATCTGAACACCACTGAATTAAAAACCTACAACATGGGCAGGGTGTGGTGGCTCACGCCTGTAATCCCAGCATTTTGGGAGGCCAAGGCGGGTGGATCACGAGGTCCAGAGTTTGAGGCCAGCCTGGCCAATATGGTGAAACCCCATCTTTACTAAGAATACAAAAAATTAGCCAAGCGTGGTGGCACATGCCTGTAATCCCAGCTCCTTGGGAGGCTGAGGCAGGAGAATGGCTTGAACCTGGGAGGTGGAGTTTGCAGTAAGCTGAGATAGCGCCACTGCAGTCCAGCCTGGGCGACAGAGCAAGGCTCCATCTCTGAAAAGAAAAAAAAAAAAAAAAACCTACGATACTTCTAATTAATGTGCATTGTCTTAGTCAGTTTGGGCTTCCATCATAAAATACCATAGACTGAGTGGTTCAAACTATAAAAATTTATTTTCTTACAGTTTTGGAGGCTGCAAGTCCAAGATCCAAGTGCCAGAAGGGTCAAGTTCTGATGAGGGCCCTTCCTGGCTTACAGATGTCTGCCTTCTTGGTGTGTGCTCACATGACACAGAGGGAGAAGGAGCTCTCTGGTGTCTTCTTCTAATCCTATGATATCAGTTGCCATCTTCATGACTTCATTTAATGAGAATTACATCTTTAAAGGCTCTATATCAAAGTATAGACACAGTGACAGCTAGGGCTTCAACATATGAAGTTTGAGGGGACATATTAATGTTTCTCACTGAATATAAAACTTGGAATAAATGTCATAACAAGCCTTTTACATGTATTACAGTTATAAATTATTTTATGTATTACATAATTATATTGAAACCCATATTATAACTATATTTACAATATGCATAATATAAGGGCAAAAGTCATTTTTCAAACATCATGTGGGAATAAACTATTTAGTACATGTGAATTTTTCAGATAAGTAAAAAGTACCATTATAAAAGTGGATGGATCTTTAATATGATAGACATTTAATAAAATTATTTGTAGCATGTTCACAAGTCTTATTTACAAGTTGTAGAGTATATTTTTAAAATAATTCAAAATTATTTTCTGACAATGCAAGGCCATAATTTGGAAGATCAAGTTTTATACTTTAACAATAAAGAATGCAAAAAGGGTGTAAAACTGTTTCCCCCTGCTGATGGAGACCCCAGATTTAAGATCTCCACACTCAAAAATAAACAAACCCAGAGAAAAACAATTCTCATACTTCAAGATAACAGACCTTCTAATGTGTTGTTCTATACTATTATTTATTGGACAACCTATTATATTCAGTTGTTATGTTTCCTTTAACATTCAATTCTGAATCAGTAGAATGTGGCCTAAGAGCCTGAAGTTTCATCCCTGGGATTAGAATATGAAACCTGTAACTTTTAAATTTGTTGCTACATTTAACTTATTTATTTGTACTTTCCAAAAGTTTTGTCTCAAGTATTAAAGTTACTGAAAGCCCAATCATATCTGAAGAGTCATTTTATTTAAAAGTAAAAGCTACTTTAAATTTAAAATATTCTTAAATTCAGTCTTTTTACTAAATGTACTGTATTCATCAGCATCAGTTGGGTTTAACTTAGCATTAAAAAAATGAATGGGAAGCATTATGTTAACATGATTATTATTATTGAAATATAATCATGTAAATAACTCAGTTCCATTGGGAGTAGACTAAGTGCTATTTTTAATGTATGTACTTCCTTTTCTCATAGACTGTACATATTTAAATGATTTAAACTAAATAAAAGCAAATGTTTTTTTATAATCACAAGAATTTAACTTAGCTTTTTCATTACAACAATGCCATTGTATATTTTTTCAATCTTTATTTTATTTTTACTGAGCTAACATGGCTTTGCTAATTCTTTTAAAGTTATTTTGATATGTTTTTATTACAATATTCAAAGCTAAGCCTTAAATTGTATTTTGCATATATGATATTCAATAATTTAAGTAAATTCAAGTATGTATTAATATATAATATATCTATTCATATTTTGGAGTTTAAGAACATACTTTTCCTTCCCTTTTGAAATTCAATATGTATAATTCCAAGGAAATATAAATTGAAATAAAACTATTAGTTATTAATATTTAAGAAGAGATCAGTTTCAGGTAAACAAGAATTTATTTTAAAAGAGATTTGGCCTGTATTTATGTTGAGATTTGACTGAAACTTCTGATTTATTTTCTCTCAAGAATTGTACTAGTGTTTCACTAAAATGTCATTCTTGTTGAGTAAAGTTTGGCCTTAATTTTCACTCTGCCAACCCCAACCTGGTGAATCAAAGCACTTATATTCCAATATAATCACAAAGTAAGCTGTCACATAAACTTTATGGACAGTGATTTAATGAAAAGGTAGTTTCTTTAAGATTATTTCATTGTCACAATCATTGGCAGAAGCAATATAGTATAGTAAAAAGGTTTAAACTTAAATGTCAGAAATTTTGTTTCAACATCATTTGAAAATATGTATCAAGAGATAAAACAATTCATTTCTCTTGACAATATTTTCTCTTGAGGCCCTAATATTGAATATGAAAATATTAATATTAAAACCATATAAATCTTTTTACCCAAAGATAAGAATTGGAACATTATGTTATCAATGCCTGCAAAAATTCAATTTATTGATAGATTACATCTTCATAAAAATGTGGTGTAAAGTCTAAAATTAAGGTCCAATATTATGTCTACCTTGATGTCTGGTGAAATCAGGAAGGCTTCAAATGTCATAACCACAAGTCATCCTCCCCACTCTGCCTCCAGTGATAAGGTTCCAGATCCAAACCTCTTTATCAATCTCTTTATCTTATTAAATCTCTTTATCAAGATGGGAGGAGGCTGGGTGTTGTTTCTGCCTAGCCTTGAGTAACTTTTCAGTTTCCCACCAGCCGCAGAAAATTATTCAAACAAGCAAGCCAATGACATCCTCCTGTGGGAACCAGGGGACACCTTCCCTCTTAATACTACAAAGTCCATCTCCCACAGTTCCTATTACTTATACCGTTCTTGATTGTAACCTTCATGTGGCCCTGCATGGCACAGTGTCCTCCTACCCTGGGCTCCGAGTTTAGGACACCAGTAAACTGCTACCAATCTCATCTGTCCAGGTTGGGTGCCATGTATTCAGCCATCCCATAACCTGGATTCATCCCTCACCAATGGTGTGACTAGCAGGAGATTTAAAACAAACAAACAAACAAAAAAATTCGTATACACACACAAAAAAATTGTTGTTAAATGGGAAAAAGAAGTTATAATAATAGATTAAAATGCATGGCCAAAAATGTATACCAAATACATACTTAATATTTTTTAAAAAATATTTTTCAAAGAACTAGAAAGATGCAACTAATGTATTAATAGTAGTTTCCTCTACACAGTGGGATTCTGTACTTCTCCTACTTGCTTTACTTAACAATAATTTAAAATTTAATATATAAGAACACTTAAAAATAAGAAGCCAATTTTTTCCCCTAGCTAATAAAACTTGGACTGTTAAACTTGCTTTATTCCTCATTTTATTCTCCAATGTGGGGTGTAATACTACCTTCCACAGTCATGGCTACATTCACTTCAGGGTACTTTGAGTCTATCTTATGAATTTTAAAAGGTTAGATAATGTAAGTCATTTTTGTTGTTAATTATTACAGTAAAAACAGAGTTCTTCCATTAACACAGCTAAAACTGGCTAGTTGCGTAAAAATAGTTTCCTGTCTTTCTCTGCCAGCTCTACAAAAAACACCACAGTCATAAGCTGACTTCAGTATGTCACTGCCCTCTCCCAACAACTCAGTGTGAACCTCTCCATGTTCAGGGCTCCCGGTTTTCTCTCAGACAACCCACAAAGGCTCTCACTTCACAATGCAGCTTTTCCCTTCTTCCTACTACTTCTCATCTCATAACAAAATGTACTGAATTTTATTCAAGGCCCTCTAGTTCCTTTTTTCTGCTTTTCATGATAGCAATCAGAAAATCACCCAAACCATCTTTATAATGGATTCAAATGTGTCAATGGCTTATCCAGCCTGGGTAAGACATGTGTGTTTTAACAATGCCTTCTTATAACCTTAACCCAAAGAAGTGACTCAAATGGAATTCATGTATTTTATTCTAAAATTATCATTGTATCTTGTTACTGATTACCTAATGACAGGGATTTGTGGCACCAAAGTTAATCAATGTGGCAAATAACTAAAGGTAGAAGGAACCTCCTTCTCCACCTTTGCCTAATGTATGACTGGGTCCCTCAAGGAGAAAGTCATGGAGGAACTGTGAAAGAAGGCATTCCACAAACTGCCTGAGACAGACTGTCAAGTAAGGGGCTAAAGTGGCCAAACTTCTAAAATTATTACCATGTGTTATATTTTCCAAACACATTAAAAAATACATACTGGGGAAGGGAGTTTTAAAAAAATACTTCTGAGTATGTTAATTTAGTCACATACAAAAACATACAGTATTCTTAAAAGTAAATGAATTTATATTTTCATGTTCATTTTTGCTTGTTATTCTTTTATCTTGAAAAATGTCAGAAAGCTACACTTTTCAGGTAAGTTGCGACTGCTTCAGAACTGGAGCATACACTGTGATTATATGCTACACGGTCGACAGCTGAAGTAGAGAATGGCCATTTATAATGCTATCGGCAACACGCTTCTTCCTTTGTGCTCGGAATTCAGGTGCTTGTATTCTGCCACAATTATTACTTGACATTTGCAATGGGCTGAGGTTTGGGTTATTTTTTTTTCAACTACTGATCATCAAAAGACTACACCAATGATAATTTTGAACATCTGAGGAGGTCTGTTTCCATCTTAATCATTTGATCTCATGTAACTATAGGTTAATACTCTATGTAGAAAGGCTTTGGAAACTGTGGTTCAACACATTCACAGATGTACCTGCTCCATCATACTGGACAATATAACTCTGGAAAAGCAAGGTTAATAACGATAAATAGTTGACCAGAAGATAGTTTAAGTGATAATAAGCTGCTGAGTGAAACTAACTGAAGCAAAGGGGAGTTGGAAGAAAACAACAAAAAGCTGTGGGACCTATTTCAAAGCAAGCTACCACCAAATTGTTTTCTTCACTAAAATGAGACAGATACAGAAAGAAAAAAGCATATAATAATTAAGCAAAATATGTGCCAAGTGATATATTACCTTCTTGCTTTTCTCTCCTTAATAGGTATTTGCTTTTGTATAGAGCTTGCAAATTAATTTCTTTCTGTTAGGAATAAAGGGTAGAAAGGGTCTCTTTTTCCCACATAAATACCACCAATTATCACTTATGTAGGCCAATAGGCCAGTGGCTATTTTTAGTATTGTTTTGGCTAATTTTCTTTTTGTAAAAATGTAAAAATTAACAGAAGTAACTTGGGAAGGCATGCAAATATTTAGATATTTGACTTAAAAAGAGTTCCAAGGGGCAAGGCCCATCTCATGAGATGGCCTCTGCCATCTGATTTATAGGGGTCCAGGCCGACCTCCTGACTCTTCATTTGCTGGTTCACAACACCAAACTCACCACTTTGCCTTCTAGGAAAAGGCTTCCTAGAGTCCAGTGTCTCTAATATTAGGGGCATAAAGTCTTATCTGCAGATACTTTGGGCAGAATTATAATAGGTACCCTTAAATAGGACTTTTCACAGGATAGAAGCTCAGGAGAAAGGAGAGTATCTGGTAAGGAAAACGATGGGGGCTTGAAAGGGAAAGACGTTGACTGTATCAGTTACCTTTCACGGGTTTCTATCAATGCCTTGGATACAAGTTCAGACATAAATATTAAAGTCACACACACACATTTTTTGACACTAATTCCACAATTATTTTCTGATCACTAAGATCATATCAATTGGCTCACTTCAACCTCTAATAATAGATTTGCATTAGTAGTCAGCTCTAGGCATGATATTCATTAAGGCACAAAGACCTGCTATTCTTTCCTAGGCTCAGGAACTGGGACCAATGTTAAAATGTTATCGTAGCCAGAAATGAGTCGACTTAAACTTATGTTAGACAACTCAATGAAAAAATCTGAACAATTATTTCCTTGTTAGTTTTCTTAGACCTGCAATAGCACTGGCATTTGGTATTGCTTTGTTAGGTATATATAGGTGCATCTAGTTGAGTTTTTTTTTGGAACAACTACCAATAACATCCTTTTCTAGATCAATACCACCCTTTTGTTATATCAATACTACTTTTTAAATATTCGTATAAAAATGGTCAGTACTGCCATATATTTTTGAGATAGGCTTCAGAGAAACTTTAAGTCTGTGTACACGCATTACAAGCTTCAATTAAATAATTTATATTTCCATCGATTCACATGACAGAGCAACTAGCAAAGGCTGGAGGAGAAGTTCTCAGTGGAACAAAAATTTGGGTCTTAATGGCAAAGTCCAGAGTTTACACAAATCCCAAACCATAATTCCAGTTCATGCTCATTATGGAAATTCTACATTTTTCTCACACCTCTGCACTTCCAGTTGTCTTTACCACTGAACATGGAAGTGCTCAAATACCAAAGGCATGATTCTTTCATGTTATTTATGGCCTGACCATGGCAGGAAGTACCAGAAACCTCATGAGGATTTCCTCCCTTGTGTTATTTTCAACTTTGTGTTCATGCTGTAAAGGTCTAAATAGTTCACAAGCCTTTCTCAAAAGCAAATGAACCTGAATATTTTTTCAAAAGCAAATTGTAGGGGTCTTCATAGTTGCATTCTCTAAGTCCTGTGAGAAGCTAAGAAGATTGCATCCCAGAAAGCCAATCAAGATTTCCTGACCTATAAACTTAATTCAATAAAAATAGGTTAGCTTAGATTTAAAAAATCTGAGCCTTACTCAAAGTAAATCATGTAACTCACATATCTATGACCCAGGGACCCAAGCTGATACAGAGCACATAGCTAAGTATGCTAATCTCTTTTCTTATTTGGCTAGTCAGAGATTTCTTTAATTCTATCAAAAATACCACGTCATAAAGTTTCCTTTGAATGGAGGCTGTGGAAGAGTGGAACCAGGTTTCACCATTAGCAATCATAAAGGTACAACAACAAAAACTTGGCAAAATGATAAGTACAATAATTCTAACCAAGGCCACTGCTAGTGTTGAAGGGATGAAATAGAACGGATACCTCCACTGGGAAAGATACATTGGAGAAACGATGCCCTTCCTCCAGATAAAGGCATTGGCATTTGAGGGCAGGTGACCTGGGGGGTGGCTCGGGCTGCAGAATCCCACCCTCACCTATCCCCTGACTCTGCTTTTGGACTCAACTACACAATCATAGCACAAGCTCTGCTTTTTACACACAGCCCAGACCCTTATTGTGCCAGACTCCTATTAACTTCAGTAGGGATGGCACCAGGTTCAAGAGTCCAAAAAAGAGACTCAGAAACAGCAAAGGATACACAGGGTTTTACTAGCCTGAAACTTACATAGAGGGGCAGTCCAGTGGCAGTGTGATGGACAGGAGAACTGCAACCGCTTGAAAAAAGCATGCAGTTTATACAGCACCTTCACTGAGCACCCTCCCCCAACAACCTCCACCTGGCAACGTTCATTAAACTCAAAACAAAGGGCCTCAATCCCCTGCATGGCTCTCATTCCATGCGATGGGCTGGGGTGGGGGAGAGGGGCTCAGATGTTTCTAATTGGTAAGGAATGACTCTCCAGGTTGGCTACTCACAGATTCCTTAGCTCGGAACGCTAAACCCTCATTCAGGTGCATCTGCCATACAGGGTCATTCTCAGGCTGTGCTTAAGTTATTGCTGTCAGGTATATTGACCATACAAGGCTGTACAGAGATTTTTTTCTCTTAAAAACAAAAATTGCTATCCTTAACCTAATAAGCTATCTCTTGACACAAATATGAATTGCTCAACAAATCCCTCTACACAAACATGCATCCTCTATGGTTCTCAAATACATATAAAGTCTGGAGAGATTTCCATTTGTCACAGCTGTGTATGAAGGATGTGCTATTGGTATCTAATTAGTAGAAGCGAGGGATGCTGCTCAACAGCCTACACCCCCCAAACATACATAAATACACATGCACACCAAAAAATCATCCAGTCCATATGTCATCAGTCCCAAGCTTGAGAAAATCTGATCTAACTGAAGTCATGTAACAAATCAAATGTAAAAGAAAGTTTGTAGTAAATAACCAGTCTGTCACACCTGGGAAAAATGGACACAAGGTGACTTCGTTTAAATTTTAAATAACTATTCTTTCCTAGTATTTATCTTAAAGACACTGATATAACTATGGTCAATTAATTCACTCATTAAACCCCTCTTTACTGAGCAGCTCCTATGTGTAAAGCACTGTGATAAACACAGAGGATAAAATGGTGAGAAAAACAGACACGGTTCCTCCACTGATAGAGCTTATAGTACAGCAAGAGACACTATTTATCAATTCAGTGACTAGAGTTGTTTGCACTTCAAGTTTTTGTTCTTTACTTAATGTGTGTTTGCTTTGGCCTTACTGAATCCTAAGTACTGGGCTAAATGTGGCTGGGTGAAGTGCAGACCATACACCCTCTGCCTCCATAGAACTTATGAATAATGTGATATGACAGAGGTTACAGGATGCTTTGGTGGTACACGAAGTTTACCCCAGGCTTGGGGAATCAGGGGAGGCTGTCCAGAGATTGTGACATCTCATTAAGACCTGAAAAATGCATGCGAATTGGCCAGGTAAAAAAGACGGAGGAGTCAGGCAAGGTGGAAGAATTTCAGAGAACTGTCAGCACTTCAATGTCATTGAAGCATCAAGGAGCAAGCCTGACAGGTCAGCAGGGCCAGATCGTAAAAAGGTTATATAATATATGCAGATAATTGACTTTTCCCCAAGGACAATTGAAACTATTGAGCATAAATTTCTTTTTTGTTGTTGTTTTTTAGAGTTTTTCCATCTGAAACTTCATTTTGCAATCAAATAAAGTTACTTTTGTCTACTGTATTCCTACCTTAACCCCAATGCTAGAAATAAATAAACACAGAAAAGACATTTAGGATTGGTCAGAGTAGGTAAGTGTGGCTATTTCTATAAGAAAGTGGAGAAATGCCACAAACTAATTTTATTAGCCGTAGTACTGAAAACATTCAGTCTTTCAGAGACAAAAGGAAATATGACTTTTTTTAAAAGCTCACTTCTTCCCAAAACCTGCACATTTTTGTTGTAGATATAGATGAATTACTGCCAGATTCTACTTAAAATGACAAATACACTCAGATAACTGTTGCCTGAGTATTTCAGTGTCATCCCTATGTTAGTAACATTTTTCTCCAGAGTGTCAGACATAACTCTTCACTCAGTACTTGGGAAAAAAAAAATTACAGGAAGTTTCAGAGGAACCAGGGCAGACAAAACAGTGATCCACTGCTCTTTAATTTCCATTCTCATTTTCCCATTTTAAAAAGCAAAACATAAGTGAGCCTTCACGTTTTTGTTTCCAACATTTACTAACTTTTGCACATTAAAAATAAGAAAAGAAAAACTGCAAAATATGGGGGCAAATGGCTCACTAAGAGAGGTGAACAAAATTATTTATTTGTAAAGCCCACCAAACATTTTGTGGTTTGGGTTTGCAGGTGTTAACTTCCTCCCTAAATATAATTTTCTGCTAATAATTATGCCTATTATGTAAAGGAAAAGTTTTTGTCTGAAGTAAAAATGAATACTAAGAATCAAAACAGTAATAGAAGTAAACTTTATTGCTTGCTATTTGGTTACTTATTTTTATTCTACTCTCAAATTCAGTGAAAGATGATCTGGCATATTAGATTTTCTTGCCTATTTTAAAATAAAAGTTGTAGTTGATGGGCTTATACTTTCTTGGGCTAAGGATGCATACTGTGCACATATGAGAATACTTTCCATGGTATCCTTTTTGTGTGTCCATTATTCCTAAAGTAGCCACATGGAAAAATCACATTTATTCAGCTTGTAACAGACATGTATTGCACAACTACAACATGCAAGTCATGGTTATAGCTTCTGAGTTAGATTCAAATATGAATAAGCCATAATTCCTACCCTCAAGAAGCTCAGAGTTTACCAATTTAGGTAATAGATCTTACTGTCCAATAGGTTCCTGTGTCTTTCATTCAACAGATCAGGAATAAAAAGATATTTAAGGGACAGAAATAAATTTTCTGGCCCAAAGTCACATACATGTAAAGAAAAAGAACAAAGAAGCGCAGGCCCCTTCAAAGCTTTAGAGGTTTCCCACAAAACCCACATTGCTTGACCTAGCAGCAACAATGACTAATGGAGGTAGTTAGTAAAACACTAGACATCCTGTCAGATCTTCCCTTTGGGTAAACTTCACAACAAACTTTAGAACAAGGCATGCTATTTGTTCAAGAGATCACTGGTGCTTTCCTGGAAGACACCAACGAGCTGGGCTGAAATGTTCATTTCCTCCTACTGGACTGTCCGGAAGCAGATCACTTGTCCTTCCCACGCACTGTTTAGCTGAAAAACAGCCGGGAACCTTGGCCTCACGGACCCACACATAATTCCAGGACTGAGCATTGCACTCTTCATTTTTATTTTCAAGTTTTACATAATCCATTAAATATGTATTATAAGGTAAGGTAGCAATGTGTACTGCTCTTAGGGTTTCTCCAAGACTCCCCAAGAATGTCCATGCAGAGCAGATGGAAAATTCAAATTCACTGGGATCAAAGGACCTCCGCCTCTCAAAGATCTTTCCATGGGACCCCTCCTACCATCCCCATTTAAAGATGCTCTTCCAGTATTTCCTTACCCCTTTTCCTGTTGCATTTCATTTTTTCTTCTTAATATTTGTTGCTCTCTTACAGGCTATACAAAATGTCCTTCCTTTTCTTTACTGTATCGCCCGGCTAGAATATAAGCAGGACAGATTTCTGTGTCAGTATTGTTCATTGCTGAATCCCCAGCATCTAGATTAGTTCCTCATCTCTAATAGTGCTCAGTAAATACTGTTTAATGACTCATAAATAATCTTATACTGGAAATTGTTGTGTCTGTATTGAATACCATCCATTAACCTGAGAAAGTGTATATAACACGGTGGACCTCTTTCATGAACAAATTTGTTTGAGGAAGTGGTATGGTATGATTGATTATTAACTGCATGACCTATAAACTCAGCCTGTTGAATTTAAGTTCCAGCTCCACTACTACTTGCTATGTTAGCTTGTCAGCACCTGTGTTTTCTCACCTATGAAATGGAATGAGGATGTTATCACTGACTCCCTAGTAGTGAAGATTAAATGAAATATACATTTTGTGTATGACATACTTCTGTTATTTCCAATCAAGACAGTGTCAGTATTTGGCCAAGCTATATTTACAATAGCATATTTTATTCTGTAATGCAAGTATTTTACTATGTAATCTACTAACAGTCACAGTGAGTGACAGCCTTATCTTTATCCCCTCAACTGCCAGACTGACATAAAATCTGGGATCAGTGACCAAGCAGAACACCTGTTTCCTGGT
The DNA here is from genome assembly GCF_000001405.40 of Homo sapiens. Classification (NCBI taxonomy): domain Eukaryota; kingdom Metazoa; phylum Chordata; class Mammalia; order Primates; family Hominidae; genus Homo; species Homo sapiens. Next base: position 52,710,867 of record NC_000005.10, read on the forward strand.
GCCCTTAACAGCTTCAGAAAAGATCATATTCTTTCTAGCAACTACCTTTCCCAAGAACCGTGCCCCTTTTTCAAAAAATAAATCTAGAGTTATAGATTTTCACAGACAAAACAAATTTCTTTTAGATTTTATCTAGGCTGCTCACACCAACCACTATTCTACTCACTCCCATGTATAAACTGGATACCTTTTATAATTTCCCTGTATAAGGCAGCCATGTATGCAACCTCTGCTTCATCTCTTTCAGTTGACTCCCACCCCTTTACAAGGAAGTCTGTCTCATATATGCACAGTATGCATTATTAGAACATCCTTCCTCATACTGAATTAAATCTAGCCACTGGCTTAGTTCTGACTTGCAGGGCCCAGAGTAATATGGCTGCACCGTCTTTATCATGTTTGTGGGATATTTGAAGACAACCTACAGTTCTCTTCCTCTGATGAAACATTCCTGGTTCCTATGACCATTACTCATACAGCAAAATTTTCCAGATCCTTTTTTATTTTGCCTATGTCCGCCAAATTTATTACTCTGAGTGACCTTTTGAATTATGATCCACAGGACATGACCCCAAACTCAAAGAATGTCATGACCTGGTCTATGGCCTGGAATTCCTCTATGCAGGATTTGATATTTTAACCTCTTTAAAGACTATGTGGTCTTGGATAGATATTTCTAGAAATGATGTCATGCTGTTGGATCAGAGCAAGTGTGTGGACACATAAAATCCCCAAATCCATTTTGTGGAAGGTGCTATTAAGCCGGGTTTTCTAGCTTCTTGGTAAACTTGGGCCAGTGCTCTATTTTCTCAGAAGATCAAGAGATATGCTGGATTCACACATGATTTTCTTTTGGCACACTATGCACTATGCTCCAGCAACAAGATTGTATATAAGAAGCCAGGCCAGAGGTTTGGTGTCAGGAGGAAACAAACCTGAAATTATCTAAAGACACTAAAAGGGAAGGTCTGAGTTAGCACAAATAATTGAATAATATTCATGGTTCTGAAATGATTTTGGAAATTCTATCATATAGAAATACAAAGTTCAAAAATTTTTTCTGTCCAGTCATTCTTACCCTTAGATCCATATATACTTCAGGAAGTCTATAACTCTCCTCAAAGGCATGCAAAATTCGTGTAAATATATATTCCTAATATTTTTTCTGGAGAGAGAATTTATAGCTTTCATTAGACTCATAAAAGGGCCAATAACCAAAAGAGCGATTAAGAACCACTGTCAACTTAAAGGCATATTTGGTCATTCTAGGTGTTAAGAAAAGTACTCAGTCACATAGCTGATAGGTGATAAAGTATGAACTATAACCAAGGTCCTCTAAATCCCAGCCAAAGCTCCCTCCACTGCCAAATGCAATGGTAGGAAAGCATTACCAAATACAAGAAAAATATATGTGTGTATGTAAATGAATATATATATTTGATATATACATATTTAACATTGTAAAACTTACATTAGTCAATTTTAGATTAGCATATTCAAATTGCTAATTGAAAAGGATATTAGGCACTGCTAATGGAAGACAGACATAATTAAAAACATGGCTAGTGATACAATATAGGAAATAATGTCTTCTCATGGTTGTTATATAATAGTCTTCTCTGTGCTTTGTAACTGATGACTTGAACATCGTAAGCTTCAAAGTGAAACCTGTACTTCAAAAGTTCAAAGGGATTAACACCAAAAGAGTACTTAAATATAATCAGCTTTGTTTTATTTCTGTGTATGATACATAGTGCTTAGAAATATTAAGAATCCACACCACATTGTTCTAAGTAAAGGGTGGGTGCCCTTTCTACTGGGGAAAAGTAAATAATAGTCCTGTGGTATTTGCAATTTACGAATTTAACACATACTATTTCACAAGTAGGAAATTTTATATTTCCTAGTTTTATTCTCATGTTAGTTTGAGTTTTTAATAATATATTGTTTTACTGTGAACCTCATGTTTCTGTTACCCACTTTGAAAAGCATGCATACTGATATAGTACTTAATGGTAACTTATTGGACTTTAAAACTCTAAGTTACAAAATCACTTAAGAAAATAACCTACAAAATGAGAGAAAATTTTTGCAACCTACCCATCTGGCAAAGGCCTTATATCCAGAATCTACAAAGAACTTAAGCAAATTTACAAGAAAACTACAAACAACCCCATCAAAAAGTGGACAAAGGATACGAACAGACACTTTTCAAAAGAAGACATCTATGCAGCCAACAGACACATGAAAAAATGCTCATCATCACTGGTCATCAGAGAAATGCAAATCAAAACCACAATGAGATACCATCTCACAGCAGTTAGAATGGCGATCATTAAAAAGTCAGGAAACAACAGGTGCTGGAGAGGATGTGGAGAAACAGGAACGCTTTTACACTGTTTGTGGGACTGTAAACTAGTTCAACCATTGTGGAAGACAGTGTGGCGATTCCTCAAGGATCTAGAACTAGAAATACCATTTGACCTAGCAATCCCATTACTCCCATTACTGGGTATATACCCAAAGGATTAGAAATCATCCTGCTGTAAAGCACATGCACACATATGTTTATTGTGGCACTATTCACAATAGCAAAGACTTGGAAGCAACCCAAATGTCCATCAATGATAGACTGGATTAAGAAAATGTGGCACATTACACCATGGGATACTATGCAACCATAAAAAGGATGAGTTCATGTCCTTTGCAGGGACAAGGATGAAGCTGGAAACCATCATTCTCAGCAAACTAACACAGGAACAGAAAACCAAACACCGCATATTCTTACTCATAGGTGGGAACTGAGCAATGAGAACACTTGGACAAAGGACAGGGAACATCACACAACTGGGCCTGTTGGGGGGTAGGGGGCTGGGAGAGGGATAGCATTAGGAGAAATACTTAATGTAAATGATGAGTTGATGGGTGCAGCACACCAACATGGCACATGTATACCTATGTAACAAACCTGCACGTTGTGCACATGTACCCTAGATCTTAAACTATAATAAAAATAAAGAAAATATCTTTGACAGTAATGAATAGTTCAGACATGAATCATAGATTTCTACAATCTTTTATTTGGGAGGGACTGGAACGATGTTTGGCTGTGGCCTCTTATTTCATAAATGGGAAAACTAATACCTGAAGAGATAATGTGACCCACTTTAGCAAAGTCACACTAAATGTTAATATCAGTGATGAAGTGGAAAGTCAGATTTCAGTCTAGATTATAATAATTCCAATGATAGTAAACTGTTTAGTCTGTCAAGGTATATTTGAAAAGATAAAAGTAGTAATGTCATTGGCATTTATTTTATCTTAGTCTCATTATTTTGATGAGGTCAGAAATTATACAAGTCCTCAAAATGGGCTTCATTGCCAAAGGAATATGCACCACAAATAGTAAAAGTTTCAATCCTCTAGATGTTGACCTAAATATGTGTTCAAAGTTTCTGAAATATAAATGATCTTAGGATAATAGGTTATTAACAATGGAAAAAATGCTGTAGATTGATCACCCAAACCAAAGACTTCATTTTATAGATATGTGGCACCTGAAATACCAAAGAGTTGCATAAATACCTCAAAGTCACAGTAGAAGTAGCTCTGCTCGCTATCACTACCAGCAATTCTTTCGGGGAATTTGTGCTTCTTGTTCTCATAAATATGGACTTCGTAGGAAGAGCTCCATCAAATCTTAAGCTACAGCTTCTCGCTGGTCACCTTGAACTCAAGGTTTTGAGAGACCAGCAGGCAAGGAAAGGAATAACCCTTCTCTCAGAGGTATTGGATACTAAATCATCAAAAGCTGCTCTTAAACAATGAATGCAGGAAAGGTTTGTCACTGAGCTGACCCACCTGACAATCTCTTAGTACTCGCATGTGCAATTTTTCAAGTCTTTATTTTTAGAACAGTTTTATGTTCACAGCAAAATTGAGAGCAAAATATGGAGATTTTCCATAAACTTTCTTCCCCAACACATACATTGCATCCCCTAGTATTAATATCACCCATCAGAATGATACACTTTTTGCAAATAATGAAACTATGTCAACATATGCAACCATATGTCGATATAAACCATATTGAGTATATGGTTTTAATACTCAAAAACCATAGTTCACATTAGGGTTCAATATTGGTGGTGTCCATTTTATGGGTTTAGACAAGCATGTAATGACATGTATCTATCATTATAGTACATTCAGTGTAGTTTCAATGCCCTAAAAATCCTCTGTGCTCTGCCAATTCATCCCACCCTGCCTGCTAACCCCAGTAACCACTCTGGCAATGTTTTTATTGTCTATATATAGGTTTTGACTTTTCCACAAAGCCATATGGCTGGAATCATACAGTATGTTGCCTTTTAAGATTGGCTTCTTTTACTTAGCAATGTGCATTTCAGTTTTTCCCAGTACTGTTCATGGCTTGGTAACTCATTTCTTGTTAGCACTGAACAATGATATATTTATCATTGCCTAGGTATACCAGTTTATCCATTTGCCTACTGAAGGACTTACCAAACCTTGATTCCAAGCTTTGGCAATTATGTATAAAGCTGCTACAAATATCTGTATGTAGATCTTCGTGTGGACTTAAGTCTTCAATTTGAAAAATACTAAGGAGGCCAATTGTTGGATCATATGATAAGAGTATGTTTACTTTTGTAAGAAAATGCCAAACTGTCTTCCAAAGTAGTTGCATCATTTTGAATTTACCAAAAATGACTAAGACTCCCTGTTCCTCCATATCCTAGTCAGCATTTAATATTGTCAGTGTTCTTTATTTTGGCCCTCTGATAGGTGTGAAGTGTCATCTCACTGTTGTTTTAATTTGTATTTTCCTGATGAAATATGATGTGGAGCATCTTTTTATATACTTATTTGCCATCCATATGTCTTCTTTGGTGAGATGTCTTTTAATTTTTTAATCAGGTGGTTGTTTTCTTATTGTTGAGTTTTAAGGGTTCTTTGTATATTTTGGAAAACAGCCTTCATAAGACATGTCTTTTGCAAATATTTTCTCCCAATCTGAAGCTCTTCTTTCATTCTTTTCACAGTGTCTTTTACAGAGCAGAAATTCTTTATTTTAATGAAGTCTGGTTTATCAATTCTTTCTTTCATAGATGTGTCTTTGGTATCATATCTAAAAAGTCATCTCAATTTTTCTTCTATGTTATCTTCTATCTTCTAGAAGTTTTACAGTTTTGCATTTTACATTTAGTTATGTGATTAATTTTGAGCTAATTTTTATAAAGGGTATAAGGTCTGTGCCTAGATTTACTTTTTTGCATGTGGATGTGCAATTGTTCTAGTACTATTAGTTGTAGAGTTTTTCTGCAATTTCTTACTATTGCCCCTTTGTCAAACATCTGTTGACTATATTCATGTGGATCTGTTTCTGTGCCTTATAATAGATATCATTTATTTATTTATTTATTCTTTTTCTAATACCACACTGCCTTAATTACTGTAACTTTATTGTAAGCCTTGAAACCAGGTAGAGCCAATCCTCGAACTTTGTTCTTCTCTTTCAGTATTGTGTTGTCCATCTGGGTCTTTTGTCTCTCCGTATAAACTTTAGAATAAGACTGGCAATGGCCAGGCAAGGTGGCTCATGCCTGTAATCCCAGCACTTTGGGAGGCCAAGGCAGGTGGATCACCTGAGGTCAGGAGTTCAAGACCAGCCTGGCTAACATGGTGAAACCCTGTCTCTACTAAAAATACAGAAATTAGCCTGGAGTGGCAGCAGGTGCCTGTAATCCCAGCTACTCAGGAGGCTGAAGCAGGAGAATCACTTGAACCCGGGAGGCAGAGCTACAGTGAGCCAAGATCATGCCACTGCACTCCAGCCTGGGTGATAGAGTGAGACTCTGTCTCAAAGAGGAAAAAAAAAAAAAGAGTAAGATTGGCAATATCCACAAGGTAATTTGGTGGTATTTTTATTGGGATTAAATTTAATCTACAGATCAAGCTGGGAAGAACTGACATCTTAACAACATTAGATTCTTCTACTCATGAATATGAAATATCTCTCCATTTTTTATTTAGGTTTCCTTGACGTCATGCATCAGAGCTTTGTAGTTTTCCTTATATAGGTCTTGTCTATATTTCATTAGATTTATACCTAAGTATTTCTTTTGAGGGGGTTCTAATGTAAATGTTGTTGTGTTTTAAATTCTAAATTCCAATTGTTCATTGCTGCTGAAAGTGAATGACTTTTGTATATTAACCTTATATCCTGCAACATTGCCATAATCACTTAGTAATTCCAGGAGCCTTTTTGTTGATTCTTTAGGATTTTCTGCATAGATAATCATGTTATCTGAGAACAAAGAGAGTTTATTTCTTTCTTCCCAATCAGTATGCTTTTGTTTTATTTTCTTGTCTTATTGCATTAGTTAGGGCTTCCAGTTCAGTTTTGAAAAGAGTGGTGAGAGATGGTATCTTTGTCTTGTTCCAGATCTTAGTGGGAAAGTTTCTAGTTTCTCACCATTATGTACACTGTTAACTATAGGTTTTGGTAGATATACTTTATCAAGTGGAGGAAGTTGACTTCTATTCCAAGTTTATGGAAAGTTTTTATCATGAATGGATGTTGGAATCATATATCATGTGATTTTTTTTTTGTTGAGCCTGCTGATGTGACAGATAACATTAATTGATTTTTGAATGTTGAACCAGTCATTCATATCTAGGATATATTACACTTGGTCATGGTACATAATTATTTTTATACATTGTTGGATTCCATTTGCCAATATTTCATCAAAGATTTCTGTATCAATGTTTGTGAGAGGTATTGATCTGTATTTTTCTTTTATTATAATGTCTTTGTATGGATTTGGTATTAGCGTAATGCTGGCCTCATAGAATGTATTAGGAAGTATTCCCTGTGCCTCCAACATTTGGAAGAGATTATAGAGAATTGGTACAATTAAAAAAATATATATTTGCTAGAATTCGTTAGTGAATTCATCTGAGTCTAATGCTTCTGGTTTGGAAGGTTTTAACTATTGATCCATTTTTTTTTCACTGTCAGAGCACTATTAAGATTGTCTATTCCTTCTTGTGTGAGTTTTGGCAGATTATCTTTCAAGGAATTAGTCTACTTTATCTAGGTTATTAAATTTAGGGGCATAGAGTTGCTCCTAGTATTCCTTTATGTTTTTTTAATGTACATGGGATCTGTAGTGATGTCCCCTCTTTCATTTTTGATATTAGTAATTTGTTTCTCTCCCTTTTTTTCTTAATCTGCCTGACTAGAGGCTTTTTAATTTTATTATCTCCTCAAATAGCCAGCTTTTATTTTTATTGATTCTGTTAATTTGTTTCTAATTTCATTGATTTCCGCTATAACTTTTGCTATTTATTTTCCTTTTACTTTGGAGGTAATTTCTTCTTTTTCTAATTTCCTAAGTTGAAAGCTTAGATTCCTTCTTTCTTTCTTTGTTTCCTTCTTGTTTTCTTTCCTTCTTGTTTTCTTTCCTTCTTTCTTTCTTTCTTTGTTTCTTTCTTTCTTTCTTTGTCTTTCTCTCTCTCTCTTTCTCTCTTTCTTCCTTTCTTTCTTGTTTTGAGATAGGCACTCACTCTGTCACCCAGACTAGAGTGCAGTGGCACTATCACAGGAGGGGCAGACTGACACCTCACACAGCCGGGTACTCCTCTGAGACAAAACTTCCAGAGGAACGATCAGGCAGCAGCATTTGCAGTTCACCAATATCCGCTGTTCTGCAGCCACCGATGCAGATACCCAGGCAATCAGGGTCTGGAGTGGACCTCTAGTAAACTCCAACAGACCTGCAGCTGAGGGTCCTGACTGTTAGAAGGAAAACTAACAAACGGAAAGGACATCCACACCCAAAACCCATCTGTACGTCACCATCATCAAAGACCAAAGGTAGATAAAACCACAAAGATGGGGAAAAACAGAGCAGAAATACCGGAAACTCTAAAAATCAGAGCGCCCCTCCTCCTCCAAAGGAACGCAGCTCCTCACCAGCAACAGAACAAAGCTGGACAGAGAATGACTTTGACGAGTTGAGAGAGGAAGGCTTCAGAAGATCAAACTACTCCGAGCTAAAGGAGGAAGTTCGAACCAATGGCAAAGAAGATAAAAACTTTGAAAAAAAATTAAACGAATGGATAACTAGAATAACTGATGCAGAGAAGTCCTTAAAGGACCTGATGGAGCTGAAAACCATGGCACGAGAACTACGTGATGAATTAACAAGCCTCAGTAACTGATGCGATTAACTGGAAGAAAGGGTAGCTGCGATGGAAAATGAAATGAATGAAATGAACAGTGAAGAGAAGTTTAGAGAAAAAAGAATAAAAAGAAACAAACAAAGCCTCCAAGAAATATGGGACTATGTGAAAAGACCAAATCTACGTCTAATCGGTGCACCTGAAAGTGACGGGGAGAGTGGAACCAAGTTGGAAAAGACTCTGCAGTATATTATCCAGGAGAACTTCCCCAATCTAGCAAGGCAGGCCAACATTCAAATTCAGGAAATACAGAGAATACCACAAAGATACTCCTCAAGAAGAGCAACTCCAAGACACATAATTGTCAGATTCAGCAAAGTTGAAATGAAGGAAAAAATGTTAAGGGCAGCCAGAGAGAAAGGTCGGGTTACCCACAAAGGGAAGCCCATCAGATTAACTGCTGATCTCTCAGCAGAAACTCTACAAGCCAGAAGAGAGTGGGGGCCAATATTCAACATTCTTAAAGAAAAGAATTTTCAACCCAGAATTTCATATCCAGCCAAAATAAGCTTCATAAGTGAAGGAGAAATAAAGTACTTCACAGACAAGCAAATGCTGAGAGATTTTGTCACCACCAGGCCTGCCCTAAAACAGCTCCTGAAGGAAGCACCAAACATGGAAAGGTACAACCGGTACCAGCCACTGCAAAAACATGCCAAATTGTAAAGATCATCAAGGCTAGGAAGAAACTGCATCAACTAATGAGCAAAATAACCAGCTAACATCATAATGACAGGATCAAATTCACACATAACAATACTAACCTTAAATGTAAATGGGCTAAATGCTCCAATTAAAAGGCACAGACTGGCAAATTGGATAAAGAGTCAAGACCCATCAGTTGCTGTATTCAGGAAATCCATCTCACGTGCAGAGACACACATAGGCTCAAAATAAAGGGATGGAGGAAGATCAACCAAGCAAATGGAAAACAAAAAAAAGGCAGGGGTTGCAATCCTAGTCTTGGATAAAACAGACTTTAAACCAACAAAGATCAAAAGAGACAAAGAAGGCCATTACATAAGGGTAAAGGGATGAATTCAACAAGAAGAACTAACTATCCTAAATATATATGCACCCAATACAGGAGCACCCAGATTCATAAAGCAAGTCCTTGGTGACCTACAAAGTGACTTAGACTCCAACACAATAATAATGGGAGACTTTAACACCCCACTGTCAACATTAGACAGATCAATGAGACAGAAAGCTAACAAGGATATCCAGGAATTGAACTCAGCTCTGCACCAAGCAGACCTAATAGACATCTACAGAACTCTCCACCCCAAGTCAACAGAATATAAATTCTTTTCAGCATCACACCACACTTATTCCAAAATTGACCACATAGTGGGAAGTAAAGCACTCCTCAGCAAATGTAAAAGAACAGAAATTATAACAAACTGTCTCTCAGACACACAGTGCAATCAAACTAGAGCTCAAGATTAAGAAACTCACTCAAAATTGCTCAACTACATGGGAACTGAACAACCTGCTCCTGAATAACTACTGGGTACATAAAGAAATGAAGGCAGAAATAAAGATGTTCTTTGAAACCAACGAGAACAAAGACACAAACATACCAGAATCTCTGGAACACATTCAAAGCAGTGTAGAGGGAAAATTTATAGCACTAAATGCCCACAAAAGAAAGCAGGAAAGACTGAAAATTGACACCCTAACATCACAATTAAAAGAACTAGAGAATCAAGAGCAAACACTTTCAAAAGCTAGCAGAAGGCAAGAAATAACTAAGATAGGAGCAGAACTGAAGGAAATAGAGATACAAAAAACCCTTCAAAAAATCAGTGAATCCAGGAGCTGGTTTTTTGAAAAGATCAACAAAATTGATAGACCGCTAGCAAGACTAATAAAGAAGAAAAGAGAGAAGAATCAAATAGATGCAATAAAAACCGACAAAGGGGATATCACCACCGATCCCACAGAAATACAAACCACCATCAGAGAATACTATAAACACCTCTACTCAAATAAACTAGAAAATCTAGAAGAAATCGATAAATTCCTCGACACGTACACTCTCCCAAGACTAAACCAGGAAGCAGTTGAATCTCTGAATAGACCAATAACAGGCTCTGAAATTGAGGCAGTAATTAATAGCTTACCAACCAAAAAAAGTCGAGGACCAGATGGATTCACGGCCAAATTCTACCAGAGGTACAAGGAGGAGCTGGTATCATTCCTTCTGAAACTATTCCAATCAATAGAAAAAGAGGGAATCCTCCCTAACTCATTTTATGAGGCCAGCATCATCCTGATACCAAAGCCTGGCAGAGACACAACAAAAAAAGATAATTTTAGACCAATATTCTTGATGAACATTGATGCAAAAATCCTCAATAAAATACTGGCAAACTGAATCCAGCAACACACCAAAAAGCTTATCCACCATGATCAAGTGGGCTTCATCCCTGGGATGCAAGGCTGGTTCAACATACGCAAATCAATAAACGTAATCCAGCATATAAACAGAACCAAAGACAAAAACCACATGATTATCTCAATAGATGCAGAAAAGGCCTTTGACAAAATTCAACAATGCTTCATGCTAAAAACTCTCAATAAATTAGGTATTGATGGAATGTATCTCAAAATAATAAGAGCTACCTAGGAGAAACCCACAGCCAATATCATACTGAATGGACAAAACCTGGAAGCATTCCCTTTGAAAACTGGCACAAGACAGGGATGCCCTCTCTCACTGCTCCTATTCAACATAGTGTTGGAAGTTCTGGCCAGGGCAATCAGGCAGGAGAAGGAAATAAAGGGCATTCAATTAGGAAAAGAGGAAGTCAAATTGTCCCTGTTTGCAGATGACATGATTGTATATCTAGAAAACCCCATCGTCTCAGCCCAAAATCTCCTTAAGCTGATAAGCAACTTCAGCAAAGTCTCAGGATACAAAATCAATGTACAAAAATCACAAGCATTCTTATACACCAATAACAGACAGAGAGCCAAATCATGAGTGAACTCCCATTCACAATTGCTTCAAAGAGAATAAAATACCTAGGAATCCAACTTACAAGGGATGTGAAGGACCTCTTCAAGGAGAACTACAAACCACTGCTCAATGAAATAAAAGAGGATACAAAGAAATGGAAGAACATTCCATGATCCTGGGTAGGAAGAATCAATATTGTGAAAATGGCCATACTGCCCAAGGTAATTTATAGATTCAATGCCATCTGCATCAAGCTACCAACGACTTTCTTCACAGAATTGGAAAAAATTATTTTAAGGTTCATATGGAACAAAAAAAAGAGCCCACATCGCCAAGTCAATCCTAAGCCAAAAGAACAAAGCTGGAGGCATCACACTACCTGACTTCAAACTATACTACTAGGCTACAGTAACCAAAACAGCATGGTACTGGTACCAAAACAGAGATATAGACCAATGGAACAGAACAGAGCCCTCAGAAATAATGCCACATATCTACAACTATCTGATCTTTGACAAACCTGACAAAAACAAGAAATGGGGAAGGGATTCCCTATTTAATAAATGGTGCTGGGAAAACTGGCTAGCCATATGTAGAAAGCTGAAACTGGATCTCTTCCTTGCACCTTATACAAAAATTAATTCAAGATGGATTAAAGACTTAAACGTTAGACCTAAAACCATAAAAACCCCAGAAGAAAACCTAGGCAATACCATTCAGGACATAGGCATGGGCAAGGACTTCATGTCTAAAACACCAAAAGCAATGGCAACTAAAGCCAAAATTGACAAATGGGATCCAATTAAACTAAAGAGCTTCTGCACAGCAAAAGAAACCACCATCAGAGTGAACAACCTACAGAATGGAAGAACAACCTACAGAGTGGAAGAAAATTTTTGCAGCCTACCCATCTGACAAATAGCTAATATCCAGAATCTACAATGAACTCAAACAAATTTACAAGAAAAAAACAAACAACCCCATCAAAAAGTGGGCAAAGGATATGAACACTCTTCTCAAAAGAAGACATTTATGCAGCCAAAAGACACATGAAAAAATGCTCATCATCACTGGCCGTCAGAGAAATGCAAATCAAAACCACAATGAGATACCATCTCACACCAGTTAGAATGGCGATCATTAAAAAGTCAGGAAACAACAGGTGCTGGAGAGGATGTGGAGAAATAGGAACAGTTTTACACTGTTGGTGGGACTGTAAACTAGTTCAACCATTGTGGAAGTCGGTCTGGCAATTCCTCAGGGATCTAAAACTAGAAATACCATTTGACCCAGCCATCCCATTACTGGGTATATACCCAAAGACTATAAATCATGCTGCTATAAAGACACATGCACACGTATGTTTATTGCGGCACTATTCACAATAGCAAAGAATTGGAACCAACCCAAATCCTCAACAATGATAGACTGGATTAAGAAAATGTGGCATATATACACCATGGAATACTATGCAGCCATAAAAATGATGAGTTCGTGTCCTTTGTAGGGACATGGATGAAGCTGAAAACCATGATTCTCAGCAAACTATCGCAAGGACAAAAAAACCAAACACCGCATGTTCTCACTCATAGGTGGGAACTGAACAATGAGAACACATGGACACAGGAAGGGGAACATCACACACCGGGGACTGTTGTGGAGTGGGGGGAGGGGGGAGGGATAGCATTAGGAGATATACCTAATGTTAAATGAGGAGTTAATGGGTGCAGCACACCAACATGGCACATGTATACTTATGTAACAAACCTGCATGTTGTGCACATGTACCCTAAAACTTAAAGTATAATAATAATAATTTAAAAAAAAAAGAATAGAGGCCAGTACGCTGGTGTCACATCACAGGCACCCATCAAGCTGATGAGCAGGTTCACGTGAGCTCATAGGAGTATAACCCTACCAAAATGAAAATCCATGTGGTCCAGGCCCAGAGATGTATTGTCTTTAAATATAGGCAGAATGGGAATTCCAATATTTGTTTGCATCTCTCAAAAACATCTAGAGGGATTCTAGTACATTATGCATTCCCAGCAGTTCTTAATAATATCTGATCCTCATCTTTCTTTCATCCCCAATAACTCTCAAATGCTTTATATTCTTCCTTCCCATATGAATTCAGCATGGCTTGCTACCTGATAACCTCCCACCTTCAAACAATATCTTCCCCCATGAAATACTCCCCTAACTTGCTCAACACTTAGAGGTTAATTTTTTAAAAAAATCCTGTACACACTTATTTGTCCTTTCTCTCTTCAAGGCCAGTTGTCTGTGGTGAAGGAACAGTGTTGTGAAACTCCTAATTATTAATGTTGTCTCTTCCTACTAGTTTTGACCAACGTTGTAGCTGGAGCTTTTATTCCTTTTGGAAAAACCTTATCACTTAGGATCAATTGGCCCTAATGGCCTAAGGCATCCATTGTAAGCAATGAATTAACTCAATCCTCTATGCATGTGAAGTGGCACCCACGATCTACCATTCTTGGAAAAAACTGAGAAAATAGTCACTCAAACCATGTCTGTACAGACTAATTCTTATGGAACTAACTGAGAAATGCTGTTTTAGAGGGCAGATGAAGGTTGTATACAATAGCTACTCTACAAGATCCATATCTAGGAGTTATGACTATCAAGTTTCTCACAATCCTGAGTGCCTGACCCAGTGAACAGCATTCAATAAATACTTGAGGCCAGGCATCGTGGCTCATGCCTGTAATCCCAGCACATTGGGAGGCCAAGGTGAGTGGATCACCTGAGGTCAGGAGTTGGAGACCAGCCTGGCCAACATGGTGAAACCCCGTCTCTACTAAAAATGCAAAAATTAGCTGGGGGTGGTTGTCCCAGCTACTCAGGAGGCTGAGACATGGAGAATTGCTTGAACCTGGGAGGCAGAGGTTGCAGTGAGCCAAGATCACGCCACTGTACTCCAGCCTGGACAACAGAGTGAGACTCGGTCTCAAAAAGAAAAAAAAAAAAAGACTTGAAGGAATAAATTAATGATTCAGGACTTGTGATTCTATCTAGATAAACAAACCATAAAAGTCACAGTCCTAAAGTAAAGGGATAACAGAGAACACCTGAAAAAAATTCACTTGTACTTTAACCTGTGCCAAGAAATTTTTAAACATCACACCTTCCTTGTATTAAACCATGGCCATAGTGTACTCCATTGTTCCCTTTCTCTGCAGAAAGGTTTAGTTGTGAACCTGGACAGATTGACTGTATGAGCTGGAACACAGTGTGTGATATCAGACAAGGGACGTGTTCCAGAGAATAGAGCAGGAGAAAACCCCAAACTTAAGTGTTTGCTTTTGATAGATACTTGTTCTATTTTTACTCTGGAACCTAGTACATGAGGTTGGGGGTGGGGTCAATGTCTGGTATTATGACATTTCTAAACCAGTCACTGCTTGCTGTTTCACCTCAGCTATCAACAGCTTCCTGTTGTTTCATGCGTCAGATGCAGTCTGATAAGCCCAAGGTGAGCCGTGTCCTGTTTCTCATCTCTGATATATGGGAATCCATCTTCATACAGGATGCTGTGGTATGTAAAACAAACCACGGTGAAACAGTCAAGGAGTTGCTGCAATGTTTTAAGCTTCTGTATTTTGCAGCATTCTCTCACCACGTTTTGGAGTCAAGGCAATGAATACTCCTTAACCTTCTTCTTCCTCTACACCCCTATTAGCCTGTGAATTCTTAAACCTTCAGTACAACATGGACCTGCAAGAGGTGCTGCACCTGTGCTTTTGATCAGATTCAACAACATCAATAATTACAGAAACAGAACATTAAGTAAAAGGAAGGGCTATAAACAATGGGATCCTTGAAGGCAGCCAGTCCCTCGGCCTTGAATCAGTGCTTACCACAGTATAACGCTAATAGCTGAACACAGGTGGAGCACAAAAGGCTCAAGCTGCCCAACAGGGTCTCCAAGCAGCTGCTAGCCTGTAAGGTCAAGTACGGCAATATGTTCAGACTTTCCAGAAAGTTCCACTTCTGTGTGGAAAAAAAGTCCCACATACCACACTTTTCAAAAAGTGGAATAGGCTACAGCTTAACAAATGAGTTCCAGCTGTTTAAAATTAGACTGCTAAAAGAAATTCCATATAAGAATATTCTCTGGGACTATCACATTTTCATTAATTAGAACCTGGATAATTCCTTCACTTAAAGAACTGACCTCTCCAAATTGAAGGTTGAGATAGTTAAATAATTGTTGATAGGCATGTTGGTTGTATTAATGCCATCTCCGTTACTTAAATTGCTTACATTAGTTTTAAAGTTGTATGTTTTTAAAAGTGAAATGCTTGCATTTCCATGCAGAAGACACTGACCACACTAAAACCATTTGACTCATGGGAGGGCAACGGAGTGGAAACTGGAAGAATTTTGCACCAGCACTTAGGAACCTGGGTGATGATTCCTATTTTACCATTCATTGTTTTCATGCACTGGGAAAACTCTCTTCAGCTCCTCTGTTCAAGTATAATATTGAAATTATGTGTATGGAACATCAGGGTTGTCCAAAGTCCATCCCAGCTCTCAAATTGAGAATGCCATGACTTTTCTGGTATGAATTGTATTTTTAATATATGTCTTAATATCAAACATAGACATGTGTAACTTGGCCCCTTAAACTAGGGTAGGGGTTTCTCTAGATATACCTCATCCTTCTTCCTTCTTTCATGTCTATTTAATGCAATAAAGTGACAAGATCCTTTCTAGTTTCTATTTCCCTGGTCTTAGAGTCTGATCTTATGGTGATATTGGTCTCTTCTAAATCCAAAACCCACCACTCTTTGACACGTTGAAAAGTATCCATTGTTACTCCTCTCCCATTTAGGAATACTTCAGTGGGAAAGTTTGAGGGGAATAGATCTAAGGAAATCTGAGAGTGTCTCTTCTTTGAAAAACAAAAGGACTTACATAATACAAAATATACATATCCATTTTGCTCAACAATATAGATAACTTGCATTATAAGCTTATGTCTGAGTACATATTTTTAAGTCCTTGGAGTTCTCTCTGCCATTGAGCTTTTTACTGCCTGCTCACTTGTGCTGTTCATCTCTTTGATATCTTCCCCAGCACACCATCTCAGAGCCTTATAAGGCTACCCAGATCCTGACAAGAGATTAAATGTTTCTTATGCAATATTTTTCATCTTTGTCAAAGCAATTATCTTTAGTTTAGGAAAAGTGCAAACCAAGTTTTTCCATATGCTATCAGCAAGATCAATTAACATTATTTATATAATGTATGATTTACTTCAGTTTAATTTTGTGAAAATGAAACTGTCAAGGATTTCAAATTTTTCTCTATCTGTAATAATAAAAAAGAAAATTATTTATCTTTGTGCATGCACAGAGTTTCATACACAATATAATTCTTAGAACAAACAAAAAAATTATCCTGAGATAGAGAGATAGTTCCTGAAGGGAACAGAATAGCAAGATAAATATCACCAGGAATTTGGCCTTTCCCTCACTGTCTAATTTCTGGCATACAATAACTTTCTCTAAAAATGGCATGCAAGCTTTCTCTAAAAAAAAGTTTTGTTTACAGAAGGCCAGAATAGGTCTGGCAATTGTTTCTCCTTCATATCAATGAAGCTTCGGTCACAGAATTTACATGGTCTGTTCTTTGTTTGGAGAACAACGCTGGCACACTAGGTGTGGAGACGAAAGGAGAGAGGATACCAGAGAACAGCGCCAGTTTCCCTCTGAGTCAGACACTGAAGGGCTGTGGGAAAGGGAGCTGGTCTCGAGGGCCTTCCGATCTGACCACTTTTCCAAGCCACTCCTTTATCCTGCAGGAAGGAGGAGGCTGAGCTTTCTTGCCACCAGAGAAGATCAATCAGGATCCCTTTAAGGCAGGGAGAGCCACATATCCTAGTCTTCCAAAGACACAGGATGAATTTCAAAGGAACAGAAATGGCAAGTCACCAAAAAATAGATCCATATGTTGTTGTTGTTGTTTTTTAAAGTGAAAATAGCTTGTTTTTTTTTTTAGTAGAAAAACTACCACATGCTTATTATGAAAAATTCAGACAACACATAAAAAGACAAAGAGTAGAGCCAAAATTTGAACCCAGGCAGCCAAGCTCCAGAGTTTAAGGTCTGTACTTTGTAGTAGTTAGTTACTACTGCCCCTTGGGTCTTCCCAGAATTAAACAAGAGCTCCAAGCTGCTATTTGAATCACAGTTTGGTGAAAGGGAGTGAATTTTTTAGAAGCTGGAGACCCGGCACCAAAGAACAGACTTATAAAAAGGGTTATAATAGTAATGACTCACATGCTTATCAGGCGAAAGGCTGTTAGCCAAATAATATGTATGTGTATGTGCATACACTGTGTATGTGCACATACACAGTGTGTGTATAAGAAATCTCATTTAATCCTCACAATAATCTGTCAGTTACAATTTACTCGCATCAATCTAGATGTGGAAGCTGCAGCTCAGAGTTTTAAACAATTTTCTAGAATCACAAAGCTTATACTCTGTAATAACGAAGTTAGGACTACAATCTGTCTGACCAGATTCCCAGCTCTCGACATGAATTTGTTGAGCGTCAAAAGTATGCAGGTATTGTTAAAAAGAAAATAAATATAGAAAGGAAAGGAAAAGTCACAGATTATTTCCCCTACAATGTGCAATAATGACTGAACACCAGGACACCTGCGTTTCAATCTTAAGTTAGCCATGAATGAACTACACGGTGATGGGCAAATCACTCAGTGTTTGTACTTTGGTTTCCCGTCAAAATTGGCAGAGTGTGATAGGTTAGTGGTTCTAATTTTTGGTGATCATAAACCATTTCCATGAATTCAATGAACTCTCCCTCCAGAAAAATGTATAAATGAACACAAGACGTAAAACTGCATTCAATTCAGTAATGACTTCCTAGTATATATTTATTGTCAGGCCTTCCCACTGAAATGAAATATGAATGAGGGCAAAGGACTCTGTGTTTTCCTGTCTATATCCCCAGCTACTAGAGCATTACTTGGAACATCATAAGCTCTGGAAAACTATCAACTGAATGAATACATAGATGAGGGCTCCTCATCTCCTTGAAGTGGACCCATACTCGACCCAGTTAAAAAACCCATGGATTGAATTATTTATGAGACCCTTTTTGGTTCTGAAAGACCTAAGCTTCAACCAAATGAAACAGCCAAACACTCTACTTCTTTTGACCAGTAATATTGGTAATAACATGTGCTTCAACCTAATATGTTAACTTGCAATTTTACCAACTTGTCTAGTAGTGAGCATGCACACACGCACTATCATACATGGCACTAGTTTTTTAGCATTAGTCCTGCTCATCTGTGACAGCTGTTATTTATCTTGCATTTACCACATGATAAAACCCAGGCAAACAGATAAATGTGTAGTATTTTCTGCTTCTTGGAAACTGCCTGTGAATGCAAAGTCCCTTACTGTTTAAAGTACAGTTCAGTTGTATTTTCTTCTTCTTTTTTTTTTTTTTTGAGATGAAATCTTGCTCTCACTGCAAGCTCTGCCTCCCGGGTTCACACCATTCTCCTGCCTCAGCCTCCTGAGTAGCTGGGACTACAGGCACCTGCCACCATGCCTGGCTAATTTTTTTGTATTTTTAGTAGAGACGGGGTTTCACCTTGTTAGCCAGGATGGTCTCAATCTCCTGACCTCGTGATCCGCCCGTCTTGGCCTCCCAAAGCTTATTTTCTTCTTAAATTACATAATTTAAAATTTATCATGACCTAAATAATTCCAAATGCTTTCTTAATGAGTTACAACTAAACAGATTACAATTGAATTTAATATAAGTAGGTCAGTGATATGGTTCGGCTCTGTGTCTCCACTCAAATCTCACCGTGAATTGTAATCCCCATAATCCCCACATGTCAAGGGCAGGACCAGGTGGAGGCAACCAGATCATGGAGGCAGTTTTCCCCATGCTGTTCTCATGATGGTGAATGAGTCTCATGAGATCTTATGGTTTTGTAAGTGTCTGGCATTTCCTTTACTTGCACTCACTCTGTCCTGCTGCCCTGTGAAGAAGATGCCTGCTTCTCCTTTGCCTTCTACTATGATTGTAAGTTTCCTGAGGTCTCCTCAGCAATATGGAACTGTGAGTCAATTAAATCTCTTCCCTTTATAAATTACCCAGCCTCAGGTATTTCTTCATAGCAGTGTGAGAATGTATTGACACAGTAAATTGGTACTGGGAGTGAGGTGCCACTGTAAAGATAACTGAAAATGTGGAAGCGACTTTGGAACTGAGTAACAGACAGAGGTTGGAACAGTATAGAGGGCTCAGAGGAAGACAGGAAGATGTGGGAAAGTTTGGAACTTCCTAGAGACTTGTTGAATGGCTTTGAACAAAATGCTGATAGTGATATGGACAATGAAGTTCAGGCTGAGGTGTTCTCAAATGGAGATGAGGAACTTGTCGGGAACTGGAGTAAAGGTGACTCTTGCTATGTTTTAGCAAAGAGATTGGCAGTATTTTGTCCCTGCCCTAGAGATCTGTGGAACTTTGAACTTGAGAGAGATGATTTAGGGTATTTGATGGAAGAAATTTCTAAATGGCAAAGCATTCAAGAGAAAGCAGAGCATAAAAGTTTGGAAAATCTGTAGCCTGACAATGCGATAGAAAAGAAAAACCCATTTTCTGGGGAGAAATTGAAGCCAGCTGCAGAAATTCACATAAGTAACATGGAGCCAAATGTTAATCACCAAGACAATGGGGAAAATATCTCCCCAAGAAGGGCATGTTAGAGACATTCATGGCAGCCCCTCCCATCACAGGCCCAGAGGACTAGAAGGGAAAAATGGTTTCATGGGCCAGGCCCAGGATCCTCCTGCTATGTGCAGCCTCAGGACATGGTACCCTGTGTCCCATCTGCCTCAGCTCTAGCCAAGGTTAAAAGGGACCAAGGTACAGCTTGGACTGTGGCTTCAGAGGGTTCAAGCCCCAAGTCTTGGCAGCGTCCATGTGGTGTTGAGCCTGTGTGTGCACAGAAGTCAAGAATTGAAGTTTGGGAACCTCTGCCTAGATTTCAAAGGATGTGCAGAAACACCTGGATGTCTCCCAGGCAGAAGTTTGCTCAGGGGTGGAGCCTTCATGGAGAACCTCTGCTAGGGCAGTACAGAAAGGAAATGTGGGGTCAGAGTCCCCACACAGAGTCCCCACTGGGGCACTGCCTAGTGGAGTTGTGAGAAGAGGGCCACCATCCTCCAGACCCCAGAATGGTAGATCCACTGACAGCTTGCACAGTGCATGTGGGAAAGCTGCAGACATTCAACCCCAGCTCATGAAAGCAGCTGAGAGGGGGCTGTACCCTGCAAATCCACAGAGGCAAAGCAGCCCAAGGCCATGGGTGTCCACCTCTGGCATCAGCATGACCTAGATGTAAGACACAGATTCAAAGGAGGTCATTTTGGAACTTTTAAGTTTTAATGACTGCCCTATTGGATTTTGGATTTACATGGGGCCTGTAATCCCTTTGTTTTGGCCAATTTCTCCCTTTTGGAATGGGAGCATTTACCTAATGCCTGCACCCCCATTTTATCTAGAAAGTAACTAACTTGCTTTTGATTTTACAGGCTCACAGGCAGAATGGACCAGCTTTGTCTCAGATGAGACTTTGGACTGTGGACTTTTGAGCTAATGATAAAATGAGTTAAGACTCTGGGGAACTGTTGGGAAGGCATGATTTGTTTTGACAAGTGAAAGGACATGAGATTTAGGAGGGGCCAAGGGTGGAATAATGTGGTTTGGCTCTGTGTCCCCACCCAAATCTCACCTCAAATTGTAAAACCCATAATCCGCACATGTCAAGGGTGGGACTAGGTGGAGATAATTGGATCATGGCAGCATTTTACCCATGCTGTTCTCATGATAGTGAGTGAGTGAGTCTCACAAGATCTGGTGGTTTTATAAGCATCTGAGATTTTCCCTGCTTGCACTCACTCCAACCTTCTGCCCTGTGAAGAAGGTACCTGCTTCTCCTTTGCCTTCTGCCATGATTGTAAGTTTCCTGAGGCCTTGCCAGCAATGCAGAACCGTAAGTCAATTAAACCTCTTTCCTTTATAAACTACCTATTCTGGAGTATTTCTTCATAGCTGTGTGAGAACAGACTGATATAATCAGACTTCCAAAATAATTTTTAACATGAGAAAACAGTGTGCTCAACCAGAAGCAAAGCTTTTTAAAATGCATGCTGAACATAAACTTTGGGTGAAAGTGTAGACTCACTACTCCATTGTGTGACTTCTGTATTTGATCATGAGACATCAGGTTTAGCATTTATTCAGTTCTCATTCCAGGTATTCTGTGATCTCCAGTGTCCACTGCTCAAGCATTGCACATTATGAATTTTTTTCTAACATAGTCTTTTTATGTTGTCCAGGCTGGCCTCAAACTCCTTGGCTCAAGTGATCCTCCTGCCTCAGCCTCCTGAGTATCTGCGACCACAGGCACATGCCACCATGCCCAGATCTTCATAAATTTTTAAAGACCTCGAAAGATATCTACTGTAGAAGACTCTTAGTTTTTTTAAAAAATTTTTTTAATTAAAATTATTGAAGTGAATAGTATACACTCTGAGTTAACTTGATGTAGTATAACCATTGTGATAGTATTTCTAAAATATGCTATGGAATATGTTGGCTAATTAAGTCTTACTTATTATTTACCTGTGGCAATGGCAATTTATTTGGATTTGTGAGAAAAAAAATTTACAGTGTATGAAAGTTCTAACATATGCTAAGACTACTCCTGCTCCTTCTTAACCACAAAAATTTAATGTAAGGTGTTTCAATGGGAATTCCACCAGCCTCCTCCAGCTAAATGTTTTTCTTCTAAAACACTGTTTTAGGGAAGTTTCCATTAAGATGGGTTGAGGTAGAATTAGGATTAAAATAATAAACCAAAAAAACTTTATGCAGAAAAAGTGAAAGCTAAGGGAAGTCCAGGGTATGTCAATGATTGCCGAATAAAAGAAGAACGGAAATGTGATATGAATGTGTAACTTTTAGCATGTATTCCCCTAAACCATTCCTACCGTCTGCTATATTCATTATCAACTCCAAAGTGGGGAAAAAAGAAGTAAAAGGTTTTGTTGTCTTGCTCTACTAGCTGCGTTTTTAAAATAGTTGGCTTGTCCTCGCTAGTTGGAGGTGTCCAAAATATCATAGAATTGGATGAAAGAAATGAATATTTGAACCCTAAAGCAATTCACATTCCTGAATTGTGTGTGTGTGTGTGTGTGTGTGTGTGTGTGTGTGTGTGTATGTGAGAGAGAGAGAGAGGGTACTAAGACAAAAATTAAGTATGTTTATTTAATTAATCTAGTAAATAGTAAAATTATCCAAAGATACTGAATAAAAAGGCACAGGCACAGGAAAAACAAAGGAATTGTATTATCTAACCCACAATTACCAAACTGAGTAGTCTTTTTTTAATTCTTTATAGATGCTCTCCTATCATTCAGTTATGGAGAGGTCAGTCTGAATTTATTTTCTAAGAAAATAGATCTTATTAACATACCATATAACTCTTCAAGGCAGCTCTTTCTAAAAACAGTATTACCACCATGCAGTCTTAAGTACCCATACTCTGGGAACTCTTAGAGGGAATGAGATGATTAGGGGAAAAAAAGATGGAAATCAGATCTACTCGAAAGAAAGACATTATGAGGAAACTTGAAACTATTGAATACAGAGAAGTTTGAGAATCTTTCTTAATCTTAATTATTTGTTCTGTATTTACCTCCTTTTATCACTGATAATGTAGTTTTCTGTACCCAATAAAGGTAAATGTAAGCATTATGTTTAGAATGTAATTGTATATTTCCTCAAGGAAATGTGTTTCTTTCTTTTCCTTTTTTTTTTTTCTTTTTTCTTTTTTTTTTTTTTTTTGAGATAGAGTCTCGCTCTGTTACCCAGGCTGGAGTGCAGTGGCACAATCTTGGCTCACTGCAACCTCCACCTCCCAGGCTTAAGCACTTCTCCTGCCTGAGCCACCTGAGTAGCTGGGACTACAGGTGCGCATCACCATGCACGGCTAACTTTTGTATTTTTAGTAGAGATGGGGTTTTGCCATGTTGGCCAGGCTGGTCTGGAACTCTTGGCCTCAAGTAATCTGCCTGCCTCGGCCTCCCAAAGTACTGGGATTACAGGCATGAGCCACCATTCCCAGCCATGGAAATGTCTTTTCATAATAGAGAGTAGAGTTTAGATTGTAAAATTATTAACTACTTTAATGGAGTATATGTTACCAAGTGTCTTGAAAACCAGTGGTCTAGAATTCCTTTCTAACGTACACTCCTACTTCTCTCTGATCTCCTTAGGTCATTGAAAATTCTGAAGAAATACAATAAAGTGAATTATTTTTGGAGTTTATCAACATTAAAATTATAAAAATATTAAAAGGATAAGAGGAAAAATAGAAAAGTAGAATACAGGAGATTTCTGCATAACCCCGTCTTTATTATAGAGAGCCACAAAAACCATGAAGATGTGCTTTTATGAGGTCATGTGAGAGAAGGAAGAAAAATTGTGAGAAAATTTAACATTTGCAAATTGGAAGCAGGAGCTAGAGCCCCTCTGGAGCAGTGATGTCTCTCTTCATTACCTTATCTCCCAATATGAAAGGGAGCAGAAACAAAGGCCAGGGTCTCTCCATAATCAGTAGCCAGAAAACCAGCTATAAAGGAGAAAAGATACAACTACCCTGGAGGAAGGTGTAAAAGATTTCTACTACATTGAGAGAGAAAGGTTACTGATCAGTGCACCATGGTTTACATTTTTTAAAATGTCTCAAAAGAATCAAAGAAAGCAAGGGGGAGAGTAAGGAATGCTAAAACAGAAGTCTCGTAGACAAAATACTAAAACTTAAATATATTTCGTCCTCATTTGACCTAATGAATAGTAAAATTATAAAGAGGTACTAAATAAAAGGGTGAATTAAAAAAAAACAGAAGTAAAATATAAAAGCAAAAGGCATCATTAAGTCTTTTCCTCACGATCAGTTGGCAAAAACTATAAAGAGGAAAATAGAGTCTCAGACGATGAAATGGCAAAATAATCTTCAACTTGAAACTGCAAAACTCCATTGCAGAAAGCATCTCAGATTACACTGTGCTGGTTGCCTGCAATGGTTCCAGGCTCAGATTGTCATAACGATTCATAGGAAAAGTTTGTTTCCCTTCCCCAGATCATGACCATCAAGATAATACAATGCCTTTGAGATTTTTATCAAAAGAGTGAACCACAAGAGCCACTAAACTCTCTAATTTAGAGATGAGAATGACCTGAGGAGCTTGTTAAGCATTCTGATTCACATGATCCCTCCTTGCCAGGGATGCTATTTAATTATCTGAGAAGGAGGCCCAGGGATTCGCATTTTTAACTGGTATCTAAGGTGATCCTAGAACAGGAGGCTCCTGAATCTCACCTTAAGAATCTCTGCATTCGAAGTTGCTATAGTAATCTCTTGGTTCTTCTTTTTTTTTTTAATTATTGTATTTTATTATTATTATACTTTAAGTTTTAGGGTACATGTGCACAATGTGCAGGTTAGTTACATATGTATACATGTGCCATTCTGGTGTGCTGCACCCATTAACTCGTCATTTAGCATTAGGTATATCTCTCCTAAAGCTATCCCTCCCCCCTCCCCCAACCCCACAACAGTCCCCAGTGTGTGATGTTCCCCTTCCTGTGTCCATGTGTTCTCGTTGTTCAATTCCCACCTATGAGTGAGAATATGCGGTGTTTGGTTTTTTGTTCTTGCGATAGTTTACTGAGAATGATGATTTCCAATTTCATCCATGTCCCTACAAAGGACATGAACTCATCATTTTTTATGGCTGCATAGTATTCCATGGTGTATACGTGCCACATTTTCTTAATCCAGTCTATCATTGTTGGACATTTGGGTTGGTTCCAAATCTTTGCTATTGTGAATAGTGCCGCAATAAACATACGTGTGTATGTGTCTTTATAGCAGCATGATTTATAGTACCTTGGGTATATACCCAGTAATGGGATGGCTGCGTCAAATGGTATTTCTAGTTCTAGATCCCTAAGGAATCGCCACACTGACTTCCACAAGGGTTGAACTAGTTTACAGTCCCACCAACAGTGCAAAAGTGTTCCTATTTCTCCACATCCTCTCTAGCACCTGTTGTTTCCTGACTTTTTAATGATCGCCATTCTAACTGGTGTGAGATGGTATCTCATTGTGGTTTTGATTTGCATTTCTCTGATGGCCAGTGATGATGAGCATTTTTTCATGTGTTTTTTGGCTGCATAAATGTCTTCCTTTTAGAAGTGTCTGTTCATGTCCTTCGCCCACTTTTTGATGGGGTTGTTTGTTTTTTTCTTGTAAATTTGTTTGAGTACATTGTAGATTCTGGATATTAGCCCTTTGTCAGATGAGTCAGTTGCGAAAATTTTCTCCCATTTTGTAGGTTGCCTGTTCACTCTGATGGTAGTTTCTAAGGACTTCATGTCTAAAACACCAAAAGCAATGGCAACAAAGCCAAAACTGACAAATGGGATCTAATTAAACTAAAGAGCTTCTGCACAGCAATCTCTTGGTTCTTAAGCTGCCCTGGGTAAGTTATGTTGGTGAACCTAAGGAATGTTAGTCTGTTCCCTCTAAAAAACAGTGAGCACAAGTTTAGTTGCTCCCATATTTGCGTAAAGGAAACAATTTAAGGTATTTCCCAGCAACCTGTGCAACTACTAGCAGGCCTTCTCCCTGCTAAAGCCAGATATTTTGCAAAATTTACCAGACTAGTATTTTCCAAGGTTCAAAGGAATAGTGTGCTTTGAGAGCCGTTTTCAGATTACGTCTTAAGATGCTATGAAAACAACCTATGTAAGTGTATATTTAAGTACATCGTGTTAAGGGCAAAATATGCTACTCGTTAAAGTCACCACATGAGGTTTTCAGTACCATATACTGGCTTGATTTGAATGAAAATTTCTAGAAATAGGATCTTAGAAGATTACCTTCAAATAATTAAAATTCCAAAGAAAAAAATGGACAGTCCTACATTTGTTTCAACTTTACTTGTTTCTGATGACTCTCATCTCTCTAGATTTTCTTACTGTTTTATGCCCCTGACTTTCTAGTAAGGTCTTCTGAGGTACAGTGGGCTGTTTACAGGCATTTATGTTTGTGAGAATATCAGTACATTATCAACCGCAGATCAAAACCCCCAGATAACAGTCTTGTTTTACTGACTTAAAAGGAACTTGTAATAAAAAGCCCCTTTTCAATGGGGGCCTCTGTGTGTTACTTTGTTCCCTTCATCACTGTTAAGGTATATTATTTGGCCTCAGGTTAATCTACCTTTTTAGAGACCAAAAATGACTTTCTTTACACTCTGCTGTGTTTTTTCAATTATGGGATCTTACAGTTTTCGTGTTAGCTCTCCATGTTGTACTGAATGCTCAATGACAGATATTTTCTATAAAATAAAATATAAAATATTACTAGACTAATTAGGTCTTTGTTTTGCTGTGGTCATGATGGCCTATCCAGACATTTCATTCTTGGTTTAATATCAGATGTGTTAACGCATTTCTTTTGTTGTTATTGAAACAGTGGATCACATTCAACACTTTTGGGAGAATCTGAGGTTTATATTTATATGATAATTTTGCATGTTACTTAACATCACTCTTCATTTTTCTTATGTCCTATCCGTGGTAGCTGCAGCAAGTGTTTAGCCTAGATTTTCTGAGATAGTCCTAATATTAAATATTTTTCTCTTATTTTCAGACTCTTTATTACAGTGTCAAGACAGGGATGGCAAATTTTTCTTTGGAAAATAAAATTACAAAGTCAATACATGCCTTAGAAATGACTGACCTAATTTGAGCATTTCTGGGGCAACCTTCTTCTTACTTCTTCTCCCATTCTTGGGCTCTGTTAGGATGCCGACTTGTAGAGGTTGGCATTGACCTTAATGCTCAAGGCCTTGGGAAGCTCTTGATCTGTAAATAACATCATCTGTTTCCTGCCTCTGCAAGAGGAGATTTTCTGCTGAATAGACTGTGCCTTGGTTTCAAGGCTCTCTTATCTCTTGGACAAGTGTCTGCTGCTGCTCTCCTGGTAATTTTTCTAACTGTGACCTGGAATTGAACTCTGGTTTTCATCTTTTCTCTTCTTCCTCTTACTCAGCCACAGCCTCCTGGTTTACATCATCAGGGATTTTTCCATCTCCATTACTCTGGCCCTTCTGGTTCAAGCTTTTAGCCTTAAAAACCAATAGCATCCTGACTTGTGACTCAGCTCAACCCCATCACCTGCTTTCAAATTCTCCTCCATATTAACTCCCACCTACAGACTTTCTCATGCTCTCTCTCACTACACAAAACCCATTTCCTTCCTTATATTTTCTGTTCCAATCTTTGGTTTTCTCTTCTCTGCCACTGCATCTATGTTTCTCAGATGAATTTCAGACCATTGAAGCTACAAGTAACAGAAGCAGAGATCTACTCAGAAATTAGCATTTAAAAAGAAATATATGTAATCCTGAGAAAAATGTTGATATTGAACTTTGAGAGTTCAGCTTCAAAAGATGAGTGCTACACATTAATATATTTAGCTTTTTTTCATACACAAACCAGTTTGTTTTAATTTATTCATTAGTGAAAAGAAATACCAAGGTAGTAAAAAGGCTTGTAAAGTTAATTATTCAACTGACTTGAGAGCTTTTCTAAAACCAAATTTTGCAGGCAATTTGATCTGAATACCAAGCTTGTTTGAACATATGGCCCAGTCTCAAAAAAATACACATATCATAGCCAAGAGCCTCATATGTTTTTAAACTATTAAGTGTTAGATAAACTTATTAGCCATCAATAATAACCCAGGTAGTTTCCAGCTTTTCTAATTGTGAGTACTTTCCTATGTGCATATATTGCTTATTTTATACCTTTTTATTCCCCAACAATATCTAGCCTGACCTGTAGTTCATGACAAAAACACTAATGTCAACTCCCCTTATTTCACATACCAACATGGTTTTTCAGTAGCTGTCCGTCAAAACACAAGGTGATTGTATAATAAAGATGCTATTTCCAATGAGATAAACCACTTATATCAATAAGGAAGCAAATTGCACTCAAATTAATGAAGAAAAGAAATCAATCACCTGGCCTTTTTAGTAGTCTGCAGACTATATTGGTTTCATTTGAAATATATGTTTTTGGGCTAGGGCTTTCTCTGGAAGGCTAGAGCTTTGAGGAGTTACCAATATGGTAGTTGAAGTCATGGGGTTAGATGATATTTCCAAGAGATACTCATTGTTTGGCATTAAAAGAAAAGTCAGTGTTTCGTTGGTAGGAGATAAATTTAAAACAGGTAGGATCTTTTGTAATCTCCCAAAGTCACATTACTTTATCCTAACTGAGGTCAACTCTTGAAGTTGAAATGTCTGTCTCTATGTGCAGGCCTCTGCACACACACAAGTGCACACATACTTATGCAAGTGTACATGTGTGCACAAATACACACACACATTACATCAATCATTTGAATTACTTATACACATAAAAAAGTATGGCATATTTATATAAGACTGTTGAGCAGAGAGGCAAAGTCAAGCCCTCATAAATATGGGTAGAGAAGGGTAAGCATTTGTTGAAATCCCTGTGGTAATCATGGTTGAAATGCGGGATAACAGAAGAACCCAAAATAAATAGCCTTAAATATTATGAATCTTTTTATATGCTGTGTGGATACCAAACACACACACACACACAAACACAACACAAACACACACACACACACACACACACACACACAAAGGCTCCACAACTGCGTTCTTAGCTGAACATAGATGTTTAATGGTCTTAGCCCCTAGTAAAATTGTAATATGGCTAAAATGCATCCCTGGCACTTCAGAAATACAGAGCTGAAAGTACCTAGCAGTCATTTAACCTAAATATTAATTTTACAGATAAGAAAACTAACAATCAATATGATGAAATGATATCTCAAATCTCACACAGACCATTGCTTCCTCAATCCATGCGACATTTTCCTCTTGATGACAGGAAGCAGCTGTCTTTTGGGATTTTCCCTAGGGCAAAAGCCACATCTGATTTATATATGTTCCTCTACCCCAGAGTGTTGGCTAATTTTAAAGTCCACACTTAGTTTTTGTAATGGAAAAATGCCAGCACTTTACATTTTCCTCATGGGTGTAACAGTAGCTGCCACTCATTGAGCATTAAATTGGCCAGGCCTCGTGCTAGGCACTTGATTCATTGTGTCTCATTTCATCCTTACAATAATCTTGTATATTGGATATTGTATTGTAATTTTATAAATAAGGACAATGAAGCTGAAAAAATAGAGATTATGCCTCAGACAGTATACTAGAAAGGTGATAAAATCAAGATGTAAACCCAAGTCCATCTGATTACTAAGGCTTTTCTGTGCTTCTTTCATCACTGGATTCTATTACCAGGGACCAGGGATAAAAGAAGAGCAACAGAGGGCACCCAAACAGAATCACCTCTGTAGAGTGCTCAGAAGAAACACTGTAGAAGCTCTCCTGACACAGCTACGTGGCCGGCCAGCTCTTATTTAGGAGAATGGTAGGTAATGCTGTTCCAGCACTTAGAAACACATGCTTGATGGAAAGGAGTGGGGAGACACTCCAACAAAGTCTCTCATGATATCACTGGGTTCAGTTTTACCAGAGCAGACTTCAGTGCCTGCCTACATCAAATTGACTGGTAGAACAAAATATCCTGCTACAAAATTCTAATAATTCTGAAAAAGAATAGATACCAATTTGGGATATTGCCTAATTGAAATTATTTACATATCTGAATTTAAGTATCAAACCTAATCCAGCATGGGTTTTTTTTGTAATAAATTCTCAAACTCCCAAATATTAGGAAATATTATCCACAAATTGTTGGGGACAGCTGGAAAGTAAACATTTTGGGCTTTAGCAATTTCTTTGGCATGTCCTTTCAGGAGCCTTAAGAAATGGATTGCACCTTGATAAATAAGAGGTAAATTTCACACGGAATCTGAAAAGTAACGAAGAGTAGGTGGGATCAGATCCAAGGAATTATTTGGTAGGAGTTATGGATTTCAGTTTGCCAATATGTAAAATATACCTCAGAATGTGGCCAAGGAAAAAGATAATGTTTGTCCCTCAACCTTTCCACTGAAGATCAAGAATCCAAATCCCTGTGAGAACATCATGCCAGCTGACATGCTAGATTCTGTCACTCCTTGGCTTAAAACCCTTCAGTAGTTACTCATGGTTCTTAGAATAAAATCTAAACTGTTACGTATGGATTTATGGCTCTCCCTTATTGTCTCTTCTTCTTTATTTTCAGCCACACCACTTATTCTACTCTCCAGTCATAGTTTCTTTCCTCTCCAGTTTCTGTCTCTTCTTCAAGCCTTATCTTACAATATTCCTTCTTGCTGGGACATTCTCTGCTGCAACGCTCTCCTGCCCTCCATATTCCTTCCATTACCCACACAGCCACTCCTGGCTGGTAAGCCCCATTCATCCTC
The DNA here is from genome assembly GCF_000001405.40 of Homo sapiens. Taxonomy (NCBI): domain Eukaryota; kingdom Metazoa; phylum Chordata; class Mammalia; order Primates; family Hominidae; genus Homo; species Homo sapiens. Next base: position 52,741,682 of record NC_000005.10, read on the forward strand.
CAGTTTGCACTTGGACACCACTTTTTGCAGAAGCTCTTCCCTGACTCCCCGGGTCTGGATTAAGTGCCTCCCTGTGAGGCCCTCACTTCCCTCTGTAATTATCATAGTTCACTATAACTTCTTGTTATATGGTTTCTTTTGCCAGTTAGACTGTAAGTTCCAAAATGGCAAAGACATGCTGCCAATTAGCAAATATTTTTCATGTTCACTCTATGCTAGACATTTGGGATACTGTGGCACACTAAATATAAAGTGTGCCCAACATTGCGTCTTAAAATGAGGCTTTTCCTCCCAGATGTGGTGCATTTATGATAGAAGACATGCCTAGGGATACCATGGACCTTTTTGTTCCATGCATATACATGAGGCAGGGCAATTTCTAGAGGATGGAATCACATTCTCCTGGAAGGTAGAATTAGGGTGCAACCATTGGAAATTGCCTCTGCCTGGGCTAGATAAGGCGGTGCCAAGGGTAAAATAACTTTGGTGGATTTTTGAAGTACTATGTGTCAAACCCTATGCTGAAAACAAGAAAGAGATTATTCTTGAACTGAAGCCAACATGTCTCAAAATACTCTGAGCACGAATCTTAGTGGTCTTTATGGTGACAGTGTTTGATAGTACTAACCCATTATAAGATTACTTTCCTGTATGTACTTCCTGCTAATTTATTTAACAAAAATCCTGATATGTGATATACCTGCCAAGCAATTAACGAGATTAGAAATGAAGTAGTCCAGGAATATAAACTGCAGAAGAAAGCAATTTTCACCCCAAAAGTTTACATTTGGCTGAAAAGCCACAATTTAGACCCCATCTCACTGGTCTAATAACACCTGAACTAAAGGAGGCATTTCATTTAATTATCCAAACATATTGGCATGTAAATTCAGGCTATCAGTAAAAATGAAGCGAGATGATGAACTCATCCCTTAGGACTCGTGATTTTGAACAGCTTTTCTCTTTTTAGGATAATTTGTGCTGCTTTATCATCTCAGAAAATCTTTCATTTGTCATGGATGAACTGAGATAAGGGAAGTTATTGCCACCTGGGTGCCTCTCTAATTTTCTAGTATAACAATTGGTATATATTCACCCAGTGAGCAGATTATACAATTTTACCTCTTTCCCTCAATCTAAGGGCCACTGGGAAAATGGAAAAAGTTGAGAGAAAGGGAGAGACAGGCAGAGAGAAGGTAAAAAAAAAAAAAACCCAAAAGAGTAGAATTTTATATTAGATGTTTGACATGAGATTTAATGAGTCTACCTCTGTGGTGGCTTTGTGAGAGACATCTGTTAGTCTTAAGTCCAGAAGAGATAAATTTATTATTATTAAGAGGAATTTGGGGCCTCTGAACATACATGTTAACTTCTTTTTCTTTATTAAATTACTTTAAAATTATAATGTAGAAAAAGTGGTATTGATACTGCAAAGTAGATATAGGACTGGTTACTGACTGAATAGAGCAAAGGAAGTGACTGCTGAAGTCTCCACAGGGGAAAGGCACCAAAGACCGTGAGTCATTTCCCTCTGCAGAAGCCTTGAGGGTCTCAGGGTTTAGGGCCACTAGAGATCAGGATAAGCAAGGCCCTGGGAAGGCACTTAGCTAAAAATAGAGTGATTATTCAAAGTCTGCATTATAAACTGAGGTCTTTTCAAAAAGGCAATGATTAACTCTAGGAAAAGCCAAAAGTTGTCTGAGAAATAAACTTGGAAAAGCGATGGATGTTATTTATGTAACCATAACCATGCTAACATGCTTGTTTAAAGAGAATGTGTGGTAGAGCTATGCTGGGAGGCTGAAGAAAAGGCAAGTCGGGGTGTGGTGATGGCAAGGGAATGCTGAGAAGCGCAACATTTTTCAATGACTACCAAAGGAAGCTAGTAAATCATACATAATCGTGACATATGAAGACATATCAGTAATATTATCTATAAATGTGGAGGAAATAGGGTGAAAAAGTTGAAGAGTTGAAAATGGTTGCTCTGGGGCCTAAGGCTGGAGCATTGGGTAGAGTGGGTAGGAGAAGGGACCACTGCTTTCTAACAGGGCACTTTTATCTCTATCTGATTTCTTAAACTCTGTACATGTATAAAAACAAAAACGTTTTTAATAATTAAAAAGAAGAGAAGTGGGTGGCTTAGGTTGCTGGAGTAGTGGGGATATTAGCCTGGAAGAAATTTTTGATCCCATACCTTTTATTCATTAGCTTTATATACTCAGAATTTCAGGATCTTCTGTGTCAGTAAGTAGGTGATACATACTCAAGCCTGAATTGGTTCATCACTAAAGTAATCATAGCAGTTTGCAGCAAAGAGAAGACAGCACAAAAATTCAAGCCACAAAAGGTTGCACTGTGACTCTTCTGTAAACCTCAACCCAGTGTCAGACGGCTGTTTTTTCCTTTCTTACTGCTATATTTTCAGTGCTAGCACAGTGGCTGACTCACATGGGTGCCTCAGAAGTAGTTGACAAAAATGCACAGAGATTACAGAAATGTTAGTTAAGAAAAGATTGATGAATTAATTGGCATGGATTGGGAGGAAGGAAGTTCTAAGGAAGACTCAACTTGCAAAAGGCCAAATATAACTGGGAGCTAGGCCAAATTTTATCCCTTTTAAGGAATCAAAACCAAGGTTAAGCCAGGGTCAAACCACTAATAAAGGAAAATGAGAACAAAATAAGTTCAAACTGGTATATCTGTGAATTTAATTTGCTTGCTAAGCACGTTGTGTATGAAGTGGGTGGAGTTTGTGAACTGAGGGTGTTCCGTATCTCATATATAGTCCATATCTCATATACATTATTCTAGTTGATATTTCAAAATATAGAAAAATGACAAAGTTTTCATCATTCAACTTATTTGGATGGTCAAGAAAATATAGAGACTATGTGATAAGTGACATAATCAATCAAGTTCAAAATATAATTTTGAAAAAAAGAAGTGGTCTTCTGTCTAACTAGGAATACAAATTTTATGTTTAACAGCATGCATTGTTTACTAGGTCTGCCTTAAAAAGTACCGCACACTGGTTGGCTTAAACAACAGAAATGTATTGCCCTGAAGGTTTGAAGTCTATATTAGTCCAATTTCATACTGCTATGAAGAAATACCCGAGACTGGGTAATTTATCAAGAAAAATAGGTTTAATAGACTTACAGTTCCACGTAACTGGGGAGGCCTCACAATCATGGTGGAAGGCGAAGGAGGAGCAAAGTCACTATCACAAGAACAGCACAGGAGAAACCCACCCCCGTGATTCAATTACCTCCCACTGGGTCCCTTCCACAACACATGGGGATTATGGAGCTACAATTCAAGATGAGATTTGGATGGGGACACAGCCAAACCACATCAAAGTCCAAGATCAAGGTGTTGGCAGGTTTGGTTCCTCCTGAGGTTTCTGAGAAAGAATCTGTTCCATGCCTCTCCCCTAGCATCTAGTGGCTTGCCAGAAATCTTTGGCATTCCTTGACTTATAGATGCATCACCCCATCTCTGCCTTGATGTGCACATGGTATTCTTCATGTGTGCATTTATGTATCTAAATTTCCCTTTTTGTAAGGACACTAGTCATATTGAATTAGGGGCCTACCCTAGTGTATTAGTCAGGGTTCTCTAGAGGGACAAAACTCTCTCTCTATATATATATATGGGGAGTTTATTAAGTATTAACTTACATGATCACAAGGTCCCACAATAGGCCATCTGCAAGCTGAGGAGCAAGGAGAGCCAGTCTGAGTCCCAAAACTGAAGAACTTGGAGTCCAGTGTTCAAGGACAGGAAGCATCCAGCATGGGAGATAGATGTAGGCTGGGAAGCTAGGCCAGTCTCGTCTTTTCACACTTTTTTCTACCTGTTTTATATTCTAGCCATGCTGGTAGCTGATTAGCTTGTGCCCACACAGGTTAAGGGTGGGTCTGCCTTTCTCAGCACACTGACTCAAATGTTAATCTCCTTGGCCACACCCTCATAGACACACCCAGGATCAATACTTTGCATACTTCAATCCAATCAAGTTGACATTCAGTATTAACCATTACACCTAGTCTACTATGACCTCATCATAATGAATTACATCTTCAGTGATGTTATATCCAAATAAGCTCACATTCTGAGGTACTGGGGTTAGGACTTCAACCTATAAATTTGAGGAGATACCCACTATAATGAAGAAATCATGTAGTCTAGGTTTTCTAAAACAATAATCTTAGAGATAGACAGACTATCCAAAAGGGTAGATGACTGGATAAATGGAAGTGTCTGATTCTGATTGTTAGGCTGGGTCCAGCCCAGAAGATGATGATGATGTGTGTCCTTGGGAACAAAAACTAGTAGAGTAAGTGTCTCTTATCTGGAAACAGCACTAACAGCCAGGTGAAAAAAATGCAAAATATTTGAATAAAATGAATTGGGAAAGGAATAAGGTCCAACAGCAGAGGATCCAACTGCAGATCACAAAATCAAGGAGAGCCTACAGCTGAGACACAAGACAAAATGAAAAAGCTAAAGAACTGAAGAGCTGGTGAAATGAAAACAGAATACCGAAGACTGAGCACAGAAATCAGAGAGCTATGGGGAAATACCTTAGTTCAAGCTATAACCTGCTATCATCCTTTGCATGTCTGTGGCAAGCGGTGTGAGCAGATTAGGTATATTTAAAAGTCCAGAACCAAGAAGCATAATAATTATTTTTCTGTCCAACCATAAGACTCATAATTTTCATATCAATGTGATATTTGAAGAACTTAATATCAAATTGCATCTGAAGTTAATTTTTCCCTTGAGTAATAAAAGCAACTTAGAGAGAATCATAATTTGTATGCTTTGTGCCCCAGAAAACCTCTGTGTGGCTACAAGTAGCAGGAAGCCAGACCTAACAGAGTTATGATCCTTGTCTCCAATGTCCCTCAAATTGCACCACAGTCTAAACGGCATGTACTTCTGACCCCACATGAATATCAAGTTATTACAAACTTATGTGACTTTAATGACCTTTCAAAGATAATGCAAACATGAGAACATTCCTAAGTACATGCCATGAAAACTTATATCCAAATGGATGTTGCACTTCAAAGTCACCCTGCAAAGAAGTTATTTTATTTCACAATAGTTCAACATAGTTGCAGTGCTCCTAGTTTGGAATTTATATCAGAACCAGTGTTCGAGGAGTGACTCTCATCCTACAAAGTACTTAAATAGGCCAGAAGTGTCACATTACTTTGCTTTCTTTAAATTTAATTAAATCTAACAGAATACTTACCAACATGGGCTTGTATGACAACCAATATTAGTTATTTCTGGAGGGTTCTTTCACAGTATTCTCTAATACTAATACTGACCACAAGAACATGTAGATCTTGGAAATGTTATATAGGAAAAATATGCACAGGAATCTTCGCAAAGAGTGGGATTATAAATACTCAAAACCCACTCACCACATATGTGCTGTGAAACAACCCCTCCTTCTGCTGTCAGAGAACAAACTAAAAGCTCTCCTAAGACAAAAGAACCAAAAGAGCCTGGATACTCTTTAGAAACTGGAAAGGAAAAGATAACCTTAGAACTAAGCATGCGTTAATATTTCAATACATTTTCACTATACCAATTTCCAACTACCATTAAGAAAGTAACCTCAATAAATTATACTTTACTTCTTTTAATAAGATTGTAATGACCTTTAAAAGATACCACAAACATGAGAACATTCCTAAGTCCATGCCAGGATTTCTGAATCCAATTCTGATACGAGAAGTTTAAGAAATTTCTTGACCAATAGAGGTGTCATTCATCATTGAATTTAAGTCTCAAGAGTGATTTTGTGAAATGATGGTTGTTGATTAAAGAAAAAGTTGCTTTAAAGTACTGGATGTTGTCATGAATTACTTATGAATGACTTGAATCTTTTTGATTATAAATAAAATTCATTTTCCTATCTCCTGACTTCTACCAGGAACTTCCTTTTCCTTTCACCATTTTTTTCGATCAACCCCTCAATGCCTGCCCCTCTCCTACTACTACTTCTAGATATCAGGTCTGATGATAGCAACCATTCCCAGAACAGGCAGCAGCAGGTTCTGAAGTTGGAGATGTGGACCATGGTAAAGAGAAAATAGCACAAGAGAAACTACAAAACATCGTTGAAAGTAATTAAAGACGACCTAAAAAATAGAAATAATTCTTTGTTAATGGATTGGAAGACTTTATTTTACTAAGATGGCAATATTCCCCAAATTGATCTACAAAATCAATGCAATCCTTATCAAAATTCCAACTACTTTCTTGTTCAGAAATGAACAAGCTGATCCTAAAATTCATATGGAAAGACAAGAAATTCTAAATAGAAAAACCAATCTTGGAAAAGAAAAACACAATGGGAGAAATTTTGAGAAGTTTCCTGATTTCTAAACTTGCTACAAAGCTACAGCAATCAAGACAGTGAGTGTGGTCATGGCATAAGGACATTATATAGACCAATGGAATACAATTGAGTGTTCAGAAAAAAACCCATACATTTGTGACCAGTTAATTTTCAACAAGAGTTCCAAGACCGTTCAATGAGGGAATAATAGTCTTTCTAACAAATAGTGCCAGGAGAAGTAGATATCCACATTCAAAAGAACAAAGTTGGACCTCTACTTACACAAAAACTAACTCAAAATGAATCACAAACCTAAATGTAAGAGCTAAAACTATAAAATTCTTAGAACAATACATAGTTGTAAATCTGCATGGACTTGGATTAGCAGTTTCTTAGATATGACACTAAAAGCCCCAAAACCAAAGATAAGTACATAAATTTGTCTTCATCAAAATTGGAAACTTTTGTGCTGCAATGAACACTATCAATAAAGTTAAAAGTTCTCAGGATGGAAGAAAATATTTGCAAATCATATATCTGAGAAGGATCTGGCATCTCCAATATGTAAAGAATTATTATAACTCAACAATAAAGAGACAAATAACCCAATTAAAAATGGGCAAAGCATTTCAACAGACATTTCTCCAAAGAAGATATAGAAGTGACCAATAAGTACATGAAAAGATACTCGTCTTTATTAGTCATCAGGAAAATGCAAATCAAAACCACAATGAGATAGTCTTTCACACCCACTAGGATAGCATCAAAACAGAAAATAACAAGTATTGGTGAGGATGTGGAGAAACTGGAGTCCTTATGCATGCTTGTATAAATGTAAAATTGTACAGACCCTTTAGAAAACAGTCTGGCAGTTTTTCCAAATGTTAAAGACATATTTGCCATTTAACACAGGGTCCCACTCTTATGTATGTACTCAAGAAAATTAAAAACATATTTTCACAGAAAAACATGTGCATAAACGTTCATGGCAGCATTGCTCACTACAGCCAAAAAGGAGAAACAACCCAAATGTCCATCAACTGATGAATGGATAAACAAGGTGTGGTATAACCAAACAATGTAATATTATTCAGCCATAAAAAGGAATAAAGTACTGTTTCATGCTACAGCATGGAGGAATCTTAAAAGCATTACACTAAACAAATGAAGTCAGACGCAGAAAGCCACATATTGTATAATATCACTTACATGGAAATTCCAAAATAGAAAAATCCATAAAGAAAATAGGTTAGTGGTTGCCAAAAGAGATGAGAGAAGGGGAAAATTAGGACTGGCTGCTGAAGGATAAGTGATGTTTTTGGAGTAGAATGGAAATTAGTGTTTGGAACTGGATAGAAAGATAGCAGCACAATATAGTGAACATACTAATAACTACTAGATTGTGTACTTTAAAATTATGAACTTATGATGTGAATTATATCTCAATTTAAAAAAAGAAGTAACAGTTCATTTTGTGCTCCTGCATCATAGTTATTTGCCTACATTTTAAACAATAAAATAGAAGTCATGTTGTCCATAGGACCTACATAAGAGTTACTGAAAAAAAGTTCCTATATGAGCCTGAGCCAGGTGGCTACAATGATACCTATCTGGGTGCCCAAAGACCAAATGTGGAGGAAAGAGGATATCACACTTAGTATAAATAATATAAGGAATATAAATGGAATTCAGGCACTATGTGTGTCACCCACACATGCTTTGAAATATGACCAAGAGTTGCTCTTTTGAGTTTCCCTGGGCTACTGGCTGTCTCTTTCCCTGCACCCAGTGGTTTAGATAGATGTGCATATTAAAGAGCAGCTAATTCAACTCAAGCAAAGAACAAAAGAGATTTCATGCTTAAACTTCAAAATTAACATGAGAGCAATTCTAGGAATCTGTCTCTCTACCAAACAACATCAAGAGACTAATAAGACAGAACAACTTTACTGGCTTTTACCCACACAGTTATAGACAAACTGAGAGAGAGGTACAGAGGGGTTTTGAAAACAGAATTTAGGGAGCCATAGATTGCAAAGTGCTGCCCCTTCCCATTTTTCTCTATTGCCTTTTACCGTATTTTCTCATACAATTTGGCAATGGTTTGGGCCTCTCTTAGGGAAGATTCCTCAGAAACAGACTCTGAGATGAAAATTTGCTGCAGGAATTTTACAGGTAAACACCCACGGATTAACCTCTGTGGTGATGGAGGAGGCAGGTAAGGATGAGGTGAGTTGTGGTAAACACACATGGATTAACCTCCGTGGTGACGGAGGAGGCAGGTAAGGATGAGGTGAGCTACAGTGCAGTGCAAGATAGGCTTTGGCCAGTCCCAGGAGAGTCAGATGGCCTAGGGGGAAGGGGCTGTGGCTTTATATGTCCACACCAACCTGCCGTTACTCATGAGTGAGCAACTTTGGGTTGAAGGTAATTTTTGGAGAGCAACTCAGTTAACGGCCATAAGCCACCTAAATTTCTACCAGCTGGGAGAATGAGCTCTGTCATCCTGAGGGGAACCTGGATAACGAGCTACAGGATCCACCACAGAGGTGTCTATATACCAGAAAAAAATGGATATCTCATTCGCAAGTTGAATTGTGTTATAGAGCAGTGTCTGTGGAACACAGAAAAGGCCTAATTATATTTGATAGGATGTTATTGTAGTCTCCTTTCTCCATTTTTTTGTGGACCAAACATTGGCATTGTGGGGAGACCTGGGTTTCCTAAAAGCTGAGAGAAAGTTGTAAGTAGAGCCCCCTTGGTGGGAGAGCAAAGGAATGGGGTGAATCCATTCCCTATATGAGTCTGAGCCAGGTGGCTACAATGATGCTTATCTGGGTGCCCAAAGACCATCAAAAAAAGCAACAGGACAGACCAGTATGAATTCCCAGGGTTCGAGGACTGCGGCAACCAGACCCATAAGGAAAGGAAATGAGGAAAACCCACATGAATCCCCATTCTCACTGACATGCTCCTCAAACCCCTCAAGAATGCACACTCTGCTCCTCTCCTCTCTTACTAAACTTGTTGCAAGAAAATAGTGTATCTGAGGCTCTCTGGGAGTTTTAAGTCAGAATTTATTAGGTTGATGCAAAAGTAATTGTGGCTCTTGCCATTTTAAAATGACAAACCTAATAAAAGGGAGGAAGGATCCAGGAATTATTAACATGAACTAATAAAATGATAATAGCAGAATTTGACTTAATATTTACCTATGAGTAACTGATTATAAATAGAGTGACTGAAATGGAGTTCCTGGAATGGCCTGTCTACATATTAGAAGAAATTTAGTTTTTCTGCTGCCAAGTGGGGATGAGGGATTGCCCAATAGGAGCATGATTATATATGTATGTGTGTGATTGTGTGTGTGTGTGTGTGTGTGTGTTCAGCTTTAGGTTTCTACATACCTGAGGTGTACTTGATGTGTGTCTGGTCATTTATATCTGCTGCATCCAATGTGGTCCTTACGAATTCCTTCTATGCAGAAAGGAAAATGAAGACATAAAAAAATTTTCCCTTTGTCAAAATGGCTAGTAAGTGACAGAACTATGATTCAAACCAAGTCTGTCTAACTCAAAAGTGTTTCAACTATTCTAAGGTACCTTTTTGGGAGTTTATTGACATCTTAAGCTGTCCAAGTATCTTAGTCATTTGTGCTGCTATAACAAAATATCACAGACTAGGTAATTTATAAATTAATAGAATTGGTTTTCACAGTTTTGAAGGCTGAAAAGTCCAAGATCAAGGCCCCAGCAAATTTGGTGTCTGGTGACGGCTGCGCTCTCTGCTTCCAAGATGGCGCCTTGTTGCTGCATCCTCCAGAACGGACGAATGCTGTGTCCTCATATGGCAAAAGGTGGAAAGGCAAAGGGGACAAACTCTCTCTGTCAAGTCCTTTAATAAGGGCACCTAAATCCCATTCAATCACTTCATAAAGGCCACACCTCTTCATACTATTGCATTGGGTATTAAGTTTCAACATGCAATTTGAAGAGAACAAAAACATTCAAACCATAGCACCAGGTAAAAATAAATACAAAGGATAAGAAAGGGTCAGAGGACCTCTGGGCCACCTCTAAATCTTACAGAGACCTCTCAGGACATCCCAGGACCAGGACTTTGTGTGAGACATGTAAAAATGGACCATGCACAGTTAGCCTGCTTGTGGCTGCTACAGGTTCCAGCTCTGGGCTATGAGTCTTGTGAGGCAGCTGCCTAGAGAAGCATTCAACAGAAGATCACTAGGAAGGAAGAATGAATCAAAACCCAAAGCACAATTTCTATCTTTGGCCAAGTTTAGTAAAGGAAGAGGGTGGGGTGGAAATATATGGAAATAATTTTGGTTTTGTAAAGACCATTTTTAATGTACTTAATTTCATATAAAGAAATGAACTAATAACTATGTATCATCCATTCTCTGGTCATTTTTGTTATAACCTTTAAAAATATACAAAATCAAAAAATCATAAAAGACTGATTTAACATTGCCATATCATTTTCTTCTTTATTTCAGAAATGTTTGATCTAGTTGTTTGGCTATTTTTGCTCTCCTCATGACAGTATTTATTTCATCAAGCAGTTGTTCATCACTTTCCATTCTCTGAAAGGCAGTAGTGTATTCTGGGCTCTTGTGCTCTGACCTTTCAAATAGTTTATAATTAAGCTAGTTAATGCTGTTCCCTATTTTCCAGCCTCAAAGTTAGCAAGCAACTGCTAGACTAGTCTCTGACCTATAAGAAAGAATGTGAAAAAGCTTATAATTATTACAGAATTGTCCTCTTTTGCAAAGCAACTAGACGCAGAACTTCTTGTTCTAGAGAAAGTAAATACTAGAATAAAAAATTCTCTGTAAAATTCTGTACGATTTATGATTAAAGTTATACTTTAACTCAATCAGAAAACATTTTGTCATTTATCATTTTCAATATATGCCCACTATGTGCCAGATACTCTGCTCAAGACAGAGATTTGGAATGAATAAGGACCTCAAAGTTTAGGGGTAGAGAAAGACATATAAACAAATAAATTTAAATTCATTTTGATAATCGTAACAACAGAACCATGCACATAATACCGGAGGAGGGGCTGCTTAATTCTGAAGAATGTCAACAATATCCCCACAAGGTCACATTTTGTAATTATAGGATTGCATGGCACTTTGACTATCATGACAGCACTGGTCACAGGGGCATCCCTCCATTTACCCATAGATTATCCGATTAATGCCTATCTCCTCCATTAATAAATAAGTTTCATTTGGGCATGAAGCATGTTTGTTGTTGCTCGCTATTAAATGCTCAACACCCAGGATAATGTGTACAAAAGTCTTTCAATTAATGTATCTTAAACATTGTCGACTATATGTAGGAAACATATCCTTAAAGGAATACATCCGGATACCTGACTTAGCTGTTGGAAGAGTTAGGAGTTTCTCATGAGAACAAGGCAAAAAGAGGAGGACATTGCAGGCAAGGGGTAGAGGCAGTATGTGCAAAGAGGTGGAGGCATGTGTGCTTGGTGCTGGGTGTAAGATGGGGTTTGAAGGTGAGTGTGATAGGGAGTGAAAGAAGGAGTGTGCAGAATATGAGAAATGTCATACTAAGGAATTACAGCTTTTATCTCACAGGTGTGTGATGGGGAGTCAGTAAAGCATTATATGCAAGTGACAAGCATAACTAGACTTTCCTTGAAATGTTAGAAGGACTAGTTTTTTGCAGTGCTCTGGTCATTAGGTTTTTTTTGTTTGCAAGTAACAGAAGCTCACTCAAGTTATACAAATAAGGGAGGTTTATTATAAGAATAAGCATGACAGTCGGGAGGGGTAATATTAACAACCAAAGAGAAAATACGGAGAAAAATTGGATGTCTTCTTTGACTTGGCAAGAGAAGTTACATTGATGGGAGCAGACCCCTGATTATAAGTAGAAGTCTTAATTGATGGGAAAGAAATGGAGATACTGCAAATAGACTACTTTTTCAAGAAGCTTGAAAAAAGAGAAGGAGGCTTCTGGGCCAACAGGATGCTGAGAATGTATGCTTCAAGAAACCTTCTTCCTAACACAGCAATGAATGATAAAATGTTAAACACACACACACATGCACACACACACACACCACACACCACAGCTGGACTCAAATATAAGACAAATATCTACATGGGTGAGAAACAGAACAGAAACAGAGTGGTGAATCAAAGCTGAAGTCACAATTTTCTAAGTTACGTAGTTGTGGCAAAGCACTAAGCAATGGTAGCTCAAAGGTCAATAATAGTAGTCCTCTCATAATTGGGGAGACTTGAGCTTCACTTGCTGCTGAAATCTGGTGAGCTGCCTCCCCTTGCAAAAGGAAGTAGGAAGAATGTAATGTCTATTAAACGTTATTAAATGTAGCTGAATAGAGCTAAGGGCACATAGAAATTGTGGGTCCAAGGAGTCACCGAGGAAAACAACCACAATTTCATTCTCTAAAACTGAATCAAGCTGCGTTCAAGCTGCAGCCTAGATTTCTCATATTCCTCACTGCTCCATAGGGCTGCTAACTCCAAACTGTGATGATAAAACCTAGTCCTGTATTGGAGACTAAAAGTGTACAGAGGCAACCACAAAATGCCTAGACCAGGAAGAGTGAGCAGCATGGGAACCGGGCAGAGGAGGGTGTGTGTGTGTGTCTGTGTGTGTGTGCGTGTGTGTGTGTGTGTGTAGAGTGAGAGAGAAAGAGAGAGAGAATATTCAAAGTAAACCAGCATACAAAAATTTTAAAACATATGTAGAAAATACAGTCAACAAAATCAACAATCAAGCTAATGAAGTTTTCTATATGATATGTATTTCGAAGAAGAGTTTGGCAAAGACTTAAAAATGTTGAGGTTGTCAAAGAGATAACAGAAAATATAGCTATTTAAATAGAATACAAAATTATTGAATAAAAGTAAACATGAACACAGCAAGAACAGAAATGACAGATGATAGATAGATAGATAAATAGATATGCTAATTAGAAATTTTGGAAAGAAAAAAAACTGTCAATGAATTTGAAAATGCAATAGATGAGAAATTTTCTGACAAAATAAAGCCCAAGAATAAATTAATGAGCTGGAACATAGAACTGAAGAATTCTAGCATGAAAAGACAAAGAGGTAAATAGGAAAATATTGTTAAGAAGCCAGATTGAGAGTCTCCAACATTTACAAAATAGGAGTTCTTGAAGGAAAAAAAGTAATAGTGAAGATGTAACCTTTAAGGAAATGATTATTGAGAAGTTTTTATAATTACAGAAGGACTAAATTTTCAGCTTCAGAGGGAGGCAAAGAAACAAGGCTACTAAATAAAAAATAAATCTCTGCAAGAATACATTATAAAAATCATGAAGATATGATCTCAAAAGTTAGCAGAGGAAAAAGAATGATTACTTATGGATAATGACAGTAAATTTAACAGGATATTATTTATTAGCAAAATGGAGGCCAGAAGAAAATAGGTAAAAGTAGGCAAGGGAAAATCAATGCCGAACTATAATTTTATACCCAGTCTAAAAATCATTCAAAACTAAAATATCTTTAGATATTTTCACATATACAAAGTCTACATACACACGCACACACATACATAATCCACTCAGTCACACTCATATACACTCACACATACAGATACACTTATGCTCACATTCACACACACACACACACACACACACACACAGTTCTTATTTAAGATGTGCTTTAGTTGGTGGACAAGTGAATCTGGAAGAAGAAATATAAAACAATGATAAAATATGTTAATTGGCTATTGATTATGAAAAATAATTTCTAAAGTTTAAAATAATGTTTAAATTTCGGCAGGGCCCGGTGGCTCATGGCTATAATACCAGCACTCTGGGAGGCCCAGTGGGTGGATCACCTGAGGTCAGGAGTTTGAGACCAGCCTGACCAATGTGGAGAAAGCCCGTCTCTACTAAAAATACAAAATTAGATGGGCATGGTCGTGAATGCCTGTAATCCCAGCTTCTCAGGAGGCTGAGGCAGGAGAATAGCTTGAACCCAGGAGTCGGAGGTTGCAGTGAGCCAAAATCGCACCATTGCACTCCAGCCTGGGCAACAAGAGCTAGACTCTGTCTCAAAAAATAAAAATAAAAATAAATAATGTTTAAACTTCAATAAAAACATAAAATTGAAATTTCAAACAACAGTAATGAAGTGACGGGGTGGAAGGTTATTCACTGGGTAAGTAAACCCTGACAGCTCTTATCATAGTTGAGAGAAGAGAGAATTACTGCACTGGACAGCGATAAATTTTTTAGATGGTTTTATATTTTATTATGCATATCCAAGTGTAGATAGTAAAAGAAAAAAAAATCAATCATGAAGCAGAAGAGATTTTGCTGAGATAAACCATTATCCCTGATCAGCAAGTTTTCTCCAGGTGGATACAAGTTTTCTCAAGGACAAAGTAGAGGTTGGTTGATCTTAGAGAAATAGGGGGCTATTCGGGCAGGGTGACAATTAGATGTTTCTTTTAAAAGATAGCAAGCTTCAAGGAAGTGAATTTCTGTCTTCACCAGTGAAGATACCCTTTGAAGTTGGCCTTAGAGCACTGTGATTGACACTGGATGTTTTTGCAATAGTTGCTACCATAGGGTGCTGGAGTGGAATTTTCATAGGGTTTCTTTAGGAAAAGGGAATTTCCCAACTCAGGGATAGGGCTTTCAAGCTCTCCCTGCCCAGAGTTCACAGCTTGAGGTGAGCTCTTGGGTTTTCCCTCAAAGCCATGCATCAGGGCCTGGGTCTGTCCTTGGAACACCAGGTCAGACTGAATCAATAACTCCCGTCACACTAAGACACAACTCTGTTGTTTCCTCCCATTCTCTTGGAAATCCATTTTTTCAGTGGAGAGAATCAGGCCAAAATGGGTCTTTCTATAGAGCTCCCACCCCCAGACTCTCACAGTAACTGTCATTTATTTATCTTACTGGAGCCTACCCTCCATGGTGCCGGGGTAACATTCTGTCCCTGTCTATGCTGTGATTGGGGGTCATATAGAATGCTACAGAGGAGAGAAAAAGCTGAAGCAGTATTTTGAGCCCTCCCTGATGACACTGCTGACCCCAGCTGGTTCCAGGCACTGCTGCAGGGGGACATAGAACACTTTGAGGAAAGCATTTTAAAGTACATGGCTCTGTGAGGCACAGGGTCCCTGCTTGCTCAGGTCTAAGGCCAGTACTGTGCAATGAGGAAAATGCTACGTAAATGTTCAGGAATGAATTTGACCCCATTTCTCAATTCTGGCTGGGTTGAATGGCCATAGGGCTTAGGACTTAGGTTGGTGAGGGCAGTAATAGAATCGTTCCTCCTGGAGCACCAGAAGATGGGATATGATATACAAGGCTGCGGGTTGGTTATGAA
This sequence comes from Homo sapiens, assembly GCF_000001405.40. Lineage (NCBI taxonomy): Eukaryota > Metazoa > Chordata > Mammalia > Primates > Hominidae > Homo > Homo sapiens. Next base: position 52,757,440 of record NC_000005.10, read on the forward strand.
AAGAGAAATAGGACACTTCAAACACATTGTTCTTATTTTGCATTATCACTGGATGTTGATTATTTCAATATTCATGTCTAAGATTCTGTTGAATGCAAAATCATTATTACCACTTCAATAGCTGCTATTTACTTACTTTGCCTTTCAATAAATTTACAGGAAGATTTAATTAAGTAAGAAGGCCTTGACAAGACGATATATTTCTGAGACATTGTAGCATGCTACAAATGGTGACATAAGGTCAAATGCCGATGATTTTATCCTCAAATGAACTATAATAACTTCCCTGACATGCACTCCCTGGAATTTTCAATTGTTATGAAATGGAATTTATAATTAAAGGAAGAAGCTAATACCATGTGCTGGACTAGAATAAAAATAACAAAACCTCTACTTATTAATATTTTTAAGTGAAAAGAAATACAAAGAAGGAACTAGAAAAGAACTAACATTTATTCAGAGCTTATTATAAATCAGAGTGTGTATTAGACAATTTAACTTTGAACACTTAAGTTAGAATTCACAATGACTCGATATAGCATGTTCATTAAAAGGACAGGAGATTTCAGATTTAAAGGCATACCAGCAATGTTCCCCAGTGAATGGATTTGTCAAAGGGGTTTGTGGGGATAAAGAACAGGAAATATTTTCAACAGCCTGATGACCAGACATCATTCAAGGAATTGAAGGACTGTAATATCATTTAAGATACAGCTACACACGCAAATCCGGCCTCAGGGATGACTAAAACGCCACCAATTCTCCTGTTTGCTTGCGTATACAGTTTTGCCCACAGGCACCATTTGCTCCCCTATTATGATGACTCAGGTAGACCTTGTCTCAGTTTCTACATCTCCTTCTATAGCTCATATAATATTTTCTATAGGGCTTCAAATATAAAGAGAAAAGTAGAGTAAAGTGTAATCTGTTAGAAAGAAAGCAAACATGAGAGTAAAAAAATTCCGTGTGACCCTGCTTATAGGCATGACTCCAATAAACTGAGCTTCAGTGTACTCAATTTTGAGTATACTGAATTGAGGTGGCTCATGCCTGTAATCTCAGCACTTTGGGAGGCCGAGGCAGGCGGATCACCTGACGTCGGGAGTTCAAGACCAGCCTGACCAACAGGAAGAAACCCCATCTCTGCTAAAAATACAAAATTAGCCTGGCGTAGTGGCACATGCCTGTAATTCCAGCTACTCGGGAGGCTGAGGCAGGAGAATCACTTGAACCCGGGAGGCGGAGGTTGCAGTGAGCCGAGATTGTGCTGTTGCACTGCAGCCTGGGCAACAAGAGCAAAACTCCACCTCAAAAAAAAAAGGAAGTGATTGCATAATAATTGATGTAAAGTGAGTCGCAATGTATAGTAGGAATTTTGTAATTTAGTTTTGAACTGGTGTTACTGGCCAAACACCATCCAGTATAAGGAGTGAGCTCTACAAGCCTGGATACCTTTCAGTGTATTAGCCAACTTTGGGCCCACTGTAGACCCATCAATGATAGCCAGAGTAGTAGGGTCATGGGATCCGCTATGCTAGTAATGACTGTCTGGCGGGGCTACTTCACAAAGCTCTGGATGATGTCAGATGTTATCCTAAAGTCTGATGGCACTCAACTGTAGCTTTGCTTGCTCACTGCATTATCACCAAGGTGACAATTAGTGGTGGGCTTCCCCAGCTCAGATTGTGCCCTTTTGAAGAGTCTCAACAGTGTGTATGGTCCCTAGTTTGCAATTTACATACAAATGATAATTAATAATTGAACATTTTTACTGTAAACTATTCAACACTATCCTTTCTCTTTTTAGAAGAATTTGTTAATGATCTAAGCTCCATGAATGAAAGAAGATTTCCTGCCAAGTTTGACACCCACTCTAAATGGACAAATCTGAGCTTTGAAGGCAAAACAAAACATTTGGGATTCTGTGATACTTTACCAATGACCAAACCTAACTTCCTCTTTTGGAGAAGAAATTTAATGTAAACCTTCATGTGAAAATTCCCAAAGATTTTTCAGATACCACAGTCCTCTTCAAACCAAAAGCTGGAAGAACAAGTATAAATACACTAAAACATGTGGGATTTGTTTTCTTTAAAATGTACATTAATTTTTTTAAGTTCAGGGAAGGGTCATTTGAATAATTCTATGAGCTGTACCAAGCCAAAGCCAAGAATACCTCATGGCAGTGTGGTGAGGCTCTTGATTTCCCACGCCCACATATGCACATAAGATTGCCTTTAACAGATATTTTAAGGAATAAAGGTAAAGGCCATGTTTGTACAAACATAATAGTAATAATGATAAAATAATAATAGTGATAAAGCCCTTGGAGATGTAGCTTATGGTCACTGGCATAAGAAATTCCCAAAGATTTCCACATAAATAAGGAAGGACAACTCACCTATGGTGAAAACTTGTTCATATGAATGGCATGGTGACCCCCCCAATTCTGACTTCCTCTCACACAGGTGAGCCGCACTCTCCAATAGAACTTTCTGCAATGATGTCAATGTTCCTCATTCTGCAGTGTCTAATACAGTAGCCACTAGCCATGTGTGGCTATTAAATAATGGAAATATGCCTGGGACTAAGGAGTTGAAATTTTTGATCTTATTTAGTTTTAATTATCTTTAAATTAAATAGCTTCATGTGGCTAATGGCTACTGTAATGGGCAGGATAGCTCTACAGAGCAGGAATAAACCCTTGATTAAATCATTGTTACTCCTTGAATACATCTCTATAATTACAACCATAATAATAAATAATTAACATTTGTTTAGCACTTGGGGCTTTACCTGCTTATTCCTCACAGAGCAAATTTCAACCATCATTCATGCCCCAGGTATTTGTAAACTTACTCTGGATAAAATCCTATTGTAACAACTAAAGTGAAGACTCGGGTGATAAGTGTGATGATGGCCCTGGATCCAGGGAGACAGAGCATATAAGTTGGTATAAGGACTGGTATGAATCAGCTCAGGGCACCAGATGGACAATCACATGCAAGGGTAGCAAAAATCAGAGAGAAATTTATGGACCATATAGGATAGGAGGATGGTGAACTCATAGGAGTAGATAGTCCCCTTGTAACCCAACAGGCTGTAGGTAATCTTGATGTGGGTCCCAGTCCTGGCTCTGATCTTATTATCCTCTGAAACGAAGAGGGAACAACGGGCTACTGACAGTGAACTCCAAGGAGTGTAATATAATCACATACTTTCACAAGATGTTGAGATTTACACAGAAATATTTGCAAATAAGAAAGTTTGCCTTTGGTGACTTTGGAGTCACACTCAACAACTCTCTTTCTCTCACACCCCACATCTGATCTCTTCAAGCAAATATTATTGACTTTATCTTTAAAATACATTCAGAACCTAGCAACTTCTCATCACATTCACCATGTTCTGACCACTATCATGCCATAACAGGATTATTGAAATTGTCTTTTCACTTCTCTTTTTGTGTCAGTCCTTGCCACAGCACAGTATTGGACATATAGTATATATTTCCACCAAGCAAGCAGATGGAAATAGAAAACCTCAGCAAAGTTTATTGCAACAGCTGGATTTATCATTGATATGATTTGGATGTGTCCTCACCCAAATCTCATCTTGAATTGTAGCTCCCACAATCCCCATGTATCAAGAGAGGGACCCAGTGGGAGGTAATTGAATCATGGGGGCGGGTTTTTCCCTTGCTGATCTAGTGATAGTGAATAAGTCTCACAAGATCTGATGGTTTTATAAAGGGGAGTTCCCCTGTACATGCTCTCTTGCATGCCATCATGTAAGATCTGACTTTGCTCCTTCTTTGCCTTCCACCATGATTGTGAGGCCTCCCAGCCATGTGGAACTGTGAGTTCATGAAACCTCTTTTTCTTTTTAAATTACCCAGTCTTGGGTATTTCTTCATAGCAGTATGAAAATGGACTAATACAATCACAGACATGATCAAATGGTTGTAATTATATTTTACCTATATCTAATTATATTTTCTACTTATGCAATTTTACCTACGCTGTCTGAAAAATCAAAAATAGTGATTACATAAAATTCCACTAAAACTGTACGATATCTGGAAAGAGCACAGAGTGATGCTTTAAAAAAATGTGTCTGGCAGAGCCTCGTGTCTCACACCTGTAATCCCAACATTTTGAGAGGCTGAAGCAGGAGGATCACTTGAGTGCAGGAGTTTGAGACCATCCTAGGCAACATAGCAAGGCCATGTCTGTACAAATATAATAATAATAATGATAAAATTTCTTTAAAAATGTATCATCTAATGCTACCCTTCTACCCCAAATCCTCTACTAGCTTCCATCTCTGAATAAAAGCCAAATCATCTAAATGGCCTTTAAGTCCCTATATAATCTGACCTCATGTTTCTACCACTGTCTGCCTAAATCACTCCATTCCAAACAGAGTGGTCTTCTGAACTTCCCAAGGATGCTCTTGCCTTAGGGACCTTCTGCTATAAGTTTCTTACCCTACATTCTAGCATAGACCTTCTTATAGACTGAATGTTTGTGTCTCCCTCAAATTCATATGTTGAAATCTTAATTTCCATTGTGATGGTATCTGGAGATTGGGCCTTTGGGAGGTAACAAGGTTAGATTAGGTCATGAGGGCAGGGTCTTCATAACACAATTAGTACCCTTATTTAAAAAAAAGAAAAGGCAGTAACACAGGATCTCTTTCTCTATGCTCTCCGTTATGTAAGGTTTCAACCAAAAGATGGTCATCTGCAAGCCAGAAAGAGGGCTCTCAGCAGAAATGAGATCTATTGGTACCTTGATGTTGAAATTTTCAGCCTCCAGAACTATAAGAAATAAATGTTTGTTGTAGAGTCACCCAGTCCATGGTAATTTGTTGTAACAGCTAGAACTAAGATAGACCTTCCTCCCACCTTTGCTCAAACATCATCTTTGCAATGAAACCTTTCCTGATTACCGTGTCTTAAATTTGCCACTCACACCCCTCACATACACCCTTTTCTCTAGTTCAGCTTCATTTTCCTCCATTAAACTATTAACTATCTAAAATACTATTTTTTATATTTTATTGATTGTCTATTTCTCTCCACCAAAATATAAGCTCCATTAAGATGGGATTTTGTTTTGTTTTGTTTGGTTCATTGCTTTATCCACAACATATAGAGAATTTCTTAATAGGTAGTAGACACTAAAACAAATAAATAAAATGAAGAATAAAGCTTTCTGAGTGGAAAGTTGATGAAAAAGAAGTTTTAAACCACTAAAGGTTTGTTGTTAGGACAAAGTTTGCATGCATTTCAACTATTGCACTTGTCCTCCAATGTTTTTTTCCTCAATTTCAACAACAGAAATTAGCCCACAGCTATATTTTGTTTGTAAGAGAATTTCTCTCCAACTAAGAGGTCATGAATCTTGCTTGGCCACAGTTAAAAAATGAGAACACTTGGACACAGGAAGGGGAACATCACACACTGGGGCCTGTTGTGGGGTGGGGAGAGGGGGGAGAGATAGCATTAGGAGATATGCCTAATGTAAATGACAAGTTAACGGATGCAGCACACCAACATGGCACATTTTTGCATATGTAACAAACCTGCACGTTGTGCACATGTACCCTAGAACTTAAAGTATAATAAAAAATATGTATATATATAAAAGAAAATAATACAAACATTATACATGGAAATTATGTCACTTAGTTAAAGTAAAACATACATTTATTCCAAGATGAAAAAAAAATTGTAGACACATCGAATGTTACAGCTGGGAGAGGCTATAAGAAACACTACTCCAGTGGGCCTCAAACTATGTTCCCACAATAGCTAGACCAAGTTTTCCCACCATAAAATAAAGTAACACAATATTTTATCCAATTTTCCGAAAACATAAAGCTAATAGAAAAAGTTTTCTCAATTTTTTTTCTCATAAATTTCTCTTACGGTATTGGCACTGCAATCACTTAACTAATGATATGGTTTGGCTGTGCCCCCACCCAAATCTCATCTTGAATTGTAGCTCCCATAATTCCCACTTGTTGTGAGAGGGGTGAGGTGGGAGATAATTGAATCATGAAGGCAGTTTCCCCCATACTGTTCTCATGGTAGTGAATAAGTCTCATAAGATCTGATGGTTTTATAAGGGGTTTCCCCTTTCACTTGGCTTTTCATTCTCTCATGCCTGCCACCATGTAAGACATACTTTTCACCTTCCTCCATGATTATGAGGCCTCCCCAGCCACATGGAACTGAGTCCATTAAACCTCTTTTTCTTTATAAATTACCCAGTCTCAAGTATGTCTTAATCAGCAGCATGAAAATGGACTAATACAACTAACAAGCATTTTAAGATGTCAAAAATTAATAAACAAGAAGCAAGCAGATAGAAATAGAAAATCCTAGAAATGTTTATTGCAATAGCTGGATTTATCATAGACATGATCAAATGGTTGTAATTCTATTTTTGCCTATATTGAATTACATTTTCTACTAGGGCAATTTCCCCTACTTTGTCTAAAAAAAATTAAAAATAATGATTACATGGCATTCCACTAAAACTATAATATCTGGAAAACAGAATTCTAACTGTAGGTTCTCTAAGTTGAGACAAGTTTGAAAACATCTGATCTAGTCTAGGCCTTAATTTCACAGATGCTGCAACTTACACCGAAGGGAGGTGGCTGGCTCAAAGTCACATAGTGACAAAAATATATAACTTGACAAATCTTTTCTGCTTACCTCTTTCTTCCCGATTTCAAATCTCAAGGATTTGGTTTGTTTTTCTTTTTTTAAGATCTCACTATTTACTTTATTATAAGAGGAATATCTGCTCAAAAATCAGTCTATTAAATTGAGTTTCCCTGGAAGCCAACTCCTTTTCAATCTCCCAACAAGCCCACTTTTCTAATCACTATGTGTATTAGGATTGTCAGAGAAACAGAATGAGTAACTTTATATATATAGAGAGAGAGAACTTTATATATATATTTATATATATAATAACTCATATATACATATATAGAGATAGGTAGATATTATAAATATATGTGTGTGTGTGTGTGTATATATATATATATATATATATATGTGTGTGTGTGTGTATGGAGACAGAGAGATTATGAAAAATTGGCTCATGCAATTGCGAAGGATGAGAAGTTCCAAGATCTGCAGTTAACAAGCTGGAGATCTAGGAGAGTTGGTAATATAGCTCCAGTCTGAAAACCAGTGGTCTTGAAACCCAAGAAGAATTATTGTTTCTGTTCAAGTCCATAGGCAGGAAAAAAACTGATGTTCTAGCATGAAGGCAGTCAGGTAAGAGAAGTTCCCTCTTATTTAGGCTTTTCGTTATAATCAGGCCTTCAACTGATTGGATGGGACCCACCCACATTAGAGAGGGCAATCTGCTTTACTCAGTCTACCAACTTATGTTAATCTCATCCACAAGTACCTTAAAGACAAGGAATAATGTTTGATCAAATATCTGGGCACCCTGTGGCCCAGTTAAGTTGAAAGATAAAATGAACCATCACAATGTGTAGGTAATAAAGTCTTATTAAAAAAAAAAGAGATAGAGAGTTATAAATCTACGAAAAATATAAAAAGAAAGGGAGAACTTTAGCATATCTTCTCCAAGACATGGCTAAAAAGCTAGAAAACCATGGATAGTTTTCAACCCCCCAAATAGGTTTCCCTTGAAAAATTTTTCCTGGAGGATTTCAGGGGAAGAAAAAAAAGCACATAAAAGAAGACTTCTAATTTTAAAACATTTCAAATGTCTTTGTTTTTTAGAGCACTGGAAGATCTTGCAATACAAGCCCATTTCTTAAATGGCAGCAATCAATTGGATCAAGTAGCAACTACTCCCTTTATACAGGCCTAGAGTTTTCTGTTCACCCCAGTTCTCTCTGTCCTTTTCACCAGAAAATGTTAGTTTCCAATCAATACTAATTTGATCATCATTTTTATCTTACTAAAGTAGAATAGTTTTGTGTCTTCATGTCATCATCAAAATTGGGGAAAAAATAAACTAAGGTGATAATGAATTTAAAGAATACAGTGAGAAGAATCACATTTATTTTATAAATTAATTATATTGTATTAATTATATTATTATGTTTTAATATGCATACAATATGTTTCTGTGTAGAAACAACTAAAATTAGTTGTTTTTTTTCATATATTAGCCCATAGCCTTACTTGAGTTTGTGATTCCTATTTTATAGTCATGATTATTAACTCACTTCATATATAGTAATTGAAAGCTGTGGGCTTCCTGTTTGCTTTCTCCTCTAAAGACTATTACTAATACTCCTAACTCATAGTAGACACATCTCATGCCTAATGTCTCTGCAGCTTCCTTGCTCACCACCAACCCATCACACAACACACATTAACACCCACCAACTACACAATAAATGAAACAGTTGTAAGTTGTTCCTTGCAAAGAAGTAGCCATTCATGGTGACATTGCCAGGCGCTTGGCCTAAGGGCACTACAACTTGAACCCACTAAGCTAGGGAGTGACCTAGCTTTTTATTATGGCAACCAGACTTGCTCTGTTTTGAATTTTTGATGTTATAAGATTTTAATTTTTATATGTTTAAAATTTCAATTTTAATTTAATGAGATTGTCCAGATAATAATGAGAATAGAGGAGACAGCCAGACAGGACAAAAACAGAAAGTAAGATGAGACCACATGGTACATAAAAAAGCTGGCTGAGCATGGTGGCTCATGCCTGCAATTCCAGCACTTTGGGAGGCTGAGGCAGGAGGATCACTTGAGCCCAGGAGATCACGGATGCAGTGAGCTACGATTGTACCACTTACTCTAACCTGGGCAACAGAGTGAAACCTTGTCTCTGAAAACAAAACAAGAACTACTGAGAAATTCATGTTTTTTTAAAGCTTCCTCTGTGACCAAGAGATTATTCCCTTTCAGAATATAAATATTAGCCTAAATTAGATTATATAATTATATTTTTAAAAAGTTTACTTTTTTTTTTCCCACATCTCAAGGAACTGCCTATGCTAAGGGACTCCTAACCAAGTCGGCCTCTTGTTTCAGGTAATTTTCAACAATGACCATGTCTATTAGTCAGGGTTCTCTAGAGGGACAGAACAAACAGGATATATGTATATAGGAAAGGGAGTTTATTAAGGAGAATTGACTCACGATCAAGAGGTAAACTCCCACGATATGTCGTCTGCAAGTTGAGGAGCGAGGAAGCCAGTGGTGGATCAGTCCCAGTCTCAAAACCTCAAAAGTAAGGAAGCTGACAGTGCAGCCTTTAGTCTCTGGCCAAAGGCCTGAGAGCCCCTGGCAAACCGCTGGTGTAAGTCCAAGAGTCCAAAAGCTGAAGAACTTGGGGTCTGATGTTCTAGGGCAGGAAGCAACCAGCACAGGAGAAAAGATGAAGACCAGAACACTCAGCAAATCAGACCCTGTCATGTTCTTCTGTCTGCTTTTATTCTAGCCATGCTGGCAGCTGATTAGATGGTGTCCTCCCCGATTGAGGGTGGATCTGCCTCTCCCAGACCACTGACTCAAATGTTAATCTCCTTTGGCAAGACGCTCACAGACACACCTAGAAACAATACTTTTCATCCTTCAATCCAGTCAAGTTGACACTCAATATTAACTGTCACATCATGTAACCAGAAATCCACTAGTGTGGGTTGAATCTTTTATTCCTAAAATTGATAAAGAATATTTTTCAGGACTCACTCCAATTCTGAATCTAGGTTAACATCACCAAAGATGACTTTCTGATTTATGTTGGTAATTTCTAGGTGTTTGGCCATAAGCTGAGTATATCATTAGTTTCAAAACAGATATACTCATCTCCCAAATGGCATTAGTATGTCATCTTGTTAAGAAAAGTTCACTTACAGTTTGTCATAGTTCATTTTCTTTTGCTATAACTGAATACCACAAACTGGGCAATTTATAAAGAAAAGGAATGTATTCGTCACATTTCTGGCAGCTGAGAAGTCTAAGAGCATGGTACTGGCATCTTGTGAAGGCCTTCTTGCTGCCTCATATCATGGTGAAGGGCATCGCATGAGGAGAGGGCAACAGCATGCCAACTCAAGTCTTTCTTCCTCTTCTTACATAGTTACCAGTCTCATCAGAGGGCCCCACCCTATGACCTTATCTACTCCTAATTATCTCCTATCTCCCATCTCCAAATACCATCAACATAAGATTTGGGGAATTAAGTTACCAACACATGAAATTTGGGGAACACCTTCAAACCATAACACAGTTTCATCAGTTTCTTTGGATATTGTGGCTTATAGATATACCACATTTCTGTAATTATTAAAAAAAAAAAAAACTTGAGCTTTATTTTCCAAGAGCCTCTGCCAGAACTTAAAGTGTGTTTCAGATTTCTTGTAACTTGAGAACTTCCTCTATAACTGGGCCTTTGTTTACCCCAACATATCTGTATATCTAGGCAATCTATAACTCTACTGAATTCAGGGAATATCAGAAAAAGGAAATAAATGTGCATTGAGTCAATCCACAAGTTCAGTTTGAATGTGAATATTTCACTTCCTTAAAGAAAGCAGAGCTATTCTTGTCTAGCTTATTTGTCCCTTAACTTTAAGTTTAATCTGTGGCATTCTCTTCTTACATCAGTAAGAAACAAGAATCATACTATGAGTCCTGGGGGGTCCGACAAGTTGGTTCTTGCAGATTTTCTGAACTCCAAAAATTCCTTGGTATCAATTTGTAGTTTAAATTCTTTTCAACATGCTTTCACCTCCTATCTTCCTGATAGCACAAAAATTAGCAAATTTTTCATACTTTGCTTGAAATTCCTGCATAAACTGGTAAGATATGGTCACAGGCAGAAAAATTATTTACAATGGTGATCATTTCCTTTGTCATATAATGAAATGAACCTAGCTTGGAAAATCACAGCAAAACTTGTCTGGTGAATTTGGACACTAGGCACACCAACATTCTCTTGGAATCTGAATAAACTGTTGAAAGCTTCTTTCATCACAGTGCTCTATCTGAAAAAAGCAAAATTAATTTTTCAAAGTTTGAGCCAACTTCTCAGCTTTCTTTCTGGTAAACACTTACTTCATTATTTTGGTCTTTAAAATATTGCTAAAAATGTCAGACTGTCTGCACTGGAAGTCAGATGGACAGAGTTGACCTGCTGTAGAATATTTCTTTACAACCTCTAGCTCCTCTTATTTACCCTGAGCTTTTGTGCACCTGTATCCTGTATGCTGCAGTGTTTGTTTGCCACAATACAAATGTCACCCACCTACCCCACCCAAAATAGAGGCAACAGACAAAAGTATTGCCTCATATGCCAATAATTTCCTATGATCTAAACAAAACCCATTTATAAAATTCTAGACAACCTAAAATAAGCAAATATTAATACAATTTTGCCCACATTCCTATTTGATTTATGACTGAACTGTTGGCAGAAACATTATTTTATTTATTATTATTATTACTATTTTATTTATTTACTTATTTTTTGAGACAGAGTCTCACTCTGTCTCCCAGGCTGGAGTGCAATGGTATGACCTCGGCTCACTGCAACCTCCGCCTCCCAGTTTCAAGCAATTCTCCTGCCTCAGCCTCCCAAGCAGCTGGGATTACAGTCATGCACCACCACGCCCGGCTAATATTTCTAGAGGGGGGCTTCACCATGTTGGCCAGGCTGGTCTTGAACTCCTGACCTCAGGTGATCCGCCCACCTCGGCCTCTCAAAGTGCTGAAATTATAGGCATGAGCCACTGCGCCCTGCCAGAAATATTTTAAAGCCAGCACAGCACATCACTATTTGTGATCTAGGAATCCTAATCCCTGACTTTGAATTTTCTCTGGCTCATGTCATGATCCCTCCACAGCTGTGTTATAATGTGGAAATTTATCTTTCATGTGGGTCTGACTTAGCCTTTACTTTTTTTTTCTGTCTCTTACTTAAATCATGATGTTTGAGTCTCATCTTTCATGTTTCTTTACTATTTTCTCTACTGATCTTTGTAATTCCTGGGTTTTCCTAACTACTGGGCCAAACTGAAGGCACATTAATCCATGATTCATGATCAATCCATGATCACCTTTTGAGGTTCTATAGAGAAGACGGTATGGTTAAGATTCTAATGAGTACATATGGGAAAAACGTTGGTCAACTTTTCTTTTTTTAAGATCCCGGGCCTGGCGCGGTGGCTCACGCCTGTAATCCCAGCACTTTGGGAGGCCAAGGCAGGTGGATCACGAGGTCAGGAGATGGAGACCATCCTGGCTAACACGGTGAAACCCCGACTCTATTAAAAATACAAAAAATTAGCTGGGCGTGGTGGCGGGCACCTGTAGTCCCAGCTACTCCGGAGGCTGAGGCAGGAGAATGGCGTGAACCCGGGAGGCAGAGCTTGCAGTGAGGCGAGATGGAGCCACTGCACTCCAGCCTGGGCGACAAAGCAAGACTTCGTCTCAATAAATAAATAAATAAATAAATAAATAAATAAATAAATAAAAGATCCCGCCAAATAGTCAGGGTTTCTGGGCTATGAGGAAGTGAACTAATTTATTAACTGTAAGGTTGACCTTTGTAAGCCATAAAACAGATATCTGACCAGTTTCTTCATATGGCTTTGTAGTCATTGATCCTGTATGTCTACCTAAGCACAACCGTTATTTTTTATTGATGCAGTTTTTATATCTGACTAAAGGAGACTGTTCCTAAATACGGCACTCCAAAACATTCAAATAACTTGGTTGCATAATCAGTTCATTCAATGATAGCCAGAAAAATAGGAGAACAAGTTTTATTGTTCCTATGCAAATAACCACATTGTTATTAATATGACAGAGAGGGAGAAAAAGAGAGAAAAGAGTAGAAGATTTATTTCTGAATTCTGAGGGTCAGTGAGAACATGAAACTAAATATTGTACTAAATTAATAATTAAAGAAAGATTAAGAATAAACAAAAAGAGTGTTCAGCTTAGGTTCAGAAAAGGTGTTCGGCTTACTTTTCTTCATCATTTACAGATGGGCTTCTCAGATCTCAGCTTTGAGGTCTCATCTTGGAGGTTTCCGCTTCTGAGAACCTTTTGCTAACTTCCTTATACTGGGCTAAGTGTCCATTACATGTGCTTTTGTTGCACTCTGTGTACCCGATTAGGTACATGAGTATGTCAATTAAAACACTGTTTATGATAAGAAAAATTTGAAATTACTTAAGTGGCCAACAGAAAATAACATGGCAAATTTATGTAATGAAATGTTGTAATTAAAAATGATGGTGTCAATGTATATTCAATGGCATGAACATATGTTCATAATTAAAAACAGATTACATAGTGAAATTACATAATAAAAAACAGACTGCAAGAACATAATGCACGTAATATGGTTACATTTTTATGACTACATATATATGTATAGAACATTAACTTTTTTTTTTAATTTTAGAGATGGGATCTCACTCTTGTCACCCAGGCTGGAGTGCAGTGGCATGATCATAACTCACTGCAACCTCTATCTGTTGTGCTCAAGTGGTCCTCTTCTCTCAGCCTCCTAAGTAGCTAGGATTACAGGCATGAGCCACAGTACCTGGCTTTTGCGTAGAAAAAGTTCTAAAGGCTATAAATGTTACTAATAGAGGTTATCACTTAATGGCAAGACTATACATTATTTTCGTATTTATTTACTGTCTAATTTTTGCATTTTTTTAAGCATGGATTTATTTTGTCTCAAAAGGAACAATAAAGACTATTAAACACTTTCTTAGCAAAATATTGGTAATTTGAACAATAGAATGTGATGCATTAAATCTTCACAAAGATGCTTTAATACCCCTTACACCAAATGGAGCATAGTGTTTCAAAATGGAGTTTTGCAAGATTTGTGTTTTTTCTGCTTAAAAAAAGGAAATGCCTTTCTTTTCCCCCTTTCTTCTGGGGAAGGCTAGATTCCAGGTAATCCTCATAAACAGACATTTAAAATTAAACCCACAGGTTTTCAAAATACTAATGGATTCTCCACTCCATTTCTCAAGGCCAGGCATGGTTTTTCTGCTTGGACACTTGGCACAAGTGTTCTGGATTGTACAGAACAGCGCTGGTACAGTGCTGACTCTGAACATGAGCCAAATTCACCTGTTGTTGTTGTTGTTGTTTTTGTAATTTCAGCTTATGTACCACAAACTATAATTGGAAAACAGTTGGTTCATGGATTTTCCTAGTTAAGTTTTAAGCATTCCAGTTAGTAAGCAAATTTATTGCTGTGAGTTTTTTTTTCCAATTGTAAAGAGCTATTGATAAGTGGCTCTGAGATGGAGAATGCACCCTAACAAGCCACGGCCCACTGGAGGCTTCACATTCAGACTTCTGCGAAAGATAGAGAAACCACAGTGTAAAAGAGAAACTGATACTTTCATACTAGTTCACTCATAAAAAGAAAAGAAAAGAAAAGAGAAATCCATTGTCACTGTGAAGAGAGAGTCAGGAGGCATACAACTGGATTGTTACTCACCTCTTCTTGTTGATTAAAGAATGTTTAACTCTAAGATATACATACTCAATTTAATTCTTTAAAGTTACTTTTCACAAGATAGAATACAATTCCAGATTCTAAATAAAATGATAACACTAACTGTGGGTGAAAGTGACCTGAATCTCCTAACAGTTTCCTCCTCTCCCTACGTAAATAGCACATGCTCTTTGTTGAAGTCCTGCACTTGCTAATACTTTGCATCTTCAGGTCTGGAAGAGAGAAAGATGAGAAATAAAAGGGAATCGCTGTTTTTTTCAAGTTCTTCTTCTTCTTACAACCTCCACATATTCATGGCATGATTCATTTTTACTTTATATTTGCCTCGACAAATAACTCACCTTCAGTGCAACTTGCTCCTGGAGTTATTTCTCTAATAATACTTTTGCTCAAAATCTATACATATTCACCAGCCTTCTTGAACAAAGGTGTACACATTCATTAAGGAGGGGTAAAGGGAAATTTGGGACATTAAACAATTTTGTTTAGGTTTACTTTGTTTTTGTTTTTCAGATAAACTTAGATGATCCTTATGTGATCTTCACAAGGCTGACTTCTTGTCATTCAAAAGGCACATTAAGTGTTATTTTTAGACATGTCTTCTCTGACTATTCAAATGAAAGTGGCCACTCTTCTATTGTAATTATTTGTGTAACATTATTTCTATATGACATGTTTTCTCATTTATGTATTTATTTATTTATTGTTTATCTCCTCTCAACCACAACAAAAATTAACTTCATGAGGGCAGGGACTTGTTGATCTTATTTAATACTCAAGAATGGCTTCAGGTATAGTAGATGCCCAATAAATTCTGAAAACTAAATGAATAACTATGTGTACAAATCCTCTTCTCCAAGAGCAGCAGTCACTTAACTAGCAGATTAGTGTTAAACAAATATTGCACATTAGATAAATAATCTTCATCTCTACCCAGTCCTGCCATACTCTTGTGGACTTAATCAATGCCAACAGGGGAACAAATGTGATTAATTAATCTCTCTTATTAACTGATGGTCCAAAAACCAGAACTCAATTATAACACAGACTGCAGTAGATATATTCATCAACAGCATGTAAAATCTTGGTTCCAAAACTAAAGCTCAATAAAATGACAATATAATGTGATTTGAGTAAGCTACTGGGTTAAAATACTCCCAGTAAGTCATCAACACAGCAAAAAAAAAGTTCTGTTAAATGACAGTTCATTCTAGCAGAAGTTATATTAGAAGGCACGGATTAAGCAAGGCAGGATTTTAGATCTTAATTCTGACTTACAGAAAATTATTAGATATGAACCTAAACTATAAATGTGGGTTTTTCAGAACAAAGCTTTTCTTGGCATATATGAAACTTTATGCCTGAAAAGTTTCATAACGTAATCTTGGTTTTTAAAAATTTGACATCAGTACATTCTATCTATTAAAGGTCATTTGATTTCTTGTAAATGTAGCTCTTTTGAGTGACTGAAATAATAAGTAACACACTCAGTGATCACCAGTTATTTAGTGTCGCACTACATTATAACAAAAGCCATTACATCCTGTGTGACAGGAAAATGGGTGGAGGACCTTGTATATCAAACTTCCAGAAATCCTTGTTTACAAGGCTGAGTTTTTATGTCATAGCGTGGCAGTCCAAAACTTTTTCAGCAGGTCATGGCTTTTTTTCTAGGAAAGTTATCTTTATAAAACACCTTGATAATTGTTTCCTTTTTGCATATATAACAAAATATCTAAAACAGACACTAGCATGAAAAAAATCTTATCAAATTAAAGGAAAAATGGATATTAAGTGATATCTTATGGCAGTCTTATAATGCTTTGCATACAGTAGGTACTCTGTAAGTATTTATTAGTTTAGTGAATTAGATAAAAAATTAAAGCGCAAGCTTCCCTGATTCTCTCCACTGTTCTAAAGACTGCATGCAGGTTCCTAAATAACAAGTGGTAGAACCTAGTGATAAGCAAATTTAAAGGTTTATTGATTATATGAATATATGTTTAGAAGTTTTAAATTACAATTTCAAACTGCATTTAAATGAACTTCTTCCACTTCAGACTCTCTCTGCACAAGATTACCTCTGTGCCACCCCTCTTCCCTGCTCTGTGTCCCTGTCTCGGTAGTTCAGCTTTTTATCAGCCTCTCTCAAGTGACATAAAAGCACTGATTTATTTGTGTTCCCCTTGACCCCAGAGTTTTCACAACTGAAACAAAATTCCGGGTTTCAGAGTCCTGTTCCTGCATGGGAACGTTTCATAATCCTCTTGTTCAGCTACTCAGAAAAACATATTCATTGTCCCTTCCTTTGTGCCCTCACAGCAGGTTGTGATGCCTTTAGGTTGCGCTGATCTCCAGCTACCTCCTTTGACTTGTCTGGCTAGGCAACCAGCCCTTCCTTAACATTTCCTGCCCTTCGTCTCCATGCCCCCACCCCTGTCTCTACCACAACAATTAAAAGAAGACCTCATTGTTTATCACTGGGTTGATAAACAATCCAGTTAAAATCTGAATTTAAAGACAAGATTTCAGCTGATATTTCGTGATCTTTCTCTATATACATTGTAACAAACAAGATAATTTTGAGTACTCTGAGCCATCAAGCAGTAAAATCTCAAGGGCTGCTCATTCACTCATTCTACAGCAGAACATTCTTATGTCCTTATTTCCTCTATTTTGTAAGTTTTGAATGTTTTAAGCATTCTCTTTTTGAATTCTTTTCTTCTTTAATTTTGTCATCCAGCCTGGCCAACATGGCGAAACCCTATCTCTACTAAAAATACAAAAATTAGCCAGACATGGTGGTGGGCTCCTATAGTCCCAGCTACTCTGGAAACTGAGGCAAGAGAATTGCTTGAAATCAGGAGGCAGAGTTTGCAGTGAGCCGAGACCACGCTACTGCACTCCAGCCTGGGTGACAGAGCGAGACTCCATCTTAAAAACAAAAACAAACAAAAACAAAAATCACTATATTTTTGACTAAGAGAAAAACTACAGGACATACTGTAGTAATAGCAATCACAAATTTTTTGGTCAAAATTTTCTCCATATTTTGGAAGAATTTAATTCTGCTTAACAGCAGTACATTGGATCAACGGTGTCATTCAGTGGAAAGTAGCGGCTAATTTCCATGCATTAGCTACAGTTTTTCCCTGATCTCTTAGAGAGGTGAGTCTGATAACCTTCAAAGCATAGGCAAAATCAGATTCTTTAACAATGTTTAGTAATATTAAATTATCTTCATGTTAGCCCATGTTTACATGATACCAAACAGATCATATTTTTAAGGACTATTCCAGCATCTTGAAGCAAAACAGTTTCTTTCTTAAAATGAGAAACAGAGCAATACACAAAAGTAATACAGAAAAGTTTATTTCATATATATACATCGAAGAGTGTATACGCTCTGAACCTCTAGTGTTAACCAAGATCGAATAATGAGTTTGATATAAAAAATTTTTCATTTTATAGAAACATAATATTTTGGAGCTTTGGACAAGGGCCTTACTAGCCTGGTGAATTTTTGTCTCATTGGAATACATACACTGATGTTTTGAGCACAGAGTACCTTAGCACCTCTGGGGAGTTTCTACTAGCTGCGAGGTATGAACCAATATGATAACCAAAGTCCTTATCTAATCGAAGTTACTGGAGAGGACTGTGGCCCACATGAGTTAAAGGTCATTCTGGGAGAATAACTGGTCTCCATGAAAGTGAATTGATACCTAGTTCTGTATAAGAACCCCCAGGATCTCTCCTTCAAGATGATTACTGTCCTGACTTTGACTCATCCTGGTCAATTAACTCTGGGAAATGGGGAACCTAACTTTAGAGGGAAGTGTTGGAAAACACCCCCAAGCACCAATACCCATAATATGAGGTCTAGGGCTTGAAAGCCGGGACAGAGGGTGACCTTGCCTGCTTTCATGTTGTAGCCCCAGATAAAGGAATGGTCACTTACCTAAGCACACAGTCAGAGCTGTGAGAGGTTAGTTTGCCTGGCCAGTAGGCAGCCAAACTGAGAAAATGAAGCACTGGAGACGGGGGTTGGTTATTTTCCATTTGCTGCCACTGCCCCCTAGATCCATTCTGGACCCTTTTCCACCCAGCTTTTTGTTGCAGGAGGACTGATCCATATGGATGGGATCCCCTTGCCGCCTGGAAGCTTAGGCCAGTGGGAGCCAGTGGCAGGATATTGGAGGGCAGAAAAAGAAAGATGTCAAACATTTCTTATGCCCTCCCTAGCTCCCTCTAACCCTACACACAACTTTACCCTCCCCCATCTCAAACCACTGGCTGGCGCCTTCCACAAGGACAGCTTCTATTGGACACCCACTCCCTTTCAAGACTCTAATTCTCACTGGTAATACTAGCTCCTTCCTTTGCACTTTGAGGTCTGGGGGTGCAAAGAGTTGGTGACTCAAGATGGTTTGCTGGTTTCCTCTTATCTGTCTACACCTCAGTAAACATCTCCTTTATTTCATGTTACCCAAACTCCTGCTGCTGTAACTTTTAATACCTGTTGGGACATGGCTGACAGAGTGGGAGGTGAATACATATATAAATGCATGCATACATATATATTTACATGCATATGTTTATGTGTGTGACCAGAGAGACTTCATTCCTAGCGAGGGATCTTTGATTTCTACAAAAAAGAGCCAAAGGCTGCAGAAACTTTCCCTTGAAGGAAGTGAGAAAGGGAAGGAAGAGAGGAAAGGAAATAGAGATAATTTCATCTTTACCTTAGCATAATTTTTTAGTCCTTGATGTCTGATATGTGTTTAAATATTAATAGTTTCCATTTCAAATAAGGAATGTTAGGCATGTTTTCTCATCTAAAGAATTCTAATTTTCAAGTCCTTAAAATAGATCTTTTAAGGTGTTAAAAAATCTAAATTAATTTAGATTTCCTAATTTCTTAATTTAAGCTATCTTAATTTAGCTAGTTAAGATCAAAAGGCAAACTTCAACAAACTATTCCAAATCAAAAGTTGGCAACCTGCTTATAACATAAGATTATTTTAAAACGTACACTTGTTTAGGAATGCGTTCTGGTCCTTTAACCAACTGCGTTACCTAAAAGAAAGAATAATATATGTATATATGTTGCACACGCATGGGTGTAAACTTTTGAAAGCATCTTAAAATTAACAAAAACAATCTGGGCAAGTATTTAAGAAATGTTTAGCATTTTTAAGAAAATCACTGAGTTATTTGTTGAAACTCTAATTTACTGTTATTGGTAACCATATAATTTCAAGGTTTATTTCCTAGCTGAATATATTCAAGGTTTGCTTTATTTTATAAAAGCTTTTGAAATAAATAATCAGTTCCCACATTAGCAGTGAGAGCTGAAAAACATCATCGCTGCTGCTATTGTCATTTCTTGAGGTTTTCAAATGTCGATTTTCATTCCAAAAGCTTATAACATGATGTGCACAATGAACAGGAAACAGATGTGTCCTAGAGATTTATTTTGATATTTTGTGTATATTTACTACAAACAGACAAGAATTAAAATATCAGCGTAGTGGAAATTATCTAAAAAATGATCTTTAAAATGTTCCTAGATTGTGGGTACACAGAATTTAAAAAATATATATACGAAAAATTTCCAGATTTGGGTTTCAGTCGTAGCAATTCTATTTATTATGTTGCTCTGAATTTCTTAAAACTAGGCTATCTACCTAGCCTTCCTAATGGGAATGCTGAATTCAAATATAACTATAAATGGAACAAATTCTAAATTAATTATAAAACGTCATGCAGATAATACTTATTTTTTCTGTGAGACTTTATGAACTTCATAACTTCTTATGAACTTGGTAACTTCACAAATTTGGAAAGAGACTAAATCTTTTCAAACAATGGTGAAAGACAATATTACTTAGAAGCCTATGAACCAGTAATATAAAGTCACTAAGGGAAGAAAAAGAGAGAAATATTGCAAAGATTCATTCTAAATAGGTAAGCATTTTAAAATAACCTCATCTTGTGTTTCTGCATAGACCGTTGCCATATTGTGGGGATTATGTGCTGAGGGGTATGTGTGTGTGTGTGTGTACACACTAACAGTCATGTGTGTGTTTCAAATGTTAGGACACAACCAAACTGACTTTTAACTTGCTGACTTGATTGGGGGTTTTTTTAGCTTTGAAATTTAGAAACAAATTTTATTTAAGATATGAAATACAATTTCTAAAATATCTTTTTCAGAAAACCATGGCTACACAGTAATAATTGCCTTTATCATGTTAGAATGTTCATTAGTCTCAAATAAAAAAACCGTGAAACAAACCACCATCCTTCAACAATTTGAGCAAAGATAGAATGCCTAAGGAACAACATAGGTGGACTTGAAGAGGATGGGCTGTTTTACTTCAACAACCATTAAAAAAACAAAAAAGAGCAAAAATGCATGGGTTTTGGGGTATATACATTAAGTTGAACCTTTGGCAGTAGGAATCAGGGCATTTTGTCACATAGCATTAACACATATTAGAAAATTGTGGGCCGGGTGTGGTGGCTCACAAAATTTTTTCTAACAAATCCAACATTTGGGATTCCTAACAAATGATTTCTATTGCTGTTTTCCCCCCACTTTGTTTAGGTTATACTTTCCTATTTCGTTGTAGTATTTTTTTGTTTGAACTGGAAATTTAAAATGTTACAATATGAAAAATCTAATTCAGATTCTTCACACTGGAGCTTATTTTTATTGTTGTCTGCTGTTGCTGTTGTTGCTGCTGCTGCTGATGATGATAATGATGATTTGTGTTTATTTAGTGACTTTCCTGGACTAATTCTATAAAGTCTTTTTGTGGCTACTTAAGTCTCTCCTTCATTAGCTTAATGGTTAATTAATAATTAAATAGAGATTTTCTTTAATATCTTAAAGAAACAATCAGTCTCCTAACCTTTGCTGAAGGGCTCTCTCTCTGTGTTGCAAGTACATCTTCAATGTGCCAGTGGGCATTTCACAACTCTACCTTAGCTATTGCTTCCTGATGGCACAAAGCCTTAAGTTCAGCCAGAGGTGAGAGATTGGGATCTCAGGTCTTTCCAGGCCGTATGCACAGACCCACACATGTACATGTACTTCTTGATTTCTGGAACATGTACAACCTTTCTAAAGTTCCCTATGGACATCTTTCAGATTACTTGGTCACCAATACCTTGACTGGTATTGCTGCCTCAGATTGCTGTGGGGTTATACAGTTGCCACGGATTTTTTTTTTTTTTACTTGAAATATAGCTGCTTTTATAGAGCTAGCTCTAAGACAGTCCAAATAAAGATAACTCTTGAGAATGGAGCTTTTCAAGAAATTGCCTGCAATACAGGTCAAATAGCAATACTTTTCTCAGGATGGGGTTTTACAGGAGCTCCAAAAGTGGCTGCTTTGTCACCTCCAATGGCTGCTAGACAGACTACTGTTCCATCACCTCCAGTGGCTGCTAGACTGCTGATTTTCAGGATTCCAAGGCCATTCACCTTCAGAGCTACCACAGAGCTAGGAAGTGAGGGAAAATGGAAATACAACAAATTAAAATGTCACAGAGTTTTCTGTTTTTCAAGATTTGGCTGTTTTGCTGGATTTCTTTGTTAATTTCTTCAAGTCTTTGGTTAATTACAGAGTTCTGAAAAAGTTGATTTTGACCATTTTTGCCAATATTCTCATTGCTTTTACGGAGGAAAAAAATTTTGGAGGTTATTCCTCCACAATTCCAGAAATATTTCTATACCTTTGTTTTAATATTGCACAAATATGCCTATTATTATAGTCCATACAAGACAAGTTTTTCATTAAAATATTTTAATGAAATTAAAGTATCATTTTTATTCATAAGACTTGACTTTGATTAACATAAAGTAGAAAATTAATTCATTTCCCCTAACTCCTGGTGATATAAACTACAAAACAATCTCAAAACTAAGTATTGTGGATATAATAAGGAAAATCTAAATATTGCTACTCTAGTTAGACTGAATTTATATTTAAATATTTTATACTATTTGAGTTTTTTGTTTTGCTTTTTTTGTTGTTGTTTTTTAGCGATGGGGACTCGCCCTATCACCCAGGCTAGAGGGCAGTGGTGCGATCATACCTTACTGTAACTTCTAACCCGTGGATTCAAGCAATCCTCTGGTTTCAGCCTCCTGAGTAGCTAAGACTACAGGTGTATGTCACCACATCTGGCTAGTTTTTTTAAAAAAAATTTTGTAGAGATGAGGTCCCTCTACGTTGCCTAGGCTGGTATCAAATTCCTGGTTCAAACGATCCTCCAGCCTCAACCTCCCAAAGTGCTTGGATTACAGGGTGAGACACCACACCTGGACCTGGGTTTGTATTTTTATGAGAGGTGTGGGTCATAGTAAAAATAAATTATATGATCTTGTAAAACATTAATATAAATATCCAGTTATGATGTAGTCAAATGCCAGGTACACATTGTTCGTAACTGTCCAGGCCTTTTTTCTAAGCATTTTAATACCCAACTTTGCTAAGCACTAATAATCATTCCTAGACTAATTAAATCCATTTTTTTTTTTTTGAGGCGGAGTCTTGCTCTGTCACCCAGGCTGGAGTGCAGTGGCGCCATCTAAGCTCACTGCAAGCTCTGCCTCTCGGGTTCACACCATTCTCCTGCCTCAACCTCCCAAGTAGCTGGGACTACAGGCGCCTGCCACCATGCCCGGCTAATTTTTTGTATTTCTAGTACAGACAGGGTTTCACCGTGTTAGTCAGGATGGTCTCGATCTCCTGGCCTCGTGATCCACCTGCCTCGGCCTCCCAAAGTGCTGGGATTATAGGCATGGGCCACCACGCCTGGCCAATCCAATGTATTTTTTATAAATGTACAGCAGATGCTTTCATTCTGTCCCAAGTCAAATGAAGACTGAGTCTGGCTCCAGTCAGTCTCCTTCAAACATAGGTAGGTTGGGAGGGAGAAGTTACTTTCCTCTCTTTATCACAATCACTTTGCCAGGTGTCTAGGGCCCACTCTTAAGGTGTTTTAAGTGCTGTACACTGTTGAGAGTTATGTTATCTTCAGGGATGGTCAGATGTGAATTGACTCAAGTAATAGCCAGGTCAACACAACAGCTGGCCATGGCTGATGGCGGACTTTAGTTTACTGGGTCTTAAAATAAATGATATATTTTGCTTTTTCAAATAGCAACTGATAGCCCATGAGTAGCAAGAAGGCACTGAATGGGCACCCGAACAGCTACCAGGTGCTACCAAATGATGCTGCCGCTTTAAGTATGGTTTGGGCCATGTTTGGATGCTCTTTCCACCCTTCTCTGCAGTCACTCTCCGTCCAGATCCCCCATTACAGGATCCACCAATTTCTCTTCATTCTTACATCCCTATGAGACTCTTTTTCATCCCAAAGTGTTCAGTAACATTCTGTAGCTCCTGGAGAAAAGAAAACTCACTCTTTGGCCATGTAATCCTCCATTTTTCTTTTCTTCTCAGCAGGAATTAATTTTGTTTTTAATCAATTCCAGAAAAAAAAAGAGGAGGGAGAACACTAAATCATCTATTAATATTAGGAGCTTGAGAGAAAAATGTAGTCTTAAAAAAGTTCCCTTTTTAATACGTCTTCTTTTTCTGACCTTGAGATATTTCCCTTCTGTATAATCATGTAATTGTTTAATTAATATTATTCTCATTTTACTATTAGCCTTGCTAATATTACAATTACCTATCCTATTACTTTTTATAGCTCAGATATATTTAGCCCTAATTTCACGGTAGAGTCTTAAAACTCTTGCCCTTGTTGCTCTGTGGCATATCTGGGCCCACATTGGAGGAAAAAACAAAACAAAAACAAAGACCTGAGCAGATCCTAATATTTACAGCCTTAATTTTGAACTTTCCAAACCTTCCGGTCCAAACCTTGCTCTACAGTGCTTCATCTTCAATTCGCATTTGACTCTTCATTCTTGCTTTACCCTGGTGTCTTCAGTGGTTTTTAACTCCCAATCTGCCCCTATCCCCTTGGCTGCCTACACTTTCCTTTTCTGGGGAGCAATCAGCTAGTCATGGGTATTTTTCATGAAGAGTCCTGAGCTTTCCTCCAACCACGCAGGGCCTTTAAAAGCAGTCCCCACCCCACAAAACAAAGACCTGGATGATAATGATTTAATGGCCCCTCCATCCCAGTAATTTACTTTGCCTTCCCCTAAAAAACTTAAAATGGCCAATATTGATGGCATACATTTACTAATGTTTAAATATCTATCATATGGTGTTCAATTAAAGTGTTTAAAGCTTTTTTGGGTACCATTACGAGTTGCTTCATTTTTATCTTCTTCCAATTTTAAAAGAATCACCAAGGATTATTCTTCTAGCCTATGCTTTCTCACCAGAGACAAATGTCCACTTTTACAGCTTTATTCTGGTAATGCAAATAATTTTATTTATAATAAATAATAATACATTTATTTACAGAAGGCATTACATTAAATTTCATTGTATAAAAGTTTCACAGTATACTTCTTGCATATGATATATTTCATCCCCTCTACTACAAAACTAAGATAAAAATCAAGCCACCTCAGAAAACAAATAAGAGAGAAAAACAAAAACAGAATAAAAAACTTGTTTGTATATGTCAATAAGAACTGTGAAAATATTCTGTGCTTATAAGAAGCCCAAATTCCCTGGTATCTTTCTAAGATCCTTTCCAATCTGGTCTCAGCTTCACTCACTTTTCTTAACTTCTATTCCAGTCTCTTCATCTATTTTCATGTTACCTCTGCATAGAATGCCCATTACCTTTTTCTCTACCTATAAAATCCCCTGCCCACTCCCTGCAAGGTTAAATTTCAGTGCCATCATCTATTTGAAAGCCTTGACTTTATTTATTCTCTATTATAGGGATCAGATGCAATTAGATCATTCTATGTATGTTGTCTCTACGTAGCCTGTGAATATTCCTGAGGTTAGGGCCTAGCACTTCAACATCTCTGATTCCCCAGGATCTAAGAGACTTCCTCCTGCAGAGAAGTAACTTTGTAAGTGTTTCAGTGCATTACATGAGCACAGATGCTGCAGAGAACAAACATTAGTAATTACTATCATTGTATAGATTATGATCTAGGAGAGAAGATAAAAAATGGTCACATTATTGTAAAATAAGCTATGTAAGTGTTATTATCTCAGAGCCAAATAATAGACTCCCTTCCCTTGATGCATTTATTTTGTATTAAAGACAAATGGTATTTCCCCACACATGTGTTTAGTGACCCAGTCCTACCACAAGAAATGCCAGTCTCCTTGGTTTGAAATACTAATTAATCATTTTTTGTTGTAATTCTGGGATTTTAGAGCCCACTTACTTTATTTAACTTTTTACAAATTGGTTAAAAGAAAATAATTAAATCAACCTGTTCAAATGATCCTAGAATTGCATAACAGCTTAAATATAATTAAGTCATATTTCAAATTAAGGGACCCAGCAATGCAGCTAAAATGTTACTGCTCATCAGTGGTTGTTATTCTGAGTCATAGAATGCCACGAATTGAACATTCCTGCCAGGGCACCACCCTGGTCCACCCTCCCCTGCTGCAGCCCTGGTGTGTCACTCATGTTGAAGTCTGCCAGTAAGTCCAAGGAAGTTTCCTATAGTGTTGAGAACTGTTCCTCACCAGGATTCTGAAGTCAAGTATTTTGTTTTTTTGTTTTTTCTTAAGTACCAGTTGCCCAAATGTCTTTGGACAAGGTTTCTGGCACAGGCTTGTTCAGGAAATAGGGAGGGAGAAACACCTATTTTATATTTTAAGTGAAAAAACACACAGGAATATTACGTAATAACAAAAAACAAATGGTTGGCTCATGGTGAAGTTTAAGTTCCATATCACTGTGACTTTATTTTGGTCAGAGAGGAAGCAATCATAGGTTCTCAAGGTATATCAACAACAACTATTAGGATAATTTCACTAGACTGTTTAATTTAATAGGCTTAAAATGAAATATGCCAATGTTACAATTGAGCACAAAACTACTTATTTTCTCTTCCTAGTTACAAGTGAAAGAAATTAATGAACAGCAGGTTTGCAGTGGAATAACAACTGTTGTATCCATTTTTGCCTCTGCAGAACATAGCCCTGGAGCCCAATATATGCCAGAAAATTAAAAATTATTGAACTAGACTAAGTTTTCCATATGAGTTAGCTTTGTGAGTTAGCCCCACTGTTTTGGGGTATATTCCCCTAAGTGCTTACATACTAAAACTTAAAAATCCAAATCTTCATAAAATCTTTGTAAAAACGGAAGCAGTTCTGTACACTTCCACCTACCCCTAACACCTGAGAGTGGAGGGGATGGGGTTGGGGTAAAACCACACTTTGATGCTACCTTAAAATGTATTTAAAATCTCATATTTGACTTTTAAAAAGAAAACATGATTTAAAAATATTTCTTATAAAAATCTGTTATTTTAGCAAACAACAATTTTTAAATTATTTATTTTTGAGTAAAATCAGCACCACCCCCACTACCCAGGTGGGAGTACCTTATTTATCCTGTAGCTTTGAGAACCTATAATCTTACTGCTAAAGAACCCTGGCATACATTAGACACGGAGTTCTAGAACCTCTTCTATTCCCCCAACCTCTTAGCGGAATGTTCTTCTCTTGTAAAAAAATTAAAAAAAAAAAAAAAAAAAAAAAACCTCTGACGGCCAGCCAATTTGAAAAGCAAATTCATGTGAACGTTATAATGGGTTCTGATGTCTTCATGCATACCCATTTTATAGAACTATCTTCAAGATAATTCCCTAATCCAAGGTAAATATTTTTAAAGCGAGGATTCCAGAAATAATAATAGGAGTTGATGGAGATATTTTTAGGCGGACATTAAAGTTCCTCTTCTGATGGCCATCAAATTTCACCACTTCCTACAGGGTCTACCACACGCAGAGCCTGCCCTGTTTACATGGTCTGTTTAATACCAATTCTTCTATTTACAGAGAAGAATGATTCATACTAACCGAGCACTTACTTTAATCCAGGCATTGTGCTAAATGCTCAGAGGCTCGGTTCATTTAATCCCCACAGCAATTCTCAGACCAGAAGTAGTACAGTATTTTCATTCCCACTTTACATTTGAGAAAACTGAGGCTTAGATAAACTTGATGACGTTTCCCAAATCACACAGCTACTATATTGTGGTTCCAGGACTTGAGTCCAAGCAGCGTAACTCCAGAACCTTACTTACTCTAGTTACTTTACTCAGTATATTAGATTAACTCCAAGAAGAATACTTTGGTTTTAAGTATATGTTTTTCTTTTTGAGATTATTGGTTAATAATCTCAATTACTCTTGCCTCATTTCATAGACATCCACTTTCCAAATTCTTAATCAGTTCAGTCTCTAATCTTTCAGTGCAGCCATCCCCAACCGTTTTGGCAGAGAGACCGGTTTCATAGAAGGCATTTTTTCCACAGACCAGGGGTAGGGGAAACGGTTTCAAGATGATTCAAACACATTACATTCATTGTGCACTTTATTCCCATTATAATTATGTTATAATATATAATGAAGTAATTATAAAACTCACCATAATGTAGAATCAGTGGGAGCCCTCAGCCTGTTTTCCTGCAACTAGACGTTTTCATCTGGGGATGATGGGAGACAGTGACAGATCATCAGGCATTAGATTCTCATAAGAAGCGTGTGCAGTTCACAATAAGGTTCATGCTCCTACTCATGCTTCCAAACCCTTAAAGAGATCTGATCAAATCAAGTCTCATTTAAAATAGAAAAGTATGTAGTATAAAGTCTAGAGCTGAAACATTTGTCATCAAGTGTCTCATATCAATAACTAGTTTGTGACTCTGGGCAAGTTTCTGTCTTCTCTAAATCTTTACTCAATGACATGTCTTTCTGTCAGTCAGAATAAAATTGGTTAAGAAAATAACCGGCTTGACATTTATTTGTATTTGGGTTTATTGAAGTTCAGAAAATAAGCACTGATTCTAAAATTAATTCTCTAACCATAGTTATCTCTCAGTCTCTACATTTGTATTGACTAGACATATAAAAGATTCATAAATATGTAAACATGTAAACATAAAATTTGTAACTTGTGAAAATTAATTGTAACAATATCACTGTTAGTGATGGTTATCACCAATAATTTGTAAGTCCTAGAGGAAATAAAAATATTAAAATTGAAATTATATATTAGCCCCCAGAAGAAAGGTAAATTTCCCAGTAATTGTAAACTTGAACATATTATATGTTAACCCTACTTTATTTCAATATTTTACAATTTCTTTTTGTTTTTTCTAATGAAATATATTGCAATTTGCTAAAATGCCATATATGTATTTGCATATGTATGTATATGCTGTACATATATATGTACACATACATACATACACATGATTGTGTATATATAGACACACTATTATATGTTTTTGAAAACTAAGCAATTTGGAGAAATATCATTGGGAAAGTACTTACTATGATTTTTAAATGTCTACGAATTAATCAATATCTATTGGTTACTGTTCAAAGCACAGAGAGTCATACTGAGAGGCATAAGACATAACTGATACTACCAACAGGGAAACGAGATATACACAGGAAATGAATTCCTTGGCAGGGTATGAGAGCATTGAACACAAACAAAGGAACTTAAGTAAAGTCCAATGGGATTGAACTGTGACCCAACATAATACAATTTTTCTAGAGACTCATTTGTGTAAATTTGAAGACAGAACTGAGAAATGACATTATAAAAACTAAAAACGGGAGAACGAGATTTTTAATGTATTTACTAAATAGTGAATCAGTTCAGATACATAATAGAAAAGGAATTTCTTGATTAATGGGTCAACATACTGAGATCTGATGGCCTTCAACCTCCTTGGGTCTGCCCACCCCATTTTTGACGCTCCTTAAACTTCTTCAACTTTTGTCTTCTCCAGCTTTTAGTTGCTGTGATCCTCTATCTGGCAATGTATCCAGTGAACCCTGTGGGCTTCTTCCTTCCTGTCCCTCGTGTTACCTGTTCTGTGCTACCTGTGTTGCGTTCTGCTCAACGAACCCTCCTTTGGGTGGCACTCTTGTCCTGCCTAGCCCTAGTTCTGCTAGAGATGCTCAATTAGTTGTTGAGTTGAAGAATTGAATTGAACTGTTTCCCTCAGATTCCTCTAAACACAAATCCACTTATTCTTTCTGTCTTTGAAATTCTCAAAACCGCTAAGACACAGCTATTTTGAAAATAGCCAGCATTGGTTGAAGCTAGGGTGAATATGGCTTTTGACTCAGAGAGGTTGTTCAACTCACCAGGAAAGGGAAGCATTGCAAGTTCCTAAGCACTTCTGGACTCTTAATGCATTTTCACTCGTGAAAGTTTCAAGCAAGAAAAAAATAAAGTAGTGCCCCGAGTTCTTTATTAGATTCAATTACCAGCGTACAAACATCCTAATTCACTTAAACAAAATAGCCCACACACATTCCATTTCCAAGGAGGCTGCTTTTCTTCCTCTCTTCCCTTCTCGCTCTCCCTCTTACTGTTTTTCCTCCGTCTTGCTTCTCCTTTTCTCCCCTTATCCTAGTTATCTCAAAGAAAAGCTTATCTGCAACCACCCTTTAACCACGAATTACCATAAACGAAGCAACCCCCCCACCCCCCCATAAGCGAAAGCAAAGCCCTCAGTGGAGCCTGTCGGGGTGGTGGGGACGCCCCCTTTCGTGCAAAACGACTTCACGGTGAATTTCAAGTGTCCGCAGGGGATGGAAGGGGGGATTCCAGATCCTCGCATTTTCACAGACGGCCTAATCCCTCTGCGCAATGGACCCGGGAAAGCTGCCTCCCGTTAAGGGCGCCCAGGCACTGTCAAAGCGCCCTCCCTGCCCGGGCCGGGAGAAGTAAGGGGTGTGAAGGCGGAGCCACTGGGCTGGCAACACCCTCCCGAAGGTCCAGCCCTTACCCGCCTTCCTACCACCTTAGGGGATTTGGCCCGGAGAACGAGATCACCCTCTCAATGAAAGGCAGATGTCCCTTTAAGGTTTGCTTCTACAGCCCGTGGACTTTAGCCTAAACACGGACCCGCGAAGCTGGCTTTATTTGTCCATGTCTCGGACAGAGCCTGGGAAGCTGCCAGTGAGATTTCAGAGACCAAGAGCGCGAAGGGGCGGGCGATGTGGCAATCCGTCTGGGATGTGAAAAGCGTGGAGCGCATTTAGAGGAATTCGACGAAAACACAGGAAATCACTCCTCTCCCGCTCCTGGGCGCCGCTGCCACTGGGGCAGAGGACTGGGAACCGCGGCAGCGGGATAAGTGGCCCAGCCAGAGAGCGCAGCTCCCGCGCCCGGTCCTGCCCTGCGAACCAGCGCGGCCCCCTGGCGCTGAGGCTGCTCCGGCCATGGCCCCTCGGCCCCGCGCCCGCCCAGGGGTCGCTGTCGCCTGCTGCTGGCTCCTCACTGGTGAGCGACTCGCTTTTCTCTGAGCATCTCCTGCTCGCGGGCTTGGGGCTTGGAGCGGGGAGGGAGGTCCTCAGAGCCATGGGCCAGATAGGAAGAGAGAGCGCCCATCCACTTTCGGGCATTCCAGGTACTCAGGCCAGGCTACGGGGCAGGCAGGAGTTTCGCGTTCTGGTTTTGATATGAATTAGTTTTCGTGTCTCTCCAAAGTCCTTCACCCTAGGAGTAGGAGTGAGGCAGCACTGAAAACCTTAGAAGGTAGAATTCACTTTTAAAATTAAAGTTGTTTTTACAATACACATTGTATATTAGGACTTTGCTGAATATTTCCTCCCCTCCACCCTTTTTTATGGCATGGGATGGGAGGGTGATGCTTATAGGGCGCCTGATACATATGCAAAATTCCTACCCTCGGGTTGTTCCAGAGTGGACATTATTGAATTTTCTTGCTGTCTACTATTTAGGCTTTTTTCCCATGCAGAACAAGAAAAGGCAGGGATGCAAGACGAAACTGCCACTTGTTCCAAAATGATGTTTCTATGTCAGCACCCAAGAGGAGGGATATTTTGAAACGTAGAAAGGAATGGTGAACATTTTCTCTGTAAATATCACAGGGCAGTCTACTTTTAAGATGCAAAATATAGTATTGTTATTTGTACATAAATGTGTATTTTTAAGGAGGGGACTTAAAAACATAGTGGAAATGCAAAGTTGTATCCAATTTAGAAAAAGCTTGAAATATAGCATTTTGTAAGATTTTCCCAATAATGAACTCATGGTCAGATCTTTTTTACCAGTTACTGATTGGGGTGGGGGAAAGTTGAAATGGTGAAAAATGGAAGAAGGTGGGGGGAAAGTGTATCGATAGAATCTCTGTGTGAAAGAAAATCACCTTATTAATGGGTTAATTAACAGCTGGCTTTAACATATCATTGATATTCAATTGTTCAGTGTTTTTACTGCTGGCATGGTTATTAGTACTAGTTAATTTAGCATTTTTACCACTAAAAACAGGGTAGAGCCAGCTAGTTTAGACCTGCCTTAGATGGCCAAGCATTGTTAAGTTTTATGAAGATGATTTAGAAGTTGATTATCAGCAAGCAGAGCTTTTTTCAGAAGGGAGGTAATGTAAAGAGAGTTAATAATTAGCTACTGGCTTTTCATCCAAACATTTCCCACTACTCAGGAAATGTCCAATAATCCAAACAGTGGTAACTGCTGAACAGCATTATAGCCGGTGAGTGGTTTAACTTACCAGCTACTGCCACTACTTTTTACACATATTTGACCTATGATTCTTCTCCAACTCAAATTTTTTTAGATTGTATTTTGTTGTTTTTGTGCAAAATCTGAATACAGTAGTTTACTATCCAAGTTGTACTTTTTCATTCTACCAAATAAGCAGTCTCTAGAGTAGAAATGATGAAATGAGGTTTGCGTATCCTCTAAAAAGACAAGAGTGAAACTTGAAGTAACAGAGAAGTTTAACAAGTTACAATTTCATATATATGTTGGTGAAATATACATTGGTGAATCCAGGAAGAGACTTAAAATATTTAGAAACCTTGTGTGCACTATATTTATGCCCATTTCGCAACACATGAGGGATCTGAAATTGGACTGCTTTCCCATCAGTCATTATATTCTGTAGGCTCTTCTTTAGCAATCTCTTTCAGATTTGGAAACTTCTCATCAATTCAGAGTCCGTTTGTAACCTGGGGACTCATCACCATACTTATCCATGCACACTACTGTAGAGCTTATCTTTCTGTCTTCAATTTGAACCCAACTTCCAGTCTACCCTCCTAATACATCATTTTTACTATATCTGTTTTTAGTCAAAAATCTTTGGTGGTTCTTTGTTGCCTTTAAGATAAAATCCAAAATTCTCAACTGACTGCCCTAATCCAACACCCTCTCTCTATCTCCTACTACTCCTATGTCAGTTTCTTATTGCTGTTGTAACAACTTGCCATAGATCACCAGCTTAAAACAACATAAATTTACTATTGTACAGTTCTGTAGGTCAGAAGTATCACTGGGCTAGAATCAAGATGTCACCAGGGCTGCATTTCTTCTGGAGGTTCTAGGGGAAAATCAGTTTCCCTGTTTTCACCAGCCTCTGGCCACCACCTGCATTCTTGGCCTGTGGCCCCTTTCTCCATCTTCAACCGAGCAGGGTAGAATCTTCAGATCTTCCCCCATGACTCTGCTTTATCATCACATCTCCTTCTCAGACTCTGACCCTACTACCTTCCTAAGGATCCTTGTAATTACAATGTGCCTACCAGAATAATCTCCTCATCTCAAGATCTTTAATTTAATTACATCTTCCAAGTCCCTTTTACCATCTAAGATAACATATTCACAGGTTCCAGGCATTAGGTCATGGATATCTTTGGGAGACCATTATTCTGCCTACCACAACCCATAAGCATAAACTGTCCATTATAGCCAATCACTTTTCTTTACTTTCTCCATAATCCTCATGTTCATTTTGCCACTGAAGATATGACCTTGTTTTATACATCGAGAAAAGAATTCCACCTTTCCATCCTACCACCCTCTGACATCTAAATAAACTCTCTACAGCCTTCCAAACTGGGTTTACATCAGAACAACAAGCCACCAGCATCCCAATAAACTTCCTATTTGATTTAGACTGTCTTATATTAGCTCCTTACAACGTTTACTAAAATGATTCATCAAAAAGATGTCCTTATGTCCAAAGGATTGTTATTTTATGTATGTCAAAGTCTCAGCATAAACTGATGTCACATATAAAGGATTTAACTGAAGACAGTTTCATAAAGTGACAGTTTAGAGAGGCCTTAAAGGAACAAGAAAAGAGGGTGGAGCATCTAGCGCAAGCAACAGTAGGGAAAAAAGAACCTGAAGCAAGGTGAGAAGAAAAACCATGACCATTCCTAGGCCTGAGGAGGTGGCAGTGTTAGTTTGATTATGAACTCTAGTTATGGGAGGGTGGCCATTAGACTGGAGTTGTGGTCATAAAAAGGAATGCAGCTAGTGACAAAATTGAAGCCCAGCAGAGAAGGAGTAAGGAAAATAAATATACCTCCTTTCCTCCCACCCTCTGATGTCTTGCTCAGCCTTCCCATTGGCCATCCCCAAATGGCAAGATCCAACCTTCCAGAGAACAAAGGGCAAGACAATCAATAACAGAATAGCTAGCACAACTTAACCCCGAAATGTATTATGTGCAAGGCACTGTGCCAAGGGCTTTGCATGTATTATTTCATTTTAATCTAAAAAATTAAGTTTACTAATTGATCACAAGCAGTCACAGATTTCTTTGTTCTTTTTTCACTCCCTCAGCTTGTTGATTAGCCTTGAAAAAAAGAAAAGAAAAAATTAAAACTTTATAACTATTATCAATATTTTAGAGATGAGGAAATCAAAATATAGTATTAAGAAGTTAATTTCATTTGTCCAAAGTTGAAGAACTAATGACAAATCTACTCAATTCATATCTCTGACCTCAAATTAAATGCTCTAAAATAATATGCTATATTGGCTGCCTAAAGATAAGTTCATTCTCTCTTGCTCACTCCTCTAAATGTGAAATCCAAACATAGTTGTCTAAAATACTTGGATAAAGACCTAATTAATGATACAAGTCAATCTTTTATTTCCATGATTTTTAGGTGTACAGCATTAAGTGTAACTCAAGTAAGACTACTATTTCTCGTTATTAAGAATATAAATATAGAATTAGCCCTAATTAAACTATATGTCTCTCTTCCCTAGAAACATTTTGGTTGGCCTAGAAGCAAGGGTCTTCTTTTCACAGGCAAGATTTCCTATTCAAAATGAAATCCAGTGAGGAGATGGGAGATGGCTGAATATGGGGAGGAAGTCAGCCACTTATTCAAAACAAAGAATGACTCCCAATGGCAGACAATGTATTGTCAGGAATTGCTGAAGATGGTGAAAATTGTCTTACTCATTG
This sequence comes from Homo sapiens, assembly GCF_000001405.40. Classification (NCBI taxonomy): domain Eukaryota; kingdom Metazoa; phylum Chordata; class Mammalia; order Primates; family Hominidae; genus Homo; species Homo sapiens. The sequence continues at coordinate 52,792,382 of NC_000005.10, forward strand.
TGATGTTTGTAAAGGCAGCAATGAATTCACGGGATTTTTGTTTGTTTAGTAAACAGGCAATGAGAGTAACCATGAGACACATATATATGCTATACTAGTTTAACTATTTCTCTTCCCTCCTGTCATAACACTTACCCAGCTATTTTGAAGCATGAGCTCTTGGGCCACAGCTTATCACTGATGTTCTGACTTCAGTAGATAGATGCTCCTCTAACATGTTCCTCCACTTCCAACCCAATAAACTTCCCACTAGATTTAGAACTTGCTGAATTTCCACATCTTAACATATTTTAGTAGAATAAAGTAGCTCATGTTTAAAATATATTTAGAAAAGTTGGGGACTAAAATGCTATTCTTTACCTACACTTCTCTTCTGTTGTGTGAAATACAAAATAGTGTACTCAAATTCATGTTAAGAAACTGAGATGAAAGATATTTTGAAACTGTTGCCACAGTGCTAAAGTCAGAATAGATTGCCTATTCAGAGCAGTCTGTGACTGGAGAATTGTATTCGCCCTCAAAGCAAGTACAGTAGAGTATCAAGAGATGCAAATGACTGCATATATTTCTATCTTCAAGATTATTGAGCTTCTTTCAGCTCCTTTATTATGCCAGCTACTCTAAAGTCTCCTTGGGGACTTTGCATAAGTAGTTACTCCCACTGCTACTGATCTCAATCCCTGAATAAACGTCATTTCCAAGAGATACCCTGAAGTAGATTGGACCCTACCTTAGGACATGTGTATCCCAGCACCTTTGCTTCTATTATATAATGCACCACGGTATTATAATTAACTATCTAATTGCCTGTCTTTCCAGCTTGCTGTATGCTCTGTGAGGGTAGGATCTTTAACCATAACACCTAGAAATAATAGGCACTTTTTAATTGAATGAATCGCAAAAGAATTGACTATTGACAAACTCAGAAAATACTTAAGGGATCAGATTGTCCCTTTATTATATACCTCTGCCTTATTTTATTATACCTCTGCCTGAAATATTTCTGTCTATCCAAATTTATAAATAATGGAATGGAAGACACCATCAGTTGAAAGATGCACCATTATTTTATGTACCACTAAAAAAGACAAGCCACTCCCAATCCAATTATAATTGCTAGATTGTTAGATAGTTCCTAGTTTCAGAGATGTCAAAATTGGGAAAATGTGCGTCTGAAAATTACAATCAATAATATACAGTGTATGGTACTTTTTACCATGGTACTTTTCTATTTGTTTGGACACTTAAAAATTGTGTCATAAGATTTTGAAGAGGCTAGTATGTGAACCCCATCTAGATACAGAGATATAACATTGTTCCTCTCAGTTCTCTTCAAGTGCCAAGTTTATATCTGATTTAGGGGATAATTGCTCCTCTGGCACCAACAGCCTCACCAGATCCCAAAAACAGAGCTCCCTCCAAATGCTCTATCTTTAGAAGAGAGCTTCAGGAGAAAGGTGACAATAAAGTAATCATATAATGTTCCAGTTGCACAGGATTAATGACTCTAGCTTTGGCAAACTCTTAACTTTTTGTCATGTTGGTGGTAAGCTCCAGGGTTGTGTATATAGGAAGAAGACTAATTTTAATCAAAACTTTCCTATGATTTAAAAGGAAGATAAAAAAGTCAACTAAGTTTTAAAAGGAAATTAAAATGCATATGCTGGTTGGTGTTAGGAATTCACTTTATGTGTTAAAAAAAATCAATTTTATCCAAACAGGAGATCCCTATTAACAAGATAAGTAAGAGATCTGAAATGAGAAATCATTGTAATTCAAATATGCAAAGGAGTGGATACACATACTCTTTTTGTATGAATTATATGAGATCTCCTAAAATAAATGCAAATTCTTAAATTTAAATATAGCACCTAAGTCACTTTAAAACATCAATAGTTAAGATGGTTTATATATTTTGTTACAAATCATATATCCTTACTACAAATTAAATGTACTTTCAAAATTATTTTATTAATTAGACTTTTATTTTACCAAATACTAAAGTCTAGAAATACATGGGTACTGGCCAATCCTTAAAAATATCTGTGTAACACATTTTACTTATAATATTTTTGGTGAAATGATCTTATGCCGTATAAGAATACATGCAAATAGAAATACACACACACACACACACACACACACACACACACACTTCTGTTCATAGGATTTTGTTTATTTGGTAGGAGGTTTTGTATTATTTTGTGACAACTGCAAGTAAGCACTTTCCATCATGAGAAATTTAGATAGTGAGTGAGTACAAGTTCCTTAAAAAAAAAAACAAATAAAACAAACAAAAAAAACCACTTTCCCTTTTACCCTTTTGTCTATATTAGCTAACTAATCCTCCCAGTCATCCACTTAGCTTTGCTGGTGGAGGTCACATGGGAACCTTTGCACAATCTGAGGTTTGCACATTCTCTCTAAATAAACAATTGCGTTTATCACTAGATATTCATAATTGGAGCTCTGGCTTCTTATTTTGTAAAGTTCACTTTCCAAACCATGTATAATAAAACTAATTGCCATTATGTGTTATTCTAAAATATTTTAAGAACTTTTCCTGGGGAAGATGTATTTTAAATTACCATTTTCTTACCTAAGCACGGCTATCTCAAATATTGAAATAGGCTTATACAAACTTACCTTAAGAGTAACCTTCTTTTTAAGTTTTTAGTAACATTATAAAACAGAATGTGATTTCCTAATTTTAGAATGTCAGTTACAGACAAGTTAAAAACTCTGAATTAAAGAAAAATTAATAACCATTAATTTTTGCATACTAAAAATATGAGTATGTGCCACTTGTTATGCTGTGTTCCAGGAGAACAAAGACAAATAAAAGGTAGTAAGTCTCTGCCTTTACTGGTGGAAGAGGTAGTAGACATGGAAAGACACAATGGTGGGAGAGGCTCCCAAGGTGCTTTATAAGGAATAACAAAAAGATTAGGTTTGTGTTGCAGGAAAGTAAGCCTTCCAAAATAAAATACAAGATGAAAACAAGAAAATTTATACAGCCCCGACTGTTTAAGGGTCACAAGCTAAGCAGAGGGTATTAAAACAAGATTTCCATCTTTCAGGAGCCCATAATTCCATTTCATGTCATACAAACCATTTCTTTTATATTATTATAATAGGAAAGATAGTAATTCAACTCACCAATGAGGTCCATGAACCATTTTATTCAGTAGAGCTGAATAACATAAATAACATAAATAAATGTACCCCAAAGATTATCCATCAGTCAACTCTACCAAACCAGTTATTTTTCCAAGGCTGAATAATTATGATCATGTTAAAATGAGCTCTTGTCCCTTGTTTTGTCTGATCCAGTTTTCTAGCTTCAAGCCAGGCATTTTTAGAGCTCTATAATTTATTAATATCAAGTATCATAATATCACTAGGACCTCATAAGGATGGTCAAATGAGAGAGCAGGACAAATAATCTTATTTATCATTTAGAATGAAAAATAATTAGCTTTATTGCGGTCTGGGACTTATTTCAAGTTGGTAGAATCCATCCAGGAAAGACCATATTTGAGGTCTGCCAATTCTTGGTCCACAAACAAGAAACTTTGAATCAGTCTTTCACCTCTGAAATGGGTCTTAGAAAAATCAGATTTGAAAGATAGCACGCAAAATTGAAAACAAATATGTTAGGATGAGATTATAGGTGTTGTTTAAACACTTAAAAAATATTACTGCAGCATAATTTTTAGTTAGAAATTTAATTATTGAATTCAATTCCCTCAATTCTTCAGTGAAATAAATTGGGTTCCAGAGAGACTGAGTACTGCCAAAAGTTACAGTAAAAACAATTGAAGAGTAAGAGCTACAATCCAGGATGCTTGACTTCTAGCCCAGTTCTCTTCTTGAGACACTGGAAGTGTCTCAAGAGCAACAAATTAAAAACTTTTGGAGGTAACAATACTTTTTTCCCCTTCTGGAGAGATTAATATAAATAAGACATTGTAGGGAAAATAGATATAATTAAAGTTACTGATATAAAGATTTATACTGATATAAAGTTACTGATATAAAGTTTTCTATTTTAAACAGCCAATACATAAGTATAAAATTAGTATTTAAAGCAAAAGAGCTAAAAGCCCTGGTATTTTTCTCAATACTTTGCTCATTTGGAAAAAAATGAAAATAAATATATAACTACAGCAGTTTCTGAACTACCATTATTAAGTGAAATACAGTCAATAACAATATAAGTAAGTGCCTTAAGAAATGTCTTGAAATGTCTGTAATAATGTTAAAATAGCTGCCATACTTTACATTTGACTCACCTAGCTTATCATTAATATATGAGTGCCTACTATGTGCAAAGGACCTTTAAAAGGACAAAGGAGTATAAAGATAAATCCTTCCAGAGTTCAACAAAAAAGATACATGTTTAAATTAACATGGATTCAAGTTTACATGGTTTCAAGTTTGAGATAACATTTAAGCTGGACTTTAAAGATAGGCAGCACTAAAGGAAGCAGGGATGAAAGGAAGTGACATTTTAAACAGAGAAGTTAGTATGAGTTAAGGTAGCAAACGAGAAAGTTCCTAGCATATGTAGGGAACAAAGGTTACTTTCAAGGTGGAATATAGGGTGCCCTGAGGGGAAAAGTGGGAAGTAAATTTGTAAGGCCAGTGCAAATTGGGATTGTAGACGTTAATTCATAGGGAATGGGAATCCAAAATGAATCAAAATAAAAATATAATGATTGGTCTAGAAATACTAAGCCATAAACAAAATCTGGGTGAAAACATCTAATAGTCAACTACAGGCTTAAATTACTAAGGAAAAAAAAAAGTTCCCAACTATTGCAGTTGTTTCACATACAACAGTAATTCTATGAAAGATTTTATAGTATACTGAATTATGGAGGCACACTGATATTTTTTAAAATGGCCCAAAGTGGTTTGCCTCATAACTTAAAAAAAAATTTTTTTAACCATGGATTTAAGAGTCAATAAGGGTTTTTCACAGGTTTCTAATGTACAGATAAATATATGTATATTTTTCTAAAGTAGAACATTAGATCTTTCTCTAAGAGTATGATGATGACCTAGGCTGGACAGAAGGAAAAAAAAAAACTATGTAGAAGAGAAAAGTATAATAATTTTAAGAGGTGATAAAAGAGCAGGAAAGGGACTAGTGCCTTTCAAATCCTCTAGGTTGGTTCCCAAGCTGTGAGTTTTTGTTTAGCTGGTAAAGGTGACAGTTGAGGGGAAGTGACAGTGGATAATAGCACATAATTTGCAGTGAAGGAGATGATTACAAACATTCATAATATAGGATGGTGGTAGTAGAAAGAGAGGGTATGGAGTTATGCAGGCCTGAATTTCAATGCTAGTCATGTGATCTTGAAAACATTTCTTAACTTCCCCATAGTTGATTTTCTTCTATAAAATTAGGATAACAAATATTTACCTTACAGGGGAGAATTAGAGCATAGGAAAGAACTTGATAAACATTCAATACGTGATAGCTCTTCAATAAAAACCTTTTGTTAAGATCCCACTGTGTGCTTACCACTGTGATTCTGTGGCTTTTAATCTTTGGCAGACTATGGGAAAGATAAATTGTACTTAGAAAGATGATCAAGGAGCACTTCAAAGCCCCAGTTCAAAATTATCTCCTCATTCTCTCTCTCTTTCTCTCTCACAAATACACACACAAGCACACTTTCACCCTACCAATTAGGAATTTTAAGTTAACAAGATACTTTTTTTAAAATACAGTGTCCTTTGGATAGGCAAATCACCTTCACACTTGAGTGTGATTAGTTCTTTGCTTAGTGAAAAGTTGCTGGGTTCTCCTGGAATTGGAAGAAGGCAATGTGAATTAGGAACTTCTTGAGGGTACTCAGTATGATAGGAAGGTGGGAAGAAGGAGGAAGTAAGGGGAGACATAGAGAGCGAGAAACAAAGAGAAAAGAGGCCACAAATATTAATAAGTAGTGGTTCTTATTTGGACTTTCCCCTTGGAGGGGACCTTTCCGTCCCCTGATAATCTCTTAGGAAGATAATGACACTTAAGTTTAAATTGTGAAGCCTGTCAGTTGAGAAAAATGTTGAGACAAGTCTCAATCATTTTAGGACGTTTATTTGCCAAAATTAAGGACGTGCGCGGGGAAGACAGGTCTATGCCTTTCTGGGAAGATGATTTTGAGGGCTCCAAATTTAAAGGGGAAAGGGTGGGATACTGAGAAATACAGTTTTCATGTGAGAGGGTAGCAGGGGGAAAATAGTCATTCATGCCTCTGTCTGGCTTAGTCAATCTGAATCTGCATTTTTACGTAAGATAACATAGACAAATGGGGCAGGGGAACAATCAGATATGCATTTGTGTCAGGAGGGCAGAGGGGTGACTGTACCTGAAAACAGAAGCTATCTATTTACATTGCCATGGTAAATTTTCATAGAAACACTTTATGGTAAAGATCTTGGCGCTCACTGAGAATTTCCTTGTGGGCAAAATATGAGCGAGGTGTGTAGCTTTTCATCTGGTAGCCATCTCATTTAAAAACCAAGAGGCAAGGCAGTTTTGCGTGACCCAGTTCCCAGCTTAACTTTTCCCTTTGGCTTAATGAGTTTGGGGATCCGAGATTTATTTTCCTTCCACACGCCTATGCCAAACTCAGATTCCTTCCTTTCATCCCTGTTTCATCTGTTCAGGCTGGTTAGTTCCCCTTTCCAATCCACACAGAGAAAGACAGAAAAGACAGTGAGAAGCTATGTGTGCAGGACTTCTCTGCCCTCCACTCCATCTAAGCTCTCAAGAAACTTTTAGATTCTTTTGTTTTTTCTATTCATCGGTCTCTTAAAGAGGCAATCCCACTTCTCCATTTCCACTTCCTAATAAAGAATGCTAAGTAACTTAAGGATTTTCTTTAAATTATGTAGCTATTCAATCAGGGTCAGTCCTAGTTAATAGTTTTTCCCCACTTCCCATAGCCTCGGCTTTTAGCTTAGCTTTGGCAGTGAAGATCTGGCCCTAAGCTCTTGCGACCCAACCCCCAACCTAAACATTTCACAGGCTACTGGGCTGCGGAAAGCTGAGGCTGCCAACTTTGGAGCCTAGGATTCCCAGGACATCAGGTCAAGCAACTGAGAGGTCCACCCAGGGGTAAATTCCACACATAGTTTCTTCTCTCTTGGGACCAGCGCTTTAACATCTGGGTGAATCAGATCGTGCAGACACGGTAACTAGGCGCAGAAAACAGCTGGACACGTTGCTGGGAGCCCAGACAGAACGTGACCAGTAGTTCTCAGAAACCGCTTCTAAATACCAGCTCCAACAGGCTTGTAGCGTCCGAGTGCGGATAAGGCAAGAGCAAAAACGAGCATAGTTTGGGCCGTTGGGGCCAAATCTGCACTTCTGAGAGCTACTTTTACTGCTAAGCTTTGAAATTGGATTTACCCAGAGGGAAGCGTTGCAGTGGCAGCCGCAGGCAGGTAAAACTAGTATTTGCACTCACACACTCCCCGGATTCTTCACAGACAGGGATGGAAGAGAAAACTTAGGAAGTTGAAGTTTGGCATTAAAATAAAGGACTCGCCACCACTCTGTGCACCTTCTTGAGGGAGTTCATTCGTCCGGAGCGCCTCACAGCTTAGTGCGCCTGCGCACGCGCGAACTGCGGCCCCGCCTCTCCTTTGGGGACGGGAGACGTGCGTCGGGTCGCGGGACGGGGGCTGCGCATGCGCCTTCATTTCGTCAGCCCGCTGTTGCGTGCTGCCAGCGGGAACTGTGTAGGGGTAGATTTTCGCTGCAGTGTTCCCCGAGCCTGTTAGACGCAGCGCGCCGGGAGACTGAGAGAGGAAAGGATAGAGGAAGTGCTGCCCTAGGCTGCATGAGTCGAAGCAAGCGTGTTTCCTTCCCGCCAGGCAAGTGCCCTTAGAAACCGGGCCCCGCCCCCTTCCTGGCCTGCATTCCCATCCCCTCTCCCGGGGCGGAGGTGAGGACCTCCTTGGTTCCTTTGGTTCTGTCAGTGAGCCCCTTCCTTGGCCATGAAGCTCGTGAGGAAGAACATCGAGAAGGACAATGCGGGCCAGGTGACCCTGGTCCCCGAGGAGCCTGAGGACATGTGGCACACTTACAACCTCGTGCAGGTGGGCGACAGCCTGCGCGCCTCCACCATCCGCAAGGTACAGACAGAGTCCTCCACGGGCAGCGTGGGCAGCAACCGGGTCCGCACTACCCTCACTCTCTGCGTGGAGGCCATCGACTTCGACTCTCAAGCCTGCCAGCTGCGGGTTAAGGGGACCAACATCCAAGAGAATGAGTATGTCAAGATGGGGGCTTACCACACCATCGAGCTGGAGCCCAACCGCCAGTTCACCCTGGCCAAGAAGCAGTGGGATAGTGTGGTACTGGAGCGCATCGAGCAGGCCTGTGACCCAGCCTGGAGCGCTGATGTGGCGGCTGTGGTCATGCAGGAAGGCCTCGCCCATATCTGCTTAGTCACTCCCAGCATGACCCTCACTCGGGCCAAGGTGGAGGTGAACATCCCTAGGAAAAGGAAAGGCAATTGCTCTCAGCATGACCGGGCCTTGGAGCGGTTCTATGAACAGGTGGTCCAGGCTATCCAGCGCCACATACACTTTGATGTTGTAAAGTGCATCCTGGTGGCCAGCCCAGGATTTGTGAGGGAGCAGTTCTGCGACTACCTGTTTCAACAAGCAGTGAAGACCGACAACAAACTGCTCCTGGAAAACCGGTCCAAATTTCTTCAGGTAAAACAATCTTACCCAGGGATAATTAAGAATGGGCAGAGGGATTGGTATAAACTACTCCTAAAGTTTTAGAACTGGGAAAAATAAGAAGAGAAAGTCTTTACTTAGCTGGGATTTTCATGAGATAATGAAATAAAAAGAGAATGTTAAATGTCTAGCAAATTTATGGAGTAAACTTCGCTGAAACATATGAAGCCTTACTAGCGCTTTTGGCTTTAAGCCTTTGTGAGCTGATTAATGGGTGTTCTAGGAGATTATTTTGCCTAACTTTTGTAATTGTGATTCTAGGTACATGCCTCCTCCGGACACAAGTACTCCCTGAAAGAGGCCCTTTGTGACCCTACTGTGGCTAGCCGCCTTTCAGACACTAAAGCTGCTGGGGAAGTCAAAGCCTTGGATGACTTCTATAAAATGTTACAGCATGAACCGGATCGAGCTTTCTATGGACTCAAGCAGGTGGAGAAGGCCAATGAAGCCATGGCAATTGACACATTGCTCATCAGCGATGAGCTCTTCAGGCATCAGGATGTAGCCACACGGAGCCGGTATGTGAGGCTGGTGGACAGTGTGAAAGAGAATGCAGGCACCGTTAGGATATTCTCTAGTCTTCACGTTTCTGGGGAACAGCTCAGCCAGTTGACTGGGGTAGCTGCCATTCTCCGCTTCCCTGTTCCCGAACTTTCTGACCAAGAGGGTGATTCCAGTTCTGAAGAGGATTAATGATTGAAACTTAAAATTGAGACAATCTTGTGTTTCCTAAACTGTTACAGTACATTTCTCAGCATCCTTGTGACAGAAAGCTGCAAGAATGGCACTTTTTGATTCATACAGGGATTTCTTATGTCTTTGGCTACACTAGATATTTTGTGATTGGCAAGACATGTATTTAAACAATAAACTAAAAGGAAATAATCTCCACGTACTACCATCTTGATTAAATTGTGTAATTTTTTATAGGAATTATGAGTTATCTGTAGTACTTGGAAACAGAAAATGTGTGTATTTAAAGACGATGCCTATGCAGTATATTGTTTGGGATAGATTGCAAAATTTCACACTGCATGCTTTGAAACAGTTTTCCTTAGAAAAAGCTTTTGCTATCTTATCCTGTTTACATTATTTCTTTATTTTAATTCTGCTTGGTGTTCTTGCATTGCATTTAATGATCCCTTTTCTCCCCACCTCCACACACTACATTTTTTTTAGATTTAAATAGTTTTACTATTTTAAATGATTGCCGTACAATTAGTAGACTTGAAGACAAGTTTTAAATATTTTTCTTCAAAGGCTTGTTAAACCAATCATGTTAAAAGGAAATTCTTGGTTTTGGTTTGTTGTTGTTAGCATTAGTCATATTTGATTTAGAGGGTAACTTAAATCAGTTATTTTTAGCTTTTTAGAACTTTGATCTGCTAGGGATTGTCAAAATAATCTCCTTGAGGCATCTTTATTTTTAAAATGAGATTAAAGTATGTGATTTGCTTGTTATGTGGCTAATTAGTGGCAAAGCTGGAAGTCATTCCCAGTCTGGACTTTAGTTCTTTGCGCCAAAACATGCTATATTATTTATTTATTTTTTTGCTTGTCAAAGTTATACTTAATTCTGTTTTATATTTGTATGTGGCATTAATTTGGGTTTGCACATTTTTATTGGACTATTTTAGTTGTGAAGAAGCCTGTTCTAAAGTTTAAGTCACATGACTAGTATGTGGCAGTTGACTTAAACTCCAATACTCTTTACTATCATTGACTTAAACTCTGATACTCTTTACTATAATTATGGAATTGTGCAAATACCTCTGAGTTTAAAATATTATTTTTATTATTTTTGGTGCACATTCCTAAAAGTTAAGGAAGGAGCCTCAGTAATGGAATTGCTTCTTGACCTTTTGCAAACCTCAATTTAGCAAAATAATTAGGAACGATCTAATAGTGATGATACAGTTTTTAACTGCTGGATCAGCGACGCCTATTTCAAGTAGTGATACTAACTAAACTTTCGCCGGTCTTTCCTGTGTCTGTGGGCCTTCCTCCTGGTGTGACAGACTTGGGGATTTCTTGTAAACTTCCTAACTAGTCTGAACCTTTTTATTTCTTATTGGGAACTGACACTTCCCTATACTTTAAAACTCACATATGTATATTTTTGTACATCTATCTCCTAATTCAAAAGTAATTGAGATTGTCATTTCATTATAATTCCGTGAGTATCTTTAAATTACTATCAAATATGTTACTAAATAATTTAATAAGAATATAGAAATGAAGCCACTGAGATCCTTAAAGTTGAAACCTGATTGTTATTATATTTTCAGTAAGGATTTGGAGATTTTTGGACATTTTTACTCTCATAATCTATGCAGTACTGAAATGAGGTCTAATAAATATAACCAATACATGTTAGGCCATAGGTTCTTAAATTTAGCTACCTGTTCACCTCAACTTGAGAGCTCTTAAAACCCTCAGTGTCCAGGTTGCAGCTCAGACTAGTTAAATAACGTTTTATCCCTAGAAATGTTTTTTTTAAAGCTACCCAGATGATTCCAATAGGCGTCAAGGCTAATAGCCACTGATTCAGGCCTTGCTATTCAAAAGTATGGTCCGTAAACCAGCAGCATCCCTGAGAGCTTGTTGGAAACTAGAATTCAGGGATCTTTTGTAGACCTACTGAGACAGGCGCTACCTGTACCAACATCTCTAGATGATTCCTGTGCATAATAAAATCTGATAAACAAAGGCAATAGGTTATTCTTCCTGTGCTGGTAAATCTCTGGCAGGGGTCCCCAGTCAGGAAAAAGATTTGAGTATTAAGGTCTTTCAAAAAAGTTAACTGGCCATACTCAACTGTCTATAAAACCTCTATAAATTTCTGTTTTTATGTCTATGAATTATTAAATAAAATTTAACTCATTTTTAAGAAATTACATTTTCTGTTATCAAGAATACAATTCTTACTAGATCATAGGTGAAAATGTCAATAATGATAGGAGCAAATTAAAAATTCAGATAATTATTTTTGACTTTTCTAGAAGACATAATTATCTCTGGAAAGCATATACAGTAGTCTAATTCCAACTGCTACTCATTAAGTATTGGATATGTGATAAAAACTCTATCGATAACTCCAATGTACCTTCTCTAATGTACTGTAAATTTCCATTTCCTATCATGTGCTTGCAAACAAAGATTTCCTATGCCACTAAACTCAATAAGTGAGAAGCTTGCACATTATTTCATTTTGCTATAGCTACGATACATATCAAATGACAGCTACTCCTGGTCCCTCATTTGTATGTTAAATTCCTTGTTAATTTTATGACAAGATTGTTGATCTTGGATTTCACTTTCATTACCGTCTTAGAAACAAATTGGATTTTTCTGCTCCCAGATGCCACTAGAGTAGCTTTGTAAAGCTCATTTTTCTTATCTTTACTTAGTTTCTGTCTCTAACTTTAGTTTCCTTTTTCAGCTTCCCTGACTAATTCTCTTAACCTCCAATTATCTTTAACAGAAGTTACTAATTCTGCAATTCATATATTCTGGAACTGGAATTATCTTTGTTCCTAAGCAACCAAGTATACATATGAAACGGTCTGTACATTAATGCCTCATAATAGCAGCTCTTATTTGGGAAAGGGTTATAGTACATTTAAACCATGTGGTTTTCCAAGCAAGTTAAGACTGGCTATTTGTGTTTAGTGTCAGAATATGTTGAATTAGAAGTTGAAGAGTTTCTAAAGTGATTTTAAGGGCTTGAGGAGAGATGAACCCTTTTGCTTAGAGCCAGAACTTAGATATGGGGTGTAAATATTTATATTACACTAATCATTAAGAGTAATATATTTAATTTTATCCATTTTTTTAGTGCCTTTTTTGAACCAATCACTGGGCTAGATGTGGGGAGGACAAACATGTAAGCAAATCACTGTTAGAAGTAACTTGTACAAAGTGTGTAAAAGGACACAGTGGTGAAAGGGGTGACTTTTAGGAGAAACTTTATAGAGCAAGGACCAGTAAGTTTACCTAAAAGGGGAAGAAGAAATATGGAGAAATTAAGTGGGAAGATGGGGAGGGGAAGTGTGCTAATCACCTAAGAACCTCCGTGCTACAAGAAGGAGTTTGGGTTTGACCATTAGGAGAAACAATTACAAAGCTGAAGCAGCATGCTAAACTGCATTTCACAAATACCACTTTGGCAGCATCAAGGATCGATTGGAGGAGGCAAGACTGGAGGCAGGAAGACTGGTTAAAAAAATGCATATTAGGAAGATATGAGAGAAAAATGATAATGGCCTTATCAAAGGCAGCAATAATGTTCCTTGCAATAGGAATGAACAGAAGTCAACAGGAAATATTAAGAGATGGGATCAAAAGGACATGACTGCAGATTGCTGTTTAGAGTTATGGAAAAAAGTAGAATCCAAAGGTAAATCTCAGATTTCTTGAGTGGTGGGAGAGATGATGACACAAAATGTAACTTTAAAAATGGTAATTAAAAAAAAATGTTTTATGCAGTGGTGGTTAAATTTACTAAAAGATTTTTTCAGGATTCCCATAGTGCAGGAATTAGCAAGCTATATCTCATTCAGGCCAATCAGTTACTGCTAGCGGACCCCATGGCCTTGTGCTCCCCATCTTAACATAGTATCTCTGATTTGTCTCACCAGACAAATCAGAGATACACTTCCCCTTTTATTCCGTGAGGAACCACAAGAGTCTGAACTGTGGCATCAATTTTGCAGTTGGATTTACATCTTTCTTAATGATTTGAAAATAATTTGTTTCAAAAATTGATTTTGACCAGCACACAATTTTGCTGGTATATCATGTTTAAGTAAATGAATTCTCCAGCAGTGAAGCACAACTAAAGTGAAGAGCTGAAGAGCAACTTAAGAAAGAACAATTAATTCCAATAAAGTTGGTAAAATGCTCAGTAAAATAATTTTCTTCCAATGGATGTCAGCATATTTAAACTTTGTGGTGTGATTCAGTTTATATACTCTAAGAGATTCAGTATTTTAGAAAAGTGCTCTTCAAGATTTTCCTAATGTATTATATGTATCTCTCATGAATTGAATTGATTTAGAAATTTAGTGTAAAAGTGTTACACACAGCCAACATGATTTATAAAGGATCTAGGATGCAATTATAATATTTTTGTGAATCAATTATGCCTTTTTAGGAAAAGATTTAGAAGTTAAAAATGCAGCTAATGAAGCTGTTAGAAAATAAAACCTGTATTAGTAGTCTTGGATTTAACAAGGAGAACAATCAGGAGTTGCTAAATATGGTCATCAAGTAGTAAACTTCACGTAGAAATAAAAAAATTGACCAAGTTCAGTAAAGAGATATTTATTTAGGTTAAAAATACCATTCAAAAACATTGGGAGAAGGTATTTATTAATGGAGATACCTTCTTCAGTGGCGATGATAAAGTCTCATTCATTGTTTTTCTTTATATAGTAAGAATTAGTCCTTTTTAGGAAGTGTGTGATATATATCACCATCTGTATTCTCATCCACATGTTACACTATTATTTCTAAATTTCCAAGAATAATCTGTAAAATAACTATTTTGCAGTATTTAATATCTCTATTTTCAGTAACATGTTATTATATTGTGTTGAGATAAATAACACTGATTAATAAATTGGAATATTATGAATGTTTTAATTTAAATTGAGAAATGAATGAGTTTCTGTAAGGACAAACACCTTTGTGTGTAGTATTATAGTTGCATACAAATTTGAGGCTACAGTGTTTGCTTTTTACAATGAATATTTTAACTCTATAATAATTGACATTGATATGGGAAGGTCTTAAATTTTCAGATTTCAGTGCTAAGGATGATAACATTTATGATAAATTGTGGAGACTTGGATATCAGTCTTCTTTTAAATTTCCTTTCTTTATTTCCTAAAATTGCCTACATTAAAACCCCATTCTTTAGAATGTTAGTTCAATGGAAGTGCCTGTTTTCTATAATGTCAGAGATTTAAGGAATTTAAAGCTTATTTCTATTTGGGTGCCACATTTGTTTTCAAAACACCCAATACTGAGGCAAGAGCAGTATTTGCCAAGTAGCAAATTCAAGAGCAAAATGTTTTGGCAGTCATATTGCCTGGCTTTGCCCAGGGTTGGTACCACTGTCCCCACTCCAGGAATGGACAACCTGTTATAACAAAAGTAACTGTGTGCTTATTAAGTGTCAGGTCTTATGGTAAGTGCTTTAAAATGCATTAGTCTTTCAAGAACCCAGTCAGAAGGGTTTTGTCATTACTATTTTCTGATGCAAAAAAAATGAAATTAAAGAAGATTAAATAATTTATCCAAAATAACAGTTAGTGGGTGTGATGAGGTGCTCCCTCAGCTATCACCCTAAAAAATCTAAGAATGCCAGTTCTTCTCAGCTTTCAGTTTGGAGTAGGCAAACATGTATCTAAAAATAAAAATAAATTATTTGATGACACTAAATTTTATATAATCAGCCAAAGTTTATGCAATCATTTTTAATGTTTTTATTCTATTATTTTGTCATCTTATGAAAAATCAGGAACTCAATTCTGTGGTCCTCTAATCTACCTGGATCATAGTGGAGAATTAGAAAGCAGAGAAAATGTGGCAAATCTATGTATTAAAGCAATCCCCTCAAGCACTATCCAGCATTCATTTATTGTTATTTCACACCTAGTTTCAGCAAGCTTTTTTTGTTGCTTAATTTTAAACCTACAATTAAGTCATGCACTATTACAATAAACTTTTTTTTAATGACTCACCTTAAGTAGCTAGAACTATGCTACCCCTGGGTATGCAAGGATGAATTAAGACAGTTTTCCCTGCCTTTAATCTAGAAATTAGATATCAGCAGGAGATGACCACAAGTGGCCAAGTTGACAGAATTGACAGCAGTTAAAAGTGACAGCTGATAGTGGGAGTGGATTCTGAAACACTGTCAAAAGAAAAAAAGCCTAGAGTATTATAGAGTATTTCACTGGGACTTGAGGATGTTACTGAGGACAATACCAGTACCTGGTATTCACACTGAGGAAAAGATTAAATTACATTCAGTGTATTCTGTTAAAGAAGTCAAATAAATGTAATGTCTTTCAATGATTTTCATCCAAAAATAGTGGTACTTTAAAAAATCTTTAGCTGTCATACCTAGAATGACTGTTCCAGATAACCAGAGTTTTACTATGCCTTAATAGTCTCAGTAATAAAACTCAAATAATTGTTGAAGGATGAATTTTTGTTAAGGAAAAAAATCCCAATAGATTTTAGTTGTACAATTTATTCAGAGATAGGAGGTCCTTCTGAGTTCAAGTCTACGTTCCAGAAGTTTTATGTCTGGAATTTTTCATCAAGTCCTAGTGTAAACATTGACTAGAACTTTTTGTTTGACACCATTGTGAAAAATTGCTCTGTGGATAGAAAACATTTTAATCTTGTGTTTCAGCTCATTTGATCTGATGACCATAATTTATAGTTTATTTTTCCTCCCCAAGTGTGTTGTTGACTATGGTATAATTCTTTTTTTCTTTTTCTTTCTTTCTTTCTTTTTTTTTTTTTTTTTTTTTGTTTGATGAGTTTGAAGAGGAAGCTTAAAATACATTTCAGTACATGGCTCTGAATCACTTAAAATCATAAGAGGTTAAAGCTGTAAGGAACTTTATATATCATCGGACCTAGTTCCTTCATGTTACAGATTTAAGCCAGCCCAGAGAGGGTTGGTAACTTGCTCAAACACAATAGGAGTTTTTCACAGGGTCCACATTCCTGTTTGATATATCTGATTCCAATGTCACCTACTTTTTGTCACCTATTCATATTGAGTCATTTGGGGTAGAGGAACAAGGAACAATGCAGGATTCAAAAATGCCTTAAACCCTCCTTATTTATCAAATTATCATCTTGTGGCAAGGCAGTTTTTCTCTGAGCAGCATTGCTGAGACTCAAACTCAGTTTTGAAGTCTTGTTCATTCCTTGGAGGAGTATTTATATTTCCCTATAGGGAACTCTTCCTGCCTTTCTTCTTCTGAGAACCATTTCATTTTTCTGAAAATCATGTACTAAGTACCTACTATGTGACAGGGACTCTAATAGCCCCCAGTGATCAGAAGTAAAGAAAGATCACAGTCTCTTCCTTGCAAAAAAACACAGTCTACAATGGGGAACGAATGGTAAAGCAGTAGTAATAGCAGTGCAATCTGGCACAGGAACATGGGAGCTCAGAGGGCTAACTCAGCCTGGCTTTAGTGAGGAGGTATTCCCAGAGTTTAAACTGGCAAGTTCCAGAAGCCCACACTGATCTTCCATTAGTTTCTAGAGAGATCAGGTGAAGGGACCTGAGATTATTCCTCTTTTAAGGCCTCTCAACTTTACTTTTTTTTTTTTTTTTTTTGGAGACAAGAGTCTTGCTCTATACCCCAGGCTGGAGTGCAGTGGCCTGATCTTGGCTCACTGCCCCTCTGCCTCCTGGGTTCAAGCAATTCTCGTGCCTCACCCTCCCCAGTAGCTGGGGATTACAGGTGCGTGCCACCACACCCAGCTAATTGTCATATTTTTAGTAGAGACGGGGTTTCACCATGTTGGCCAGGTTGGTCTCAAACTCCTGACCTCAAGTGATCTGCCCATCTTGTCCTCCCCAAGTGGGATTACAGGCGTGAGTCACTGCACCTGGCCTCAACTTCACTTTGGTAATATTTTTCTTCTACAGAGTGGTCTCTGTAATCCCTGATCTCTCTAAATGTTAAATATTTACTGTGGAGTCAACAAACCTGAGAGGAGACATCATGGAGAAGGAGATTCCATTACCTCCTACCCTCATAAGAAAATGAAAATCAAATACAGACCAGGGACCATGACTGAAAGGACTCTGAAAGATTGTGGAACCTTTGTATAATAGTATCCATGTTTTTGTTGTCTCCTCTGCATTTCTTACATGACTAAGCACTGACTGGTTAAACCAGAAAAGGAAGCTTAGCTTCTTTCGTTTTTAGGACAGCAAAGATGGGGATGGTGACAGGGGAGTTTGAGACATTCTGTCCCTTTCCATAGCCATTCCTGGAAGAAAGAATGTCCAGGATTAACTGGTTGGTGGCACAGCCACCTCAGGGAAAGGGAAACTGACCCCTGGGGACTGAAGTCAGGAATAAAGAAGTGACAAGGAGCTAGCTGGGGCCTGGGGAAGGCCCTGGGGCTGGACACTAGAAAGACCCACCGGGGTCTTTTCTATTTTTATATTCAACATTTTATCTTTCGTTGTAAAACTCAGGAAAACACCTTTAACAAACAAAAATAACTTCTCTCTTAAGTTGTTCATTTTACTAAATGGCCAACATGGATTGGATATGGTAGAAGGAAAGAACATTTTCTGCAGAAGGGAGAAAAAAACCACAATCTATTTTATGAGGAGGAATGAACTCTGGGAATAGTTCTCTGACCCTTTGTGTGTCAGTGTGTTCTCAGCCTGAACTGGAAGAAAATGGGATAGCATGTGGAATGTGGGAAAGTGCGAAGACTGATGCAAAATTCACTATCTGCCTCATTAAATACACTAGTAGGTTTTCAAGAGAATGAGTCTGTTATCACCACAGTAAATTTCTCACTCTGGGCCTAACTCCTTATCTAAAACTTAATAGAGCTTAATAAGTTCAAATTTTTCCTGTCTTTCTGGGAATCATTTTCACCTTTATCTCTGATCCTGTACTTTCCCTAGGTCAGAGTAAAATATAATGGGAAACGGGCAAGTAGGTAGGAAATGTGGAGAAGGTCAAGGCCTTTTTATAATGGTTCATTGTAAATTTAAAATTCTTAGATATGTATTTCATACAGATTCACATATGTTCTTCTGGATGAATTAGAAATTTTAATTGTGAGGATCAATAAAGTAGCGCAACCAGCTTTCACATCTGTATGAAATTTAGGACTTTGCAAAGGATGTTGCACACCAAAAATTACAAAATAATTCAACGATTATTTGCTACAGTTACCAAAGATTATAATATTAACATTTGCAAGAACATTGCATTTGTGAATAACCAAGTATGATACAAGGAAGAAATCATCCATGTCATTCTCAGAGGATATGGTGTAAGAACTGGCCCATGACTCATGACACCAGGCCCTGCCACTAGGTTGTGTGACTTGAGGAAATAATTTCATCTTTTTGAGAGTTGGTTTCTTCATCTGCAGAATGAGCAAAGAAGGGTGGCTCTTGACTTCATAATCTCTCTTGCAGATATCTGATTCTACTTGGTGCAGTAACAATAATTGCTTGTTATTTTTGCGATCATGTCTTTCCAGTAAAATAAATCTTTAGTGACTCTCAGGTTTAAAAAGAATCTTTTTTGCACCCTATTTTAAAAGCTGCCAGATTTGGGGTTTGGCTGACTACTAAGGAGAGCAGCCTGCTAGAAGGAGCAAATTCCAGAGCTGAGGGTCATTTATTTGGAATGCTTTGCCAAACACTCCCCTATTTTTAAAGTTGTTGGGGGACTTTAAACTTGAATATAGGGTGGTAGGACAATTGTTTGAACCACTCTGTAAATACGTGCATGAAAATCTTGAGGTTTACAAATATTTTTTAATAGTTTGCCACATTTCAATGGCATGTCAAGTTGCAGGGTCCTGCCACTTTTCTTCTTGTTATTTTCCTCTTCTATCAACTTTGCTCACTCTCCCAAAGAAATAGGCAATGAGAAAAAACAGGTCTTAATTTTTACTGGAATGCTCTTTCCATTTGGCTAGAGGTTTCTCAAACCAGGCGGCACCAATCACCTAGGGAGTTTTAAAATCATGGTGATGCCTGAGCCCTACCTCAACTAAGTCAGAATATTTGGGAAAGGAGCCCAGGCATCTGTACATTTTAAAAGCTCCTCAGGTGCTTCTTATCTGCAGCCAGGTTAAACCAGGAGTGTCATCACTGAGTAGGACTATTAGCTTTAATGTGTCCTGTGACCACAATACCAATCAGCTCTCTGGTTAAGAAAAGAGATGAACATAGACATTCTGAAAAGGCAACTTTATAAAGTTGAGGGGAATGTATTTCTTTAGCTTTAATGCCTCACTGTGGGATTTGTCTATACATTTATGTATTTTTAAATTACTATCATAAATTCACAATTAGTACCAAAACCGATCAATTTGTGAATATTTATTGATGCCATTTACATGCATATGTGTTGCTAAATACAATGGGAGGGGGCCTACAGAAAGGTAGAGAACCCAGATCCCACCCACTTCTTGAAGCTTATAATCATTTTGGGGTGCAAGGATTGTGTAAAACAAGACACAAAAATCACACATGTTACAGAAATTAAAAGCTAATATCACTGAGAACAGGAAGACATTACAATTGGCTAGAATCACCTCAGGAGATGGTACTTGGATCTGGGCACCCTTTGAATGTTTTTCACTTATCCGGTAGGTAAGGACATTAGCTCTGGACTAGAAAATCTTGGATCTCCCACAGGTGAGCTCTGTGACCTTGAGCAAGTAATGTTACCTTTATGATTCTCAAACTTAGCTTTGTGAGCTTCAATTTGTAAAATGGAAAAAATGATAAAACTGCTCTCATAGAGTTGCAAGGAATAAATGATATGATGTAAGCAAAATATCTGAAAATTCCTAAGAGCGCAATTTAAGTTCATTTTGTTCCTTCTTATCGCTTTTTTTTTTTTTTTTTTTTTTTTTTTTGCCAAATACACCACTTGGGCAACAGATCAGCCATGGAAATATGATGCAGAAGATCTGCCTCATGCCTGTTCCTAACATAAATCTCTCTCTACCAAAGCTGTCTGTCAGAGATTGTGTTCAAACCAGAACAAGTGGACCCACTCAGTCCAGAGTTACCCTCAACATGAGACAGGCTACCCAGCTGGTTCTCTGTCTTTATAATATTTTTATTTCTTTAAATTTGATGAAAGACCCACTTTTGTGAGTTTTACACACAAATGAAGAGGAGTACAGAAGAGCACATTTCAATTGTAATGTTCATGCCAGGAATAGTAACCTCTTCAAGGATACCACTGAGTGCACACAGAATGCTGGGAGGTCCTGACTCTGCTTATGGAAACCACAGAAACTCATCCCTGAAACTGGTTCTATAGCAGCCATGACCCTCATTAAACTTCCAATCAAGTAAAATTAATATTAGCTATTAGGTTAGATGTTAGGTATTGTCTTTGCCTCCATTTAATCATCTTACTTCCTATGGTACCTGTTAATTATGATTTGAATCTCCTTAACTGCTCAGCCTGGGTGTTTCAGCCATATATAAGTCATAAACAGACTACAATTATCTTACTATTTCTCAGTTACTTGCAAACAACAGGAACCAAGTCTGATAATACAAGAAATGAAGAAATTTTCTGGAAGAAGGCAAAGAGGCTCAGATAGGAACAAAGAGGGGAGGCACAGTCAGAACCCTGCTATAGAAATCACCTGTGTAAGGCAATGCAGCTGATGGAATAGCCACCCCCAGACAACCATCACCAATACACTGGGGCTTCTGAGAGACTCAACCAGAGCTTCTGAGAATAATCTCTGAGTGTGAAAATCAGATTGGCTATTGAAAGGTCACATGCCCACATTCTATGAACCAGGAGCAGGATAACGGACTATTCTATATGCCTACATCTCCTCCTCTCATTCACATCTCCTATGTACCTTCCCCAACCAGGAGGAATTTGTGGATTCTAGGTAGCCAAAACAAAAGAAAATATTCACTAACCATTTTAAAGAAGTTGAAGTAAGAGAACTAACATTTACCAAATACCTTGCAAAGCCAGCCATTGCATTGGTATTAGGGGAACTGGTAGACTGTGCTGTTATTAGTACCTTGCAGTCAGACTGGCATTGTTCAAATCCCAGCTCAGCCACTTGCTGGAAGAAACAATGGTCATGCTGAGCCTGGACTGGCAGGACTCCAGATCCTGATGACATATCACTGTTTTATGTAGCCCTGTTGGACTGATTTCACTTCTTTTTAGTCTCAGGATTTAATTCACAATGAGTTGTTTTTTGGTTTGTTTGTTTGATTTTGAGACAGAGTCTCGCTCTGTCACCCAGGCTGGAGTGCAGTGGCGCGATCTCAGCTCACTGCAACCTCAGCATCCTGGGTTCAAGCGATTCTTGTTCCTTAGCCTCCCAAGTGGCTGGGACCACAGGCATGCAACCCCTCACCCAGCTAATTTTTGTATAGGCGGGTTTTCGCCATGTTGACCAGGCTGGTCTCAAACTTCTAACCTCAGGTGATCTGCCTACCCCAGGCTCCCAAAGTGCTGGGATTACAGGTGTGAGCACTGTGCGAGCCCACAATGAGTTTTTAACACTTACTGTTCCTCATCAGAGATGCCAATTTGTTAGGAAAACAAAGTGCATCCCTTTCAGGCTTCATATCTGCTTAGAAAAAAGCACAATCCTATAAATTACGTAATCATATAAATTAGTTGAGTAATACAAAATTATTTTTCCTTTTATCTGACTTTTTTTTCTGAATAAATTACCTTAAACCTGGCTTCAGTTTGCTCATAAGCTCCTGATATTTGAACAGGTATCTGCCCAACAATCAGAGAGAATTAGTCCTCTGCACCTTCTGAGAGGTATTAAAAAAAAAGGGGGGGAAAGAAAAAGAATCAGTCCAATTGGTAGATTTTAAATGGCTCATTTAAATACTACAAGTTTATCAGTCTCTAAATTTTCAGCCTAGGAAAATTTCAGCCAGGAATTTGATATTAGTCCTGATGCATCACGAAAGTACGGAAACTCAGTTTCTACAGACCCAGGGCTTCCTGGGGTTACCTCAGGCCACTTATATCTCTTATCTGTGCTTTTCCTTAGCTGACATTTGGTTCTAGAATGAAATGGAAGTCAGGAAAGAGGAAAATGATGATGTACTTCCCCACTCCCAACACACACTTGTCTTTAGCCTAAACATTGTTTTCCAATCCAGCTGTCAAACTTCAAGTATGGAAGAGGAGGAGAAAAATCAGCTAGCAAATATATCCAGATTTCCTGCTGGGCACCAAATGCTAAGCAGGGTAGGCCAAAAACATTTAATCAAAAAAACAAGATCCACCACGGTTTTTACTCTCCTAAAGTAAAATATAAATTTGGAGGTGAGCCAAAGTTAAAAATATAAAAATATAGCCAGTGTTTCTCTCCTACTTTCCTAGGGTTGCTAGGTTTTGGGAGCCTGGGATGGGGGAAAACAGTAGAGGAGACATACTTATTATAAAACATTCAAAATAGTGAATGGGACATACTTATTCTAAAAATTTACTTGCTGTTTATCTGAAATTCAAATGTAACTGAGTATCTAGCAACCCTACATCCTGATATTCAACTTTCCTACTCCCCTGGTCATGACTGGCTTGGGCAGGAGAGATCTTTGCCTGGGTAGATGTTGGGAGGAGCCTGGTGAATGTATTCCTTCCCAGGATTGGTCTTGGCTCTAGTTCTGGAGCCTCTGTTGGAAGAATGGAGAAGGGCTCCATTCCAAAAAATGGAATAGGGATCTCCTTCCCTATGTTTGGAAAACACTGGTCTAAGGCTTTCAACAATAGCCTTGAATATCAATGAATGTCTACTTAGCAATCATCTTTTCCAGATGATTCTTATGTCTTAAAATAATGTTACTTCAAGAAGGTGCCTAATTGTAAGACATACTTACAGTAATAGTAGTTGGGTTGTGATGCAATTTGATAATGTGAGATTCTCTTAGAAAATAAAATTAGTAATAAATAACTACAGCTGAGTTTATAATCTTAATAAATTAAGGTAGCTTAATTTAAAATGTATAACTAAACAAAAACTAAGTCACAAAAACTCCTTGATGACATGAATAACATACAGCAGGGAGACAGTAGTAAGTAGTGGCTAAGGGGAAAGGCTGTGGAATTACACCACCTGAGTCTAATATCTAACACTGATTATTGAGGTGACTTACTGAAGTTTCCTCACCTGCAAACTAAGTTACAACCTATTGTGTTTTTTTAATTGATTGAGATTATTAACACTTTTTATAATGCCTGGTCCAGAGTAATGCTCCAAACATTTTACCTATTTTATATGCTAAATTTAAACTTAATCTTTTTGGGACTTAATATATATCCATGCACATCGAGCATATTTTAAATTCAGAAAGGAAACCAATATGCCAGCAGAAATAAAACAAATATTCTTGTTTTCAAATAAAGATCATTTCTTTATGAGAAAGATGAAAATTAACGATCTTTTAGAGATAGTTCAATGTTAGCCACTCACAGTCACAGGTTTAAACCGTGAAGTTAGTGTTTATTTTTATGAATCTAAAAACAATTGTTCCCAGCCATGGCATGAAGTCTTCCTATTGCCCCAACCCACATAAACACACTAGAAATTTTCATTCTTAGGGAGGGATAGGGAGGCTGGGGGCTACTGAATGGACATTTTGTTAGTTAAGAGCTCACTCACAGGCTGAAGGAGTGTGGAATAGGTCCACCATTAGCTATTCTGGCCATACCTCTCTTAGAGATTGGGGTCCTGGTTACCAACGAAGGACCATGTGGCCATATCCAGAGGGTTGGAGCAGGTCTCAGGGCCCATTGCCTGGCACACCTCCTCCCAGAATTCCTGAGGTATAACCTTCTCAGGAAGATAGCAGAGCTCTTTTCTAACACTCCGCTATTTCTGGAGAGTAGTGAGTATATTCCCCTCCAGGCCTTTTCACTTTTATTCAGAAACACAGGGAAAATAATAAAAGTCTGTCTGTATTATGACTAGCTACAACAGGTGGGGGTTTTCTTTGCAGTAATATTTTCAAGTGGTATCACCTAGCAGCTGGATTCCTTTGCCTTAACAGAATTGGCACCCTAAAAGCAAAAGAGATGGAAGCACTGGGAGTGATAAACTTTGTCAGTTTAGAATCAATTTAGATCAGTTTAAAACCATTCAAACTTGACACATTCAAAAGCTTTCAATGCTATCCACTAAGAAATCATATTTGAGGAATTTTTTTCCATTAAACATTTAGTCTGGCTTAAATATAGTAAGATGCTAATCTTTTCGAAACTTGTTTTTCTTTCTTTTTGTAAAAGTCAGTTGAGTTTAATATAACAAAAGGGCTGAATACCAGAGGTAGAGAAGGAAGTGTCCCAGGCTTGGTTTCAAGACAACTAGGTCCTGGATTCTACAACTAAGTGATTTTGTGACCTTGAGCATTACTAGCCATTGTGAGCCTCATTTATAAAGGAGGGATAAAGATTAAAATTATGAAATCTTTCTGTAAGTAATTGGCACACAGAATAGACGTTCAATAAATGTTAACTCTGTAGCCTAGGAGTGATCTGGTTACAAGCTTTGTTAAAACTCCTTCTTTAAGGAAATGTAAAAATAAATTGGTACTGTCAAAGCTTTTATGCCCAGGCCATGTAGAGATTATCTTCCTTCCAAAGAAACTAAAATGGATTGAGAAGACAAATATCATTCCAAGGAAAGGCTAGAAGTCTGCAAAATTATACAATTGTACTTTAGTGCACCAAAGATTAAAAATAATGCAGTCAGAATAACATTTATTTCATCTACCAGAATGTTACCCTATTTCTTGCCTTTGATTAGTTTAAGAATAGGAAACTAAGATAGTACAGACTTATAAAGATATAACGTATTTATAAATATGTATCTTTGCATATGCAAATTATAATATACATATTTTAAAAGTTTGCTTCAGTGAAATTTAGAGCATGAGCAGACAACCTATTTTTGGTGAAGAGTCAGAGATAATAAAGTTTTTAGCTTTTGCTGGCCACACAAGCTCTGTAGTGACTACTTGACTCTATCATGGTATGGCAAAAGCAGGTCTCAGGGCCACAGACAATAGTAAATAATAGGATATGATTGCGTTCCCATAAAACTTTATTTACATAAGCAGGTAGTGGGCAGGATTTGGTCTGTAGGACACAGTTTGTTGAACCCTGGCCTAGAGCATGATATAGAGTATGCTTACAAACTGGGCATAATTAAGATAACTATTCTAGAGGAAAAAGAATGTATATGCTTAGATTAACTCAGCAATTACATAAACACAACTGTAGTACATACATCTATTCTTTTAGCATCAAGGCTTGCTGAGTTGAAAAAAAAATGGTATGGTTCTCTAACTATATTCTGTTGAGTTGCTGGTGTGTAAATCACATTGTAACTGGCCACTATTACTTTTTGGAGTTCTAACATATGCTTATTTGCACATTAGGGTTTACTGTTTTTCTGTGATAGACAAATACTGAAATTTGATTCAGATCCATTACACAAATGGCCAAGACAGGATATTCTGTGAATTTCCTGGGAAGTATATTCAAGTATCACTTACCTGACAGCATCTGAGCCATTGTGTTATAAGGAATTTCCTGCAGGGATTGAATTAGTTAGGCTTAGCCCTCAGTGGTTTTGTAACTATTTCCCGCATTCACCTTAAACAATGCCTTTTAGAAGTGGTTTTTGGGTGATTCTTTTTCTCCAGGAAGAGATTATAAATAATGAAATGATTAGACCATTAGAGAATTTAAATCAGTAGAGAATGCTAATTTCTTTTTTTGTCATAGTAACAGAGCAAGCCAACTTAATCAGTGCCCTGACAAAGCATCCAGCACCAACACATACATTAGAAAGGTATCTAATTCCTCACCATTTTGGTATTCTAATTTTATAAATTTTAATTCTATTCCATTTTGAGAGTATCTAGGGATCAGAACCTTTATGGAAGACTAATAACTAGGTAAACACTATTACCTAGCTTAAGAGACCCTAAAATGTCAGTGACTTCATACCACAATGGTTTATTTTGCTCATGTATCTCATTCCTGTGTGAGTTAGATGACCCCAATCCCTCCTGTACTATGCCCTTGGGAACACACATCTCTATGGTTACAGTCAAAGGAGAGAGTTGTAGATAGAAAACGGCACACTTCCAAGTCTTTGCTATTGTGAATAGTGCCGCAATAAACACACGTGTGCATGTGTCTTTATAGCAGCATGATTTATAATCCTTTGGGTATATACCCAGTAATGGGATGGTGGGGTCAAATGGTATTTCTAGTTCTAGATCCCTGAGGAATCACCACACTGACTTCCACAATGGTTGAACTAGTTTACAGTCCCACCAACAGTGTAAAAGTGTTCCTATTTCTCCACATCCTCTCCAGCACCTGTTGTTTCCTGACTTTTTAATGATCGCCATTCTAACTGGTGTCAGATGGTATCTCATTGTGGTTTTGATTTGCATTTCTCTGATGGCCAGTGATGATGAGCATTTTTTCATGTGTCTTTTGGCTGCATAAATGTCTTCTTTTGAGAAGTGTCTGTTCATATCCTCTGCCCACTTTTTGATGGAGTTGTTTGCTTTTTTCTTGTAAATTTGTTTGTGTTCATTATAGATTCTGGATATTAGCCCTTTGTCAGATGAGTAGATTGCAAATATTTTCTCCCATTCTGTAGGTTGCCTATTCACTCTGATGGTAGTTTCTTTTGCTGTGCAGAAGTTCTTTAGTTTAATTAGATCCCATTTGTCAATGTTGGCTTTTGTTGCCATTGCTTTCGGTGTTTTAGACATGAAGTCCTTGCCCATGCCTATGTCCTGAATGGTATTGCCTAGGTTTTCTTCTAGGGTTTTTATGGTTTTAGATCTGACATTTAAGTCTTTAATCCATCTTGAATTAATTTTTGTATAAGGTGTAAGGAAGGGATCCGGTTTCAGCTTTCTACATATGGCTAGCCAGTTTTCCCAGCACCATTTATTAAATAGGGAATCCTTTCCCCATTGCTTGTTTTTCTCAGGTTTGTCAAAGATCAGATGGTTAGATATGTGGCATTATTTCTGAGGCCTCTGTTCTGTTCCATTGGTCTATATCTCTGTTTTGGTACCAGTACCATGCTGTTTTGGTTACTGTAGCCTTGTAGTATAATTTGAAGTCAGGTAGCATGATGCCTCCAGCTTTGTTCTTTTGGCTTAGGATTGACTTGGCAATGCAGGCTCATTTTTGGTTCCATATGAACTTTAATGTGGCACATATACACCATGGAATACTATGCAGTCATAAAAAATGATGAGTTCATGTCCTTTGTAGGGACATGGATGAAGCTGGAAACCATCATTCTCAGCAAACTATCGCAAGGACAAAAAACCAAACACCACATGTTCTCACTCATAGGTGGGAATTAAACAATGAGAACACTTGGACACAGGAAGGGGAACATCACACATCAGGGCCTGTTGTGGGTGGGGGGAGGGGGGAGGGATAGCATTAGGAGATACACCTAATGCTAAATGACGAGTTAATGGGTGCAGCACACCAACATGGCACATGTATACATATGTAACAAACCTGCACGTTGTGCACATGTACCCTAAAACTTAAAGTATAATAAAAAAAAAAAAGAAAAAGAAAATGGCACACTTGCTCTTGACTCCCTTGGCCGGAGGTGGAGGTAATACATTGTTAGTTCTGATCCTTGTTCATTGATGAGAACCAGCCCACATGGCTTCCACCTACTGCTAGGGACTCTGGGACATACAGACAAGCACATAATTATTTGGTGATATTTGGTGAGCCCTAACTGCCGCAGAAAAACTTTTGAAGCATTTAGTTCTCTCCCGAGACCAGAAATCAATCAGGTAAACATGAATAAGAAATTTATAGTATTATCTCAGTTTTTTTTTATTGGCTTTAACAAGAGCATATGCTGGGAGGATATTTGCTATATTCTGCTAGTTTCCCCAATTTAAGGTTGTCTGTTTTGATTAAAACCCCTTAGCCCAGTGGAAAGATGAAACTCTCATCTATTTAGTCCTTAATATCTCTATCACTAAATGGATAGGTTTCATGTACTCTTCAGTATTGATAGCCTACTTTCTAAGTGTGTGTGTGTATGTGCATGTGTTTCTGCCATTACAGTCATTGTATGAAACAATTATGTATTCTGACAACAGCTAGCACAGATTTATCTATTTAATAAATGTTGGTTGATTAATAGATAAAGGCACGTTTATATATACCAGCAAATACGAAGACTTGGATTCAGTAAAGTTTGATACCATTCAATAGCATTAAGATTAAGGATGACTGTGACGGCCTTTAGTTTGCATTTTTAGACTGCTTAATTTGGGTCAATGTTTCTCAAAGTTATCTCCAGTGGTCTAAACTGTTAAATCTGTTCCGAAGTCTAGGAACCTATGTCAGTCAAAAAAGTATGTTTTTAGACAGCTCTCCTCACCCCATTCCGTGTGAAGATGGCCCCACTGATATTCATAAAAAATAAGAATATTCCCTCCCAATGAATGTTGCTATAAGGAAATTTGCTCATACAGAATTGGTAAATGGAAAAATGATGTCACTATAATACATAAGTCACTATAATTCAGTTTTCCCTAGCACCTTAATGTTTATACTACCAATGCCACCACTTGAATGCCAAATACACTAAGAGTTGGACACAGTAAGCATATACTCATACAGTATTGTAAGGAATTCCCATTCTCCTTGTATTCTTCCTCTTTGCCTAGTTTTGCTGTGTGTGATTTCTTGGAAGGGCTTATATAATTGGCCCCAAACTTAGTTCATTTTGCCCTTGTCCCCACAACTATTCAGCCTTAACATTTTCTTACTTCATTCCACTGTAATCATTTATTTAGTATAGAATTTATTAGGAATCTAAATGCCTTTAAAATTATGCTAGTATTTTTATTTGAGTTGTTTCGACTTTATGTTTTAGCTAAAAAGGTGTATGGACTTTGAGTTGACTGCCCCAACTCTGTTTTTATCATAAGCTGTATGATTTTTATGTGTGATTTTGTAGA
This sequence comes from Homo sapiens, assembly GCF_000001405.40. Lineage (NCBI taxonomy): Eukaryota > Metazoa > Chordata > Mammalia > Primates > Hominidae > Homo > Homo sapiens. The sequence continues at coordinate 52,821,954 of NC_000005.10, forward strand.
AAACACAAGATTGCTTTTAGGAATGAATATATCACATTATAATAGAAATATCTGTTTTCTTGCAACTTAAATTGCATATATTTTATGAATGGAAGAATGTCAACAACAAAATTGGCAATGGGACTATTTGAGAATTTGCCATGTGGAGGCCGTTTCCTGACCTTTTATCCTTTATATGCTAGAGTGCTTTAGAGTTTCCAAATGGTGTTCATATGTGGAATTTTATGTCAATCCTTGAACAATACTACAAGGATCATTATTAACATTTCTACTTGATAGACTTGGAAATCAAGGCTCAGAGGAGACAAATGTTTTGCCTACAGTAGATTGGTGACAACATTCTGGCTATAATTAGTTACTCTATTCAAATAAACATATTTGAGCTTCGATTTTACTTAGGGCACTGGGGATACAAAGATAATTAAAATGAAACTCAGTCCTCATCCAACCAGTTGCCTCTCTTCTTCCTCCCACTGATTCAGGGACACTTCCGTTTGGACTGGGCAGAGCTAGACAATCTCAAACTCATAGAGGCATCTGCATTGCTAGTTTCCTAGAAGAGCTGGAGGCTGAGTATCCGGACTGCTCTGCATAGGGGATATGGGACACTTAGGTGGCTCCTGGCCAAGTGGCCCAAGCCTGTTGCTGACTGGAAGTCTGTCACTTGGCTCTCCTCCCTCGCCAGTTCGTATTGTAGCCTCTACCCTTGACACTGTCTCACCCAGTGGAAACACAGCTGCAAGAGCTGCAGAAGGCCTATTACTTCTAATCTTTCTGCTTCGTATGATCGGTAATTACACCCCAGGGACACATAATGAAGATGGTTCATCACTGCTTTTTATGTGCTTCATAGTGTGAGATAGTGGACTGGGAACTTGAATCAGAGCAAGAAAATTGTTTTCTGCTCTAGGTTTGGTCACTTAAACTAGCCACAGTATATTAGGCAAAATATTTCAACTGCTTGGGCATCAGTGTTCTCATCATTTGAGGACACTGTCTCATTAGATGGTCGAATAGGGACTTTTCCAGCTATAGCCTTCTGAGATTCCTCAAGGACACATCGAGTTTGTATTGCATGGTCAAAAGAGGGCTCCAAGGAACCAGGTCTAACAAGCTTTAAGGTGAGTGAGTTCTCTCAATGGTGCCCCGACTTTCCTGACATCCTTCTGAATCTTAGACAAGCCTCGGAGAGAGATACTCATGGAATGACCAAAATGGTAGCACCAGATCTGTATGAGGTATTTAATCATTTTATTTTATTTTAATTTTTAGACAGAGTTTTGCTCTGTTGCCCAGGCTGGAGTGCAGTGGTACGATATTGGCTCACTGCAACCTCCGCCTCCCGGGTTCAAGCAATTCTCCTGCCTCAGCCTCCCGAGTAGCTGGGATTATAGGCTTGCGCCACCATGCCCAGCTAATTTTTGTATTTTTTAGTAGAGATGGGGTTTTGCTCTGTTGACCAGGCTGGTCTCAAACTCCTGGCCTTAAGTGATCCACCCACCTCAGTCTCCCAAAGTGCTGGGATTGCAGGTGTGAGCCATGGCACCTATCCAAATCATTTTAAATGGTGATGATTATGTCCAATAAGTCCATCTTATTCTCTTGGGCATCTCAACCTTTTCCTGCCTTAGGAAAATGGAGGTCCTCTAACTCCTAAGATCTTGTCACATGATCCTGCTGTAGGCAGAACCCACACCAGTTAAATGTTTATTTACTTGATCAATGTTTAGCCTGTGGTTGGCTTTTAAATATCCCAACGGAGACTGAGAAAGCAGTGCAGAGAGTGCTAAAATACAGACAAAGGAAAAGAAAGAATTGGAAACTAGGAGAAAACAAGGAAAAAAGAAGGGGAAAGTGCTTTCAGCATTTCTTTTCAACTTCCTCTACATGCTTAGAAAACAGAATTGACTTTTGTATGTCTGTGGTAGCTTTACAAATAAATTAAACATATTATCAACGTTTGCCAATTTATTTTACAAGTATACGGAATATCATTAGCACATTCTGGTGATAGTATGTCAGATATTTAAAGAGCTCTAGCTTGAAGAAAATGGGCCTTACTTTAAGAGTGCTATATTTGTTTTATGTTCTCATACTTAATGATCTGGGACCTAATTTTCTTCAGCCCTGATTATGCTTTGTTTCATGACCTTTAATATATATATATAGTAATCATTAAATCAAATAATTATAAGTCACTTACCAAAGGAATTAAATATGGAAAATGCATTTGAATATGTACATGATTCATCCACATTTTAATATCTATCCTTACTTCTGTTTCCTTTTGTCTCCCATTAATGATAAAATAGCTGAGAAGATTGTTCTCTCTTTTCTTTCTTTTTTTTTTTTTTTTTAGACGGAATCTTGCTCTGTTGCCCAGGCTGGAGCGGAATGGCATGATCCCAGCCTATGGTGACCTCTGCCTCCCGAGTTCAAGAGATTCTCCTGCCTCAGGGTCCCGAGTAGCTAGGATTAAAAGCATGTGCCACCACGCCCTGCTAATTTTTGTATTTTTAGTAGAGATGGGGTTTCACATGTTGCTCAGGCTGGTCTTGAACTTCTGACCTAAAGTGATCCGCCTGCCTTGGCCTCCCAAAGTGCTAGGATTACAAGCATGAGCCACTGTGCCCGGCCAGATTGTTCTCTCTTAATGGGCTGATAAGTAACCAAGTAAAACATATTGTACTTTTACCCCATGCTAGAGGCAGCAAGCCCAAGCTGCAGAATGCCCAATTACACAATCCTCTATTAGCCACCAAAGAGAAGATACTTTTAAATTTGTATTACATTATTTAAATAGAAAAAATAAAGACAGAAGATCCTTTAAAAAGCAAACTGGATAAATAGTACTTCAGAATTCTATATATTATTTGTTACAACTGCATGTAAACCTATAATTACCTCAAAATGAAAAGTTTAGTTTTTAAACAAAGCCTATTATTGTATGATTAAGGTGGATAATTGAGCTGCTTCTTATTTTTATTATAGTAAAATATACATAAAATAAAATGTATTATTTTAACTGCTTTAAAATTGTAATTCAGTGGCATTAAGTACATTTACAAGGTTGTGCAATATTGTGAACCACTGTCTGTTTCAGAACTTTTGTTACTACATCCAGTGGAAATTCTGTATCTGTTACTCTTATTCCTCCCTTCCCTCTGCTCCTGGGAACTACAGATCTGTTTTCTGTTCCTATTAACATGCCGCTTTAAATAATATTTCATATAAATGAAATCAGACAATAAAAAGGTATTTTGTGTCTGGCTTCTTTCACTTAGTGTGATGTTTTCAAGATTCATTCATGTCATAGTATGTATCAGTATAGGCCCATCTTGTTTTAATGCACTTCACTTTATTGTGCTTCATAGATACTGCGTTTTTCACAGATTGAAGGTTTGTGGCCCACTCTTCACTTGAACAAGTAACAGCAAGTGCTCATTTTGTGTCTCTATGTCACATTTTGGTAATTCTCGCAATTTCAAAATTTTTCCTTATTATTATATCTGTTATGGGGCCTTGTGATCAGTGGTGCCAGGAACTGTGCCTATATAAGATGGAAATTTTGATAAGTGTGTGTGTTCTGACAGCTCCACTGACCAGCTGTTTCCTTCTCTCTCTCCCTTTTCTTGGGCCTCTCTATTGCCTGAGGCACAAAAGTATTGAAATTAGTCTAAAATAGGCAGGGCACAGTGGCTCATGCCCGTAATCCCAGCACTTTGGAAGGCCAACACAGGCAGATCACAAGGTCAGGAGATCGAGACCATTCTGGTCAACATGGTGAAACCCCGTCTCTACTGAAAATGCAAAAATTAGCTGGGCGTGGTGGCGCCTGCCTGTAATCCCAGCTACTTGGGAGGCTGAGGCAGGAGAATCGCTTGAACCAGGGAGTCAGAGGTTGCAGTCAGCTGAGATCATGCTACTGCACTCCAGCCTGGGTAACAGAGTGAGACTCTGTCAAAGAAAAAAAAAAAAAAAAGGAAAGAAGTTAGTCTAAAATAACCTTACAGTGGCCTCTAAGTGTTCAAGTGAAAGGAAGTCACACATCTCTCACTTTAAATGAAAAGCTAGAAATGACTGCGCTTAGTGAGGAAAGCATATTGAAAGCCAAGATAGGCCAAAGCTAGGCCTCTTGGTCCAGTTAGCTGAGTCATGAATGTAAAGGAGAAGTTCTTGAAGAAAATTAAGTGCTACTCCAGTGAACACATGAATGATAAGAAAGCAAAGCAGCCTTATTGCTGATATATAGAAAGTTGAGTGGTCTGGGAAGGTCAAACTAGCCACAACAGTCACTTAAGCCAAAGCCTAATCCAAAGCAAGATCCTAACTCTCTTCAGTTCTATGAAGGCTGAGAGAGGGGTGGAAGCTGCAGAAGAAAAGTTGGAAGCTAGCAGAGGTTGGTTCATGAGGTTTAAGGAAATAAACCATCTGCATAACATAAAAGTGCAAGGTGAAGCAGCAAGTGCTGATGTAGAAGCTGCAGCAAGTTATCCAGAAGATCTAGCTAAGATAATTTGGTAAAAGTAGCTACACTGAACAACAGATTTTTAGTGTAAATGAAACAGCCTTCTAGTGCAAGAAGGTGCCATCTAGGACTTTCATAGCTAGAGAGAAGTCAGTCTGGATTCAAAGCTTCAAAGGACAGGCTAACTCTTCTTAGGGGCTAATGTAGCTGGTAACTTTAAGGTGAAGCCAAAGCTTATTCCAAAAATCCTAGGGCCCTTAAGCACTATGCTAAATCTACCTACACTCTATAAATGGAACAACAAAACCTGAATGACAGCATATCTGTTTACAGCATAGTTAACTGCATATTTTAAGCCCATTGTTGAGATTTACTGCTGAGAAAAAGAGATTCCTTTCAAAATATTACTGCTCATTGGTGATATACCCAGTCACCCAAGAGCTCCAGTGGAGATGTACAGAGATAAATGTTGTTTCAATGACTTCTGATACAAGATTCATTCTGTACCCATCTATCAAAAAGTAATTTTGACTTTCACGTCTCATTATTTAAGAAATACATTTCATAAGACTATAGCTGTCATAGATAGTGATTCCTCTGATGGATCTAGGAAAAGTAAATTGAAAACCTCCTGGAAAGGATTTACCATTATAGATGCCATTAAGAACTTTTTTTTTTTTTTTTTTTTGGTTTATGGGAGGAGGTCAAAAGATCAACATTAACAGGAGTTTAGTAGAAACTGATTTCCAACCCTCATGGATGACTTTAAGGAATTCAAGACTTCAGTGGAGATAGTAACTGCAGATACGGTGGGAATAGCAAGAGAACTGGAATTAGAAATAGAGCCTGAAAATGTGACTGAATTGCTGTGATCTCATGATAAAACTTTAGTGGATGAGTTGTTTCTCATGGGTGAGTAGAGAAAGTGGTGTCTTGAGATGAAATCAATTCCTGAAATCAACTCCTGGTGAAGATGCTGTCAACATTGTTAAAATGACAACAAAGAATTTAGAATATTCCATAAACTTAGACGATAAAGCAATGTCAGGATTTGAGGATTGACTCTAATTTTGAAAGAAGTTTTTCTGTGGGTAAAGTGTGATACAAAAGATGCTCAACAGCATTAATCATTAGATATTCAACCGTGGGTAAAATTGCATGCTACAGAGAAATATTTTGTAAAATGAAGAGTCAATTGATGTGGCAAACTTCATGGTTTTATTCTATTCTGAGAAATTGCCAGAGCCACTGCAGCCTTCAGCAACCACCACCCTGCCCAGTCAGCAACCATCACCATTGAGGCAAACCCTCCACCTGCAAAAAGATTATGACTCACTGAAGGCTCAGATGATTGTTAGCGTTTTTAATCAATAAATTATTTTAAGACTAAGGTATGCATATTGTTTTTGTAGAAATAATGCTTTGTGTACTTAATAGATTACATTGTAGTTCAAACACAACTTTTATATGCACTGGAAGACCAAAAAATTTGCATCACTTGCTTTATTGCAGTGGTCTGGAACCAAACCCGCAGTATCTCTGTGATGTGCCTGTACTTCATTCCTTTTTCATAGCTGAATAATATTCTATTGTATGGATATACCACATTTCATGTATCTATTTAGCAGTTGATGGACATTTGAGTCATTTCCACCTTTTTGGCTATTGTGAATATTACTGCTATGAACAATTGTGAACAAGTTTTCTCTGAACATATGTTTTCAATTCTTTGGGGGTGATATACCTAGGAATAGAATTGTTGACTTGTAGGGCAACTCTATGTGTAACTTTTTGAAGAACTGCCAAACTGTTTTCCATAGCAACATTACCACTTTACATTCCCACCAACAATATATGAGAGTTCCAATTACTACACATCCTTGTCAATCCTTATTTTCTGTTTTTGTGTTTTTTTTATTATGGCCATTCTACTGGCTGTGAAGTGATATCCCATTGGGGTTTTAATTTACCTTTCCCTAATAATTAATGCTGTTGAGCATCTTATTATGTGCTTATTGGCCATTTGTGTAACTTATTTGGAGAAATCTCTATTAATATTTACTCATTTTTTAATTGGGTTGCTTGCCTTTTTGTTGTTGAGTTGCTTCTTATTTTAAAAGAAATCAGACTCAAGAGGACTTTAGTTGCATGGGAAATATTCTAGGTCTGGGTGATGGTTTCATGGATGTGTTCACTTTGTGATAATTTGTGCACTTATATATTTCTCAAAAATGAGCATGTGTTTCCTTTCTTGAATGTATTAGTTTCCTAGAGCTACTGTACCAAATTAGTACAAACATTAGTGGCTTAAAACAATATATTGTCTCACATTTCTGGAGGCCAGAAGTCCAAAACCAAGATGTTGGCAGAGCCATACTCCTTCTGAAGCCTCTATGGGAGAATCATTCCCTGCCTTTTCCAGTTTCTGATGGTTCCTGGCAATCCTTAGCATTGCATGGCTTCTTGACACTTGATACTAATCTCTAACTTTGTCTTCACATGGTCTTCTTTCTCCCTCATGTTTCTGTTTTTGTATATAGGTATCTTAAATACTCCTCTCCTTTCTCTTATAAGATTACCAGTCATTGAATTTTGGCCCCACCATAAAAAACAGGATGATCTCATTTAGACATCCTTAACTTAAATACTTCTGTAAAGAACCTATTTCCAAATAAGGTCACATTTACAGATACCGATACCGGGGATTAGGACTTAGACAAATTTGTGTGGGGGAACACAATTCAGCCCACTATAATGAACATATATTAGGCTTCAGTTTTTAAAAGATGGCTTTAAAAAACAAAATGGAAAACAATTTTACTGGTCAGATGTGGTGGCTCATGCCTATAATCCCAGCACTTTGGGAGGCCGAGGTGGGTAGATCACTTTAGGCCAGGAGTTCAAGATGAGTTTGGTCAACATAGTGAAACCTGTCTTTACCAAAAAAAAGTAATAATGATAATAAACATTTAACAAAAAGAAAAAAGAAAACTACTTTAGAAAAATGTGGTAGTCTAGGTTTCTGAGTCAAAATATCTGTAGGTTAAGGAGGAAAAAAAATTCACGGGATGCTCACCACCATAAAAGTTAGAAATTCTTAATTTTTGAAAAATGATCTCACTGTTTAAAAAGCACAGTTAGATGGAAAAGGGGACTTATATAAAAAAGACTTTCAAAGGATATTTATCTGTTGTGGGTTTTTTTTTCATTTTTTGGAGAGGAAGCTAATGAAAACAGTTCAATACTCATTTATGTAGAGAATATCTTTCAAGACATTAAAAAGCATATTTTTAGTATTGCCAAATACAGAGATTTCTATTAAAATTTCCAGAAGACATTTTTTTGTGTGTGTTCACACTGTTACCCATGGCACATTCCTGGTTTTTTGTTTTTGTTTCTGTCCTTAAGTGATCAATAATATTGGTATTTGGTCATTTTGAACATTGTGATCCTTACCTTTGGACTTGTTAACAACTGGCTGAGGATTCAAGGCATAAAAGGAATATTATGCTTACTATTGAGCCTCAGCACCTTTGTATTTTAATATGACATGTGGCTGATGATCAACCTTGCTGGGTCTCATTTCATATATCAGTTAAATAAATATATGAATGAAGTAATATTTTCTTCCCAAGAGTGATATTTGATTCAATAGATTAAAAGTTATTTGAGTCCCTAAACATAAAAAAGCCAGTAGGGTATAGTAGCTCTGTGGCAAGCAATTTTAGTATCAGAACACATGAATTTAAAACTTTGGACAATGGCCTTATTCAGAACACTAAAAGCTTAGAAGCCTACTCTTTAGATTGTAGTGCTATTTTGGAGGCATATCTTTTTTCTTTTTTTCTCTCAGTTTTTCTTTTTTGGATAGTATTCCCTGTTAAGAAACAGATGATGAGGCTTTAATTCAGTACATTCTCAAATTGTTCCCACTACAAAACTTATTTCAAAGATAAACTTTGGAAGTTTTCATAGGTAGGACTGTAAGAATGTTTTAAATAAATCCTAATCATTTTACCAGAGAGTATACCTTAAAACAAATTTTTCTGGCTTTATTTGACAGGTTTTTTAAAAAAAATAACTTAGTCATTTTTAAGTTGATTGTAGTTCATCCAGAAAGTTACTCCATGTTGGTAAAAGGTTAAAAATTAAGAGAGTCCAATTTTTGAAAATTTTCACAAAGTTCTTTTTATACTTTTAAATTAGTCAAAGGCCAAGTATTTCATAAAGTGTTGATGTAAATTGTGTTACTGATCTTTGATCATAATGTGGAATAGTAGTTGCACTCAAGATATGAAGGAAAAATATGTTACAGGGTTTGGCTTTGAAATAACTGACATACAGCAGAGGCACTCACCCTAACATACTTTCCATCTATACGCCAGGCAGGGCTGTCAGTTTGTGGAAAGGCAAACTGGGACCTCCCTCAGCTCTGCCCTCCTAATAAGACCATCCTGACACAAAGCAGCAATTATTCTTTGATGACATCACCACCGTCTTGCCCTTATTTTTATGTGCATAATGGAAGATTTCAACTTTAAATCTGACCTAGCCATGAAAGTCAGTGTGAGTCCTGCATCATGTTTTCATCCTGCTATGTTTTTACTTTCTGGTAGTGCTTTTAACACAGAGAGTTTCCAACTTGAAATATAGAGACCTTTTAGGAAGTTTTTTACATAGGAATCACCTGTCTAATCAACTACAAGAGGTCACACTTTTTTTTTTCCTTTGAGATGGAGTCTCCTCTGTTGCCTAGACTGATGGGCAATAACGAAATCTTGGCTCACTGCAACCTCTGCCTCCTGGGTTCAAGCGATTCTCATGCCTCAGTCTCCCGAGTAGCTGGGATTACAGACGTGCACCACCACACCTCGGCTAATTTTTGTATTTTTAGTAGAGATGGGGTTTCACCATGTTGGCCAGGCTGGTCTCGAACTCCTGACCTCAAGTGATCTGCCCACCTCAGCCTCCCAAAGTGCTGGGATTACAGGAGTGAGCCACTGCACCCAGCCAGAAAGTCACACAGAGGGTTACCCAAACTAAGTCTCAAGATACCTGTTTCTAATGACTTTTAGATAGCATAGACCTCTTTATTGATTAAATAGGAAAGAGAAAAGAAAAAAAAACTCTAGAATTTTTAGGATTCATAAAATTGGCATCACAATAACAGTAATCACTTATGGCTCCTAAGAATTTTTTCTTTTTTTTTTTTAACCTTAAAGATTAGTTAATTTAATTACATCTTAAATACATCTCGCAAGTGACTACAAATTCTTTGAGGGCAGAGACAATATATTTTTTTTACCTTTTAATCCCTTAAAGACCTTCTACCTTTCCTTTCACATGGGACTTTTATTAATGTCCGCTGAATGAATATAACATATTCATAATATAGTCATGTCTATACATTGATTAACATATTTGTTATCAACTGCAGAGTAGGCCCAGTCTTTCTCTTTTACTCTCTGTCCTTTTAAGAATTTTAAGAGCTTTTTGGGGAAAATAAAGTAAGAAGAAAACAATGAGTCATGTCTTTGTAGCCATCTAGATTTCTTAGCTCTGTTGCCTCATTCTTCCTCCTCATTCTTCCCCCAGCCACGGTGGAGAAATAAAGTTGTCTGGGGGCTCATTACTGGACTACCCAATCTCAGTTCCCTTCTGTACTTTAGAACTCTCTCCTTCCCTCATCTTGATTTCACTAGGCCACACTATAACCCTGCTTCCTGGAGAGAATCAGACCCATGTAAGCTCTTGAGCCTCCTGTTCCATGGATCTCTCCACCAAGACAAGAGCCTACTCCAGGCTGCCAACCTGAGATTAGAGAGTTCATACTCTGATTGGTCCCCATAGAATTAATCAACGGTGGCCAAGAGTGTAGGTAACTAGATGGCTCATTCAGATCTGATACTCATTCCTGGACTTGTCAGCTGTGGCCTGGGTGGCAGAGTCACTTAAAAACATTGCAGCATCTTCAGAAATCTTTGGTTGGAGTAGAATAGATGCCAAAAAAGGTAGTTGTTGGCTTCTGATGAAATGGAAGGGTCAAATTAAATAATAGCTGAGGTCTCATCCCTTCTACCCATAAGATTCTATGATTTATCACTAAAACAATCACATATTAGGAGGTCATAAATAATTCTACACAAGTTCTTCTAATCTCCATATTTTCTTACACCTATGGTCAAATACATCTCTCTTGCAAGAATTATATAACCAAATATTACATACACTATGTTAGAATAAAGAATGAACACTATCACTAGAACTTGGAAGCAGATTTAAATACTGAAAAATATTATAGGTATCGAAAAGACCCTTTTTATTCTGGCAGAAATATATAAATCTGTGTGTGTGTGTGTGTGTGTGTGTGTGTGTGTGTGTGTGTGTGTGTCTTCTGGTGCTATTTCTCAAAAGAGTTTTTTTTTGGTAGATTTTTTTTGGTTACTTTTTTATTTCATTTTGTTAAGCCATCAAAAGCTTTGAGATTGGGCTGGGCATGATGGCTCATACCTGTAATCCCAGCACTTTGGGAAGCCAAGGTGTGTAGATCATTTGAGTTCAAGAGCTCGAGACCAGCCTGGCCAACATGGTGAAAACCCATCTCTACTAAAAATACAAAAATTAGCTGGGCATGGTGGTACACACTTTTAATCCCAGCTACTTGGGAGGCTGATGTGGGAGGATCACTTGAACCCAGGATGTGGAGGCTGCAGTGAGCCAAGATAGTGCCACTGCACTCCAACCTGAGTGACGGACCGAGACTCTGTCTCAAAAAAAAAAAAATGCTTTGAAATTAGCCTTTACCTGTGTGTACTACAATTTAAAAGGCCATCTTTGAAAAGACAGTAAAACAGACTTTTACTATGAAAAGCTACCATCTGGAACCCTTAGTAAACTGACTGTTGTCTCATAAAGAGTACAACCAAGCCTAATGCAACTTAATTGTTCACACAGTTATGTAAGATGTACTTCTTCTATAACTCTACAGGACTTAAAAGAACTCATAATACTATATGATTGTATTATGGGTTCCATAAAACATTATGACAATGTATTTTCTGGAAAAATGTTTCCTAGTGAACATGCATACCCCAGACATTTTACCTTTCTCTTAAATTATTCCATCTGATTTTACTACCTTGCTCTTGCTAGAGTTAAGAGTTTTCTGAAAGCTTATTCAGTGTTAACTAATGTTACTTTTCCTGGGCCATTTTTGTTGGTATTGAGTTTTTTCTTTATGTGATCATAAAGTTATAGTTTAGAACAAGGTTATTTTGTTGCAAGAGTCTATTTAGGTGTAATATTTTTTAAGCAAATTGAAGTTGTTCTGATAAATGTTTATCTAAATTAAAATATAACTCCATAAACTATGATGTGGCCATTTAAAGGGGAGGTATATTAACTTTGTGGAATTGTGCCATTAAAGACAAAGAAAAAGAAAAAAGAAAAGCAGTTGGCTGGATGAAGTAGTATAGAATTGCAAACTTACATGAGATAATAATTAGAATCAATAAGACACCTAATGGAAAAAGAATATTCATATGATATATTCATTCATTCAACAAATTTTATTAAACACATCATCTACCAATGAATCTATGAAGATCAGGTACTTTAGCAATATAGAACAATGTACAATAACACATAACATAAGACAGTCCATGTGAAGGCAGTTCATTCCTGGTGTGGTGGCTCTATTGTCAGCATAACCCTGTGTTACTTTCATCTTTCTGCTTCAGCACCTAGCACATCACTTCTGTTCAAGTTCACTTCATAGTCCAACAGGGCAGTTGAAGCCTGTCTTAGTCTGCTTAGTTGCCATAGCAGAATACCATAGACTGGGTGGCTAATATAACAGAAATGTATTCTCCCTCTGCTCTAGAAGCTAGAAGGCCAAAATCAAGTTGCTTTCAGCTTGATTTTTGATGAGGCTTCCCTTCCTGTCTTGTAAATGGCCATCTTCTTGCCGTATCCTCACACGGCCTTATCTCTGTGTACATAGTGGAGAGAGACAGAGAGAAAGGGGGTGGAGAGAGAGAGAGGGAGAGAGAGACAGAGAGAGAAAAAGAAGGAAGGAAGGAAAAAGAGAGAGAAAGAAGAAAGGGAGAGGAAGAAAGAGAAAGAAAGAGAAAGAGAGAGAGAAAGAGAGAAGAAAGAAAGAAAGAGAGAGAGAGAAGAAAGAGAGAGAAAGAAGAAAGAAAGGGAGAGAAAGAAAGACAGAAAGAAAGAAAAAGAAAGAGAAAGAAAGAAAGAAAGAGAAAGAAAGAAGGGGAAGGAAGGAAGGGGAAGGAAGGAAGGAGAGAAAGAGAGAGAGAGATCTGGTATCCCTTTCTTTTATTATAAGGACAATGGTCCTATCAGATTAGGGCCCCAGTGGTTGTGATTTCATTTAACCTTAATTACTTCCCTAAAGGCCCTATTTCCAAATGCTGTCACTTTAGCGGTTAGGGCTTCAACATATGAATCTCAGGGGACACAATTCACTCTATTGAGTGAACGCTAACTATTATACAAGAGTTCATAACTGAGAGAAGGACAAAGAAGAAAGGTAGAAGAAGGATAAAAGAGAAAGTAGAAGGACGTAAAAGGCATTCTGAGTTGAATCAGTTCTGCACAGGGGATTTCTGGGATATCCCATACAATACTTCCACTTACTTTTTTTGGGCCAGTATTTAGTCGTACAGCTATGCTATCTACCTGTTGTCTTCTGGCTGTGTACACTGCTGCCCCAAGTAAAGATTTTATTACTAATGAAAAAAACGGATATTAAGAGCTAATAAGCCTTCTTAATCATATCCAGAACTGTGCTAGGCGTTGAGAATGAGAATATAAGTTCTTATTTTTAAGTACTCTAAGGAATTCCCAGTCTAACAGGAGACTAGTACATGTAAACCAGTTACCTTTAATATAAAGCGATACATCCTATGGGATAAATGTGTACAAGTTCTGCAAAAACAGAGGAAGAATGATTATCAACGGGGGAGTTGGGGAGAGTTCACCAGGCTAAGAATTGAAGAAAGGAATTTCCAGAAGTGGGGAAAACTTTAGCAGAAGTTCGATTGAGAATACAAGATGTTTCAGGGAACTGCGCATATTGAAGGGTGGCCATTACTTGACATTCTGAGCCAGAGTAGTAATGAGATTGGAAAGGTCAAATGAGCCCTCATTTTAATGGGTCTAAAATGGTGCTTAAAAAGTGGGACAGCATTTATTGGGTGATGAATTTATAGATGTGTGTGTGTATATATTTTGATACAAGAAACCCTTCTGAAGAAATTAGTTATTAGATTCCATTGATGTCACAAGGTGTTCTTTTTGTTGTTGTTATTGGTTCGTTTGTTCTAATTTCTGCCCTTTTCAAGATTCAAATCACAACTTAAAAGCAAGGAGTTGCAAGAATATATGGAATGGTGAGAAATGATTGATGTTAGAAAGCTTTCGAAAATTGCAATACATAAGGAAAATTGTCCAATGCACATTCTTATTTATCTGCATTTATCTTTCTATATCCTGTTGAACTTTGCCGATAATTGTAGAAACACCTTGGCATTTCTTTCTTCCATCTTTATATTTTCTTGATATCATTAGAAATAGATGTTCAGTCTACCTCTTGCATGCTGACCAATCCTAAATTGGGCGATGACCTATTTATTTTGCATCTTCCCTGAATGCTTAATCTTCATGAACTAGAAATGGCCAGTAGAAAGTCAGTAAGTGTTACTTAATTTACTTCCGTATTTATTAAATTTCTCCCAGAGTAAGGAATTATGAGTTCCTGGAGCAGCACATGTGTCTCTTTCTTACAGAAAATTTCAGTTCCATGGTGAGGATTATTTGCACATCTCTGAAGAGGCAATGGTCCATCCAGACAAAATAGCACAGAGCCAGTACATAAAATAAGAAAGTGGACTGTGGACAAGTCCTGACAAAATTATGGAAAGAGGAACTAGTGAAAATTCTAGCAAGTCAGTATCTTTTCTGGCCAGTACATTTGTGTAAGCAAATTGAACTTTAATCATAATATAGTGCCAATTTGATTTCCAAAATCTTTGTCTTTTTTTGGTCCCGCCTTGGAAGTTGAATCTCAGTCATGTACACCAGAATATGAATGCGAGATGACAGCTCCCATAACAAATCACCCTTGGCCAGATTTCCGCCACTTGGTTGTTCATTTTGCCTACCTCTGAAATTAGCAAATCTCTGCCTTTGTCTACTTGTGCCTTCTCAGATCTGCTGCTCCTGGCCCATTCCTTGATCTCAATGTGGCTGAAAGTATTAAGATTTTAGAGCATGTATAAAGATAATAAAGGTCATTCAATCAAGCTCTTCTATTTTGTGCATTTTTTGCTTCTCTAAGAAGCAAGAATGGCACTGTGATTTCATTGTTGAAATAGTTAAGAAAATAGGGGACAATTTTGATAAAATTAGAAAATCTTAGAGAAGTATCCTGTTACTACGTCTTCAAATGTATAATGATAATTATACAGGAAAATTTAAAGGCATTTTTATCATAAAATGCTTCAAGCAAACGAGAAAATTATGAGGAATAATATATCAAATAGCAATGTGCCCTCTACCCAGCTTTGCAAAATCTAAACATTTTTCTGTAATTGTTTATTTTTCATAAGAAATAAAACTTTATTAGGATTTTTGAGAAAGTCCAGTAAAGACCAAACCTCTTCCTCACTTGAGATCAGAACCAATTGGGAAATGACAAAGAATCAGACTGATGAATCAGCATGGCTGATGAATTAAATTCCCACTACTGAACCGTAGAGGAGGCTGTCTACACTCCAGCGCCAGCCGAGAGCCTGACACTGGACGAACAAAGCAAAGCATTTTCTTAACGTAGGCAGGCTCAGTTCTAAAAGAAAATGAGAAAGAGAGGATGGGGCTGGCCACACAGTGTCTCCTTCCAGACTCACCAATCAATTAGTGTGAAGGAAGGGCAGGTTGAGAAATAGCCGAGAAGTATTACAACCGGTGAGGCACTCACCCCATGGAAGGAAATGTCAGAAGTGGAAAGTTAGCATTTCCCTCTAAAAACATATAAAGTTAAAGCCATGTTTTTATTCCCTTTTAGACCCTATTTTTTCCTCCCCTTCTCCCATGCAAATGTAACCTCTACCCTGAATTTTAAGATCCTTATATATAACAAATACTTAGTCACTAGTGTTGTGATTCTAAGTATCAGAATGCTTCCATTTAAGGGAAATATTGGCTGCCGGTTCTTGGGGATATTGACTATAACATCTGCAGTTACTTCAGTTTCAAGATACTCTTGTAGACTAATGGAAAGAATGTAAAAGATGATGCTACTAGATAGAAATAGAGTTTGGATCGAAGGATGTTACTGCCCAACTAATGTTCTAAGTGCTGAAAGATCATCCTGGTCTTAGCAACAGCAATTATAACTAAGAAAACAAAGTTTAGAGTTATCTCAAAACAGAAAAGAAAGCATCAAAAAGTTATCTCTTTCCTCTGAAACAAAAATAAGCATTCTAGTGACCCTTGCCTTCTGAAATATTTCAACATTCCAAGCTACTGAGACTTTTCTTATTTTCTTATAAACAAACTTTAATGCCCTTTAAAATACTTTCTGATTTCTTTTCTAAGCGTTTTCAGGTGAATAACAAGTTACATTCGTTTGGCTTATTTTCTCTTCATAAAATGGACAAGTTTTTAGTTGAGCAGAGGAACCGAAAAACTTCTGAATGAAGGAAATATTTGGTAGTGAATGATATAATGGAAAATTGCTATAATAAGTAGCTGGGAAGAAGCAAGGAAGGGAGAGAAATTATACAGAATCATTTTAGTTTAAGTGGCAGTGTATGATTAGAAGCAGTACTGAGACATTGAGAAAAATAGTCTATTACATACCATAGGAAAATCAACAATGGCATCTCTGAATATGGAATTGCTAGTTAAAGCTACTAGGTGACTCTAGGATGGACAATTTTTTTTAATAGGTTTTTGGTTTTGGTTGAGGTACACTGTCAGAGTGTGCACAGTATTTCATTTTGTTAGTTAGCTTCATGAAGACCTTAATTTATTAATGTTAATGATTGACCACTTGTGTGTTAAACCAGAAAGTATTTAGTCAGTTGAATTCCATCACAAAAGAAATGTTATGAATCCGTATATTTTGCCTCCTGTTTCTGAGAAATATGGCAAATAAAAAAAGAGAGGTCAAACTAAATCTAATACCTCTTTAAGTCCCACAGCAAAATAAAACATAGGTAGGCCTCATTTTATGTTTTGATTATGTCTTGAAAACCTTGTATACAAGTTAAAACATTTGTAAAAGTCTAGGCATGCTTCATTTTTGAAATAATGTGGTAGATAACTTAAAATGCCAGTAATTATTTTCCAGTCTAAATAATCACAACATTGAGTCAGGTGTGGTGACTCACGCCTGTAATCCCAGCACTTCAGGAGGCCGAGGCAGGCGGATCACTCGAGCCCAGGAGTTCAAAACCAGTCTGGGCAACGTGACGAGCACTTTTCTATACAAAAAATACAAAAATTAACCAGGCATGGTGGCATGTGCCTCTGGTCTTAGCTACTTGGGAGGCTGAGGTGGAAGAATCACTTGAGCTGGCGAGGCCGAGGCTGCAGTGAGCCATGATTGCACCACTGCATCCTAGGCTGGGTGACTGAGTGAGACCCTGCCTCAAAACAAAAACAACAACTACAACAACAACAACAAAGTCACAACATAATTTAATAGATTTTTTCATATGTTGGAATTTCACTAAGTGAAGAATACCTGTTATATGTTATATGTTATAGGTGATACCGTAAGGCATATGAATGATCATATTTCTAAAAAACTTTTTACTTTGGCTCCTAAATTTCAATAATCTAAATAAATACTTTGAGGTATATTTGAATATGTTTTTTGTTTTCATTCATTTCTATTTTATTTTTATTTACATCTGAATGTGTTTTCACGAAACAATTTTAGCTCCAAACTCCAAATTGCACTATTAGGGAAAGGGAGAATAGCTTTTGGCTCTTCTTGTACTATTTGAACATTAGGTAACTGGTTACTGTCTTCTGCACACTTTTAGGATGTCATTGGTTCAATCTCAGGGTCAAGTCTTACCCAACTGTCCTATGTACTCTGTCCATTCATGCCTTAAAAGAAAGAACCTGAAGAAAAAGTTGTACCTTTATTAGCAGGTTCTTTTAAATGAATTTTATTAATTAACATATAATTTCTTCTCAGTAAGATATGTGAGCTGGCAACACATTGCCAATCCTATGGTTATTTTTGTTAGTATGCACAATAGGTAGTTTCATGGGTCAGGAAAGCAGAAATAGTATACAAGGTTAAAGAAATGATTTTCAGTTCTCTAATTTCCACTGGAATTATTAAACATATAAATAAACAAAAAAGAAGTAAGATAACTCACTGTCCCTAGGTGAAGCAATGAAAGTAAGTGAAGTAGTAACTGTGTCTCCTGTTTCACCCTCATGCTTGGAACATGTGTATGCCTTCAAAAGCTCACATCCAAGTCATCCAGAAAAATTAGCCTGTTAAATAGTATAGGAGAATCAACAATGGAATCTCTTAGTGCCTGGAATTTGCAATTGCCAGTTAAAGCTAGTAGGTAAATTAAAAATAATTTATTTTACAGTGTATACTACCTCTTTGCTTTACTGACCCTCAAAAACGCCTGCTGTGTATACTAACAAAAATACCTTTATAACTGGCAATATCTTACTGAGAAAAAGTTATAAGTAAATGAATAAAATTCATGGAAAATATTCCACTAACGAAAGTACCACTTTTATTCAGATTCTTATACATGCAAAGGCTTACAATATCATATTTCTGGGTAAATACTTAAATAGGATGCCACCCTGCTTTGTTTTGAAGCGTAGTACGCCTTTCCGTATGCAGTGCTCCATGCTGTGCAGTCACGGAAATTAATGAGTTCAGCGTTCAGGATGCCAGGGCAGCTGGAGAACAGAGTTCTGTGCTCATGTGGCTTACACAAACACACGAGTTGTGTTTCCCACAGTGGGATCCAGGGACCCCTGAGGTTCTGCAGCTTTTTTATTTGGTGAAACATAGATCCGAAAGATGATGCTGATGTGGTGAAGGGGGTTGGTTTCTGAAACTGTTTAAGAATTTTAGAGATCAAGAGTAGGTCTGAGAGGAGCTGGCAAAGCAGGCATTTATTTGTGGTGGGAGGATATGGGGAAAGAGCAGATGTCTGTAGATACTACAAAGGAAAATAAACACCATGAAAGAACAAACTTATGTAGAAAAATTTTAAAGGAAGATTTTTTAAGAAAGGATGTTTGGGAAACACTCTAGGAGTTATTCTGGGTAGCACTTATAAAATGGGACAACTTCTTACAGCCAGAATGACCTTTATACTGAAAGTCTTCATTTCTTTTGATTTATTCCATCCTGTCCCATTTAACAAACTTGTATTAAACAGCTACTTTGTATCAAGAACTATACTTCCTTGCCTCCTTTCCACCAGACACAGATATACACATATACACACACTCACTTTGAAGTTCAAATACCATTTGTAATAACTGGAGACCCACAGGACTTTAGCACTAAAAGTCAAAACAATTCGCTTGCTATGGCAAGATGAAGTTAAAAAGCAGCTTCCCAGGATGAAACTTGGAAAATGCTTAAATACTGAGGTGTTTATTTGGATTTGCTTTTCTAAACTTGTTGATGGAGGTAGGTATCTTGCTGACATATTACATCATTTCTGATGAAAGAATTTTAGTAAGATTTCTTGAGCCAGATTTTCTTCTTAACATTAATTGTATTGGGAAGTTCCAATTGTTTGAAGGAGACACTGAGTTGGATATATTATTTTTTACATCAAATATAAATTTTCTGTATTTGAGATTATGATGTCATTTCCAAATGGTTGTGTTGCTTCTGTACTCATTGGCCAAGGCCCTATAATTATTTGTCATATTTTAATTCTCTTTGTTCCCCATATCTTTACCACTAGAGGTCTGTGGCTCCTCCTTCTCAAGGTTATGGTGCTATAAAAATACTCATTTCAGATTTCAAACCAACTAGAATGATGTAGTACTATAGAGTTTTTGGATTCAGTTATACTTTGAGTCAAATTTTATCTTTTACAGCAACCATATACATCCACACTGAGATCAAACTCACTTAACCTATTAAGAGTAATAAAACTGATTAAAATTTCCAACCCATAAGACTAATATTATAAAGTTGTTATACATTAAGGAAAAGGGCTTCCAACTTTCACAAACTCTTATTACTAAAATGTTTTTCTTCCAACCTCCTGTATTGCCTCAAAATGGAATATATTTCATCTGAATTTAGTAGGTAAAAGTAAATTTGGAGTTATAGAAAATACTTAATATATCACCTTTTAGTTACAGTGAGAATATATGACTTTAGGAGTTTATACCATGTGAATGGGGTGAATTAACTCTTTCCACCAGGAGGCTTTGGCAAGAGGTAAGAGCTACCAAGAATGTACCAGGGCTCAGGCTTGGGGAAGAGAGGGGCCTCTCCAGCTCTTCATTATAGAGCTCATACTTTCTAGATATGCTGTCTGATTCTCAGGTGGTTCAGGTCGGTGAATTCCTTAGTAGAATATTAATATACTAGAAAGAGTCACTGCAGGGTCACCCTGTCCTTGTAATAGACTTGCAACCCTTAAAATAGGTTAGAGGGGAGTAAATTTTCATTAGAGTGAAAGAAGGCCCAACTTGTGATTGGCTCAGATCCTAGGTGGTATCACAGATATGCATCATGTTTTGAGCAACTGAGATGAGAATCCAAGGACTCTAACTGAATGGAATGGTGTCATCTGTACTCCTCCTCCCTGGCTAGCTCTTCCACTTAGAAGGCCTGACACCCTCATCTTAGATTTTCTTCATGTATGTCATTGCAGCCAAGTTTAGAAACAGGAGATTTGCTATGAAAATAAGTCCATGAATCTGCTGTCTCATCCCCACTGATGTAACATACCTGTATTGTGTTTCAAGATACAGTCATCAAAATTAGGGAAAAGTCCTCTTTTGAAAGAAAAATCAACTGCCAAATGGTATACTGATTCTTTGGATTCTACCTACGAAATCAGTTAGCTCATTTTTTGATTATTCTCTTTTGCTAAATGCATAATTTGTATTTCTTGCAGCAATTAATACCTGAAAGTTATTTGTAAGCTCATTTCAAATGTGATAAACTGAGGTTCATAGAGGTGAAATCACTTGCTTTTTTTTTTCAGGAGCATCATCTTTTTTTTTTTTTTTTGAGATGAAGTCTCACTCTGTCACCCAGGCTGGAGTGCAGTGGCACGATCTCGGCTTACTGCAACTTCTGCCTCCCAGGTTCAAGCAATTCTCCTGCCTCAGCCTCCTGAGTAGCTGGGACTACAGGTGTGCACCTCTATGCCCAGCTAATTTTTTTTAATGTACTTTTAGTAGAGATGGGGTTTCACCATATTGGCCAGGCTGCTCTTGAACTCCTGAATTGAGGTGATCCGCCTGACTTGGCCTCCCAAAGTGCTGGGATTTCAAGTGTGAGCCACCGTGCCTGGCTTAGCATCATCTTTTTATGACTGTATTTCCAGGCCCTACCATATATTCAATTCAGAGTAAACACTTGGTTATATTTGTGGAGTAGTGGAATATATGAATGATTGAATAAATAATATAGATGAAAAGATTAGTTCCTGTATCTCCAGGGATCACTATCTTTCTATACCACCAAAGAATTTGCCCTAAAACCATTCACTGTAAAAACATAATTATGATTATATCTTGTCTTAATCTTATGTCATTATTTCATTCCTTATGTTAAAAATAATAAAAATAATGTTAATTCTATGATTTCTCCTATTTCTAAATTGCATAAACATATGTAAGAAGCTACTGAAATAAAGCAATAGCATTTTAATACATTCCCTTGTCACCATTTATTTGATACCCTCTTGCCTTGGCTTGGAATTTGCAATATTCAGAATTGCATTTGTTGTTGAATATTCCTATCTGGATATTACTAGATTGGGATTTCTGACCCACCTAGTCCAAAGACAGAATTTCTTTATTAAGAAGCCAACAACTAAACAGGCTACAGTAATACTCCTTGGAACTCAAGGATGCGTACAAGAGGGTGGCTTCCTTCAATCTGTCAACAGCCTCTGTCACCTCCATTTATCCTTTTTCTGCCAGTCCTATTCTCAAATACTCCAGAGCTACAAGATGATTAAGAGCCATCATGAGACTTTTGAGGATTGTTGTGAGCTGGGTTGTTATTTTTATTTTTATTTTTATTAATCAGACCAACTCAATAGCACCCTAGTTACAGAAATCCTATGATTTGGCCTCATAAGATCAATGTTGAAATCTTGCTTCTGTCATTAATGCAACCTGGCTTTTGGCAAATCACTCAACCTCTCTGAGCTTCAGTTTCTTAATACACAAAAAGAGGGGAATGTCTGCTGTCCTGCCTCACCTCCTCAAATTATTGAATAGCTCAATATCATTACTGTTATTATTATTATTATATTTTAAAATGTTTGTAAGCAGAAAGCACTGCAGAGCTGTAGGTTGCTTCTCCCTCTTTCTCACTTAGTTTTCTTACATATCAAATTCCATCCTGGGGTAAAGTAATTGCTCACAATTTCTTTTTATAAGAGATATCCTTCAACACCAGCAATTTCATCTTTCTCTTTTTTTAACTCTTGCATATATAGCATATATAACCATATTTGAATGGGAGCAAGTCTTTTCATTTCTTTTCTACTTGGACCTATAAGTTCTAGCTGAAGTCCTTCAAGAAGTTAGATCTGGAGCTCTGTGGCCAGGACTTTTCTCCTTACTCAGACTTTCCAGTCATTCCCCAAATCCTTTCCAGCCCATTGCTATTGTAGAAAAGTCTTCTCCCCAAATTTGCCTCTCAGGAGATGCAGTTATGCAGACTAATATGTGGCTGTCTTCTAAGCTCATCCTCATATCACTTTGTACTAGCCCTTTCTAGTTTTAGGACTAAGATGTAAAAATTGAATTAATATGAATAGTGGTTACTACTTTGGATTTGGAAGCCTGTGGAAATGTGGGCACATTTCTCTGCCTTCCCAAGCTTTCTTCTCCTTATTTTCAGAATGATGATAGTAATGGTATTTAATTATAGAGTTGCTGGCAAATTAAATGAGAGTAACACATGGTTAGTACACAATATAGTTATTATTTATAAGGGGAAAAATTACTGGTTTTCAATTGCTGGTACATGTGAAATCAGAATTTCTTTTGACATCTGTCTTATCTATGTTTATTTCCCATTATTTTTTGTATTTTTTCTATATTGTCTCTGAAGCCACCTCTGTGTTTTGCTTTTCTGGGAGTGGAAGTGGAGGCTCGGTTGTGAATAAGTACAATTTTGCTTTACTTCTGGTACATAAAATTCCAAGACAACTTAGTATAACAAAATTCACATTGAACTAAAAGTTATGAAAAGCTGCTTTTACTGTTTACTCACTCCTTTAAATCAAAAGAACTGGATGTAAACTATTTTTTTATGTCATCTCCTGTTCTTCAGGCTCTTCGGTGCCTCAGAAAACATAAAAGAGTCTGATTTACAATCATTTTGGGCAAATTGCCTGTAGAATTCTAAGGACAGGAAATGAAAAAAGAAGTACAGCACACACCCCCAGACATTCCACACAACATGTAGAATAAATAAACAGCCCCAAAAAGGAAACCAAAACTGCTTGGTCTTATGTTGAGGAGGGGGTACCACAAATGGCTTTTGGAGAAAATGTATTAAAGATGATGACATGCTAGAAAAATCCTTCAGGGGGGTGAAATTGACCCTGATTAAAGATGATCCTTTTCCCCTTTTCTCTACAGCATAGTGAGTATTTTTTATTTAGATAACTTCCATTACCTGTATTGACATTATGAAAAAGAAATACCACGTTACAGAGCTGTGCTTTCCAAACCTTAATAGGCAGGGCTGCCCTGGGGATCTCGTGGAAGCGTAGGTAGTGATTCAGGGAATGTGGATAGGGCCTGAGGTTCTGCATTATTCACAAGCTCCCAGGTGATACAGATGCTGCTGGTTTATGAGCCGTGGTTGGTTTTCGGTCATCTTCTTCAACAAAATAATTGGTGGTGATGTTCTTGTCTTCATCTGTTCAAGAGTGGTTTTCAACTGGGGACAATTTTGGCCTCATGGGAATTTGGCTGTGTCTGGAGATTTTTGATTATGACAACTCATGAAGTGCTATTGGCTTCATGTGGGTAGGGGACAAGGATGCTGCTAAACACTCTATAGTATAAAGGATAGCCCCTTATAACAAGAATTTTCTGACCCAAATGTGAATAGTTCCAAAGTTGAGAAACCCTGCTGCAGAAGTATTATTTTATGCATTTCTTGTATCAAAAAATACTTTCTTGAAATTGTTCAAAAAATAAATACACAAAACCTGTGAGAGCAAAGAATAGGAGCATCTACTACAGTCATGCATCACCTAGCACTAGGGATGTGTTCTGCAAACTGTGTCCTTAGGTGATTTTATCATTGTGCGAATATCATAGAGTATATTTACACAAATCTAGATGGTAGAGCTACACATCTAGGCTGTATATCGCCTATGTCTTCTAGGCTACAGACCTCTACAAGTGGTTACTATACTGTATACTGTAGGTCACGGAAGCACAATGGCGGCCGGGCGCAGTGACTCACACCTGTAATCCCAGCACTTCTGGAGGCCAAGGCAGGTAGATCATTTAAGGCCAGCAGTTTGAGACCAGCCTGGCCAACATGGCGAAACTCAGTCTCCACTAAAAATATAAAAAAATTAGCCAAACGTGGTGTCAGGCACCTGTAATCTCAGCTACTCAAGAGGCTGAGGCATGAGAATAGCTTGAAGCCGGGAGACAGAGGTTGCAGTGAACAGAGATTGTACCACTGCACACCAGCCTGCACAACAGAGTGAGGCTCAGCCTTAAAAAAGAAAAAAAAAGTAAAGCATTAGTGTGTCTAAACATATCTAAACATAGAAAAGGTACACTAAAGCTATTGTATTATAATCTTATGACACCACCATTGTATATGCAGTTTGTCATTAACCGAAACATCATTATGCAGTGCATGACTATTTAGTTTAGAGAGTAAGCAGCATTTAAAACTGTCTTCAAATATGTGAAAGACTATTATGCAGAAGATGGTAACCAGCTGTTCTCTATCACGCTGGAAGAATGAACAGGAAATGTACATAAAAGGACCCGTGCAATTCACCCATTCTTTTTCTGCTTCCTTCATGCCAGCTAGACAAATCTCTTCATGATCTTGCAACCATATTTGTCCTGGCCTGTGTCTTAATACTTGCAGAGACCCTCCCAAATCCTGGGTACACATTTTCTTTTCACTGCCAAATCTCATCTCTTTCTCCCTTTAAAAATCTTAATTGAAAATTTCTATCTCCATAAAATCTTCCTTAACTAAGATGAAATAGTTGCCAGTTCATCTTTAACTAGAGCTGGCATACTTCTTCCTTCAACATGTTATCTGTCAGTCTGAAAATATGTTACTGCCCATCTGTGTACAAGGAGTTGTGCTAGATTTTGATAAAGGATTAAAAAAAGGTAAGTAAGAGAGTCATTGTTTTTAGGAATTTTCCAATTTGGGGGGAAAAATCTGACACAGATAACTATATAGTATTTAATAATTATCTCCATGAGAGGTTTCTTAAAAAATAAGAAAGGAGGTTTTAGAAGTTTAAAGATTACTTCTAGGTAGGGAGGTCAAGAAAGACTTTACAAATAGATATATGGGTGTATCTTTTTTTTTGTTTCTTTGATGAATTTATTCTTCAAGGAAAAAGCAGTTACTATTGTCGCCAAAATTTAAAGATTATAAATTAGAGTAGTGTGGATTTAAAGTATATTTATGAAAAAAGTTCATAGTGAGCAAGGGTTAAAATATTAGAGTGATTTAATCCACTCACAATTTATAAGACTAGGAAAGATAATTTTTCAGGATCTATGTGGCTATATGGTGGTTTTAACAAAGAAGACTGAATTTAGCCACCTCTGAATGTACCTGATGAGGCTCTGTAATTTTATAAGACAGTGCTCTTTGGAAATAATTTTGTTTGTTTGTTTGTTTGGTTTGTTTGAGACAGTCTTTCTCTGTTGCCCAGGCTGGAGTGCAGTGGCACAATCTTGGCTCACTGCAACCTCTGTCTCCCAGGTTCAAGCGGTGCCCCTGCCTCAGCCTCCCGATTAGCTGGGACTACAGGGGCATGCCACCACACCTGGCTAATATTTGTATATTTTTAGTAGAGATGGGATTTCATCCTGTTGACCAGGTTAGCCTCAAACTCCTGACCTCAGGTGATCCACCCACCTCTCAAAGTGCTGGGATTACAGGCATGAGCCATCATGGCCCCCTGGAAAGAATTCTTAGTTACATCTAGGAGAAGAATATTTTGGAACTTCACAAGCATACTTTAAAAACCAGTACCAAAGCAGGAATTTGGCACCATCCATTTGAGATGGTGATTCTAGAACTTCTTTAGGAGACAGTCTTACTTACTAAGAGTTTCCACAACCTGTACTATGAGAAAATTAAAAAGAATTAACCCTCATCAAATATGTAGTATGTGCCAGGCACTGGGTAGACCCTTTAGATATATCATGTGATTTAATCTGGATAACAACTGGTGAATTTATCAACACCAACATTATAAGGAGGCTTCAGAGAATTAGTATAAATTTCCATCCAATTAAGGAAGGGAAACAGAGCAAATCTCAGGCCTGCATAGGAAGCCATCTCTGAGTGGAGACCATCAGCTTGCCTTTTCCTTTTGAAGCAGCAAGGACAACATCTATTTTTATAAAGCTTTACATGGTGATATGTGCATTCTCTGTAGTTGAAATGGGAAAATGAGCTGTTCAGAGTTCATTGATGGCCATGGTTTTCTGCAGGGCTCACTGCTGGAAAACTATCTGCAACTGTATTAGTCATATATGAATCTGAGTTTCTGCCTGCTCTTTTCCACACATTCTGAAAACCTCAGCTCTAGGAATGGTACAGATATTAAATTAGTATGGAATTTTTTTGAATGTTAATATTTGTGTTCTTTAAAGTCATTATGGTTTTTTATTTTTTATTGTATTATTATTATTTTTTTATTACACTTTAAGTTCTAGGGTACATGTGCACAATGTGCAAGTTTGTTACATATGTATACATGTGCCATGTTGGTGTGCGGCACCCATTAACTAGTCATTTACATTAGGTATATCTCCTAATGCTTTCCCTCCCCCCTCCCCCCACCACACAACAGGCTGCGGTGTGTGATGTTCCCCTTCCTGTGTCCAGGTGTTCTCATTGTTCAATTCCCACCTATGAGTGAGAACATGCGGTGTTTGGTTTTTTGTCCTTGAGATAGTTTGCTGAGAACGATGGTTTCCAGCTTCATCCATGTCCCTACAAAGGACATGAACTCATCCTTTTTTATGGCTGCATAGTATTCCATGGTGTATATGTACTACATTTTCTTAATCCAGTCTATCGTTGATGGACATTTGGGTTGGTTCCAAGTCTTTGCTATTGTGAACAGTGCCACAATAGACATACGTGTGCATGTGTCTTTATAGCAGCATGATTTATAATCCTTTGCATATATACCCAGTAATGGGATGGCTGGGTCAAATGGTATTTCTAGTTCTAGATCCTTGAGGAATCGCCACACTGTCTTCCACAATGGTTGAACTAGTTTATTTGGTTTACAGTTAGTAATACAGTTAAGAGTGGAGACCTTCCTTGAGTTTTCATTCTTTGAGCTTCTTTTTTTTTAATAGAAACAGCTTTCGATGGTAACCTTAACCATGCCTTCCATAACTCAAAACATGATGGACTCTTAGTTAACTCTATGTAACTGGATTTTGTTTTTCTCCTAAAGTTGTTCTACGCTGCTGCGTATCATTCAATGTTGATGTGAAAAATTCAATGACTTTCAGCGGCCCGGTGGAAGACATGTTTGGATATACTGTTCAACAATATGAAAATGAAGAAGGAAAATGGTAAGCCAGTGGGTTTTGTTGTTGTTATTTACTTATTTCACAAGGTAATGAGAAATATTATTTGACTACAGTTTCTTTTATGAATGAAACTTTAACAGAATGAATTATTTATGGTAGAAAATGCAGTCTAGTCATTTGGCAATGGAAGCTAACTTAAAGTAAAAAAAAAAAAATTCCTTGGCAATATTAGAGGAAGCGATTAGTGATTTCTGTTGATGCCTGGATTGACCTCAAGGAAGGTCTGTATCCAAAAAAGCTATTGTTCCATAATTATGTTTTTTGGCAAGAATTCTTTAATTGTTCTCATTTCAGAGTAGCTTAAATGCACTTGTTTGAAATTCAGTAGGAAGGATTCGGAGGCAAATGAGATGGTGCTCTGAAAGGGTTTAACACACTTCCGTGAGTTTGGTCTTTACTGATCTACTGAGCTTGGTCTAATGTTTATAATGAACTTTATTGGGTTTCTGGTATCTACCTTCAAACCCTTTAATATTGGTTAAGTTCATTGTAGATAGGATTTTTTTTTTTTTTTTCTGAGATGGAGTCTTGCTCTGTCACCCAGGCTGGAGTACAGTGGAGCGATCTCAGCTCACTGCAACCTCCGCCTCCTGGGTTCAAGTGATTCTCCTGCCTCAGCCTCCTAGTAGCTGGGATTACAGGCGTGTACCACCATGCCCGGCTAATTTTTGTATTTCTAGTAGAGACACGGTTTCACCATGTTGGTCAGGCTGGTCTTGAATTTTTGACCTCGTGATCCACCCACCTCAGCCTCCGAAAGTGCTGGGATTACAGGCGTGAGCCATAGCACCTGGCCGTAGATATGATTTTTAAAGTATATTTAACTTGTTGAAAATTATATAAACTGAATATTAGAGTTCTTTTGCTTAATATTTAATAGAATTTTTAGTAAATGCAATTTTTGTTTAATTGGACATTCTAGGAAAGAAGAGCAGTAGCTAAACTTTAGTTTAATAACTTAAACTAAACAAGCCTACATTTTTAGTAGCTGTAATAATAAGCAAAAAGAGATTTATATCTACTTGGATAATAAAGATCTATGAATCACTATAATTATTTCATTAATAAAAATATGTGGATTTTCTGCATTTTGTTTTATCTTTTAGACTTGGTTAATTTGATAATAATGCCCTAAAGACTATAAAAAGTAATGAGTTCTCACATTTTTTAAGTACATTATTTTATGCTAGGTATAAACTAGAATTTGTTGAGATACTTCACTCTTTTATTCTCCTTACAAATATCTCAGATGACAAACCCAATGCTACATGCTAAATTTTTAAGTTCCCTTTCCCTCCCTCCTATACTCTCCACCCATCCCATTCCCCAATTTTTAAGGTTAAATGAGTACAGCCCTCCCTCTAGACACCAGCTTTATTCTTTTAGGAATTATACCTTCAATTCAGGTACCTCTGGGAGAATAATGGTGAGTAGACCAACTGGTCAGACTTTGTGCGTAAGCTATAATAAACAGAAATGCAGTACATGTTATTCTTAAAAAGCTTAACTTTACATAAACACATATAAAAGTTAATTTTCACTAATTACTAATAGTTACACAAATTTTAAAGAGGAGTATAGCAAATAGCAAGCTTTAAGACTTAAACCACCTACTTAAAATGAAGTATCTCTTTTAAGGATGGTTAAATATTGCTAAAATATTTTATGAAATTCTCATTTTCAATTTCTGATATCAGAAAAACCTGTATGTTTTCTTTCTTATCCAGTCCTGTCTCTGTGATTTTAGAAAAATCTGATGTCAGAAGTCCTTAATTATATGAATGAACCTTAGTAGAGTGAAAAGGGGTTCATATTTCTTTTTAGAAGCCTTAGTGCCCCCATTTGATCTCTTTAGTCACTGTTTCTCATGATAAGAACCTATCCTATTGTGAGATTTCCACCCTCTAAATTCTACAGTCCCTCCTTTCAAGGCACCAGAAGTCAAAGCAATGGAAAATTGAAAAATCAGGCCTGAATGAAGCCTTGATGTCATGAGGAATGTCCTTCCTAAGGTTATTCTATCTTTGTAGAAAGTTAAGGTATGGATGAGGAAAAAGAAAGACAGCCAACACTGGTTAAGGAACAAAAGAGTGCATAGATTGGATAGTAAGAATAAGGTTGCAAGAACGATGTTGCTAATGGTCTGTCTGAATGAATCTACACTGGACTGAACCATCACAATTCTACATACATTTGTGAGGTAATGTTAATAAGAGATCGGGGACTATGCCTTATATCTTGGTTTACCCATGAAGCTGAGTTGAATTGTCTCTGAAAATATTTGTTGGTGGGTTAGGTTTTTTTTATTTAGCCATAGCATAAATGTGGGTCAGTCAATCAACATGTATTTATGTAATACATTTTATGTGTCTGGCATTATGCTAAATTCCATGGGAAATATTTATACATAAAACAAATATAAAAGCTTTAACCTAGTCAAGGACATACATGAAATGTTTAGGAATAGAGAATAGTGCCAACAACCAGTGCAGAATAGACTATAAATTCAATGGGAATTCAAAACAGGAGGAGATGATTCTTGGTTCTTGACCTAAGTCTTGAAAGATGACTTAACTTTCAATATGAGAAGAAAAATGTCACTCCAAGCTTGGGAAGCCACAAGAGCAAGGGCCCAGACTTGAGAATAAGTGAGGTGAGTGTGTTGGTAAGTAAACAGGTCTCATATTGGGATGAAAAAAGAGAAAAGGATGATGGCAGATCTTGAAAGACAAACACAGGAGCTTGGACCTAAGATGAGGACGTTGAGAAGCCATCATAAGTTGTCATTTTATGAAACTTAATTTGGGAATTTACATATAAATTGGATTGGAGAATGGAGTTCCTGAAAACTAGGAAATATATAGACTCAAGAACTATAATCTGGTACTTAAGGGATGAGCCTTCAGGCTGTATTAGGGGCAACTGGAAGAAAAAAGAAAGGTGTATTCAAGACAAATCAAGATGAATCAGTAAATCTTGGTGGAAGTTTGGAAATGGTCAATGAAGGTGTAGGAGAGGTCAGATAGATTCCAAAATTTCTGTACTGGCTCATTGGGAAATGGGTTGTCATTGACAGAGAAAGGGAAATTCACTTATCAGGAAGTGGGTAAGTCTATTTTTAAATAGCTCCAGTTCAAGGTGATTTCTAGGTAGTTGGAAACCTCAGACTGGAATGCAGGTAAGAGGGAGAAGTTAATGTGTTAGTGGAAATGCCTAGAAAACAAAGACTGATTTTGCAGCCCACTTGCAACCCTGGGCACTACCCCACATCTAGCATGAGGCCTTATACATAATATGCACTCAATCATTATTTGTTGGCTGAACAACTAAATCTAGTTTAACACTCTGTTATCATCAATTAAAAAAAAGCTGCATAAAAAATAAAGTTAAATGTGACTCTCCTAGGGAAATGCAACTACTTAGGACCAGAGCTGTAATAGATTTCATCTCTACACTCAGTCTTGTGCCTTTTTCTTCATTAGAACTATATTTAAAAGTAAATGTTGTTAAAAACTATCTTTGTGGTAGGTACCAGACTTTACATATTAATATGTGTGTAAGTTTGTAAGCATTTGAATGTAGATGATATCAGAAACCTAAATCTCACGTTGACATTTATTATTTACAATGATTTTATGGAAAAGTTGTGAAAAATCAGAGCAACCAAAAAGATGTGGGCAATTGAATTTAAAAGTAAGCAAATTACAAATACCTAAATTTCCAAACTTTTAAGGATAGCATGGTAGCAGCATATTGTTCTAAAGAAATCTGGGATCTGGTAGTGCAAAATAACCTGTAGAAACATGTTTGGATGTTCTGTAAGTGTCTATAAAAACAGATAGATTGCAGACTTACTTCGAGAAATGTGCTACAGAATAATTGACATATTTGGAGGAACATGGATTTTGTTATTTAATTATCTCTAGAGGTAGGCACCTTCATAAGTCATATTTACTGCTCATGCTTTCGAATTTCATAAACTCATATTTAAAAAAATCATCCTGACCCATCTTACGTCGTGACTATAGTACGCCTATAGAAGGAGCACTTGTTAGCCCATGACAAGTACAGTCTGTGTATTTGAAAAACATAGCTTTAATTCTTTCGAAAGAAATATAAGTTGACAGAAAAGGTAGCCTTATGTCCTCTTTACTGTTCAGAAGTTTGCTCTGAAGTGTAATTTATATCTTTTGCTCAGAAGCCACATGCTTTCTCAGTAGCAGAACACATCATACATCTGATTAAGATCAGCTGTTGTTCATTATGTTTAGCATGAGCTGGAGCATCCAAGTAATTGCAATGTGGTTCAGAAGAATTCAGAAAGAATATAATTGCCTTCATAATTTTGCTTTGAGGAAAAGAAATTCAAACATGCTCAGCACAGCACAAGCCTTCCAGATTTCCAGATTTAGTGGTAAACATCAGCATGGCCAGGTCTCAGCCGAACGGGAAAATGTGAGATGTCTGTTTGGGGCTTTCCACTCTAATCTGTTGCTGCTTTGCTTCATTCCTTCCAGCATGTGTGCCTACCCTTTTAACTGCCCTTCAAGCAACCTTTCTTGGGGGTTTCAGTGACTTCACTGGACCTGTCTGATCTCAAAGTAGATTTTCAGGATCCACCCTTGCCAACCTTCAAGCCAATGTTTATCAATTATCTTGACTTCATGCCTTTTCTCTAGAGGATCCTGCTTTATGCCAGGTCAGGGTACCAATGGGCTCATGTGATTGATGCCCTATTTCCAATAAGTCTGTGTTGTAAAAGAAAAAAGAATCCCTGCTAATGTAGAGCTATTCCAGACTGGGGAGGAGAGACATTTTAAGGGTTTACACAATTTTCTGTAACAGATTTTAATATGCTTATTTTACATTGCTTCTAACGCCTTTTGAAGTTGAAATTTCCTCATTGCCAAACTTGTCATTTCTTTGGCTCCCCTCATTTCCACCCCTCCACCTTTTATGAGCAAATCACTGCAGTTAATGGGTCACTGTGTAAGTTTCATTCTCTAAGATGAAAAAATGCTTATTCCATTTATTTAAAAAGAAATTGGCGAGCAGAATTTGCTTGGCACTCTGAGAGTGACTTTGGCTTGAACTATGTATTAGACATCAAGGCAGAGTTAGTTGAAAAGGATGTTAATGAAATAATGTAAATATAAGACACTCTTTTCCAAGAAACTATCTTTTGCAGGGAAGAAAACATAAATATGAAACAGAGACATCAGACACCACCTACTCTTCAAATAAATATAATAATGGGCATAATAACAAGATAACTATTGTGAATAGCAAATATTTCTGCTTACTAAATATTATTATAATTGTAGCTTATTCATGGAGAAAAGTGTTTCTCTCACTTTGATGATCCTTGAGTTGATCAGATGTTTCTCCAGAAATGAGTAACGATATCCAGAACATGTTTTGATCTTCTCAGTCTGCATACAGGTCATTACAAAAATGCCATATAAAAAGCAAGATCTAATAGGAATAAAACGTAATAAGTTAAAACTAACTTGCATTAAATTTTAAAATAATGATTCTCACAGTTTATAAAACAATGTGCCTGGGCCTTCACCTTGACCCTGTGGGTTTGGGCGGATATCATTGTTATCATCTGTATTTTCTAGACAGGAAACTGAGACAGAGAATGAATGTCCAAAGGTTTAATATAGCAAGTATGTCACAGGGTCAGGATATGGAACACCAGCCTTCTGACTTTTTAGCCAATTCTCCCCCTTTAGCAACAAGGATTCTCTAGCTGTTTGACCTGGAGAAATGCCTCTGGTGTCACTCAAAGGCATGTATAGCATCCCACTTAAGCTGAATATATATTCTCTAAAATGGAAAAAAAAAGATTTTACAATCCAGACCTCTTGGCTGGTCACATAAGTATAAATTCTCAGGTCTGCCTTATTCAGATTTTTAAGTACTTGACACAGTCGTTAATTCATTCATTCAATAGATATTTATTGAATGCCTATTTTGTGCTTGGTACTAGTATGAGCACTAAGGATGTGTTTGTGAACAAAATAGAAAAACCAATCCCTACTATTGTGGAGCTTATATTCTACTGGGGAATAGAGAACAAAAATTAAATAATGAAGTTAATAAACAGGTAGGTTACATCAAATGCCAGAATAGGATCAGTGTTGTGAGAAAAAACTGAGCAAGAGAGTGGATTGAGAATGCTGGAGATTCCTGAAATTCTGTAAACCCTATGCTAATACTTTTCTAGGATCTTGTTATTTTGATGCAGTTGGAGAAAAGTGAGGCTTCCTTAGGATTCAAGTGGTAAGATACACGTACTTTCAAGCTTGTTATTAAAAGTTTCATGTTTGTTTTCAAAGAAAACAGATACTAGGAAAATACAGAAAATTAGCAGTCCTATGATCTGCTAACCTGGTCTTTACTATTGGTCCCAACTCCCAAACTCCCTGTCTCAATCCTGGGCTCCTACACTCTACCACTTTCTAAGTTCTCACTCCGCAATCTTCACTTATCTCAGAATATGCAATAGGCCGTGGTTGAGATTGCTGTATCAGGTCAGTTTCCAATTATCACCATATCCTAAGTGCTTTCTCTTGCCCTAGAGATCAAACATAAACTCCAGACCTTTTCCTCCAGAGCCAAATGCTTGCCAAATCTCAAGCTCTCTGTTCCTGTCTATAAGCAAGCTTTATTCTGAGTTCTAGCCACCCATACTTTCTCATTATCTTCCCTTTTCCATCTTCATTCTCCTGTCTCCACACTTTTCCCTGGGCTATCCATATCTCCCTTTCCTTCTGCCTTACAATTCACAATAGCTCTCCTATTAGCATGCTGTACAAGACTCACTTTTCATCAGTTATCCTAGATTTTCCCCCACTTGATATTACATGTTTTCCAACTAGTGAGTCAGTTCTTCTCTACAAACTTATATTTGTTCTATTCAGATGATGGAATCTTAGAACTGGAAAGGACTTTGAGGGCCTAACTCCCATCCACTATAAAAACACCTTCCGAAACATCCCTGGCCAGCTGCAACCCACCTCATCTTGACCAGAGGAGCTGCCTGACAGACCTACGTATGCCTTATCAGTTTAAATCTTCATCGCTCTCTACAAGCCCACCACCCTTCTACCTCCTCTGTAAATCTCACTAGACAACTGCAGCTATTATTTTCCAAAGAAGAAAAAGAGACAGAGAGAGAGAGAGAGAGAGAGAGAGAGAGAGAAGCCACTAGGTCAAAATTTAATCCTCACTTCCTGTTTCAGTTAACTATTGCTGCATAATAAGTCATTCCAATACTTAGTCACTTAAAGCAGCAATGGTCTATAAATTCTCAAGATTTTTGAGGATTGAATAGGTATTCCCCTATTGCCTGGGCTCATCATCTGGTCCCTCAACTGGGGCTGGAGTGTCCAAGCTGGCTTTCCTCACACGAGTGGAAGTTCATGCTGTCAGCTAAAGCACCAATTCTGTTCCACGTGGCCTCTTATCCTCTGTTAAGCAACACTGGGCTTCTTCACATCCTGATGTTCTCAGCTTTCAAAAACAGGTAAAATGGAATCTGCAAAGGCCTTTTAAGGCCTAGCCTTAGAAGTCATAGTATCATTTGTGCTGCATTCTATTCATCAAAACAAATCCTAGATTCAATGGGTGGAAAAACAGATTCTACCTCATGAAATAATAAAAGTCAAAGTCGTGTTGCAAAAGTGTACACAATTCCAAACCATCGACCACCCTTGCAAACTGCTCAATACTGGGCTGCTCAGCGTGCTGCCTAGGGAATGGTCGCTCTTCCTCATTTTTAAGACAAACCTCTCCTTCTGGATCCACCCTGTCTACCTGCTCAGAGATTCTACTCCCTCTCCTGTGAAATCAGGATTTCTCTTGTTACTGTTTCTTTCTTGCCATCATTTAGCCATATGCAGATTGCCTCCATGATAAATTTGGACACATCTCAAGCCCTTAATGGTTTGTCATTGCCCTGAAAAAAAAAAGCCACATTTATTAACACTGCCCATCTCCCTCATTTTTAGCCAAGTTACTTGAAATGAAATCTGCCACAAACATGTACCTCTCATTCTTGCCTCCTATTCTTTATATTGTTTCCTTCTTTGGTTTCTGTGACACTGCTGTTTTCTGATTCTTGCTCCCTTTCTGATTACCCTTGCCTAGTTTTCTTCCTTTGCTCATTGAAACCTTAAGTGTTATTTCACCTTCAGATGTCAACATTTAGTGCTCTTCTCACTATATTTCGAGGTGGTAATATTTACTTTTAGGGCCTCAACCATGCTCATATCATGCTCATACATGTTCCACATGGTTTCTGAGATGTTCCCCAGCAAGACTGAGCCCACTTGCCTACAGAAGTAACTCATTATCAGTGCATCCTTTCTTGGCCTTTCTTCCTTCCCACTCTTCTTTTCCCCATCTCTATACTTATGCATACTTGGAATTGCCTCCAAAAAACTTACCTGAACCAAAGTTTTTGTCTTGGATCTACTTTTGGAGAAACCCGAACTAAGACAGCTTATATCCTAAATATTTATAGAGTTAGTCCTTCCATCCTCTGTACTTCCTGAATCCAAATCCTCATCTGGATTACTTTAGGAATCCATATCTTGTCATTTGACTCTAATTTTGTTCCTCTTCAATTTACTTATGACACTTCAAGCAAATAAGCTTTGTAAATCAAAAAGGTGATCATGTTACACCCCTCTTTAATAGCTTCATTGGTTCCCAACTTCCCCCTACATAGAATAAAGCCAAAGTTCTTAAAGCTGACTATGAGAACATTCATGATCTGGACTCTTTTTACCTCTCTAGCCTCAACTTCTACTGCAGTTATACTGAGCTACTTGGCATTTATCAAAGGAGTGGTATTCTTACTTCTAAGACTTTGCTGAAGTTGCATCAAGTTCAGACCTATTCAATATTGCAATAGTACATGTATAGTTGTGCTTCTCTCTCTAAGTTATAAGCAAACTAAAAATTGTGTTTTATTCACTTTTGTATCATTTTATATCCTCAGGACCTGGCATAAATGCCCAGCATGTAAAATATTGTTAATAAACATTAATTACTCCAGCCTCAAATTAAATACTTTCTAAAATCGTAGGCTCATTTTTTTCTCTAAACTGTTTTTAACTGTAAAACCAATTTATTCCATTACGTATTTTACAACTGAAAATATTAGGAAAAAATAATCGTAACCTCATTAATATAATTTGTTATATTCTTGATGTATTCCTGATTAATCTTTCAACATCGATGTTAGTTGTTTAT
The DNA here is from genome assembly GCF_000001405.40 of Homo sapiens. Classification (NCBI taxonomy): domain Eukaryota; kingdom Metazoa; phylum Chordata; class Mammalia; order Primates; family Hominidae; genus Homo; species Homo sapiens. The sequence continues at coordinate 52,858,771 of NC_000005.10, forward strand.
TCATCTGAAATAAATACCTAATAATAATAAGAACTAACATTTAGATAGCACATACTATAAGCCAAATACTGTTCTAAGCATTTTATATACATTAACTTATTTATTTTTTTGATGATCCTCTGAAATGGATCTCCATTTTATAGATAAAAAAACTAAATCACAGATGGAGTAATTGACTTGTCCTAACCATATAGCTAAGTGAATGGTAAAGCCATAATTTGAACTCATATAGGCTGGCACCAAAGTTCATGCTATATTTCATGGAGAAGATTAAATTATTTAATACACAGAAAGCACTTAGAACAGGGCCTAGCACATGGTATAAATTCAATAAAGCCTAGCTGCCATTATCAGTGGTAGTATAATGAACATAGTAATTTGGTGTCTTTCATGTTAAATTAGGGCACAGATTTTCACTAAATTAGATAAATTTTCACTTTGAGTTCGATCATAAATAATTTTTCATCCTACCATACAATGAATGTACAATATGCTATAGAATGATCCTGAAATAATTAGTTTTTATTTACCATATTTCTTTTACTCTTTCATAATTATATATAACACTATGAGCATTATCTTTGTGCATTAAGCTTTTCCCTCTTACTTTAGGTCATTTTATTTAGGATAGATTCCCAGAAGTAAAAATTATGTATTAAAGGGTTTGAGCATTTTTGTAGTTCTTTATACAAATCAGAAATTGCTTTCCAAAGGCATTATATTAAAACCATGTTTTAGAGTCTCAATAGCTTAATATTTACAATTGTTTTATAAAATTTATTTTCATTAATACTAGCATGCCTATAGGGCCTACACAAAATAAATCCCATTTCTTTTCAATATGACAGACTTTCAAATATTTAAATTTTCAAAATGTGTGCCTAATCAATTTGTACTTCAATGCAACTTCTCAGTTCTCCTGCAGACATTCTTTCTCCATGCCGAACATCCCCAACTTTCCCAGCATCTTTTGTCTGACAAATTTACCAGACTCCTAACTATCTGAGTCATAGTCTCCTAAATACATTCCATTGTGCATATGTCCCTCTTAATTTAGATATTTCAGACATGGCCTGACCAGCACAGAACACAGGGGGACTATCACTGCTTGACCAGGGCATCTATTTCCAGCACTGCAGACTAAAGTCACATTAGCATTTTTGGCACTAAAATACGCTGTTGCTCATGTTTATGTGCTATCATCTAAATCCCCCATGCCTTTTTCACATGAACTCCCATTAAGTGAGGGCTCCCACATCCTGCACTGATATAAATAATAGTATGCAGCTGAGCGAAGTTATTTATGTAGGTTCTAAGTAAACTTTAGTTTATTTATGTTTATTGTTCCAGAATGTTGAGATTCATCTGAATTCCTAAGTATGTATATTGATATACTTGATAAGTATTTTTTTCTTGCTCTGTCTTATGGTGCTGATTGATAACTATATTTATACTTTTTATATCTTGACTAAAGTCATTAATAAAGTTGTCATCTGGCTGGGCGTGGTGGCTCATGCCTGTAATCCCAGCACTTTGGGAGGCCAAGGTGGGCGGATCACGTGGTCAAGAGACCGAGACTATCCTGGCCAACATGGTGAAACCCTGTCTTTACTAAAAATACAAAAATTAGTCGGGCGTGGTGGCGTGCACCTGTAGTCCCAGCTACTTGGGAGGCTGAGGCAGGAGAATCGCTTGGACCCAGGAGGCGGAGGTTGCAGTGGGCCAAGGTCATGCCACTGCACTCCAGTCTGGCAACAGAGCGAGACTCCGTCTCAAAAAATAAAAATAAAAAAATAAAATAAAAAAATAAAGTTGTAATCTAACACAATCCCAAGTACAAAATCTCATACTATGTAATTAAGTCCTTTGATTGCTAGCAGCCAGAGTTTTTGGATATGGCTACTCAGCCAGCAATAAATCAGCAACTGTGGATCCACCCAAGTATCTTACTATTTACTTTAGTTCATCCGATTCCTGAAGATATCATGGGAGACTTAAATGACTTGTTGGAACTAAAATCAGTTGTGATTATATGTTTTTTCCATTAATTACTGTTAGAATGGTTTTATAATTCTGTCTAAAAGGAAAGTAAGTGATTTTAACCTGGATCTCATAAACTATCCTTATTTTCTAAGCACTTATAAACTAGCACATGCTAATATTAAATCTTATGATGTTCCAATGTTTATATTTCCTGACTTCTCTATAAAATTAGCAGTTCATCATAGGAAAAAGTCACTTATACTTCCACATGTGTTTTATAAGTTAATACAGTAGCAGACTTAGCCAATAATTATTGATTATTTCAGTACCCCAATAAAAAATATGATAAAGTAATATAAACAAAATAATAAAGCAAAATCTCTGAAATATCTATCCTACATATACACACACATATACATGTATATACACACATATATATGTATATACACACATGTATATGCTATATATGTATATTGTATATGTATGTGTGTGTGTGTATATATACTTTTTAATCCACATCAATATGCAAGAGGTAGGCTCTCTGCTTAGTTTACATAACATTAAATTACTAATAGCATGATTATTATCTGATTATGAGTGTTATTGTCAATTATCTTAAAATCAGTCATAAAACAACTCATATAAACTGTTTCTCAATGTTCAAAAATGTTTACTGATTTATTTAACTTCCAGGGTGCTTATTGGTTCTCCGTTAGTTGGCCAACCCAAAAACAGAACTGGAGATGTCTATAAGTGTCCAGTTGGGAGAGGTGAATCATTACCTTGTGTAAAGTTGGATCTACCAGGTATGTAAAATTAAAAAAATCTGGTTTTAGGCCAGGTGCGGTGAGTCACGCCTGTAATCCCCACACTTTAAGAGGTCAAGACAGGCATATCGTTTGAGCCCAGGAGTTTGAGACCAGCCTGGGCAACCTGACGAAACCTCATCTCTACAAAATATACAAAAATAGCTGGATGGGGTGGTGCACTACTGTAGTCCCAGCTACTCAAGAGGATGAAGTGTGAGGATCGCTTGAGCTCAGGAGTTTGAGACTGCAGTGAATGGTAATTGCGCCACTGCACTCCAGCCTGGGTGACAGAGTGAGACCCTGTCTCAAAAAAAAAAAAAAAAAAAATCAGGTCTTAAATTATGCCCAGTATTCTCACTGAAAACAGATTTTGGGCTGGGCGCAGTGTCTCACACCTGTAATCCCAGCACTTTGGGAGGCCGAGGCAGGCGGATCACCTGAGGTCGGGAGTTCGAGACCAGCCTGACCAACATGGAGAAACCCTGCCTCTACTAAAAATACAAAATTAAGCTGGGCATAGTGGTACATGCCTGTAATCCCAGCTACTTAGGAGGCTGAGGCAGGAGACCTGCTTGAACCTGGGAGGCAGAGGTTGTGTTAAGGCAACATCACGCCATTGCACTCCAGCCTGAGGAACAAGAGCAAAACTCCATCTCAAAAAAAAAAAAAAAAAGAAAAGAAAAAAAACAGATTTTAATCAACTCAAGAAAATATTAGAAGTAATCTGTGTGTCAGAATGGTCGAGCGGTCTAAGGCGCTGAGTTCAAGAAGTAATCTATAATCATTTTTCATATAATCATTTATAATCTATAATCATTTTTCTATAATCATTTATCTTCCAGATTGACATAGAATGCCATTTTGATTCCCTCTGTCCTTAATTTGCTTTAGAAAGTCATCAAGGAGCATACATAAATTAGAATACCGTACTAATTTTATAACTTTTAACTCTCTGCATTTTTCAGAATTCTTTCTAATTCAGTGGTAATGTGAAAGAACTTCTCCAAATAAACCTGCCCACCACATTCCCTCCACAAAATTTAACTTAGTGCCTGGTTTTCAAGAGGAAATAGAATCAGAGGAATTGTAATAGATAAATTTAATTTTAAAAATAGAATCACACAAGATAAATTTATATTGAAATAGATGTATTTGACATAAATAGTAGGAATGTGACCGGAAAATTCCTACTAAAATTATCTAGAAATTAGAACCCTGTCAATGTTCTATACAATATTACATACTATGGAAATTATTTATAGCCCCACAAGTTTATTTCACATATTGTATTTTTCAGTTCTCCTTTTTTTGAATTTTCTATTTGTTTGTTTTTATGAACTTTTTTTCTTTACATGCATAAGCATACTTATAATAGCTGCTTTAATATCCTTGCCTGATAATTCCAACATCTGGAATATCTCAACATCACTTTCCATTTATTACCTTTCCTTGAGGTTGCATCACATTTTCCTGTCTTGTCTTGTAATTTTGGATCATAACCTGGATTATATTTTTGAATTACAGGTGTGGAGATTCTAGATTCTGTTATATGCCTGTGAATAGTCTTAACTTTTTTTATTAGCAGGAAATTTACTTGGCTCAACTCAATTTCCAAGCATTGACTTTCTTGCAATGACAAGTAGTTAAAATCTCTATTCAGGTTTTATTTCAGCTGGGCTATTTGAAATATACTCTGCGCATTTACTATTCAAGTCATCTAGTTATTTGGATAAAATATATATGCATATTATAGAACTGTTGTTTTGTGGCTCTTTTTCTAAGATATACTACTCTCCTCCTCATTTTGCAGCTGCTGTCATTGCCCTCAATCTCTGTTCTCTTTTTATTCAGTACAGTAAGACTAGGAGTTCTATTTGAGTTTTAGCCACTGACCAGGGCCTTCCCTAGGTTGGGGGTGGGTTAGGGGTGGGGGACAAAAACAAAACAAAACACAAAAGCACAAAACTCATTTAGTGCCAGTATCTTCTTCCAAGTATGGATTCCCCTCCATTTTCTGCCACCTTTCTAGTGCCTTCAGGTGATTGTTTCATGTATTTTTTTTAATTCTTCCTAGAATTTATAGTTGTGATTTGCAGAGGAGCTGTTTTGTTAGGAGTTACTCCTCCCTTACTGGAAATTGGAATAGTTTTAAAATTAGGCTAGAGATTTTAGCCACATCAAGTACAGTAGGGAAGTTTCCACTGTAGTCCCTAATTGTCCCAGGAATGCTTTTTCTGGGTCAAGCTTTGTATATAAAACTCTAATCCAGATTATACAAGATCAATGCATACAATCGCCCAGCTCTAGGTGCTTTCAAAGCAAACCAGACTAAACTCTTGGACAAAGGCCATTGCGCAGATCAGGAAGTCTAACTGACCATTCCAGAATCTCTGCTTCCATTCCCCACTTTAAATCCACATACAGTCTTAACATGAAAACAACCTCTGGAACAAACAGTGAGACAAATCTTTCTCAACCTGAATTTTGCCTCTTTCTAATATTCCACTCTACTAAGCAGATTTAGAAGTTCTTGTTTTTCCTGTCCAGTCTTTTTTTCTTTTTTAGTGTGAGAAAGTGAAACTTCTTGCCAATATTGTTAGGCTGGCATGCTTCATGCTTCAGGACCCAACATTCCCTTCAGAATGTCAAATGCAGTCTCTTTACTGTGTTTCCTTTATCAAAACTTTCTGGACACTGCTCTAATATTCCTCTAGTTTCCTTTGTCACCCAAAGGATGTCCTCATGATTTTGGAAGTCATGGTCAAAAAACTGGTGTTTGAGTTTTCTTTTCTGATCTTCTACCCATTTCCCCTTTTCTTGCCAAAAATCGTGTTTCATCACTGGTCATTTATAACAAAGTTATAAGATTACATTATATCTACAGTATTATGAGATTAAAAACTTTGCTTTAATTAGCAAGAACGTGCAAAAAGCAATCCCACATTCTCATTGCCCTGCTAGTTCTGCATTCTTTCACAGTTCAGCAAAACTATCTGAAATAGTTTCTGGGACATGAGCCAACTCTTCAGCCTTAGCTTGTTCATTATATTCCTTAAGAAGACTTGGAAGACTAATTAGTTGAACCAAAAGAAGAATGTGCTATGATATGAGCAAAACAAATAGAATGTCTTAATGAGAGATGCTTAAAATTTCACTTTGTGAAACTTTTCCTCCCTCATAAAATTTTGTTCTATTTTTAGTTAATACATCAATTCCCAATGTCACAGAAGTAAAGGAGAACATGACATTTGGATCAACTTTAGTCACCAACCCAAATGGAGGATTTCTGGTAAGAATGGAGAGAATGATATTTATTGACAACAGATATGCTATCATTTTAAGTCTTTGTAAGATCTGTTATATAATTTTCAGTCTAATGATTTCTAATTTTAAAACAATTTTTTAAAGGCTTGTGGGCCCTTATATGCCTATAGATGTGGACATTTGCATTACACAACTGGAATCTGTTCTGACGTCAGCCCCACATTTCAAGTCGTGAATTCCATTGCCCCTGTACAAGGTACAGATTTTATGCAATGTTCTTGCATGTTTGAAAAGCCTATGCAATGAATGAGACGTATGTATACAAAGGAACATACCAAAAAGCTTAAAGTATTTTCTTAGCTACCAGCATTACCAATTTAGGTAAATGTTTGCTTTGCCAGTATATAACAAAATCTGACTGCTATTTTTGGAATTGATATTAGTGTAAATAACTTTACAAAGTCATTTTTAAACATCATAGATAAAGCTGTCATGCTGCTTATATTTAAAGAATGAGTCTCTTTGAAGAAAGAAGTAACTTCATTTGAGATATGCTCAAAAACTGTTTTATAAAAACTTATATAAAATTCATATTGAGAAAATTTGCAAAGATAACTCTCATACAATACTAATTAAAATTCAGTAGGTATGAATTTTATCCCACACCAATTGTTATTGAAAGCAATGAATATTTTTATCATCTTTACTTTTTCGAAAACTATTTTTTATTGCTAAAACAATGTGTCTACTTTGGAGAACATCAGTTCATCTTTTAAAATGAACTTCTTTCAGCCATGAAAGCACTTCATATGCCTCTGAAAAAAATAGATTCCAAATTTGACAATTGACTCCTTTTATTGCAGAATGCAGCACTCAACTGGACATAGTCATAGTGCTGGATGGTTCCAACAGTATTTACCCATGGGACAGTGTTACAGCTTTTTTAAATGACCTTCTTGAAAGAATGGATATTGGTCCTAAACAGACACAGGTATGTGACTTTGTGTTTTGATTTCTGTTGTTCTAAAGATAAAAATGCACAAATTTTTAATAAAACCAAATATTCTGAAAGCAAATTAATCAATAAAACTAAAGTTGAGAATGAATTTTATATCCATTTCCTGTTCTTATTTCTGATAAAAAGGACATTACTTTAAGCTGTGTTATTTTCTATTTTTTTCTTTTTTCTTTTTTCTTTTTCTTTTTTAGACAGAGTCTCACTCTGTTGCCCAGGCTGGAGTGCAGTGGTGCAATCTCAGCTCACTGCAACCTTCACCTCCCAGGCTCAAGCAATTCATATTTCTCAGCCTCTCCAGAAGCTGGAATTACAGGCATGCGCCATCACACCTGGCTAATTTTTTAAATTTGTAATAGAGATGGGGTTTCATCATGTTGGCCAGGCTGGTCTCAAACTCCTAGCCTCTGGTTGATACACCTGTCTCTGCCTCTCAAAGCATTGGTATTACAGGCGTGAGCCACTGTGCCCAACCTAGGCTGTGTTATTTTCTAAACAGAAAATATTATGAAAGCTGCCATTTTTAATGCACTTGAAAAATAACTCCTATAGAGTTCTATAAACTCATAGTTTAATTTTTACTTAAAATGGATATAGCCACTTTTGGTAATGTCAGAGCCGGGTGTCAGAGTTTGTAAAAACTAATCTGACATCCCAAACAACCCATCACATTATAATCTCTCCTCTCATATTATACAAATAAGTTAGTAACTGACCAGAGGATACTACTTAAAGCCTGTTGTCCTTTCTGTTAATAATTTCTTTTCCCTAAGTTAAAAGAAAATGCCCCTGGCTATCTCTGCATAAAATCAAATAGTTGTTTGTTTATCCCCCCAATTAATATCTATTTCTAAACACATCTCCTTTATTGCCACTAAATGAAGTGGAACTTCTCACACAGCTTTTCCACTTTAGATACTGAGTTTAATTTAATTACATTTAATTAAATACATTTGACTGATTTAATGTTTATTAAACTCATATGGGCATATATATTAAAATACAGGGCAGACATAATGGATAACAGGCAAATAAAATGTCAAAATGAAGTCAATGCCTCAGGTCAGGAATTAGCCCTAGAATCAGAGCCTAAAAGATTGTTGTGTGGTTTGGAGGCTGTAGAGAGCATAGGAGACTTTAAGATTATAGTACTGCAATCAATACAGTGATCTTCCTTTTTTTTTTTTTTTTCTGAGGACTTTACTTTGGGAGAAGTTTCTGAGGCACTGAAAAAGCAGACTGACTGCGTTAATGTTTGCCACACCTACATTAAATTTGGAACATAATATGTGCACATATATATACATACATGTGTCTTCATGTGTCTGTGTATATTTATGTCTCTCTTAATATTTTGATATCTATGTATATATAATTTTCTAAAAGGATGGTGGTTGAAAATTTCAAAGTTGAACTCAAACTTCAAAGTGAAATGTATTGCTGCATTCCAAGGCTGAATAGGTCTCTGTAGAGAGTGAGTGGAAGGGTAAGGTTATAAATATCCTGCTGGACAATAGAGAACTTGTTGAAATCAGTGTAAAATCATTAAAAATGAAATGGGCTTTTACGTATCACAAAATGTAATTTTCCCTGGAAGTGACTTATTTGCAATTGACCTTCTCAAGTGAAATTACTAGTGGATGGTAGGGGACCTTTTTATCCCGTCTTGCTACAGGGTACAGGGCAGCCTGCATCTTAACAGACCAACTCCAGGATGTGACTTGCTCTTCCTTCTGGCACCTGTTCCTCATGGACCTCCTTTTTTCCCTTCTGAGACCACTCTTCCTTCCTCCTTTCCTCGCTTCCCCTATCCCTTCTCTCCTTGGCCAATAAGATAGCATAGAGTCATAAGATTAAAGCTGGAAAGAATCTTAAAGGTCATTTGGCCCCCAACCTCAATTTATGAAGGAGACACGAGAGGCTAACTGATTTGTTTAAGGTCTTTCTGCTTGCTGATGGCAGATTAGAACACACACAGCTCTCTAATTGTAGCCCAGTTTGCTGTTGTTTTTTTTCTTTCTGAGGGCTCTACTTCTAGAGAAGCTTCAGAGCCAGTACCATCTAATGCCCCTGAATAGTAGATTTCAATCCTTTTCTATTTCATGAGGATGACTGTCCTCATCCTTCCTCAGGCAGCCTCTTGGCTGAAACCGTGCTAGGCTTGGCAATGACTCACTGCCTGGACTAATACCTTAAATGAAATGGCTTGTGTTCCCGCTTTCTCCACTTTTGCCCATGATGTGCTTTCTTTCCTTCTTCTTGTTTTGTCCATCCCATTTGATCTTCTTACCTAACTTTTTCCTTCCAAAGCTAATAACATGCTTGAAATATTTTTTACAATTTATTATACAGCCATCTAAATATTTTATTTTACCTTTAAATTCACTTATGTATATTACTCTTAAAAATTAATTTATTTGTAGCTATTTGTGAAAATTAGTGCAGCTGTGACATGTCTGAAGTTGGTCCACAACTTTAGAAAGAAAATCCATACGGCTCTTTTAGAACAATAATTACAGCTTCTGTGAAGATCTATGCCAGTGACTCCATTTTGTAAAGAAATAAATAACAGTCAATTGCTTATATGCTCAAGCTATTCTTCTGCAATTTCGATGTTTTTCAGTTAGAACTATAATTAATTTACATTTCTGTGTTGAGAGTCCTAAAAGAGGAGCTATTCTGCCTGTCCACCAGAGGAATTCTAGCCTGCCAGAGTGGGCAACATGAAGTTATATGTATTTTCTGGAGGGAACAATGGCTCTATTCAGACAAATTCAGGAGGGCCCTTGGGGTCCAGATGCTACCAGTGAATGGGAGGAAAATGAACTTACCCTGCAGCAGAAGAGTTCAGTTACATTTACCAAGATCCAGGACCTCAATCCACAGAGAAGAATATTTCTGAATGAAGCACCCTGCACAGTGTCGTTTACATTATCTTCTGACTTCACCCAAGGGAACCTGATTTTTAAAGAGAGAAGCTGATTATATTTCTGAATTTTTATGTCACATCTTGCTTTCATCATTGATTGTGGAGCTTAACCATATACATTCATTCATTTATTCAGATGTATGTACTAAGGGCTTACTATGTTCCAAGCTCTATGCTATAGCTTGGGTAATAGTGGGGAAGATGACAGACAAGGGTGATGCCTTAATGGTGCTTCTGTCTAATGCCATGTTTCTCCAATTATGGCTCATGGAATTTCTGCTTCCAAATCACTGGGATGCTTGAACTATACCCCAGATTTTCAAAATCAGAATCTCTGAGGGTGGGGCTATAAGCCTGCATTATATATAAGCAACCCATATGATTCTTTTCTGTTTGTTTGTTTTTTTGACAAGGAGTTTCACTCTTGCTACCCAGGCTGGAGTGCAATGGTACGATCTTGGCTCACTGCAGCCTCCACCTTCTGGGTTCAAGCAATTCTCGTGCCTCAGCCTTCTGAGTAGCTGGGATTACAGGCATGTGCTACCATGCCCAACTAATTTTTGTATTTTTAGTAGAGATAGGGTTTCGCCATGTTGGCCAGGCTGGTCTTGAACTCCCGACCACAGATGATCCGCCTGCCTCGGCCTCCCAAGGTGCTGGGATTACAGGCTTGAGCCACTGTGCCTGGCCCCATATGATTCTTAAACAGATTAAAGTTTGAGAAACACTGGACTAAGGCATAATTATTATATTAGTGTGCGTGAGTGTGTGTCTGTCTATCTGTGTTTGCTGCATACTGTAGATAATAGGCACCTCAAGAGCAAAGTCTGCATCATCTTCTTATCTTCGTCAGTGGCCAGCCCAGTGGTTTACTGTGGCACAGTAAGTCCTCAATGAGCACTTGTTGAGTAAATGTTTGTATCATATTGAGTCCAGTTTTGTATTTTTCTCTGATTATTGGACATTTAATGAGTCTTTTTTCTATAACTGGTATTTTAAAAATTATTTTAAGTATATTACTTTATACTTTATTCTCTAGTATTCAGTCTTTTCTAATCTTTTTTTTTCTATTTTGGCTTATGTTTTATCAGTGACTAAATTCATAAATAATTCTCTAAAATGAAGAGATTGGAAAGGACATATTTACCAAGCCATTGCTTTTGCTAAATAACATTTAATAGGGTTTTAAGTATAATGCATGTGAACTCTTTTTAAAGTTTGATCATCTTTCAGTGGATTCAGAAAAGAAATCCTGTCATAGAAAATTTGGAAAGACATTTCCTTTTCAAAGAAAATATGTGCTGAAAAGCATGCTTATCTTTCATGTAGTCTTACAGTAATTCTTTCCAAAAACTGTTTACTTGACAATCAATTCTTTTTCTTGATTGGTTGCTAATGTAATTTAAATCCATTTGATTTGTTTGTTTGTTTGTTTTTAGTTTTATTTGTTTCTTTTAATGAAAGCATTCAATTCCACCCTATGATTGGCAGAATTAACTTCTGGAATTTATTCTCCCCTTTATGTATTCTATCTCTGTTTCTGAAAGGAACAGATGTAAAAATGAATTGTGAGAAAGATTACCCAGAGGAGGGTGCAAAAGATAGAAAGCTAAGAGCTGGACAGAGAACTTTTAGACTCCTCATCCATACCAAATTTCTAAAAGACTATGAATGTAGTTGTAAGATTTGTAGAGAGGATTTCTCTGTAGAAAGAGCCTACTCAGAAAGGCTTCAGTGGGGTCATACACATCTTAGTATGTGTATACTGGAGTTGGGACACATAGTTGATTGACTAATGCCTAACTCCTGTCTGAATTGTCAGAGCATGACAGCAGCTGTTATGTCTAGCTGCTGACAGGGAAGTCGGAGCAGAGGTCACTGCACTGGAGTCAGCCTGCATCCCCAGAGATTGTTAGAATGCATGTGTTTTCCCAGGATTGGCATGGGTACTCAAAAGCAAGAGCCAGTGTGAGGTCATGTCAGGGCCTGTCCTTAGGGATTACTGGAAGTGAGTGGCTGCCTCTGCAGAGAATGCAGAAGATCTCTGTAATTCTTAGGAACTGAGGCAGTGGGATGCATTCACTCAGGGCAAGGGTGTAGGTGAGATATCTCAATGAAGGGAGTTCTCCAAAGAACCCTTGAAAAACTTGTACATACCTATTAGGACCTGATTCATCTTAGGATAATACCAATGCAGTAATAATTTCTCTATCCTTATTTATCTTCCCTACCTCTGTCCCTGGAAGGTCAGAAATCACAGTTAGCACTCTAAGTGAAAACAAGTAGGAAAACAAATAAAAGCCAGTCATGCATCTTTCTCAACTACAGGCTTCTTACCTCGTGTAAGCCCTTAGTAGAAGTAGGAGAGAAGATTTAACTACAAATGCGCTTTGATGTTTCGCCTTGTTGGTTTTAATTTAGACAGAACCATATGAAAGTATTGCTGTTTGATCTTTTTTTTCCCAACCTACAAATACAGCAATTTCATTTGGTACAGCCTAAATTAAAATATATAACTTTTTAAATTAACAGACATTTTAAAACTAAGAATAAAAAAAAGTCATAAGATATTTATCTTTCCATCTAGGGATAGCAAAATACTTCACTTTAAATAAATTTTGAAGGACTGGTGGGCCACAAATAAAGGTTATATTCTAATTACACCTCCTGTATTTTTGTTTGCTGTATTGATTAGTTACACATTTGGTACAATAGATATAGATTGAATATGATTCCTATTCTCTGCAGTCATAGATTTGTCATTTAGTAATTGCAAGCAATAAAAGGCAGAGTCAAAGATATGGAATATTTCCCAAAGTAACTGTTACCTCCAAAAAACAAAAATAAAAAAAAAGAAAAGGAAAGGGGGAAGGAAGGAAGGAAACTTACATTAAGTTTTCCATGTGACAATTTAGTATACATTAGGGAAATACAACACAACGATGGAAACATTCACTCTAAAGAGTTACTCAAAATCCATTCTATGTTTCTGTGTGGCCCAATTAAGACTTTTGCAAGCATAGTCAAGGAATTTTTGTCAACCAATTTTTTACCCAAGACAGAGTAAAGGCTATAAAATTGCCTTTTAAAAATCACCTATAAAAACAAACCTGAAACACTCTGAGCTTGCCATTAAAGATATGATGGTGTAAACATTATGGAGGTCTTATTGATCCTCAATACCTAAACATAACATTGCTTTTAATAATAAATGAAGATAATATAAATATGTCAAATAAGTGTGCATTACCCTAAATAAAACCAGTAAATTGTGAGGCTTGATATAAAAGTGAAATATACTAACGGAACAATGTCTAGATTGTTCACATCAAAAGTGTAGCATAGCATTAAACCAAGCAAAATGAAACAGAGAAATTAATTAAATTTTAGGAATATTATTTATCTTTCTTTTTACTGCTGATTTTATGGCCATTTCCCTAGAAGCCTTAAATCTGGGGCCTGATTCATTGTTTGTAGGTCTGAAAAGAAGCCTGAGGGAGACATGCAGCCATACCTTTGTCAGTCTGCTTACAGTTTCCGAATGTGGGGTAGGGAATGGGGTGAATCTTCTCTCTCACTAGCCTCTAGTCTCCATTCTCCCACCCCTCCAGCCATCAGGCACTAGAATAATCATTCCGAAGTGAGTTCAGAACATTTCCCTAATAACAAACAAAAAAGAAACAAATAACTCTTCTTGTTGCCTGCTAAATAATATCCAAGCTCTCTAGTGGACTAACTGGCATCTGACCACCTGGCCCAGCCATTTCTCATGCATCCTGCTTCCCCTTACACCCGCCTCAGTCAATTTTTTTTTTTTTTTTTTGTGGGTGGAGGAGATGGAGTTTTGCTCCGATCTCAGCTCACTGCAACCTCCGCCTCCCGGGTTCAAGCTATTCTCCTGCCTCAGGCTCCCGAGTAGCTTACCCTTCAGCCATTCCTGGGCCCTTGCCTTCCTTGTTCATGAAGTGCTGTGCTCTTGTTACTTGCTTTTCCTGTGATTCCCTGCTCCATCTCAAGCGCTGTATTCTAGGAGAATTTCAAATGTCACTTTCTCTGTAATTTTCTATGATTATCCTACCCACTGTTCTTGAGAAAAATGCCTTCCTCTCCTATGTTCCCATAGCAGCTGCAACCGTGAGAGCACATTTCCTTACTGCTCTTATCACTCAGTAGCATTGCTCTTTGTTTTTTGGGTCTGTCTCTTCTAGTAGACTGAATTACATGACGACAGAATTGTGCCTTAGTCTTTTCATTTATGGAAGATAGTCTAGGGTTTTATGTTTCCTAGCACATGACATGAGCCATTTATGTTGAAAAAATGGGAGTTTTTGAATTTTCACCTTCTCATGTATAAAATCGTTGTTTTTAGTGACCTCTTTCCCTTACTTTGCTTCATAAAGTCATATTGATCCACTGAGCTGGAAGGTACTTGCTTGTGGGGGATTCCCCTGGACAACCCTTTACATTGTATTTCAGTCTTTTCTTTGCAGGTGTTTACCCACCTAGCCCTATTCCCCTCAGCCCTAATTTCTCCTATAGCCCTTGCCCTTCTCCACAAACACAGTGAATTAACTTTGTTTTAACCTCTCCTATCTTTGCATTTTTGAGCCTACGTCACTTTCATTGTAGCATCTTCCATGAAGCAAGAGTCCAGATAAAGATACCCTTTTTCTAGAACCTGTATCTATTATGTATCAACTTTATTATGTTTCTGAACACTTGTTTCCTTAGGAAATAATCATCTACCTGTAAATCAGTCCCATTTATATCCCTCTTTATAATGACAAAATGTTAAACCTAGCCTCTGCTAACATAGCTTCAGAATGGTTTGTGCTAACAGTTAACTGGGATTGTATCCTGTATTATCACTACATTTATATCCTGACTTAGTCACACTGGAAGCATGTTGTAGGGTAGGGCTTTGTACCATAGTTTGATAAAAGGAAATATACATTGGCCAGACATAAAGCCTGAGCTCTTTTCATATTAGGCAATTGTGCATCTTACAGGAACACACAAAAACACCTCATTGTTTCACCTTGTCATTACTTCTGTAAAGGAACAATTGACTTGGTAATATTAGTTATTGAATGAAAGCCCAGAAACTTAGCTTATGCTGGGCATTAAAATTTGGGTGCTGGTGTAACCCTGACTTAACAAGATAGATATAGAAGATAATAATATAATTATTAATTAATAGATAACTCCATTCCTTCATAACTCTTTGACTAAATATACTTATCCTAGTTGAGTTTCTGTTGCTATAACAAAATACCCAAGACTAGACAATTTGAAAAAAAAAAAAGGTGGATTATTTAGCTCATGATTCTGGAGGCTGGGAGGGCCAAGATAGGGTGGCTGCAGCTGTTCAGCTTCTGGTGAGGGCCTTGCGCTTGGGTCATAACATGGTGGAGAAACAGGAATGGAAGCAGCCACGTGCAAAAAGACCAAACACAAGAGGCAGCCTCGCTTTGTAACAACCTGTTCTCTTGTAGTAACTAATCCAGCCCCACAAGAGTGAGAACTCACTCCTGTGATAAAGTCCCTCTTGACTCCTCTTTTTGCCTCTTAAAGGCACCACCTCCCAACACCACTCCATTGGAGACCAAGCATCAACATGAGTTTTGGTGTCTCGGTGGGGACAAACCATATTCAAGCTGTAGCAGAAACATAGCTACTTTAGATACTTCTTTTTCTTAAACACTCTTATCATTTAAGATAGTTGTTAAAATCTTAAACATGACTTTCAGTTTCATAAGAGACTAATCCAAAAGGCCCTCCTTTCAGTGTTTTCTGATAGTGTCCTTCCTTTCATGTTCACACACTCACTTTTCTCCCTCTTTCTTCTCTGCACCCAAAAGAAATGAAGTCATTGGATAATTAATTTGCTTTAATTGAGCAGATATTTATAAAGTGTCTGGACGATCAAGTATTATGCTAGGTGTCAAGAGCAATAAAAAAAATCACTGAAATGTTGTTCCTGATTCTAAAATCTTCCAATTTAGAAATGAGGTAAAATAATATATTGGGACAGCTACAATGCATGATGGTATGTCATAAATATAATGAAGGTGAATTTAAAACACAGAACAATTAGTTGATCTTGACAAGTAAGTAAGTCTTACTGTTGTAGAACATTGTTTCCCAGTCTGAGGTGTTGAATATGATCCTCACAAAAAAATATTACTTTAAATAAGAATAAAATATACCAGGTCTTCCAATTAGTAATCCACAATGCATGTTTTTAAAGACTCTGAGAAAACTTTCAAAAGAATTTGCTTATAAGTCTAAATAGAACAAGTAGGGATAGGAGTAAGAGAAAACCTTACTCTTTTGCACCATTTGCAATTTGTGACAGTTTTCATAGTGATAGGAGAAAGGTAGAGATGGGGAGGAGTCTGCCGTAAAGATATATATTTAACTTTATTTTACTCATTGTTTTCCAAGATTATTTGACCATAGAATTCTTTTTTAAATCAAACTTAGTAACATACAAAGGGATGCTAGTATTCCCAAAAAAAAAAAAGTGAGTGGATATTTGTGTGGGGGCTTACCAGAAAATATGATTGTAAATCTCATATTTAAGTGGAATGTTCTAATAAGTGTTACAAACCTCTTGTTCATGTAACAAAATTCATAGCCAATTGTGTACCTGATGTATGCCATAGCCTGAATCAGCCTTTAGGTCTCTTTGGCCTTGGATTGTAATTATCTACCCATCTATTTATTTTGTTCTACTTAATCAAGAGGTTTAAACCACATCTCCCCAGGAGGTAAATGTATCCTTTCCAGTTGTCTCTGAAAAGGAATTTTCCTTCTGCATGTGACTCCTTATCCCCCGTGATATTATAAGAAACTGTTCTTTCTATATTCATCTACTCTTTTACTGATACCACAAACTGCTCTTTACAATCTCTGGGAAAGAATGTCCACATTTAACCCGGTTGCACCTTTTTAGCTGTCATCCCTGCATACCCATTTCTATTCATCAAAATGCCTAGGATATTTCCACCTCCATGATTTGTTGTCATCAGCTCTCTATCCAACTTCCACCATCTGACTTTTGTATCATCCCAACGTAATTGGCTACTTCAAGTCAAATATTAGGATTACTGGTTTTTTTTTTCCTTTTTCCTCTCAATTTCTAGGATGACTTAAACTCCTTTAATTATCATCTTTGACATATTTTCCAGGCTGAGGGCCACTTTGTTTCCTTCCATAGTACTTTCATAATCTCTTGGCTATTTTTGAGCTGGCTTTCAGATTCAGGAAGCTGAATCCTCCTTCCTCCTTGAGGATTTTCACGTGGGAGAGAATAAATATGCTTGTGATTTTCTCTCCTCTTGCTTCCTCACGATGTTCATCACTTGGCTCACTTTTTAACTTGCTATTTAATTCTCATACTTTATTTGATTCTGCTACATACATTTACATTATGCTTGTTTTATTAGCCTTAAATTATAAGCTAAGGTGAAATGGGAACTATCTCTGTTGAATTGAATCTCACCAATATTCAGCACAACATTACATTTGTTTGTTTGTGATTTGACCCTTGTCTGTAATGAAAATTAACACTAGGTTAGTGCCAAAGTAATTGCGGTTTTGCCATTATTTTTAATAAATGGTACCCTTTTCTGGGGAAGACTCACAGCACACCTTACTCTTTCTGGTTCCTAAGAAAACAAGCACCCCGGTATCAGCCAGGGAACTACATTGAATGTCATTTCCCTGAGACTTGAGTTTTTCCACTGCTCCCTCTTCACATTTCCCAGACTTCGTTGTATCTCTCTTTTTCTGCTTATCATTATTTCCCTGCTATCTCGGTTTTCCATTTGCTTATGCGAAATGTTACAGTCATCTAGTAAGAATGTCTTAGGGTCAGCTGTGAGCAAAGCAAAACAGCAGTGAAGGATAAGAGAATATCAAAAGCCATGACATAGTCCATACTCTTTACCCCTGCCTGTCCCTCTAAAGTTAGGATGTACTTGGGAAGATATAGTGTGCACTCAAACAGTTGAGAAGAATGCAATACTCACAGACAAGTTTGTTTCAGAGTTCCAAGAAGGGGAAGCTCAATATGGGCTATCCTGGCAACAAGGTAAGAAAAGTTTTGCAGAGAGAGTGGAACTGGAATTAAATCTTACAAGATTAGCTTAGTAGGAGGGACAAAGAAGTGCATTTGGTAGGAGTGGAGTTCATATTGGGGAGTCCTGAAGATGGGGGTGAATGGAGAATTTAGCATTGGAATATTAAGGGACTGAAGGTCAAGAGGAGAAAACTGGATTTTAACATATGGACCTAGTATTTCAAGGAGTAGCTTGAAGTTTTATCTATTTTTAAAAAATTAGAATAAAAATCTATCTTTTAAAGTATATTTCGAAGTCATTGATACAGGCAATGGAGAGTTATTGGAGGTTTTTGAACAAGTATGTTATAGGATGAAAGCAGAGTTTCAGGACAGTTAGTCTGCCAGGAATATGTAGAAGGATGTGAAGAGAGTGGAAATGAAGAGAGGGAGATCAGCAGCAAAGAGACTGACCATTGCCATGGTCCAAGTTCAAAGCAATGATGTCTGGCCTGAGCTAAGGTAATGAGGTAGGAGGCGAGACTTGACTCTGGAGTCGGGCTCCAACACCAGATCAAATTGAGGACTAGATAAAACAGGGATGAGGCAGAAGATGCCTTCCATAAACACGCCCACCAGGGTGCCATGTTAGTTTACCATTGACATGGCAACAACCAGGAGTTACTGTCCCATTCCATGGCAATGACCCAAGGACTCAAAAGTTATTACTCCTTCCCTAGAAAGTTCTGCATACACCACCTCTTAATGTACATGTGATTAAAGTTAAGTATGAATATAACTGCAAAACTGCCCTGAGCTTCTCCTCTCTGCCTGTGAGGTAGTCCTGCCTGGCAGGAGCAGTCACGGAGCCGTAAGGCCACCAGAGCTGTAACGCTGCAGCTTCAAAATAAAGCTGTTTTCTTCCACCTCTGGCTTGCCCTTGAATTCTTTCCTGAGCAAAGCCAAGAACCCTTGTGGGCTGAGACCCATTTTGGGGCTCACCTGTCCTGCATGAGTAGGAATGCAGGGACACAGTTGACAGCTGCCTTAGATCCAGCTCCCAGAAGCAAACCCTGAGAGGACGATTCACATGATAGTGATATATTTGTGAGGAAGCATTTCCAACAGAAAGCAGATGAATTGGGGAAGCAAAACAAGGTATCAACAGAGGACAAAGGAAAGTGTAATTTCAAGTGGAATCCAGGCCTCAGCTTGATATGGAAGGGGAGTTTCTACTTGAGTCAAGGGGCTGATTTCTCATTCCCTGCACTCACCATTGCCTGTGGATCAGGGTGATGGGGAGCTGAGGAGGACGGGGGACTCCCAGACACTCCTGGTTTTTTCAGTCTTTGGGGTAAAGCAGTCTAGTAGCTCAAGTGCAGTCATCTGAAGAGAGTCTCAGGTAGAGTTGTTAGAAGCAAAGTATCCAGAGCAGATAAGGGAATAGGCAGTTATAACTCATCTTATATTTTAAGATTTACAAAGAATAAGCTTTTAGAAGCCAGGCACATATTGGAGGTGGATAGATGGATGATAGAGATGTAAAATTTAAAGCACTGATTTCTGACTTACCAACATTTTGAGTTTTTTACTATTCCTAGTGTGAAGATAATTTTTCCGGACAATCCAATGGTTCATAGTAGGTTCTTTAAGATATGTAAAGTGTGTTGTAAATGTAAAGTATTAACACACATGTGGCAAAAAGCAGTCTTGTTAAGTTGGCATCTCTTCAGCTCCTCTCATGTGAGCTCATCCCCACATGTAAGTGAGATAACCCTTTTTCCCAAGGAGTTGGCAGTTTACGACAATTAGATTAAAACCAATAAATGAGAACAACGTGGACTCATTAGTAAAAAATAGTTGTAGTGTTTGACAGCGCTCAAATATGCAACCTCCTTTGAGATTCATGGTCATTCCTTTAAAAGGAGACCAGGTTACAATTTGTGTGACTTGTGTCTAGCAGCATTCAAAGCCACAGAAGCATATAGAGAGGAGGAGATAATTGGATTTAACCCGAGTTGGAAGTTAGCCAAGTGAGTCATTGGAGGGAAAAAAAGGTTAAATGAGTTAAATGTTTGCAAATAAATGATTATAGTCATTGGACCATGGAATCTAGTCTAAGTACCAAAAAAAAAAAAAAAAATGGCAGTATTAATGAATTAGTTGGAGGTCTTGATATGGTCAGGGAATTAGTGAAATGAGCCAAAGTTAATGTTCAAAAAGAAGGACATTTGAAATTGGGATTGACCTGCTGACAAGGTCTTCCAAATGACAAGGTCAAGGATAAGACCTTGGGAGAAGATGGCTAGAGGAAAGATTACTGATGCTGGGGAGGTCAAAGAAATGAGAGACTAGGGTATTCCACAGATTATCAGTGGATACTAGATTAATAGATTATTAAGTAGATGCCAAAATTTTCAAGAAAAACAACAGGAGTAGGAGGGAAAATTTTCAAAGTTCTTTAGCCTCTTAATCAAATAAAAACAAAGGGGAAGAAAAACAAAGCAAACTGTAAGATGTCCTTAATTGATGAGCAATTAACTTCCACAACAGTGTTTGTTCACTTTGATACCTAGAATTAGCCATAATGATTATCCAAGTAACAAAACCATTTTGCTTTTATTTACACTGAACATTTATATACCCAAAGACATGTGTATCCATGGATATGTCCCTTAATAATTATTCAGTGTTTCCAAGGATTACTAATCAAAAACTTTAGGGTCATTGAAGAAAAGAATTTTAAATTTATGCAGAGGGTAATAAAAATGTTCCTCACATTTTATTATAAATAAAGAAAATATCCTGAATTGCAGTCATAGATGTGTCTTTATCCACTTTATTATTTTTGTGTAATTAGTTGGCTGTATCCTATCTTGTTCCCAAAGGGTCTTTTGGTCACCTTTATTCCAAATATAGTAGCTCTCTCAGAATAGGTGGTAAAGGATATTGGGTGAAAGATAAACTCACAGAACAAGGCTAACCTGGACATGAATTGAGCAGAGTGCATGTTCATTCAGCTGATGATGTAACCTCATCTTACAATTACATATATTCTCTAGTTATTTCTTATTTATCTTATACCTAACTAAGCAACTTTAGGAGAGAATTCATATGTTCTATTATTTTTTACAAAATATGATATATGTATTTATGTGTTTGTTTCATCATATACTCTAACATATCTCAGTTAACTAGCTAGTTAAGCAAATTCATTGAGTAGCCATGAAGTGGCAGTGGCACTCAGCAGAAGCTAGCAGGTTGAGGTGACTAAAGAATGGAGGATTTTAGATAGATGCCTTTTTACTGAGAGGAAATAGGGTGATTGAAAGAGCCCTTGGATAAGGGATACACATCTTAGACTAGACCCCCCTTCCACCACTTCACTATAGGGATTGGGTGTTTTCAACTCAGTTTCCTCACTTATGAAACATTATCATGTTTCTGTTATTATAATTTAAATAATTAGAGAAGAAAGTTTTAAAAAGACCATTAAATATATATCATAGTATTCTTATTTAAGCATAAGGACATAATTGCTCCAACATAACCAGTGTACTCTAGAGGGTAACTCAAAGATGATAAAAATTGCTTTAAATTTGGGCTTCTCTTATTTGTTTCTAAAAACACACCAGAATATGCTTTTAGTTTCCAAAAAGACTTAGTGTGAAAATGTACATATAAACAGACATGAAATTAAGACTAAAGCTTTCTGACATCAGTGATTTCAGCAGAGGAGCCTGGAAACCAGTTACTGAGCCTTCATGCTACTTAAGAATAAGGTTAGACTAAGAAATAGGATTTGCTCTAAAGCAAGTAACAGAGGCAACTTCACCAACAGGCAAAGTAGGCAATTGCCTTGGAAAGAAGGCAGGCTTGTTGCAAATTACCTCCCTTACCCAAGTAATGAATCACCTGGAATTCCTGAATTAAAGAGACATTCCTTTGGGCAAATAATTTTCTGAGTCTGGATTTTGAGATAGGATGGTTAAACAAAAAGTCATCTTCAGTCACAATTTTTAATGCAGATTAGTTTATTGGTTCACATCAACCTTTAAAGGGAGATGTGGAAAAAGTGTAGGAGAGATAGCCATTACTGGGGCCAGGAGGCAGGTGGGAAGAGGAAGAATATGGAGCAAGGGAAATCAAATCTGGGGGCACTTTCCCTCCTGTATTTCACTGCATGAAGGCTCTGCAGTTAGCTGCCTGCGTTATCCAATCTGTGGACTAAAGGGAATGAAAGGAGGAAGGCAGTAGGAAAGGAAGACAAAACAAGGAAAGAAGGTGGAGTTGGGAAGGGCTGATTTGGGAGAAATGAGGCTGCAGCAAGGTTAGACAAAGCTCACTGCTCAAGTGTGTAACCCTGCAGGCTACATAACCTGATTATTCCTCCAGCTTCATGGTGCCCTCTTCTTTCCTCACAGCCCTGGCCATGGCTCACTGCCTTTCTTTCCATTCTTAGGGTAGATCTATCTCTTTCCCATCCTGGTCTTCTTCACATACACAGTTTCCCCTGTATGGACGCTCTGCCCTTCTAGCACTCACTCTTGAAGTCTCAGCTTCTGAGAAGCCTTCCCTGGACCCCCATTTTCAGTCTGGCCTCTAGATTATATTGGCTGATTAGGGATTTTCCCATACAGTCCTTTCCACAGTTTGCAATTGTTCATGTATTTGAATGATCACGTGTTTAATCTCTCTCTCCTTCTAGCTTTAGAGAAGCTCCATGAAGGCAGAGACCATATCAGTGTGTTTCATATTCTACCCACCAAGGCCTACCAGAGTTACTCTGTAAAATCTGTTGAATTAGATAAACCAATCGTTTGAGAAGTTTAGTAACAGCATGTTTGCTTTTGTTCTTTGGACTACGAACAGTCACAGAATGGCTATGCTTATTACTGTCAAAATAGAAGCATTTGTGTACTGATAGGTTTGCAAACTCATCTGAAATGTATTATATCTGATTCACATGGTTAACCTGAAGAAATCTGAACAGGAAATTTGGATTGACGTATAACTCACAGTGGCTTGGTATTTCAGGTTGGAATTGTACAGTATGGAGAAAACGTGACCCATGAGTTCAACCTCAATAAGTATTCTTCCACCGAAGAGGTACTTGTTGCAGCAAAGAAAATAGTCCAGAGAGGTGGCCGCCAGACTATGACAGCTCTTGGAATAGACACAGCAAGGTATATGGATAAAAAAATAAACTAAAGTAAAAGACTGCAAAAATAACTGCTCATGATTTAGCCTTTTGGCATATCAATTGAAAGTTTAATATGACAATATTTAAAGCCATTTTGTTTAAAATGAGATTCAGAAGATTAAATAATGGTTACAAGATCAGATGTTTGTATGACACAATCTCACCATCCTTCTTATCCTTCTCTTGTTACAAGGGTTTAATTGATAGAGAATCCATTTTAAAATATCACTGCATCTATATTTTCATGTTCTTGGGTACTAAGACAATATTAGTTAATATTTGTTTCATTTATTTTTTGTTTTCAACTTCTAAGAGTCTCAATCTAAAAGAACGGATTAAAAATAGGTCTACCTCTACTCAATATATATTTATATTCTAGAATGTCCATGTATTTTCAGTACTTGATTTACCGTTATCGAAGCTACTAGATAAGAGGTGTTAAGGCGCCAAATTAAATATTGTCTATTTAAAATCATTTTTAGTGCAAAGTTTGAAAGAAATGGAAAGGATATTATCATTTGTAATCCTCTCTCCTTTTTTACTTTCTTTAGATTCCCTCCAATTTACAACCCTTCCTTTCTTCCATCTGCAGTTTTCCTTATGGTGAACACATAACTCAGTCTGTGGTTGAATTTCATTTTATAAGAACGAACAGAATTGTCCTCTCTTACAAATGTAGAACACTTTATTTCCTGTGTGTTCTCTTATCTCATTCATTAAACTAGCAAACTTCTGAACAAATTCAAAACAATACAAAAATCACAGGAAATGTAATAAGTAGTTTGATTAATGTTAAGAATCCTTCTGTTAAATGTCTTCAACTTCTGAACTCTTGCCTTAGGTGGAAAGCTAATTACCCATGCTCTCACTTCATCTGCCTGCTAAGATGACTGTTTTAAGAAGGTTAAAAAAGTTAATAATGATCCTGCAAAGAATGGATTGGATATTCAAAATTTTATAATTTCATGTACAGCTTTTGCCTCATGAATATTAGAAAATCATCTGGCTCTAGTTATATGGGGCCCAAGAGAAAATAACCACAAACAGATGGAGGTAATTGGACATTTACCTACCTATTGGATCACCTATTGGATCACCAATTTGTATACACAAAGAGTGCACATGTTTAGGTGTACCGAATGCACCCCCATTCAATAATCAATTAAATGTGACTGCACATTCGAAGTAAGTCAAAGTGTTCTTTGAAACCTCTGAGCCTGTAGGGAGCTGTACGTTTTCCAAAGGCAACCATTTAAGAATGAATATTCATCTCTGAAAACTAACTGAAGAAATATTCTGGCTGCTTTTGCTTCTGCATAAATACGGCTCTAAATACCATGTCCCTATGTGTTTTTTGCCTCTGTGTTTCACAAAGGGTATAGCTGTGGGACACAGAGTTTATTGAATTTTGATTATACATTAAAATTCTGTAGTGATAGTACCAAGTATTTTTCTCCTACATTAATTACCTTTTCATGTTTAAGCACATTTTAATTGTTTTTTATTCCTTTCAGGCAGAAGTTGCAAACAATATTTTTAATATTTTTAGAATTCTTTACCTTCATTTTCAGTAAATCCCAGTTCAAAGTTTTGTGTGTGTGTGTTCCCTTCTTCCTATCCCAAATTTTTACTTTTGTCAATAAACTTACAGTATTTAATCATGAGGCCTGGATTCTCCTGTCTTGAAGAAAGGGACACTCTTGATATATTTTAATTTTTTAAAGCATGCAGGAAAGTCAATGCTTAGTGCCAAGAAAGGACACTGGATACTGGTACTTTGAGGACAATGACAATTTTTTAAGGAATGTAGTTGAAACAGGAAAGGTGTACTCAGGAGTTCTGTCAATGTCTAATCTTCCAATATTACATAAAGCCAGCCCTGAGTTTAGAACAGTCACATTTTATTTATGAAAGGCCTTTTAATCATCTCCTTCAGCTGATGTTCATTCAATTCTTTTGTAACCCTGATATTTAAGAGAATTAGGAAGTTTTAGTGACCTAAGGAATTTGAATTTCAAAAGTGATTGAATCTCATATGATATTCGCATACAAAGATCTGTTAAAGACTAACATGTAACGTCTGTTTTCACCTTTGTTTGTATACTTTAAAAAGTCAGAAAATCGGCTGGGTGCAGTGGCTCGTGCCTGTAATCCCAGCACTTTGGGAGTCTGAGGCGGCTGGATCACCTGAGGTCAGGAGTTCGAGAGCAGCCTGGCCAACATGGTGAAACCCCATCTCTACTAAAAATACAAAAAAAATTAGCCGGGCGTGGTGGTGGGCGCCTGTAATCCCAGCTACTCAGGAGGCTGAGGCAGGAGAAGCGCCTGAACCCAGGAGGCGGAGGTTGCAGTGAGCCAAGATCGTGCCACTGCACTTCAGCCTGGGCAACAAGAGCAAAACTCTGCCTTAAAAAAAAAAAAAAAGCCAGAAAATCTACTTGTATAGTATGTTAAAAATTATTCATGATATTTGTTAAAGATTGTAAGGAAGACATCACTCAAGAGGAACCTTTATGATGAAGGTATTGCAGTAAGGAAGAGAGATAGGGCTCAGCTTTGACTACAGTGAGGACAAGTGGGCATTTATAGTCAAGGAACAGGGCAGGGATTGGCAGTAACATCAAGGCTAGGGGGATTCTTGCTAGACTGGCTCAACAGGATTCTTGCTGAAGGCAGATAAATAGTAGGAAAAATAAACTGTTTTTCTCTTTCTATATTCTAAACACTTGACATGTCACTTCTGATGCCAGATGTGTGGGATTTTTCCCACATCGACCAGTTATCTGACATCAGCTGCATGTTCTAGAATTCAATTCAGTTCTGACACCAACTAGAGTTTATGCAAACCTCCCACAGATTAACGGCTCAGTCCTTCAAGAATTCATTCCAATTTAGAGCCAGTAGGTTTCCAGGTACCCACGATTTGTCCAACGTGGCTACAAATTAGACCCCTTACTTGGGTTTGATTATATGCTAGAGTGGATCACAGAACTCAGTAAAGTATCTTACTTACTATTATTAGTTTATTATAAAAGGATACAACTCAGGAACAGCAAGAGATATGTAGTGCAAGCTATGAGGGAAAGGTGTCAGAGCTGCCATTCCCTCTCATGGTGTACCTCCTTCCACCTGTTCAGCAACCTGGAAACTTTCTGAACCCCGTAGTTCAGAAAGTTTTACAGAGGCTTGATCACAGGCATGATTGATTATTAACTGATTCTCTAGCCCCTCAATCTTTCCTGGAGAATGAGAGCTGGGGCTGAACGTTTCAAGCTTCTGATCATGGCCTGGTCCTTCTAGTGATCAGCTCCCATTTAGGAGCCCACCAAGAGTTACTTCATTAGAACAAAAGATACTCCTATCACCTAGGAAATTCAACAGATTAGAATATCTATGTCAGAAACCCAGGTTAAAGACCATATATTAGAACAAAAGATACACCTCTCACCAGTATTGCTCAGGAAGTTATGAGAGTTTTAGGAGTTCTGCACCAGAAACCAGAGGCAGAGACCAAATATATATTTATTATTTGTTAAAGGAAAATTTTAGACAAATTAAATTTGACAGAGTTTATTTGAGCAAAGAATGATTCATGAATCAGGCAGCAGTCAGAACCATAAGAAGTTCGGAAAGATCCATTTTAGCAGTGTGAGCAATGGGCTTTTACGAGCTGAATGCAAAATCAAATTAAAGAAATGACTTGATTGGCTATAGCTAGGCATTTACCTTATTTGGGTATGATCTGGTGGAAAGTTAGAGGTTACTTGCCAGGTTCTGATTGGTAAAGTCTCTAGTTAGAAGTTAGTTGCAGTTTCTAATTGGTAATGTTTAAGTTTTGTTTTACTGTTTACATTGAATTGGACTTTGGTTTGATTATATAGGAACATACGGCACTGGAGCTGTCTCAGCCTAATTGCCTATAAATTCAATTCTTTTAAAAGATAATATCATGGAACAGCGTAATAAGATTTAGAGGGTGGGGAATGAGGAATGTGATCAGATACCAAGGATGAGGGATTTCCACTAAATTGATTAAGCCAGATTCTTGCTTAAACTGGACTAAGTGGGTAAAGAACACAGCCCAGGGTCAGAGCCCAGTCTAGAAGAAGATGTAAAGGAGCCTGACTCGGTTTTGGTCAAGGAGAGGGTCTTTGTCAAGTATAGAGGGCAGAGAGACTCAAAGAAAGTAAAAAATTAGTACAACTATATCCTGTATATCCACCACTCAGAACTGACAGTTGTCAACATCTTGTCATATTTGCTTTAAGTCCTTCGAAAGGAAAAGTCATCACATAGAATCCTTTTCCCCATTTCACCAGAATCCTCTCTTCCTGCTTAAAGATATCAGTTATGGTATATTTAGTGTGTATCTGTTGTGCAAACTCTTTGGAATGTTAGCTTAAGACAGGCGTTTCCTTGGCAAATCTATCCCAAATGGCAGCTGTTTGTCTGTACAACCAAATATCTAAATGGACCATTCAGTACAATGATTGCTGTACTTTGTACCAAAATCCTAGAAATATATGAAGTCTTTTCATTACTTTAGTCCTAAATAAAATATACTCATCTCTTCCAAGACTCCAGAGCGAAAAGGTTTGAGTAAAAGGAAATAAAGGGGGAGGGGAGAAGTGTGTGTATATATTTATATAGAATACATACAAAACAAAAATTTTCCATTTCCCTGTCTTCTGTTTCTTTCCATAAGTGCTGTTCAATTAAATTCAAATTCGGTTTTTTGTTTTGTTTTGTTTTTGAGACGGGAAGGTGTCTCGCTCTGTCGCCCAGGCTGGAATGCAGTGGCGCGATCTTGGCTCACTGCAAGCTCCGCCTCCCGGGTTCACGCCATTCTCCTGCCTCAGCCTCCAGAGTAGCTGGGACTACAGGCGCCCGCCACCGCACCCGGCTAATTTTTTGTATTTTAGTAGAGACGGGGTTTCACCTTCTTAGCCAGGATAGTCTCGATCTCTTGACCTCGTGATCTGCCCGCCTCGGCCTCCCTGAAATTCAGGGTTTTTTTGCAGTTAGGTTATAGCATTTTCCCCTCCTCTCCATTGCCATCTTCTCCCATCCTGCTCTCAGCAGCCTGTGTGCTAACACATAGTTCAGGCCAAATGTTTTGTAACTCCTTCAACCACTTTTTGCTCCCTAAAACCCAACTGACTACTCCATGGACTCAGAGCATCACCATCTGCAGTCTATTACTCCCATGTGAAAGACTGCAGATGTCCCTATCCCCAGGACACTCTCAAGCACTCACAGCCCCACTAATACTCTGTTCTCTCTCATCTCTCCTCCCCAGATTAGAGGATTTTCGAGCCATTCTACAAATGTCAGAGTAGCTGTGGGGGAAGCAAAATCTCAAGCAAAAGTTTCTGCTAGACGCAGAAGAAAAGAGGCCTGTTAAATGAGAGAAGGGGTGTTTACAGAGAAAGGAGCACCTGGGGGAGTGTTTACAGATCTGGCCTTCTCTGACCATGATGTATGCCTCAGTCACACCCTCCCTTTGAAATTTCCAAAGAATGAAATACTGCTGCCTTTTTATATATAGGATGTGTGGTGATTAGCAAAACGGAGACCTCTCCATCATCTGAAATAAATCTAAAACTATTACAAACAAGGCTCATTATGCCTCCCAACTTGAATGATGGGCATTGATGCTAATTTTGGAGGGAAGCACCAGGCTACCTAGAGTAGTCAGTGTTTTTGTTTAGTTTTTTACTTTGTCTATTGTAAAGTGGTGTCTTATCAACCTCTCTTTTGTTTGTGATTACTTTAGAAAGGAGGCATTCACGGAAGCCCGGGGTGCCCGAAGAGGAGTTAAAAAAGTCATGGTTATTGTGACAGATGGAGAGTCTCATGACAATCATCGACTGAAGAAGGTCATCCAAGACTGTGAAGATGAAAACATTCAACGGTTTTCCATAGCTGTAAGTGTGTTGCCGGAGATATTTTCAAACTCTTAGGTGTAGAGAAGAGCTGTGTGCATATTGGGTAATTTTATGAAAGTCACACAAACCAGGTTGGAAAAGAGAAAGGTCTCCATTTGAAGGTAAGCCCTGGGAGGACAGACTTGGATCTTGCTCCCTCTGGGTCCTTAGTACCCAGCACAATGCCAGGCCAAACAGACACTCAACAAACAATCATTGAAAGGAAGGAAGGAAGGAAGAAAATAAGGAAACATGAAAAGAGGAAGAAGGAAGCAAAAACATAAGAAGGAAGGAAGGGTGAGAAAAAGAGGACTGAAAAAAAGAAGAGGAAAAGAAGAGGAGGAAAGGAAGGGAAGAGGGTGGGAAGGCGGGAAAAATGCCTTTGCCTTTAAATAAGAGAGAGGATTTGTTCAGTATAACAAGAGCAGTGGCCATTGGGCTTCCCTTCCCCGTCTGAGCAATTTTCGACTCTCTTTTTCATTAATTATCTTCCCCCATCACTTAGCTAAAGTGGGGGAAAGTGCCAGTTGTCTCTGTTTAAATATTAACAACTTCTGACGTTTGACACTTGCTTTTCAGCGAAGTAGACAGGAATTGAATTTTTGTTTTCTGATGCAATTTATAAGCTCCTGGTATAGACCTTTCGACCTAAAATGTAGACATTCTAGTGGGGAACAAGTTCTGAAATAAAAAGTTACCCAAATGGTATGCCAATTACTTCAGAGCTAGCTCTAGTTTTAACAGTGTGCTTCTTCAAAACAGCTTGCAGTTCTTCTCAGACATTAGTGCATTACTCCTGTAACCTCATTATTCCTATAGCTTCATGGAACAGCAGGTGAGGGAGCTGAGAAAGAGGCAAGGGCACCCAGTGACTTGGGTGGTCCCAGAGGACAGGGGCAAAGTGGCTTAAAGTCCTCTGATGAGACGTGTGGTATTTCCTCTGGGATGGTCACTGATACTCCCCAGGGAAAAGGATGAGGGCTTTACTGAAGCAAAAGAAAAGAATTGAGAATAAATCTGCCACTGCCTTCTCTCTAGTAAGGAACATTCAAAAGCCACTGCACTGCCTTCAAGACTCACTTTCTCACATTAACATTGAGTGTACATTATAGTATTTCAGTTGCTGCTCTAAACTACTATCCATTTTTTTTTTTAAATGGAGTCTCGCTCTGTCACCCAGGCTGGAGTGAAGTGGCACGATCTCGGCTCACTGCAACCTCCAACCTCCCAGGATCAAGCAATTCTCCTGCCTCAGCCTCCCAAGTAGCTGGGACCACAGGCGCACACCACCACACTTGGCTAATTTTTTTATTTTTAGTAGAGATGGGGTTTCACCATGTTGGTCGGGCCGGTCTTGAACTACTGACCTCAGGGGATCCACCTGCCTTGACCTCCCAAAGTGCTGGGATTACAGGCGTGAGCCACCGTGCCCAGCCCACTATGCATTTAATGATACAAATAAACAAGTCTTTCGTAGATTATAAACAGCAGCACTTTAAACAGTAATTTTAGTTCTTTTCTAACTTTCTATAAGTGAAAAATCTGTATCCTTCTTAATCAAACTATCAGTTTTTTAATCTACCATTCTAAATCTAACTTTAAAAAACTACATGTAGATGTGCAGTGGGGGTGAGCTACTCAGATGGGTAGGGGGAGCCTCAGACCTGGAGGAAAGGGGTGGGGGCAGCCCTCAAGCCCATTGCCCTTGTGCCCACTATCCTCCCAGGCCACAGTGCAGAACCATGGTCGGAAGGGTGCTTGAGGTCTGTTTTGTAACAGGACTTTGAAGGCAGCACCATGGAGCTCTTCGTTTTTAATGATGCCAGACAAGGCTATTATTGGAAAAAGAAATGTGAAGCCAAAAAATTCCTGTACCTTCATGGTCACTGGAGGCCAAGACTCTCCTTCTTCTTAGAGGATTTGGATATTCTTAAAAAAAAAAATCAAGCAATAGCAAAGGGCTCAGTGTCTTTCCTTTATTTTTTGGATTCCAGGAGCATAGCCTTGAATTAATCCGATCCTTGCTTCGTTCAGGCCAAATTG
Source organism: Homo sapiens (assembly GCF_000001405.40). Lineage (NCBI taxonomy): Eukaryota > Metazoa > Chordata > Mammalia > Primates > Hominidae > Homo > Homo sapiens. The sequence continues at coordinate 52,890,009 of NC_000005.10, forward strand.
TAATCATTTGTTGAAACAAACTTTATTTGTTTCTCTGTTTAGAACTATATCTGTGTATTTATTTTAATAATATTATAAGCATCCATGGACCTACCACCCAAATTGAGAGCTAGCTCTCTTTTTTGGTAACTACATCTGAGCACATTTACCACCTGCCTTCCTCCACCTGGGTAACCATCAGTCCACTTTCTACATTCCTCAACCCTGGCTCTACTTTTCAAAATAATATTTAGGCACCCATACATATCCAAAAAAATAAATTTTAAGAATATTTCATTGTTTTTAACATTTTAAAAAGAGTGTAATGCTGTATATAATATTTTGGAACTTTTAAAACTTAATACTATATTAAGATTCATCCATAATGTTGCATATCTGTATAGTTCATTCTGTTTTTAAAAATTGAAGTGATATTTACAATACAGTGAAATGCAAGGTTTCAGTGTGAAAAGTGTGCACGAAGTGAACAATTTGGTGAGTTTTGACAATTACGTGCACCCACATAAGACTTAATCAAGATATAGAGCAATTTCATCACTCCCAGAAAGTTTCCTGTGCTTTCTTTTTTAAAATGTATCTTTAATTTTTATGGATACACGATAGCTGTACATATTTACCTGGTACATGTGATATTTTGATACAGGCATACAGTGGCTAATGATCAAATCTGGGCAATTGGAATATCCATCACCTCAGACACTTATCATTTCTTTGTGTTGGGAATATTCCAAATCTTCTCCTGTAGCTATTTTGAAATATACAATATGTTTACTGTAGTTGTCCTATAGTGCTACTGAACACTAGCTCTTATTCCTTCCATCTAATTATAGTTTTAAATCCATTAACTAACCCCTCTTCATCCCTGCTCTTCCCCACTACTCTTTCCAGCCTTTGATAACCACCATTCTATTCAGTATGTCTATGAGATCCACATTTTCAGCTCACACATTTGAGTGAGAACGTAGTGATATTTGTCCTTCAGTGCTTGGCTTATTTCATTTAATATAATGTTCTTCAGTTCCATCCATGTTGCTGGAAATGACAAAGTTTTGTTCTTTTTAATGGATAAATAATATTCTGTTGTGAAGATATACCATGTTTTTTTAAATCCATTCATCCATTGATCCATACTTAAGGTTAATTCTATATCTTGTCTATTGTAAACAGTGCTGCAATAAACAGGGGAGTGCAGATATTTCTTCAATATACTATTTCCTTTCTTTGGGATATATACCCAGCAATGTTTTTTTTTTCTTTTTTTTTTTTCATTTTAAATACACACCTCCTGTAGTAACCACTGATGTGACATACCACCATAGCTCACTTAGATTGCCAATTCTTGAATTTCAAATAAATAAAACTGTATAGTATGTACTGTGTGTTTAGCTTTTCACTCAACATAATTATTGCTTGTGATATTTTGTGTACTGGGGATTCATTTTTTGTTATTGTTATCTATTTTATAGACCACAATTTGTACTCTACTGTTTATAGACATTTTGCTTGTGTCCAGTTTGAGTTATTGTTATAAATGTATCATGAACACTAAAAAAAAAAAAAAAAAAAAACCAAAGTGATAATCTTCAGGTAACACTTGCAACTATGGTAAAAACTAATTTTTTTATTTATTACAGAAGTGATTTTTTATTATAAAGTTTTAAAAAAAATATTGAAGCAAATATAAGGAAACACCTAGTGTCCTAATATACAGAAATACAAAATAATATATTATGATACACATTTTTTCACATTTTTTATGCCCATGTACTTATGTGATTTAAAAAATAGAATTAGGTCATATCTACATATTGGGGATTTTTAAATTTTTTTGCATGTTAAATTTTACATATTGTTTTAAAAATGTTTTCATTATCTTGAACATTTTTATATTAAAAACAGTTTTAACATAAAAAATTTTTACATTAAAAACTAATTTTTTTAGGCAGAAAAAGTACAAACCTCAACAAAGCTAATTAGTTGGACTTCATCAAAATGTAAAACTTCTACTCTTCAGATGACACTGTTGAGAATATGAAAAGACAATCTACAGACGGGAAGAAAACATCTGCAAAACACATAAAGGACTTGCATCCAGACTATATACAGAACTCTTACAACACATTTAAGGGAAAATAAACATCTCGTTTTCTTTTAATGGGAAAAAGATTTGAACAGACACTAACTACACCGAGGAAGAAATACTATAGCAAATAATTGTATGAAAGAGTCTCAACATCATTAGTCATTAGAGAAATGCAAATTAAATAAGACACCACTATACGCTAACACAATTGCTAAAACTAACAAGTGAACAAAAAAAACTGACAATAACAAGTATTGACACGCATGCAAAGCAGCTGGATCTCTTAGACATTTCTGATGGGAATAGTAAAATGGCAAAATGGGACGATTACTGTGGAAAGCAGTTTGGCAGTTTCTTAAAAAGTTAATCATTCACTTATTGTATGACCCAGCACTTTCATTTCTAGTTATTTACTCAAGAGAAAAGAAAATATATGTCTATTACAGAGACCTACATGTGAATATTTACAGCAGCATTATTCATAATATGTTGAAGCTGCAAACAACTCAAATGTTCTCATTAAGTAAATTGTGGTGCATCCATACAATGGAATGCTACTCTGCAATAGAAAGGACCCAACTACTGCTACATGCAGCAACACGGATGACTCTGAAAAGCATTGTACAAAGTCACAGAAGCCAGACACAAATGGCTACATACTATATGATTCCTTAAATCTGACATTCTGGAAAAATCAAAGCTATAAGGACAGATTATTTATCGGTGGTTGCCAGGGTTGAACGAGGGGAGGAAGGGATTGACTATAGGGGCAGGAGGGAACTTTTTGGGGTGATGTAAATATTCTACACCTTGATGTGGCAGTAACACAACTATATTGGTTTGTCACACTCATAGAATTGTACATCTAAACAGGGTGAATTTTACTGTATATAATTTATTGCAATAAACCTTACCTTAAAAAAAAACTAAATGTTTGAGAAAACCTGCTTGGACATCTAAATAATTATAGTTAACAATCATATATAACTCCTGCTTCTCTCTCCTCTTCATAAAAAAGAATGCCCCTGTCTCCAGCATTTGGTTTCAAACAAGAATATCTCAATTGTTTATTTTCCAGATTGCCAATTTAGATTACCACTTAGTCCAGTATGTGTTTAAAATATATATGTGCTGGACTGTGCCTTGGTAATAGTTTCAGGAAGAATTGCTCATTCAAAAGCAGGCAACTCACTTGCTGATTGCCTTTGCCAGCAGATAATGACATCACTAGCTGGAATAATATCAAAGACATTCAGAAACTATGAATATAACATTACTTTTGAACTGTCAGATTTTAAAAATACAGCTGTTAGTAACAGGGACACAGAGTACAAGAGGAGAAATTTTCACAGACATACAAAATTGCCCTTTATATTTTTCTACACCAATTGTGGTGTTTATATAACAGTTAATATTAGGGAGTCTACAAATTTTGAAAATCACTCTTCCATAAATATGAAAGTACATAAAAATTCCATTATGCTAAGGTACTCTACACTGTTGTTTACTGACAAAATGCTTGAGATCCTTTATTTAACACATAGAATTTAAAATATATTCTTGCTGTTTCTGTTGTGTCTTAGATTCTTGGCAGCTATAACCGAGGAAATTTAAGCACTGAAAAATTTGTGGAGGAAATAAAATCAATTGCAAGTGAACCCACTGAAAAGCATTTCTTCAATGTCTCTGATGAATTGGCTCTAGTCACCATTGTTAAAACTCTGGGAGAAAGAATATTTGCCCTGGAAGGTATGTCTATTTATCTTATTGCTGCATGTTCTCTCTGCAATTCAAAATCAGTATAATGGGATTTTTGTATTTATTCCTAATACATCAGTAATACTTTTTTTTTTTTTTTACTGTGTACAATATCTAGCATGGAACAATGCTCTTTTATATAAATCTGCCATTAAGATGGCTGTTTCTCACAACACTGTGTCTGCTAGAGACTCTCTTTGTAAGGGCATGGTAGGGCAGTGCTGATGGGACAGCCGATGAAGACAATGGTCAATGTAGATGTGCCAGGACAAAAATGTTTCCATGTGCTTTGTTCCTTTTCTGTTACATAGATTTGGAAAATGAGGGTACTACCTCTGGTTTGGGTTTTTTTTGTTTGTTTGTTTCTTCATTTCATATTGAGCTACTACAAGAGTGCTCTTATGCAATAACTTCTTTGTTCACTTATTTTCTCTGTATTTTGCTCCTTGCCCATTTTAAAGGTCTTCATGGAAATTTGCCTTAAAATCCATGGCAATGAAACATTGGTTCACTGTATTTGTCTAAATCATGTTACTTCTTTGCAGATTTTTCCTTGAGTTTTCAATGGTGACTGGCTGTTGAGGATAACGAGTTATGGCATTCCCTATTCTGCCTTAGGTAGAGGATGTCAAGTAGCTAATTACTTTGGAACTCGATCTTTCCTAAAAAACAAAAAAAAAAAGTCTTCAGAATTGTTATGCCAGGCAAACTGGCAAAGCTTCTTTCTTCACATTCTTTGATGATCTCTAGTCTCAGGGAACATGCGCCTTTTCTCCAACTAGGGAGAGAAACCACCAGAGAATTCTTTTCCCCTTAGGCTACATCCAAATCCAGTTGACCCTGTCCTTGTGAGGACACACTGAAAGACTGTTGTTTCTACATCTTAACAATAGAAATTTAAAAGCACTTTCTCAGTTTCCCTGATTTGATTGATAATAGGAAACAGAAAGACAAAATGGGAATGAGACACAACTGAAAAAAAGTAGACCATTTTGATTGAGCGTCAAGGGGCTGGGAAAATGCAGAAAAATTAGAATATGAAAATGTACAGAAAGGAAAGATAATTATTTAGAGTTATGGCTTTCAAACTTTTTTTGAGTGTGACTCACGATAATAACTACATTTTGCTTTTTGACCCAGTGCACATAAATATATACATATAAAAATAAGGCAAAGTTTCACAAGATAATTCTTATTACATGTGATGCACTGTGATGGTTTCTCATCAATTCCATTCTACCCTAATCTCTTTCAATGAAAAAAAAATGCTGGCTATACTCAGTCTGTTGATTTCATGACTGGGTCACAATCCGTACTTAGAACATTTGATTTAGAGGTGATAGGAATCTACAGGCCAGCCAGACTGAATTTCTGTGCCTCCCTTTTCCCCTGGCCTCTTTCCCCTGTGCCTTTAGAAACAGAACACTCTAATTGTTTATGAGTCTGGAGTCCCAGCTGCTTCTGAAGAACTCAGCTGTCTTGTGCTCTGTGTACAAGTCATTTTTAAGTGGCTTTGGTCTCTCAACAGCTCTCCCGGTGTCATTTACCAATAAACCAGATTATGAGCTTGGCTGGCCTTAAGGAAAATACATAAGGTCTTCCAACTAATTGTGTACTTTTAATTTTTAATAACATGGGCTAAGATATGATAGAAACAATCTGTAAAAATAATTTAAAAGAAAAGTTACATAGTTACATTTGATAGTTCAACAGAATACAGTGTCATTTCTAAATCTCCTTTTAAGTAAGCAAGTAACCTAAAACTGGCAAAAATGAAGCCCACTTCAGCTAGGGGAGGGGGAGATCAATTGCCTGAAATGACATTTCAGATTATTTCTAACCTAACTACACCATGGATTAAAGGTGACAGGTTGAAGAGCCCAAACACTCCAAGAAGTCTCTATATTTAAATATGACATCATTTTATAAGGAACTTTACAGATTACAAATGTCTTCTATATCATCTTTGTTGCTACACTACACCAAAAGCAGTGTTTTGACTAGACTATTTCTTATTTTTTTCATGAGATATTTAAAAAGGCTTTATTTCTTTGTTGCTCGGGAAATCTCCATTTCCTGTCAACATGTATCTTAAGATGACAAGTAGCTGTGATTATGAAATTTCTGTTTGCCAAGGACAGTGCCATCTATTGAGGCAAGTATGCCAAGGACTTGCTTAGTACATCAGAAAATAGTCTACTGTCTCCATTTCCCGTTGAGCACTGGGAGAAAATGCCAACATTTCTAACCAGAGGCTGCACAGTGGTTAGAGTGGCTGGCCCAAACACCCATGAACAGTCCAGGGAGAAGTTTGAAGCAAGAAGCCCAGGAGAATATAGTGGTCTATTACCATGATGCCACTGCAGCAGGAAGAACATCACATAGCGTCCTTCTGTCTGTTCTCAGCTGAAGGCAGAATAGCGGCAGGGCAGGTGCTGAAAATAATGCAGGTTTCCGTTGCTGCATTCTTATTGATCTTGCAGATAAGTGAGAAAACACCTGAAAGCATTGTGGACTGAAAATACATGTTTAAATTAAAGTTAAAATGCATCTCAGTCATTTAAATTACAGGGCAATTCACACAAGAGATTAAAATGATATATTTGAATTCTTCACTGCCGCGTCTAATCTAGTCCTACAAAGGTAATTACTGATGTATTTGTTCACAATTTTATCCATGTAAATAACTAACAAATAGTTACATTCACAAATTTGATTATTCTCTTGCCTCAACGAAAGGGCAGACTGACTTTCTTAAGTGCTATTTTTAACTTATCTGCAAGGCCAAATAAATCAGTAACCCCTAGTGCAAGCAAATAAATCAACATTCCATCAATTCCCTCAGGAAATTGTGGCTTTGGGTTTGTGAATATTTTGAGAATAATTTGAGAGTAGCAGACTGCCATGGAATGCTCTGAATTATCTCTGCATTTCAGTAAAGAGCTTCAAAATGGGTACAGGATCTTTTAAAAATGTATGATTGAATGGCATGTGGGCAGCCCTATCACAAAGACCCCTCTGGATCTGTGAGTGATACTTACCACCAGTAATTAGAGCAAATAAATGCATACTAAAATACCTAAACCCTTTATCACACAATGAAATTCTGACAGAATCTATGGCCTGAATATGGGTGGGACTGATGGAGTTGAGAAACCTCTTTAAATATGTGAATGAAATTTTTTTCAGTCCCATAACATATTAAGGGAGTTTAGCCTAAGGGCTCAGCAGGGTTCCCAAGGCATGAATTTGGACAGGAATTTCCTACTGTAGTACATCCAACTTGAGCCTTGTGGACCCAAAGCACCATAGGATCCACAACATGCTACAGTATAAGAATGGAGATTTCTCAACCCCTCTGGCGAGGACAGGGCTGCTAATGAACAAGAATTTGAGACATGAGCCCTTTGACTATTTTTCTCTGTCTTCTACCCAGGCCTACCTAGAAATTTTGGGTTGAGAAATGTATGGCTGAAAATGCCCTAAGATGTTTGAAGTTCTGGTTGGTAAGACCACAAGCTCTACCAGGTATCTGTATTCTGCAAGTCAGTAGTGCATGAAAAGGCATTGTTACTTATTTACAGTGATATTTTCCTATGTTATAGCCACAGCTGACCAGTCAGCAGCTTCATTTGAAATGGAAATGTCTCAGACTGGCTTCAGTGCTCATTATTCACAGGTATGTTGACCAGTTGGTGAAAAATGAAATATATGTTTGCAAGACTTCCCTTCCCAAAACCAACATCTAGCCATCAGTATGTAAGTGCAACGTGCAGTTCATAGCTTGAACAATTATGCAGGCTATGATGATGTTTTCTAATTCAAATAGGAAAATATCATTTCACAAGCTTCTTATTAAGAAAATATGTTCTCTCACACAGTTCACTACATTGTACTAATAGTTGTGAATCAGACAGTGTGAGCTTTGCCTTGTAATTATGTATCTGTCTAAATGAAATAATTTAACATATTTGCTACAGATGTGGAATATTTTTCCACAGGTCAAGGAATTCAAGGGTCTTATTAGAATTCCATGTTCAAGACCTAGGATGCTGGGCACCCAGAATAAAGTAGAAAGACAAGATTAGAAAATATATCATTTGCAGTTAATGAAAGAAAAGGCATAATGGTCCTTGCAAAAGAATATTGACATTTCCATGTGCAATTTTACTGTATAACTTGGGTAAGTTATTTGTGCCTTGATTTCCTTTTCTGTAAAACAGGTATGGTAGCAATAGCATCTAACTCATAGAGTTATCATGAGGATTATATAAGCTAACAAATGTAAAGCACTTTGAACAGTATACCTATACACATTGTTAATGGTGTTTAAGTATTTCCCCTTATTATTTTTATTAAATATTATTATCTTATTTATTTGCATGTAAGGACTGGGTCATGCTTGGAGCAGTAGGAGCCTATGATTGGAATGGAACAGTTGTCATGCAGAAGGCTAGTCAAATCATAATCCCTCGAAACACAACCTTTAATGTTGAGTCTACCAAAAAGAATGAACCGCTTGCTTCTTATTTAGGTAAGGTTTGGATATAATTATAAAAGAGTTGTTTTACTTTTCCATTTTTTACCTTTAGCATTATTTGCTTATGTTTCTATAGGCTTGCAACCATATAGCAGGATTATTTCAACAAGTTGGGTATTTTCCAGAACCCATGCAAAGTTTTAGGCCTCTGAGCAGCTTTAGTTAGTCAAAATGACATACATGGGGGTCCTTTTTTGTTAGTAGGGCTGTCTAATGCAGGGAATGGTTTAGGTTGATATGTGCCCTTTCTGATATGTTCAGTTTCTCTGTGTCTGGTATCAACTTTAACTTCAAGGAGAACTTTGAACCTGGTGGACAAGAAATGAGAGTAGAAAAGGAAACCTCGACTTCTCCTATATCCTGAAAACCAAACTCATATTGTCTTAAATGTCTTCTATCATTAATTTCTCTCTATGGGTCCTAATTTGGGAAAAGAAAAATGTATTTTGTCATGTAACTTCTTCTTTAATAGCTCCATTCACAATCAGACAAATATTGAACTTAAACCCAGTGATATAACATGATCTTGTTTCCCAGTGTCTTGCCAGAAATGAGGAGTTGTATGTCTGGTACCACTTTATTTGGGATCTATACCAAGCTGAGCAACACCTGGGGGATGCCAGGGAACTCTCCCCTCACTGAAAAAAGATATTCACCAACAGTTGGGAGGACCTAAAATAAAAAGGACCATCAGGATATGGCTTCCCAGCTCTTACTCACTCAACAAATATTTGGGGGATCCTCTTTTGCCCCAGGCATTGATCTTAGTGCTGGGAATAAAGTGATAAAGAAAACACATACCTTGGCCTGGAAGCATTCACAGCTTCACGTGTTAGCCTTCCTCTCTGGGATCTTTCTGTCCCGGAGACAAGTCTTTTTCTCTCTGTCCCAGTTGCTTTCTATTTTATCAGGAAGGTGGCAGGTCTTTACTGCGGTGTTTATACATCTCCTTATTGAAGGACACCTATTAAAGCTGTAGGAGCAGCAGGACTTAAGAAGAATAAAAGGACTAGAGTTTTAGATGACTAAAAATGTAACAGTCAACAGCAGCTGCACTGTGACTGCTAAAATCTCTTAAGACATGTAGAACTGCATGAATGAAAGTCCAGTCTGTTTCTCATAGAAATCCTGTTACATTCCACTCTGGTCAGACAACAGCTAGAGTATCTGGTTGTTCTAAGTATCACATACTACAAGGAGAAAATGACAAACTAGGATGTGCCAGTAAAATATTACACAGAAAAGTCAGCTCCCGAAGCAATTCCCTGCTACAAGTCTCACTCTCTCGAAAACTTAAAGAAATTGAAGGTTAGAAAACAAAGTGTGCATTGCATGTATTTTAGGTATTTGGAGGATTGTGATATAAAATATAGGGGTTAGGCTTAAAATTCATTTCAAATTTTAGCATTAAAAGAGATCCTATGGAGCATGTAGTCTTAATTTCCAATCAAGAAACTGAGAGATAGAACAATTATGTCCCAGCTGCCTATGGCAGGTGTGAAACCACAATTGAGGCTTCTTGATTCTTATGTCAGTGTTTATATCACGATACCAAAATAACTGATTCTGGGTTGATTAAGAAAGCACTGCACAAATATTGAGTACCAGCAATGTGCCAAACACTGAGTTTATAGGGAATAAAAAGATAGATGGGGCAGGTCAGTTCCTACACTGATAAACCTTACTTTTTTGGGTGAGAGACAATAATGAAACAAGCAATCACTATCAGTATGATATGTGCTATGACACAGAATACCTAAAAAAGAGGGCTGGGGATTAGATTAGATATCTTCTAAAAGTTCATTACATCCTAAGGTTCTATGAGACTGTTTATGTGAAATACCTTGGAATCAAGAACCAGCTTAACCTGAGGCTTCTGTTATATGTAGAATAAATATAGAACATTTATCTTCCTATATAATGGATGACATATAAATTAGTAAAACTCCTTATGAAAGGCATTTGACAATGTGTTTACAGAGCTATAAAAAATGTTCGTACCACATTTATACAGAAATTTCACTTCTGTGGACCTAACCTAGGGAAAAAAATCCAATATTTAAGAATGCCAAGTGAACAATGATTTCCATTGTATTATTATTTATGTTATTGGGGGAAATGCCATTATCCTAAATGCCCGAAAATATGCAGGTAGTTAAGTAAATAGTAAATCCACTTAATGAATATTACACACCCATAAAAATAAAAATTATAAAGCTGCTGATTCTATGATACTAAAGACTTGAAGCAGTTATGGTACAAGGTGTACAATTAGCGATAGCGATGAGGTCATAGAGACTTGAGCTTGTTTTCTGATTCTGCCCCTGGCTATGGCTTTAGGCAAATTACTCTCCCCCTCAAAGCCTCAATTTTCCTATTTCTAAAATGGAAATAATTACACCATATATATCATTTGGGTTGTTAGATTAAGTAATGACTATATTTAGTACTGTGCCTGACACACAGTTAACACTCAATGGGTGTTGTCTATTATTTTATTATGTAAATGTTATTATGTATTTTTTTATTGTGTAATGTTATATAATAAACATTCCTCTTATTAGTATTGTGGTAGGCAGAATAATGATCCCCAAAGATGTCCATGTCCTAATCCCTGGACCCATACTTTGCATGGCAAAAGGGACTTTTCAGATATGATGAAATTAAGGATCCCGAGTTGGAAGATTATCCTCAGATATCTGGCTGGACCTGATACAATCAAGCATTCTAAAAATCAGAGAACCTCTCCTGGATGTGGCCAGAGGGAGACAGAACTATGGAAAAATGGTCAGAGAGATGCAGTGTTGTTGGCTTTAAAGATGGAGGGGGGCCACAAGCCAAAAACTGTAGATGGCTCTAGAGCTACAAAGGGCAAGAAAACCGATTCTCCTTGATAGGCTCCCGAAAGGAACACTGACCTGCCAATATCCTGATGTTTAGTCCAGGAAGCTCTATGCCAGACTTCTAATAAACAGAATGGTAAGATAAAAAGTTCATGATGCTTTAAGCCACCAACTTGTGGTAATTTGTTACAGCAGCAGTAGAAAACTCATACATAATACAAAATAATAATAGTAGCTGACATTAGTACTATTACTAATAAGTATTGAGTATTTACAAATTTAAAGACACTGTGTGAAGTCCACAAAGATGTGTATGATATTGTTGCCACTCTTAGGAAGCCCACACATTTTAATTGATAACACTGTAGTTTTTGGTATTCTTAATTATATGTGATTAAATTCCTTTAAAGTAAATAAACTCTTAAGAATCCTAAATTTGTCATTCCCAAAAACCTTTGGTTAAACGTTGCTTAAAGCAGATGTGGAGAATTCAACTTAAAGATGCCACTGCAAGTAAGAAAATATTAAGAATCTTATTTCTGAGCACAGTATTTATAATATATGACTTCTCTCTGTCCAAAAAGGAAATTTTTGGGTATGTTTTCTACAGTGTGCTGAGATTTTCTTTTCTGTTTCAGAAATTATTTCATTAGCTTACTCACAAGTGAGGGTATATGACATTTTGCCAACATAAAGTCTAATACATGTAAGATTTCTTTCAAAATAGAAAAGCATTCAGAAAAGGCAGGACAAATACCTTGTGTTTTTTTTCACCCAAAATAATATTCTAAATCTGAAATGAAGTTTTCAAAATGTTTCTTTGTGGGGGTCACAAATTGAGAAGAGACTGAGTGTATTTTTTCATAAACTGTGTGGATTGCAAGTTGTAAGGCTATGAAAAATCTTATGAAGGAAGCAGAGGCAGAGGCTCTGTTAGAAAAATCCCATGCTTATCAATAAGGATCAGGAAACTGTAAGAACTCAAGCTGTCAAACATCTGTCTCAGGACATAGTCCTACCCCATCTTTCTATTACCCAAACTGCCTTATGCCAATACAGGCATTGCAAGTGAATTTGGTGGTGAAAATACAGCTGGGATTATGTTCCCCTGCCTCCTCCACCCACAGTTTGCTGAATTCTATTCCTGCCATACAGCTTCCAAAGGAGAAGGAAAGATGTGAGGCAATGTCATGGCATCAAGACAGATCATACCTGTTTCCCATTACCTCACTAGATCCTGGCCCTTTTCCCAAGAAGTGAATTATGAGAGCTGACAGAATTCATTCTTCATAAATCCATGCAAAGGGCTATGCCATCCATTTTAGCCTTTTTTTCCTCTTTTTTTTTTCTCTTTATTTGAGACAGAGTTTCTCTCTTATTGCCCAGGCTGGAGTGCAGTGGCATGATCTCTGCTCACTGCAACCTCCACCTCCTGGGTTCAAGTGATTCTCCTGCCTCAGCCTCCTGAGTAACTGGGATTACAGGCGCCTGCTACCATCCCCGGCTAATTTTTTATATTTTTGGTAGAGACCGGGTTTCATCATGTTGGCCAGACTGGTCTCGAACTCCTGACCTCAGGTGATCCACCTGCCTCGGATTCCCAAAGTGCTGGGATTACAGGCATGCACCACCGCGCCCAGCCCTTTTCTTCCATCTTATTCTTTTCTTTTTCAGGAAACACTATTAAGCTTAAATATTTATAATTATTTTCCTTCTTTTAAAATTAGGCTTTACTTGGCTCTGGCTCTCTTTTTCTTTTCTTCTTTCTTGTCTTTAGACACCCAAGCCTCAATTAGTAACTACGCTAACTGGTAGTTACTGTCCCTGAGATTATTTCAGCTAATATTTTTAGTTATCAAGTATAAGTCATCAAAGAGAGTTAACTAAATAATCTCACAACTCCTAGCCTCAAACATAATTTTTAACTCATTTTTAAAGGAGGCCTTTTATCAAGTTACATTCACAGCTCTGCAAATTACACACACACACACACACACACAAACACACACGTACTAACACTCTCATTCTACTCCCTTCTTTATATTTCTTAGCAGAGTGGCATGAAATAAAACAGCCTTCATTTTGCACATTCTTCTTTTCCATTTTATGTATGTATAAACATGGCCTGAAAGATTCATTTTAAAACAATATTGTGGTTAGTAATACAAACATGTAACACATTACATGTTCGAAAAAATATTTTAGATTCTATTATGTATAATAATAAAAAACCCTCAAAGAAAGATGAAGGAATGAGAATGTGAGGAATATTCATAAAGGATAATATGCCTGAGGAATAGTGTTCCTTTAGCACTTGTAAGAATAAACATACTGTATAAAAACTTTTGTTCCTTTTTAACATTTTTGAAAGAAAGTCAAACCTACTTTACAGTAAAATACTTGGTAAGTGAGTTAGAAAAATGATCTTTTTCTCAGTGAGAAGTGCTATTCTGTGGCATTTTGAAAAATAATCTTACTTCTGCTCCACTGAAGAAATCTGGTTATTAAAAGAGTTATTCCTTTTATAAAATCAAAATCTGCATGTGGCAATTTTTATTCATTGATATGGCTCTCTTCTCAAAACACAAAGAACAAATCTAACTTTTCACTCAAAAATTAATCTTAAAGACACAATTTATGCTCTTCCTGTAAGCAGCCTGAGATGATCTCTTAAAATGGTTTACTATTCACTTGACCCAGAACAACCCAAAAAATCATTCAAATCAAGAGATTGAAATCTTCGTGTTCACTTTAAGAACATCCATGAAGCTACCCAGGCAATCAAGGGTTATGTATATCTGAAAAGCCACCAAGTATCTGAAAGATGTGACTTTACAGAAGCAGTGTGTGCCGTTCCATCATTGCAATGGTGGAGCTGGTAGATGTGTCCAAAGCCAAACCGTGGAGCTGGACAGAGGGTTTATGGCCCCAAAAGAGTGCTGAAAGTTTGTTGCACATGCATACAAATGTAAAAAGCAGTGCTGATCTTAAAGGTTTGTATGTAGAGTCTCTTGATCATTGTGTACATCTAGGTGGGCGAAGCACCCAAGATACACTGGCTCTGTTTACAGGGCTCATGGTCAGATTAACCCATACGTGACCTCCACCCCCACTATCGCACCCACCGCACTGAAATGATGCTTACTGAAATAGAACAAATTTTTCTAAGCCAGAGGAGGAGGTTGCATAGAAGAAAAAGGTATTCCAGAAGAAACCGAAGAAACAAAAATAATGACCCAGGAATAATTTCAATATAAAATATATGCAAATAAAATCAAAAGTAGAAAAAAGACAATCAAAATTTTAAAGAGCATGGAAGCTCAATTAAAATAGAGGAGAGAACCGGGCACAATGGCTCACGCCTGTAATCCCAGCACTTCGGGAGGCTGAGGCGAGTGCATCAGGAGGTCAGGAGATTGAGACCATCCTGGCTAACACGGTGAAACCCCGTCTTACTAAAAATACAAAAAATTAGCCAGGCGTGGTGGCGGGCGCCTGTAGTCCCAGCTACTCGGGAGGCTGAGGCAGGAGAATGGCGTGAACCCGGGAGGCGGAGCTTGCAGTGAGCCGAGATCGCGCCACTGCACTCCAACCTGGACAACAGAGCAAGACTCCATCTCAAAAAAAAAAAAAAAAGGAGGAAAGATCAGATACGTGAAAAATGATTCAAGCTCTGTGTTGAATAAAGTCACATTAAAATCACAGAAAGGTACTGTTGTTAGACAATGTTTAACACCTATTAAAACATACACAAATTTAAATAATAGTGATGATACACAAAGCCTGGGACAGTTTCATGAAATTGTCTTTCATATGGCGGTTCATAGAACAAAGTAGTACAAATTTTCTGGAAACAATTTTCTAGACACTATAAGAACCATTAAAAACGTGATCCAGTGATCTATTCCTTGAAATGTACTGTCAAAAAATCCAGAAGAGGGACAAATTTAAATGCTCCAAGGTGTCTTTGAAATCTGAAGCATAATACCAAAAATATTAAAACCACCTGAATTCTAGTGTTTTATCGGGAAATGGCCATGTAATATAAATGCAATGTCTTTATGCTTTAACCAAGAGAAATCATCTTCAATTATTTAAAATTACAATTTTAAAAGCTAGTAGCAGCACAGAAAAGGTTTACATTTTCTATGATTCCAATTATATGAAAAGTGTTAATTTCTGTAGTGCAGACACATATATCCAAATGAAATACAATTGATTTATTACAAATTGGGGTGGGGATGTGCAATTTTTTATGTGTGTCATCATTGTTATATCATTTGTGATTTTAAATAATGAAAAACTCAGATTGGGGGAAAATAACTTCTCAGGAGAAAGCAGTTGTGGTAGATAGAGAGCATATTAAAAGCTTCCACCAAAACAAATTCTTACGTGCATTGAAGAAAAAATATTATTTTCAAAATATAACCATATAAAAATGATTATCTTGGCCATTTAAAAAGAGTCTTAATTTATTACATGAAGCCTTTAAGGGTCCAGGTGGTATACCTGGAATCTTTCTTTTGTTAGGTTACACTGTAAACTCTGCTACTGCTTCTTCTGGAGATGTGCTCTATATTGCTGGACAGCCTCGGTACAATCATACAGGCCAGGTCATTATCTACAGGATGGAAGATGGAAACATCAAAATTCTCCAGACGCTCAGTGGAGAACAGGTAAACTTGAAAAATATTCTTTTATTTAAATTAATCTATTCATACTCTATGTATATTTACTGTCTATTGTCCTAAACTTAAAAATGCAATACCCACATATTCAGTAACAACTGGGAACAGGGCCCTGTGTTAGGTTCTTTGGAAGGATGTATAGTGTCTGTATCTTTGTCTTCATGTTGGATGGGTGTGGAGGTAAGATATACAATAGATGTGGATACAGATGTACAAATATATACACAAGAAAAGAGATCCAAAACATTAAGAGGCATGAAATTACCAGTGGCCCAGACAATACAGTCAGAATATGATGGGATTGCTTTAAGCTAGGATTGGTGCAGAAAAGCTTATTAGAAGATGAAATTCGGGCTGAATCTACAAGGGATGATAGAATGTGGATAGGTAGAAAGAGCAGTGAAAGAGAAAGTTAAAAAGATAACATGGACCCATATGATGTGAGGTTTTGAATGGCAAATTAAGAGCTTGGATTTTATCCTGGAGGTAATGGGAAATTGTCTGTAATATTTAAAATTGAAAAATTCTTATTAGGTAGTATTGAATATTAAAAGAAGTTTGGGAAATGATACATGAAATAACATTTACATATGTATATATAAAAACTGAAAGAAACATCGTAAATATGCAAACATTTACACACACACATATTAACTGAAAGAAAGATCTAACATGCTTTTTGTTGTTGTTATTTTTGAATTGTGATAGCTTGGGAACTTTTGTTTCTAAAAAGTTTTCTGTATTTTTCAACAGTTCTACAAGGAGGATTTATTAACTTTATTCCACAGTCCTTTTACAGAGGGTGGGAGAGGGGTTCTTCTTAGCCTTCACTAAATATTCCAACTCTCTAGACTAGAGGGGCAGGACTGCATCAGCCCTCCTGCTCTGCAAGAGTCCAAGCTGCAGCCCAGCGCAGCAGTAAAGCTCAGGTGCAGGGATACTCACATTAGGCAGGTCCACAAACTGCACTCGCTTTAAAGCCCCATGCCCTGCAGGAGCAGTATCTTTTATGACAACACCATAGACATAGCTTCCAGGGTGTCTACAAAGGGCAGGCCGGCTACAAGAGTAACTGCACTCTGGGAAGTCAAAAATATGTCATCTTCATCAGGTACTTATAATTCATTTATAGTTCCACACAGCCTGAATACAATATTCCAGTAAGAGGTTATTTTTACCCCTGTCAGCGTTGCTTAGCCTTAGTGGTAAAGTTGAAATCCCAGCCACAGCAGATTCCCAGGGCAACAGAGTTAGAGTAGCTAAAGGTCAGCTCCTCAAGTATCAGGTGAAAGGGTTTTATTAACTCTTTGCCCACATTTACGCTTGGAAAACGCATAACAGTTAGAAAAAGGCTATTGTTGTAGCTCAAACTGGAGGTAAGAGAACGTAAAATAAGATGTCAGCAGTAAAAATGGAAAAGGAAGGGCCATGACAGATATCAATAATAGGAAGTTGACAATAGTAAAATGAAGCATTTTAGATGACGTCTTTGATCCATTATCACTCCATTAATTGTATACAAGACAAGAAGTGTCAAATTTTATGAAAATTTGCATATGAAAGTTGAGGAGAGTATCATGAATGATTTAAATCGTGAATGATTTCAGTTTCAAGCCTGGGAATCTGAAAGAAAGGTGGCTCCATGATTAGAATGTCAACACCTCAAGCAATTTAGATATTTTTTAACAATGACGTTTGGCTTTTAGACATGTTCCTTGTAACAGTAAGCACAAATTCAGATATTTGAAGGTGCCAGTAAAGTAAAATCAAAATAGGTAAAGTCAATGAGTAAAGCTGCTGGGCAAAAAAACACAGGAAGTGGTGGGAACCATGGCCCTGGGCAGCTTGTGAGCTTCCACTGAGCTCCAGTTGACGGTTGCCATGTGGGGAGGAAAGCCCAGAGTTGCAAGATCTTCTATTTTATTTATGTTTATAATTAATTCAACTTTTAAAAAAACCTCTCAAGGCCCTCAAAAGCCTGTGAGAAAAGTGCATTCAAAAGTCAGTGTCTTTTGCCCACATGCCTAGAAGCAATGTCTAGGACTGTAGAACTGAAGCCTTGAGAAGGAAGACAGAATGATGTTTGCAATTGCCTTAGTAGAAATTTTTAAGAAGGATTGGTCATCTAGGGTAAGAGAATGGAAAAAGGCTACAGGTCTGAGCTTTAGAAGAGGCCAAAATTCAGAAAATGAGAGTTGGGGAAGAAGCCAGTAAATATGAAAAGGGTGGTCTATGCCACAGGGGCAGAAGCAAGAGAGTAAGAGTAAAATTGCAGAAGCCAGTACAGGGAGATGTACCATAAGATAATTGTTAAGAGCATCAAATATTAAACATAGAATAATATTTGAAAAAATTAAGCATTTAGGTAATGAAGTATAAGTTCTCTGCTTTTCTCTAAACAGATTTCTATCTTTAAATGAGAAAACATATTGCTACAAGGGATGATACCCCTGCAATCCTTCCATATTTTTCTATGTCCCATAGCTGCTGGGATAAGGCTTAACCATTTCATTGAGAAGACAATCTTCCAAGACTATGAGGTGAAATATGCCACACCAGTATTCCAGGACAACTCAGCTCCTTATAATGTATTTAAACATATATTCAGCCATTGCAGCATGCATTCTACTGCTTATCTAATTTTATTTCCTTAAAAAATCACTATAGTATTACTGACCTTTTCTGATTTGTGGAGAAGAAAGAGAGGTTAGAGTGAAATCTAAAGAAATTCATTTTGTTACTGTCAAGCGATGAAATCTGTAACAGCTGTTCATCCTCAAAGATGGAACCGACTGATATTCTTTATCCTCATGAAAGAGCCAATAAATAACTTTCAGGGAGCATCAATTTTTATCTTTCATTTCCTTTGCCAACTAGCTCCTCTTCTAGATTGCTAGAAGTAAAACAAATGTAGATTTCAGTTTCCTTGAGAATTTCTGTTGTTCATTGGGCTGTTTTGTTTCATTTTGTGTCCTAGATTGGTTCCTACTTTGGCAGTATTTTAACAACAACTGACATTGACAAGGATTCTAATACTGACATTCTTCTAGTCGGAGCCCCTATGTACATGGGAACAGAGAAGGAGGAGCAAGGAAAAGTGTATGTGTATGCTCTCAATCAGGTAATGGTGTCTGAGTTTGGTAGAAATCCAGGAAAATCTCTTCCTTCTCTTCATTTTTTAATAATAAATTCCAATTTTTCACTCACTTTGAAAAAACAGAGCAAAGAAGCTATCAGGATTCATTCACTCCACCAACCCCTCAGTTTTGAAATGACCATTTATAATTCTAATAAAGTAGCTCCAACTCTTAGATATTTTCTGCTTGGAAATGTGAATTATGTTTAACAATATATAGGATAAAGGAGGTAAATATAAATCTCACTAAACTGCTAAATAAACCCACAAGGCTTATTTAGGCTGGGAGGCTTATCAGCTCTGGCTTGGAGATAGATAATAACCTCAGCAGTTAAATCGGATAGGGTGGAGGGGGAGAAGTCATGAGTTTCAAGGCAGCAACACTGCAGGCTTCCAGGAAATACTTCACTGGGCTGGAGTGAGATTTTGTCTTCTGTTCCTGACTTTAGACATCATTTTTTAAGTTAAATAATTTTTAATTTCTTCATTAGAAGAGTGTTTTGCTCTTTATAGCAAAGCCAGTGTTTATCTATTTAGCTTTTCCAAATATGTACATTCTCTCCTAAATTGATTATTTTAAATAATAAATCATGTGTCTTTCTTCCTATCATTTTTTGGCTTCCTCCTGTCAACTTTTTTTGTCCTGGGCTGTTTTGTCCTTTTTCCAAGAAAGTGTATTCTTGATTACCTTTGCTAGTACTTTCTGTCTGGGTTTTTTTTTTTTTTCCTTCCACTCTAGGCAGCTTTAGAGAAAGTTTCCTTTCTGAGCAGAATAAATTTTCGCTTTGCACAATATTGGGTGAAGAAGGGATAGTGGCACAAATTAAGGATATAATATTATTTGGCCTGAAAAAGATGCTCTGAATTGTATACTCAATTGCATTAAAAAGAGATTCCATTAAAGTATGTCTCCCACACTTCTACCATCTGCTCTTTGGAATCCCTAACTTTACTCTCAGATAGGCACACTTTTTAAGAAATTTTACCAACTTTACCACTAATGTACAAATGGCTGTTAATAGCACTGATTTAGTATACTTTAAAAATTCTACTCTGCTGTAGTAATGATGGAAATACATAAATATCCTGTTTATCTTTCTTCCAGACAAGGTTTGAATATCAAATGAGCCTGGAACCTATTAAGCAGACGTGCTGTTCATCTCGGCAGCACAATTCATGCACAACAGAAAACAAAAATGAGCCATGCGGGGCTCGTTTTGGAACTGCAATTGCTGCTGTAAAAGACCTCAATCTTGATGGATTTAATGACATCGTGATAGGAGCTCCGCTGGAAGATGATCACGGGGGAGCTGTGTACATTTATCATGGAAGTGGCAAGACTATAAGGAAAGAGTATGCACAAGTAAGAATTGAAACCTACAGATTCCCACCCTTCAGTGATAAGTCGGTTCAATGCCAGGCATTACCTGTCTAACTTCATGAGTTATTTAATTTCTTCCTCCTGACCTTATTGGGAAACTGGATTTAATTCTCTTTAAGTGTTTTTTATAGATTAGTTACTATATATATATACACACACAAACAAACTATAAATATACACATAGTATGTATATAGTATATATAGTGTATATATAATGTGTATATAGTATATATATATACACACTATATATACTATATACACACTATATACTATATATGGTATATATAGTGTGTATATAGTATGTATAGTGTTCCTTATAGATTAATTACTATATATACACACTATATATACAAATAGTATAAATATATAGTATATATAGTGTATATGTAGTGTGCATATGGTATATATAGTGTATATATACACACTATATATAGTATATATGGTATGTATACTATATATAGTATATACGGTATGTATACTATATATAGTATATATGGTATGTATACTGTATATAGTATATACACTATATATACTATATATAGTATGTATACTATATATAGTATGTATACTGTATATACTATATATAGTATGTATACTGTATATACTATATATACTATACATAGTGTATATAGTGTATATATAGTATATATAGTGTATATATAGTGTATATATAGTATATAGTGTATATATAGTTTATATATTGTATATAGTGTATATATAGTGTATATAGAGTACATATTGTATATATAGTGTACATATAGTATATATAATATATAGTGTATATATAGTATATGTAGTGTATATATAGTATATACAGTGTATATATAGTATATGTAGTGTATATATAGTATATACAGTGTATATATAGTATATAGTGTATATATAGTGTATATAGTGTATATATAGTATATAGTGTATATATAGTGTATATAGTGAGTATATAGTATATATAGTGTATATATAGTATATAGTGTATATACACTATATAGATACTATATATAGTATAGATACACTATATATAGTGTATCTAGTATATAGATACACTATATATAGTATATATAGTAGATACACTATATATAGTATATATATCTATATATTAGATACATATACTATATATAGTGTATCTACTATATATACTATATATATAGTGTATCTACTATATATACTATATATATAGTGTATCTACTATATATACTATATATAGTGTATCTACTATATATACTATACATATAGTGTATCTACTATATATACTATACATATAGTGTATCTACTATATATACTATACATATAGTGTATCTACTATATATACTATACATATAGTGTATCTACTATATATACTATATATATAGTGTATCTACTATATATACTATATATGGTGTATCTACTATATATACTATATATGGTGTATCTATATACACACACTATATATAGTATATAGATACACTATATATAGCATATCTAATATATAGATATATATATTATATATATAGTGTATCTACTATATATACTATATATACTATATATAGTGTATCTACTATATATACTATATGTATAGTGTGTATCTACTATATATACTATATGTATAGTGTGTATCTACTATATATACTATATATGGTGTACCTATATACACACACTATATATAGTATATAGATACACTATATATAGCGTATCTAGTATATAGATACACTATATATAGCGTATCTAGTATATAGATATGCTATATATAGCGTATCTAGTATATAGATACGCTATATATAGTGTATCTAGTATATAGATATGATATATATACTGTATCTAGTGTATCTACAATATATATTATATATAGTGTATCTACTATATACTATATATATTATCTATATACTATATATCTACTATATACTATATATTTCATATATAGTGTATCCAGTATATGTATTATATATAGTGTATCCAGTATATGTATTATATATAGTGTATCCAGTGTATGTATTATATATAGTGTATCCACTATAGGTATTATATATAGTGTATCCACTATAGGTATTATATATAGTGTATCCAGTATATGTATTATATATAGTGTATCCACTATAGGTATTATATATAGTGTATCCACTATAGGTATTATATATAGTGTATCCACTATAGGTATTATATATAGTGTATCCACTATAGGTATTATATATAGTGTATCCACTATATATTATATATAGTGTATCTATATACTAGATACACTATATATAGTGTATCTATAAACTATATATAGTGTGTGTATATAGATACACTATATATATAGTGTGTGTGTGTGTGTGTGTGTGTGTGTGTATATATATATATATTTTTTTTTTGAGACGGAGTCTCGCTCTGTCGCCCAGGCTAGACTGCAGTGGCACGATCTCAGCTTACTGCACGCTCCACCTCCCAGGTTCACACCATTCTCCTGCTTTAGTCTCCCGAGGAACTGGGACTACAGGCTCCCGCCACCACGCCCGGCTAATTTTTTGCATTTTTAGTAGAGACGGGGTTTCACCGTGTTAGCCAGGATGGTTTTGATCTCCTGACTTCGTGATCCGCCCACCTCGGCCTCCCAAAGTGTTGGGATTACAGGCGTGAGCCACCGTGCCTGGCCGTAATTACTTTATATTTTATACATTTATCTAGTTTCCTTTCTGTTGTTATTTTCCATATCTCCAGGATTTGACTTTTTGAAACAGTTAAAAAAAAGAATACTTTGTAACAATGCTGTTTAACATCTGTTAAATTTAGAATGGGACATTTAGTGTGTCCCGTTCTAAATAGAGGGCACTGCTTTCTGAATAAGGCAAAAATAATTGTATGACTTAACCAATAAAGGAAATTAGATTCTTGATTTTATATTTAATGTCCATGCTGTTATAATAAATTGCATTAAATTTATATTTATCCATTAAGTTGATATATTTTCGTCAAGTGAATTACGATTTCTAAAGGTTTATAATTTTCTCGCAAGTAATCCTTAGAAAAAATAAATCTGAATATTAAGTTTAAGCTGCAGGGAACTTCTGTTATTCCTGTTTGTAATTTGTTGTCAGTTAACAGCTCTAATCCATAAGTGTATTTTTTTTCCTTCATTAGAAAAATAACAAGTTACAAAAGTGCTTAATGCACTACACTATAAAAACAAAAGAATTTAAAGGAGTTTGAATGTAATTGTCTGCTCTCAAGTAATCATAGTTGGTTAGATATTGAACAACTACTTACAAATAAAACAGAATTCACTACCTTCTAGCTTATATAATTTGAAAAGAAATTAGAATATTAATTATTTCATTTTCTATTTGAGTGTTCTCTTTGGTTCTGTAGTCAACAGAGCTCTCAAAATCTATTCATGTAATGCAAACATGAGTGATTTTTCATAAAACCATAATGACAATAGTGAACAGAATAAAGGGCTTATTTCAATAAGAGCACTTGTATCCATTTGATAAATAATTTGTTTCTGTTGAAAATCTTTATGGCATTATTTACTTAACAAGAGACAGGCAATATTAATGACTGGGGCATGATGGAATTAGGAAATGCAGGAAGAGAGTTCTTTCTTATATTCTAATACTTTATTCCTTCAGCATCAATCCTGTAAATTTAATGGGGTAGCATTTGAAGTAGAAAAGGAAAGCTAAATCATTGTCAGATGAAATAGATTTGTCATAAACAACTTGTTTTCTAAATGGTGGTAAATCAAGATGCAACTTTAAACAAAAACAACAAAAAGAATATTAGAGTTGGATTTGTTTAATTACTGGCAAAATGTTTTTCCAAGGAATAGGTGAAGATGTGCTTACTCATTTCCATGAGAACCAGAGATGCTGCTTATGTATGGGATAATCCAGAATCAATCAAGCCCATAGAACCAAGGAGTCAGATATCTCCTGAATTCTTCACTTAAAAAAATGAGGAGGATTGCTGGGTGCGGTGGCTCATGCCTGTAATCCCAGCACTTTGGGAGGCCGAGGCAGGCGGATCATGAGGCCAGGAGTTCGAGACCAGCCTGGCCAATGGTGAAACCCCGTCTCTACTAAAAATACAAAAAATTAGCCGGGCATGGTGGCGC
Organism: Homo sapiens; assembly: GCF_000001405.40. Classification (NCBI taxonomy): domain Eukaryota; kingdom Metazoa; phylum Chordata; class Mammalia; order Primates; family Hominidae; genus Homo; species Homo sapiens. Next base: position 52,914,507 of record NC_000005.10, read on the forward strand.
GCACCTGTAATCCCAGCTATTCGGGAGGCAGAGGCAGGAGAATCACTTGAACCTGGGAAGTGAAGGTTGCAGTGAGCCGAGATAGCGTCTCAAAAAAAAAAAGGGGGGGAAATACTTTCAAACGAGCCTCACCTGTTTAAGGATGAAAAATGTTTCCATTTGGTTTGCCTTAGTAGGCTTCTTATTTTATGTTATTTATGTGGAAAACAAGAGGCTCAGAAGACTTGAAGTTTAGGGAGGGTTTGTAAGTCCTGACTGCTTGCCATGGGCTTCTGTTAAAAGCATTAGCTTAAGCTTGAACCAATGCTAAGTCAGGAAGTACAGATATCAAACATACTATGTATGGTAATGTGCACAGATCAGTCTTCAAGACATACTCATTTGTGCCATCTCAACGTTGTGAATACATCTGAGTGGAATTGAGTCTCTTGTGCCCTCAACTTTTAGGACAATTTTTGAAAGACAGTAGAGATTACATATTGGAAAATGTATTTGATGGGATGTGTTATTTATACCCAGCCACAAAGTTCAGTGAACTCCAAATTGACCCCTAGGACAATATTATACTCCCCTCCCCCCTTTGCTGATATGATATGTTTTCAAGATTTCCAGTACCTTTAGATATGTCTGTGTGATGGGATTGGCTAGGAAGCAGAAAGCACAGAACCAATTACTCATACTGTTTCCTTTGAGGATTAGACACAATGACACTATATAATTTTTCCCTCTCTCTGGTGTCAGTGACCTTGTAATGATTTTGTCTGTACTATAAAAACAGCAATATCCTCTGGGAACATCTGAGTATTTCCTCTTATCTCCACATGAGGGACCTCTTGGGCGGATTCCCAAATTAACAAAACTGATTATTTTGTTAAACAATTTAAATTCTCAGATTTATTTGAAACTGTTTTGAACAGACTCTTCTCATATGAAACTCTTTTTTTTGGATTCTCACAGCGTATTCCATCAGGTGGGGATGGTAAGACACTGAAATTTTTTGGCCAGTCTATCCACGGAGAAATGGATTTAAATGGTGACGGTCTGACAGATGTGACTATTGGGGGCCTTGGTGGTGCTGCCCTCTTCTGGTATGTATTTTAATAACATCCTGTTAATCTGAGACTGGGTCACTTGCAGAGCTCCCAGTGTGATTGGAGCTCATGTCATACCAAATATCTATTTCCTTTTGTGTTCCACTATGCAAATACAAGTTATTCAGTTGAGTGAGCTGGAAGAGTCAATACATCTTAAGAACAAAGAAGCTATATGAAAGAAACAAGTAGAATGAACTCTTAATTTGGTGTGTCTATTATGTGGTTTACACTAAAATAGGTATTCTGTTTTAGGAGAGGTATAGGGGAAGAGAAGATCTTATAGAGGATGTATATAAACAAGAAAATATCCCTAATATTTGGTTGCTTACAAGGTTTTAGAGATAATCGACTTTGTATTCATTTACCTGATACATAGAAACAGATAATCGCGTAGCACTCTCTGACTCTGTTTATATTGTTGGTCAAGCCTAGAGGCATCTTAAGTAATATCTTCGCTCAGCCTTTAAAATGCCTAAATCCCCAAATTGGCCCAGTTCTTTCAGATACATACATTCATAATGCTTTATTAATTATGAATAAATAATAATTTAGTAGGCAAAAATAATTATTGCTTACTAAATATCCTATCTCAAAAACTAAATATCCTATTTCAAAAACTGTTCTGTTTGAAAGAAATTACTAGGAAGTCAAGAATCAACTTAATGAGAAATCCACATGATAATTTTGAAAAATATATAATAAATTTCATTAAGAAATATAAAGGAAGGGTTTCATAAATAAAATCTATTTATGCCAGGTGACTTTATGGGAAGTCCGCATGTTGATTCTCCTAAATTAATGCATTGGTTTACTGTAATTCGGGTGGAAACATACATCAATGCTCTTTTTCCCAAAAATCTACCTAGAAGAGTAATAAAGTATAAAAGAAAGGTGAAGATAGAGAGGTGAAAATAGATGACTTTGCTATAATTTAAGATAATGCTTAAGAACTAATGGTCAAATTAAAATGGTACAGTAAATTGTGCACATACAATAATCACTATTTAAAAAAAAAACCTTTACAATAGAGGGGAAAGAAGACTGAAGGGTGATACCTAAGAAAAGGGAATATTAGGCAGCACAGTGGCTGGGACTTTGGGGAGGACTCACCAGAAGCCAAGGCTCAAAACCAGAAGTCAGCAGTGTCAGGGACAATGGATATACTTCAATTTTGTTTGAAATGTTAATCCTGAATTAGTTTATTATGCTCCCTTTAGCTCACAAATATTTATTGTATTAATTCTCATATTAAAAATATGTTTTCAGGGTTTTTATGCTCCAGTTTTGTTTCAAGGCTTTCTTGCAAAGCTTTGCAAACTTATTTATGGCCTCTCCTGCCCCAAATCAAGGCATTGATGGCCCAAAATGATAGTCATTTCCCTATCATAGTCCAGGCTCCACTGACAGCAGAATGGACCAAACCGATATACTGGGACACGAAGACTAAGATTCACAATGCCTAACAAGAAGTGAGAGTGGATACAAGTGACAGATGATAGGAAAAACGTTTGGAAGCAAATAGTGAGAGTCTTGTCATGAGACCTGGACTGACTCCCAAGAAAGATCTGGCTGGGGCAGAGAGGATGTGTGGGGTGGACAATGGTCGAGGCAGCTTCATGCCTGGAGAATCCATATTACTAAGCAGGAAACTAGGCATGTTCATTCATTGCTGATGAAAGGGTAAACTGGCTAAAACTCATTCGAAGGTCTTTATCAATAAGTGTTTAAAAGCATTCCAATGTTCCTACTTTTTACCAAGGATTTAACTTCCTAAAAATGTAAAGATACAATCTAGAAGTACAATTAAAGGTGTCATCACAGCACTGTATGTAATACCATCTTTTAATAATGTTAAATTTACCACTATACTCAGAAACCTTTTTTTTAAATTAAGCTAAATATCCAATGAGATGGGATTGAATGCATAGATTATGGTATGTGCATATGCTGGTATAGTCTGCTTCCATTAAAAATAATAAATCCCATTAAAAATAATGTTCTCAGAAAAATGTAAATATTGGAAAGCTGTTCATTGTAATATAATGTTTTAAAAATTTGTAGGCATACATATGAAGATGTGCTTTTGTATATATGTATGTATGCATGTGTGTACGTGTATGCATGTTTTCTTCTGTAAAGAAAAAACCACTGAGTGTACTAAATGTTAATGATGATTATTGCTGAGTGGTAGTATAACAAGTTATTTGTGTTTTCTTTATGCATTTCTATGATGTTTATATTTTCTATGAGTCCATTGTTTTAACAGAAAAAAGAAAACCACCTTTTTTTAATGCAAAAGCATAAGTAGTGACCTCATTATTCACAACATACACAGTTATAAGGGGCTAGCTCTGGCCACAAGGCAGAAACCAGGTAAAAATGTGCAGTAATTGTTCCGGCTTGGATCTAAGACAATGACCTCAGTATCCATATATTCTCCATGTCTGAGATCTTACTCTGATCTCATTTTGGATTAGTAGACATTACTGGGCTTTCGAGTTAAAACGACTGAGTTTAAAATCCCAGGTTTTTCCTCTTAATAGCTTTTGACCTGGCATAAAATATTTAACTTTTCAGAGCCCCAGTTATCAAACGTAAAACAAAAAAATGATGTTGCTTATAATTAACCTTAAGAATTAAATGAAATAGCATCCATGTCTAGCACAATGCCTCAAATGTTATTTTGCTTTTCCTTCCTAGAAATAGAGGAAGAGCTGAACTCACAAGGACAGACAATATTACAGTCCAGACAAGAGATAGCAGGGGTCTACGGGCTGTTCAGGGACCTTTAGACTTCTTTCAAATTTGGAACAAACTCGTAAATCCCCAAAATACAGTTGATTCTGGGGTTTCACCTGGACACTTGATTCCATCTCTTTTCCATCACAGGAAAAACTAGATCTTTGGTGTTTGAACCAAAAGCCCCAAATGGTTTCCAAATATAACCTACATGTCTTAGAACATCAGATATAATCTCTTCTGTAACAATGATTAATTAAAGAAATGGAGTCCTGAGCGCTGTATTATACATGAAGCAGAACCCTCTTCCATGCACTCACTTTGCACTCCCAAGTTGATGACATTCATTAAATGTAAAAATGTGTGAGTAATCCCATTGTTTTTGTTTGTAGGTCCCGAGATGTGGCCGTAGTTAAAGTGACCATGAATTTTGAGCCAAATAAAGTGAATATTCAAAAGAAAAACTGCCATATGGAGGGAAAGGAAACAGTATGCATAAATGCTACAGTGTGTTTTGATGTGAAATTAAAGTCTAAAGAAGACACGATTTATGAAGCTGGTAAGCAAAATAATTATAGCAAGTACTTTTGGGTAGAGGACAATATATTTGCTCTAGCATGATGAAGTCCAGTAGGATATTGTATTTTCCCCACATGGTGAGCTGCACGTCATATTTGCCCCAGTGAAGATGCAGAACCTTGAAAAAAAATTCTGTTGCAAAAGGAATAGGTTATGGAACCCAGTCAATTCTGGAGCAGAAATTACATGTTTGTATGCAGTGCCCTCAACACTCCATAGTTTCTGTCTGGCTCTCCTACTTGCTATGTACAATGAGACGCTTAAGAAAAAAATACCGATTCAGAGGTAGAGTTTAGAAATTGAGCTACAAATGGGCCCAGTTTTCCTTCCTGTAGGTTTCTACCATGACTCTTCTCTCCCTTCTCTTGCCCCCTCTTGGGAAAGACTGATATTGCAGAGAACCCTAATACTTTACCATTCCCACATTTCCGAGATCCTTTGTTCCATTGAGGTGACCCTAGTTTCCGAGAGTCAGACTTGTTCTGTGTGTGTGTTCTCAGGTGCATCAGGTCAGCCTGTGCTTCCTCTTCCTCCCTCCGTTCTCCACTTTCTAAGGCAGCTTTTTAATGATGTTGAAATATGCTCGAATCAAAGCTATAAAGGCCATTGGCTAAAGAAGAGAAATTTACTCTGTAACCAAATACAAGCAGAATGAGAAAAGCCATTAATCCTTAAAATCTGTTTTTCTTGATTTGTTCCATATGTGCATGTATATGCTCTGAAATAGCCTCCTGACTAGAAAGATCAATGAGGTATAAGAACATAAAATAATGATTTTGAGTTTTATATGTAACTTTATTTCAGTCTTATTTAATTTTTGCAAAGTAATTAAGTGATCAAATAAGGAATATTGTAGCCTTCATATACAGTGTAAGATTTCATTTATTTTCTTTATTGTGGTATGCTTATTTTATTGAACCTTAATAGTGGTTTGACCATAAGCTGAGATAATGTCATTTTATATATAAATAGATTAAAATGTATATATTTGTAAATAAATAACTAAAGTATATTTTTGTCCCTATTGAAATATAACATAATCAATATTCTAAGCAGGGTTCCAACATTTCTAAACTTAAAAAGAATGTTTTAAGTGAAAATATAATAAATACAGTGGTGGCCTGGCAATTAGATGATAGGCAGGTGTGCATGTGTGTATAAGAATTATAAACAATAAATGTAATTAGACACTGAAAGCACAGTGAACTCAGAGACCAGTTCTATAGAGTTCCTCAAGGTTATCTTCATGACTGCTAATATCATTGTTATAACAGTGTGGATATGCTGAACAATAGAATCTTTTTTGATTGATTGCCAAAGAGATTTTTCTATAATGCTAATTTAATAATCTGTACAATATGAGAATCACTTCAAATAAACATTTCCATCAATTATTTTTTAAAATTTTTGTAGATTTGCAGTACCGTGTCACCCTAGATTCACTAAGACAAATATCACGAAGTTTTTTCTCTGGAACTCAAGAGAGAAAGGTTCAAAGGAACATCACAGTTCGAAAATCAGAATGCACTAAGCACTCCTTCTACATGTTGGCAAGTAAATCATATATCGTTGCTGCCTTATTCCAAATCAAGAATACAGTAGAGATGTCTTATTTCAAGTCAATCAAATTCTTACTGTTTTATTTCAAAATGCACTTATGATGTCATAAAGGAAATCTTGTTTGTTCATTTTTATCATAAAATCGCAGGTCTAATTTTCTCATTTCCAAATATTTGTAAAACTATCTCTAGTCTTCCCTGTCTGCATTATCAGACATCCATATATTATGGAACGGCAGGAAAAGACACAGTGTTCTAGTTGACAAGAAACCTTATTCATGTCTTCATTTCTTTCACTCATTCATTTATTCCTTCAACTTGAAAACATTTAATTTCTGTGGGCCTTGTCTGTCAGTTGTGGTTGGTAAGTGATTAACTGCTCTGGGGGCAGACTGCTGGGCTGTATGCTTTCTGGGATCCATGTAACTACATATCTCGCCGTTTGATTTTAGAGCGAAGGGGAAAATTATCTGGTATTTTCTATCATCTGTAGGCTTTGTGCTACTTCAGTTTTTTTTTTTTTTAATTTTAGTGGATGAGGGAGTTTTGGAAATCAAACTATTAATGTTTAGAGATGGCTGGTAAGCCAGTGTGAATCATTTAAAATGTATTTTGTTGGGACACTGTGTATATGGGGAATGTTCCCAACAGAGGGCAGGAGTTTCCTAAACATTTTCTTAAAATGTACATGAGAGTGATAAAAACAAGAAGCAGCATGAAGGTAATGAGGAAACTGATTTTAGTAACTGACATTAAGACTTAGAGACTTGACGGTAAACTTGGAGCTTTAAAGGAACCAGGCCAATTTTCCTACTTCTGACTTATTTCTGTATTATTGATATATTCATAGTCTGTATTTTGAAAATTGTAGTTCAGGGGCAGGGGAGTGACAGAAAATGTGCACCCTTTTGTGCCACATTTGTTCTTCCTCAGTGATTTTCATGTTGATATGCTTCATGATACTTATCATGAAGCTTATTCTGTCAGGACCAAGATCAATCTATTATTTGGTAAAATAACACTGGAGTTGCCCCTCCTATTTAGTTAATCAGAACTGAACACTTAGGAATTAGAATGTGGATAAAATTTGAATGGGTATGAAACCAGATATGGCATTGTCTCCAACCTGCTAAAAATCATCTCAGTCTATGTTTGTCCACAAATTCAGTGTCTAAGTTATGTCCAGGTACTGGTGTTTAAAGGACTGAAATATTTTCAAAATTTCGAAAATTGTTTTGGATTTTGAAAGAAGCACTTTGAAATTTGTTCTGGAGTCAGCCAGTGTAGAATTTGTATCCCAAATATTCCACATTCTGAGAGACTTTGGCAACGTCGTTTGGTCTCTTAGAGGGTCAATCTTTCATCTGTAAAATAAGGACAATAATAGTTACTCATCTTAGAGGACTGTTGAAATAATTTGCAATAATGTATATAAAGCTCATAATTTTGAATACTATAAATGATTATTGTTATTGGTGGCATGTTAACAGTATTAATCATATTCACATCCTTTCCAAATAATTTTACATTATAAAATTCTTGGCCAGGCATGGTGGCTCACGCCTGTAATCCCAGCACTTTGGGAGGCTGAGGTGAGTGGATCACCTGAGGTCAGGAGTTCGAGACCAGCCTGGCCAACGTGGTGAAACCCCGTCTCTACTAAAAACACAAAAATTAGCTGGGTGTGGTGGCACATGCCTGTAATCCCAGCTAGTCGGGAGGCTGAGGCAGGAGAATCACTTGAACCTGGGAAGTGGAGGTTGCAGTGAGCCGAGATCGTGCCGCTGTACTCCAGCCTGGGTGACAGAGAGAGACTCTGTCTCAAACAAACAAACAAACAAACAAACAAACAAAAACTTATAGCTGTAGGTATATATTATATTAATGAAATGTAACTCATTTTATAGAAAGTTTGCCCTTCTGAAGTTGGGAAATGTTCCCGGAAGTGTTACATAATGATCTTTGGCTTGAGGTCTCAAGAAAAACTATATTGTGATGCAGGTAGCTCCTATGTTGACACAGCCAAGTGTGATGTTGCCATCACTCCAGCAGGGCCCTCTGAGGAACTGGAAGTGAGTCAACAGGTCATACTCTGAAACCTCCACATTCCCCTATGCCCCTTGTCAGAATGCCAATCCCTCTCCAGGGAAGCAAAAGCCTGATGAGATCATATGTCAGATTAGATGCACAAGAATGCTGCAGTAAGCCTGACCCTTGGGAACAGAAGAAGGAGACATAACAAGATCAGAACACCCGGTAAATATGATACCAGTGATATATTTTATGTTTCACCCTCTAGGACAAGCATGACTTTCAGGACTCTGTGAGAATAACGTTGGACTTTAATCTTACCGATCCAGAAAATGGGCCTGTTCTTGATGATTCTCTACCAAACTCAGTACATGAATATGTAAGTCAGATTTCTTTAAAATACAAAATACCAACTTGTGAACATTTTAATGTCACTAGTAAACTGTGTTTTTTCACTACTCTGCATTGATCACAAAGAACGAACAACTAACTGGAAGAAAGAAAAAAAAGGCAAGCAGATTTTATTCCTGGTCAGGAATGGAGAAAGAGGGAGCTCTTGCTCTAAAGACCTTCTCTTCAAGCTGTGAAAACCTGGGGAATTTTAAGGAGTTAGATGTGGGGCAGGGAGGTATATGTAAGCATGTCCAGAGAGGAACTCCAGATGTACAAGTACAGCTCATAAACATGCTTCCTTATACAACATATGTTCAAGAAATGGTGGCCATTTTCTTCTATGGCAGGGACTTTAGCATTATAATGACATGTTAATGATCTAAAGGTAACAAGGGGTTGCTGGTTCTTGTTTGCTCCGTTTTCTCAATGGCTTTATCTTCCTCTGGTAATTGGCAAAGGGTCCTGAAGCTCCCAGGCCGTCTATAGTTGTTTTTCAGCAAGCTTACCTACAGATAAATAGACTAGAAAAAAAAAAACTGTTTAAGAAAAAATAATGCACTTTCTCAGCTATCTACTGTTTAACAAAATAATGAACTTTCTCAGTTATCTACTCTTCAAGAAAATAGTAAACTTTCTCAGCCATATCTCCAGGTTTGCCCTGGTAACATTAGGAAAAAGCTTGAAACCCATGCACACATAACCCTAAATCAATTTAAAATGTTTTAAAAAAGAATTAGGCTCTTCTAGACTTTTTCCAATCCTTCTAATTTCCTATTGTTGGAGTTTAAGAAAACTAATAAATGACACTCATTTTTACCTCATTTGAATTTAGGACCAATGGAAAGAAATCTCCCCCATTATTCTAATAAGCACTGGATTGCAGTGTATGGTTTAGGTATAAAGGGTGTCCTCACGCTGAAGCATGGACTTAGACCACCAGTAACCACCTAGGTCATCAGCAGTGCTGATCCATCTCTGTCCTTCTTCATGGAGCCCACCTTGTAAAACTTGTCAAATGGAGTAGAGCCAAATGTGTGCTTCCTGTGGGTACAGCTGCTCTGAGAATAGAAATGAGAGAAAGGGACTGAGTTGTGTTCACTTAGTTCCTGTTCCCAAAGTTAGAGTCCATGTGCCACCCCTGAGAGTGGAGTGAGGGGAGAGAAGAGGGAGGGTGTCACTAGCGTGGCTCCAATGGAAGAGATATGAGGGATGGGGAATTCTTTTTCCCCATACACCTATCTTCCATTCTCCCTTCCTTCCTACCAGATATATTGATTGTCTTATACATACCAGGCATTGGAGCTTACAGTCTAACACTGGAAACAGGTATTAAGTAGTAATTAGAGCATATGCTATGGAGGAGGATTTCAGAGCTCTCTAGGAACTTCCACCTAGGCTGAGAAGTCAGGACAGCCCTCCTGAAGTTGTGCCATTTCAGTGGAGCCCTGAAGGATAGGGTGATTTCCACCCTATTTAGGGGAGTTTGGGGAGCAGAGGGGATGCTAAGTGTGAAAGTCCTGAGCATGAAGGAAACAACGACATTCGCTAGTGTGGCTGACGCTAAAGAGCAAGAAAGGAGGTGACGTGAGGTGAGGCCGGAGGTAAAGGCAGGGGCCGGGTCATTCGGGACTTGGTGCCACTGCACAAATTCTAAACTTTTGAAAGAGCAGTGCAGTGCTTTTGAAGGTTTTTATTTGGTTCAGCCACACGACAGGATGCAGCAGAGTGAAGAGTGGTTGGAGGGAAACAGGTGGATGTGGGAGCCCCGTGGGAAGCTATTACTTTAGTTCAGGGAGGAAATGAGAATGCTTGGGTGTGAGGTGGTGGTGGGACTGCAGAAGCAAGAAAGGATTGGAGAGATATTTAGAAGAGGAGTAGAATGGACAGGGCTTGGTGAGTTACATATGGTGGTGGTGGAGAGGCGGTCAATGAAGAAGAATCAAGCAAAACTCCTAGATTTGTGGCTTGACCGTTTTCCACCCTCTCAACTGAGCTTTATGATATTCCTAAGTATTTGATTAATTTTAAGAGAAAAATCTCATGATTAGAGTTGAGTAGATTTAGATCTTGCAGTACTTGACTTTGTATTTCAAAACTGTCCTTCCCTGGCAGACAAAAGCCAGTGCAAAGCACCCATGAAAATTGTGCGTTCTTAAAAGGACAAGCACAATTTACATTTGTAAGTAAATGTTTACTCTTCTCCCCTATAAATTACAGGGATAAATATAAAATCCCTTAAGATTTTTGCAGGGAAATTCTCCTTATGAGTTGCTTAACTTACTTTGGCTGTATGCCATTTTTGTTACACAAATTGATGGGTAATTTTCAACAATGCGTAGCTAAATTTTGAAAAATTCTTTCCTGTCATCATTTCAGATTCCCTTTGCCAAAGATTGTGGAAATAAGGAAAAATGTATCTCAGACCTCAGCCTGCATGTCGCCACCACTGAAAAGGACCTGCTGATTGTCCGATCCCAGAATGATAAGTTCAACGTTAGCCTCACAGTCAAAAATACAAAGGACAGTGCCTATAACACCAGGACAATAGTGCATTATTCTCCAAATCTAGTTTTTTCAGGAATTGAGGTAAACTTCCAGTTTTTCATTTATTTGTTCTCTTAACATCATTTACCTGGCCTACTTTTCATGCTACTGAGATAATTGCTTTTATTAGATTGATTTTGAAAGAATAGAAGGAATTTTTTACATTAGTCCTCACCAATGGTGAAAGTATTAAGCTTTTTAAAAAAGTTTTGTTTTATTTATTCAAATATGTATGTCTTTTCTTAGATTCTGTGTGAGAAAAGGATAGCTCATGTATAAAAACTGTGTGTTTCATAAAATCCTTAAACCACTGAAACTGAAACAGAGTCAAGGAAAATAATAACAATCAAAGCCAAAACAGTTAACAGACGTACAGAGAGGTACCTCTGTGTTAAGCAAAAAAAATTTACCTGCAGGAAAATCAAGATACCATATCTCCCTTTCTATGCAAAATCCTTACTTTGGCAAGATATTTGTATTAAATAACTGTGTCTTATTGATTTGTAACAGAGGTTTCTTTTATTACATTGGCAATAAAATATATTAATCTGTGTAAGATGCTATATCAGAGGTAATCAGTGTTTCCAAATGTGAACTTTGCTCTTAATTCTGATCTCCAAATGAATCCCACTGAGTTAAAATTTTGTGTATATTTATATTAATTAATATTACATACAATTTATATTAAAAGCAATGCACTTATTAATATTATACATAGTATTAAAACACTATTGTCTACTTTCTGTAAACTCAGATTTCATGGACGTTTCTCTCTATCTGTTAGGATATCACTTAGAGACATGATGACTAAGACAAACCTAAAAATAATGTCATATATTACTATATTTTGGATTCAACTAAGAATATTAATTACAGGCTGGGCATGGTGGCTCATGCCTGTAATCCCAGCACTTTGGGAGACCGAGGCGGGCAAATCACGGGGTCAGGAGATCGAGACCATCCAGGCTAACACGGTGAAACCCCCTCTCTACTAAAAATACAAAAAATTAGCAAGGCATGGTGGCACACACCTGTAGTCCCAGCTACTCAGGAGGCTGAGGCAGGAGAATCACTTGAACCCGGGAGGTGGAGGTTGCAGTGAGCCGAGATTGCACCACTGCACTCCAGCCTGGTGACAGAGGGAGAACAAGACTCTGTCTCAAAAAATTATTATTATTATTATTATTATAAATACAAATGTACAAAGTAATCTTGGGGAAAATATTACCACAGAATTTTTCTCTAGTAAAAATTATTGCCTGTATCCTCCTATGCTGACTTAATGGCCTGGCAGAGAGGCATAGCTAAAAAATCTGACAGTGCATCTCTTCTGTGTATATTAACAGTAACAACAGTAATAATGATGGCAACCATTTCTTGAGTCACATCATGGTTTAGGCCCTGTACTAAGGATTTCACTTATTTCATTTTCATTAATTCTTTTGTAAGTAGGTATGACTGTACTGCAGAGATGCGAAGATAAAACCTTTTTTTCATGTTTCAACATTCTTGTAATTGCATTTTACAATTGATAACATGTTTATTTACGTGGCAGTGTTATTTTTACTTCTTATGGGTATGTAAAAATAATGGCATATCTCATGTTCAATGGCATTTTAAACTGGAAAAAATAGAGTATATGACTAAACCACTTGATAGAAAATCAGTCCCAGAGAGGTGAGGAATCTTAACAAGGATAAAGCTAACAGTGGTGCAGTCAGGGTTTAAATTCTGGTGGTCACGGGTCAGAGCCTATGCTCTTATCCACTGCACTAAACTCCTCCAATGACTAGCATTCACTGAAGACTGCTCTGCACCAGTCTTGGGTGTCTGGATTATTTTATCCAGCCACCGCAATCACTCTGTGAGGGAGGTGCTATTAGTACTTCCATTTTACAACTGAAAACTTAGGTAGGATTGTGAGATATGCTTTGTCTTTCAGGCACCCACAAGTGATGTTTTAGGATTTCCATGAGTGTAGAACAGCTGGTCCCAGAATTCTGTGCCTCTTCCAGCTAAATCGAGACAAAAATAGTGGCAAGGCAGTCACCAAGACACATCTGGGAAAATTCTGAAAGAACACGTATCAATATTTCACCTGCTTGTCCACTCTGATTCTGTTTGCTTTCTCTTCCTAGGCTATCCAAAAAGACAGTTGTGAATCTAATCATAATATCACATGTAAAGTTGGATATCCCTTCCTGAGAAGAGGAGAGATGGTGAGCAGATCATACAAAATACATGTAGAAATTGAATATGAAAAGTAATATGTGCAAAGACAAATATATAAATCCTTCCAATGGTAGTTTAGGATAATACGGATGAAAAATGTTCAGTTCAAAATTGTGACAGATTGGAATATGCTATGGTCAGAATGTTTGTGCCCCACCAAAATTCATATGTTAATACTTAATCCCCAATGTGATCGTAGTAAAAGATGAGGCCTTTAGGAGGTCAGTAGGTCCAGAGGGTGGAGCCCCCATGAGGGATTAGTGTCCTCATACGAGAGGCTTGAGGGAGACTGCTCACCCCTTCTACCATGTCAGAACACATAGCAGGTGCCATCTATGAGAACTGGGTGTTTCCAGACACTGAATCTGTTGGTGCCTTGATCTTGGACTTCCCAACCCTCAGAACTGTGAGCAATATATTTCTGTTATTTATAAAATGCTTGGTATAAGGTATTTTGTACAAGGTATTTATAAATAACAGAAACATATTTAACAACCTTGTAACAATTCTTACACAGGCAAACTCGAACACCAAGACAAGATTTAAAATTTATACTACATAACATATCTAATTTATACTACATAACATATCTGATAAAATGGAGCTGGGAAATTCTGTTATTGGAGTCTCCTAGGTAGTAGGTGTCTCTGGCCTTCAAGAAAAAGAATGCTTCAAATAGATTGGTTTAGAACTTAATCAGAAATTCTCCTTCCATCTCTCTCTTTCTAAAAAAAAATTGCCTTATTGAGATATAATTCACGTAGCATGGAGTTCACTCGTTGAAAGTGTGTATTTCAGTGGGTTTTAGTATATTCACCAAATTATAAATTGTACAGTCATTACGACAATTGATTTTAGAACATTTTCACACACCACAAAGAAGCCACGTATGCATTGGCAGTCACTCTGTTTTTCCTCAACAGCCTTTCTCCCAAGCCCAGGCAACCACTAACCTGCTTTCTTTTTCTATGGAACAAATTGAATTTCCAAATATCAATTGACTTTTATTGGCAATTCTAGAATCAGGCAACACCTTATTCTGTAAAATAAAATGAATGGTGGATGAGCTGAGGAGAGGAAGTTGACTTTATAGAGAGAAAAGGGCTGAAGAAAGCAGAAACAGAACGAAAAGTTGATTGGTCATTTCAAAGTTATTTTCCTTGTAAAAGTGAAAGCAGAGGGGATTTTCTTATCATGCTGTTTGAAACTGGCTTGATTGGGGATTTGGTGATTATCTCTCACTTTTCTCATCTCCCAAAAAGTCAGACAAATGACTTAATTTCGGCTTTGTGGTGTGGAACTTAAGCATTATTTAGTCTGTTGGGCCTAGAGCAAGAGCTGTCCAAACCAATGACCTCCTATATGTTTTACTTAACATGTTTCTTAGTCTATTCTGGCTGCTATAACTAAATACTATAAACTGAGTAGCTTAAAAGCCAGAAGTTTATTTCTCACAGTTCTGGAAGCTGGGAAGTCCAAAGTAAACACACTGGTAGATCTAGTGTCTGGTGAGGGCCCATTTCATGCTTCATAGAAGATGTCTTTTCAATGCATCCTGAGATAGCAGAACCAGGAAGGCAGCATTCTGAGTTACAAGGGTACTAATCCCACTCATGAGGGCTCTGCCCTTATGATCTCATCACCTGCCCAAAGGCCCCATCTCCTAATATCATCACATTAGTGTTTAGGTTTCAACACATGAATTTTGAGGGGAAACATTCACATTATAGCAATATGTAAAACATGGTAGACATTCACATTGAAAAAGAATATGTATATTATATGTTATTCTATCTATTTTGAGATACAATAAGGTTTCATTTTGTAAGACAATGTTTCTCAAATAACTTCATAATTTGAGTTTAGGTAATGTCATTTATGGAAATTGAATATTTTAGTCAAAGTAAATTTCTTATCTGTTACTAAAGACATATTTTTATTTTATAGGTAACTTTCAAAATATTGTTTCAGTTTAACACATCCTATCTCATGGAAAATGTGACCATTTATTTAAGTGCAACAAGGTTGGTTTACATGTGTATAAATGTATGTATATGAATGTATATTGCTTCTTCTGTGTATGTCGAATATTTTGCTCTATAAACTCACTGACAGTTTCTTCCAGGTTGTAGGAGATCAGTAGAAGTGGAAGGCAATTAACCACTTTGCTTCACAAAAACACCCTTAAGAATAATTAGCAAAATAAAGAAATTTTCATTTAATAGAAATAATTCACCTAGATTAAAGCAATGGTTCTATGAGCTATAGAAGATACCATAATCACACATCATTTATATCTGCCAAATTGCATTTAAATTCATAAAAAATTTACTGATAATTTAAAAACTTTCACTGGCTGCCCATCAAGGTCAAATGAATCATTAGATGGACTTAAAGTTTTATGATATCCTTTTGTAATTTAATATACTTTATTCAAATCAGTCAGTACTTCTGAAAGGTATCATAGAACACACAGACTAACAACAGCAAAGGCTCAATAAGGAAAGTGAAATAGTGGTCTAACTTTCTTCTAATTGTAATTATCCACTGACCTGTCTGCAGTGAGATGGTGTCTTTTACTGTTTTATTCACAGTGACTAGCATTGTGCCTGCCATATTATAATCACTACATAGATGTAGACGAAATGAATAAATTAGAGAAATGAATTAATGGATTAATTAATTCTGTATGTTCAAGTCAACTCAACAAATATTTATTTGACATCTATTATGCACAAGATATTGAGTTAGTCACTGTAAGGAATATAAAAATTACTAAGGGCATGAAACTCCTCATAGGGTAAGTATTACAGTAGGGGGTTGAGTCTAGTATAAAATTATTGTAACCTGGGATAGAATAAAAACACTCCATTATAGAGATAGAAAGCTTTGTCAGAAAATTAATAGAAGCTGAAATAATATCTACTTGGCAATGGGAACCCAAGAAAGCTTTATCAAGGAACTTATAATTGAGAAAGACCTTGAAGGGTAGATAGCATTTCACAGAGAGGTCACTGAATAGCACCAGGTGGAGCATTTCAGGCAAAATATATAGCTTGATTAAAAAGGTTATCAATTTTAGCTGAAATATAAAGAATACATAAAGTAGCAATGAAAATAAACAGGGAGTGTGCATTCTATCATATTACGCTAGGTACTGAATGTCAGTCAAGGTATTATTTCTTAATTGAACAGACCTTGAAAAGCCAGTAAAGTTTTTGAGAGGTAAAGTCATCTGTACAGAGCTGCTGCTTATGGAGATGAATTTAGGAAGGCTGCAGTGTGGAATGGGTGAGAGAAAAGGGGACCATTCATGCTAAGAGCTGAGTCACACAAATACCTATAATCCAAGGCAGCATGCTGCTTTCTCTGTCCTGCTGCTTATGAGCCACTTTATACATTTGGGAATAAGCAGAGCCATTAAAAAGTACTCTTATGCCCATTCTGTGAGACAATATGTTAGGTGCTTGGTCAGTTGGTGGAGGGGTATGTGTAAAATAATAATGAAAGCTAACACTTACTGAATATTTCCTATGTCCTAGGCACAATCTTAAGCACTTTATACTTATTACTAATTTAATCATCATTTATTACTCATTTGATATCCCATTTTATAGATGAAGAAACCAAAACAAAGACAGATAAGTAATTTGACCAAAGTGTATCAGTGTCCAAGAACAATCTCATTCTCTGGCCCCAGAGCCAGTGTTCATTACTCGTTATATCATTTGTATGTGTTTTCTAATACGAGGAAGTATGTATATGTGTGTATGCACATATATACATGTGTTTACATAATATATAATTTAAATGATAACCAAAATCAAGAGAATAAATCAGTGTTTAACAAACAATATGATCATCAAGTACTTAGTATGGAAAGACTATTAAAGAAGAAAACAAAAGATTTTAGATTTACTCTCAGCTGTGTGACCCTAATCACTTATCTTTACTAAGTCCTCATCTGTGATAAATAAGCATCACCTGGGGGCAGATATGTGGTTAAAAACAGAAATTCCTGCACCCCAAGTTGGAACCCCTAAATCCATATTTCTAAGGGAAGCCCAGTAACCTTTGTATTTTAACAATTAAACTGAGGGATTCTTATCAATATTGTCATAGAATTTTGAAAAACATAAATCAGTGTGATTGTCAAGTCTAGTCGCACATCAGAATCAACTTGGGAACTTTCAACCATACCAATCATCTCTGATCTCCTTCTTCACCCCAATTAAAAAAATGATTAAAAATTATACTCTTACATGCTTTTATTTAGTTGCCAGGATAAGCTTCTCTTTCAAACACTTAGAAATGTCTTTAAATAGTCAAGATTTTAATGGTTTGTCTGAATGTGCCGTGTATTTTCTAGTGACAGCGAAGAACCTCCTGAAACCCTTTCTGATAATGTAGTAAACATTTCTATCCCGGTAAAATATGAAGTTGGACTACAGTTTTACAGGTAGGAGAAAACTACATTTTTATGTGGATGCCTTTCTATTAACCCAGTGGTTCTGAAAGTGTGGTCCCTGCCTGGCCAAGGGCATCAGCATCACCTGGAAACTTGTTAGGCAAATTCTCTGGCCCCACCAGAAACCTACCAAATCAGAAACTCGGAGGATGGGGTTAAACAAGCCTTCCAGGTAATTCTCATGCATCCTAATGTTTGAGAACCATTATACTAAATAACCCAAAGTGTTAGGTGTTAGTGATACCGGATTGCATTTGCTGTCCAGTCTTAATTCCCGAATGCAAGTTGAAGACCCAGAAGTCCTTCGCAAAACACGATATTTTCTTAGAGGCCGCCAGCATATTTCTTGGTCATCGTTCTCATCCTGTGGAAGCTGATCAGTCTTCTCAATCTGGACACACAAGATTAAAGCATTTCTCATTGATAAGAGCTGTTTATTTCTTCCACCATTCATAAACCATTCTTTCTCTTAAGAACTTCTTATCTATCCCAACACAAACCATGTTGACAAACTTTCCCTCTATAATTTCCCCTGCTTAAGCAGAACTCCAAGCTTTTGCCAAATAAACATGTGCAATATACTTAAAAGGATAAGAATCAGTGGCAAGTAGGTTTATTCTAAAAGTCTTATCATTTTATTAATTTTTTAATAATAGTGGCTAACATTTATTGAGCCTTTGTGTTCTGTCTTATGTGATCCTCATGATAACACTATGGTTCAAATACAACTACTATCTCCATTTTCCAGTTGAAGAATTTGAGGTTCAGAGAGGCTAATTTACCCAAGGTTATATATTCAGGAAGTGTTAGTTTAAACCATTTCACATGCTTTTTTTTTTCTTTTAATTTAAAAACTGTTTTAAATTGACACGTAATAATTGTACATATTTATAAGGCGCTTGGAGACGTTGTGATGCAAGTAATATATAGCAACTAAACAGGGTAATTGGAACATCCATTGTCTCAAACATTTATCTTTTTTTTGTATTGGGAACATTCAATATCTTCTTTCTGGCTTAATAATTTATTATCTATGGCACTCTCTCTTTACTAAATGGAGACTACAAAAATGGCATGATTATAGGACATACATGTAGATTGTGCTAATATTTCTCAGCCTTTAAATTCTGTCTCCACTTTTCTGTATTTTTCTGTATCCACTTCTATTGGTGCACTGACTTTTCCCCAAGAGTTTTCCATTTACTTAAAATCAAATTTTGGCAAACACTTATAAATATTTTTTGTCTTCCCTTGACTGAAGTGCTGCTTAAAAACATACTATTTTACTCTACCAAGTTCATCCAAAGAACATGATGAAGCTGTGTAGAGAAGATTGAACTTTTAAGTTTAGCAGTAAATATAGGACTTTAAATTATGAAATGGTAAAAATTTTTAATCTATTTAGAATTCAGCATTACATTTTAGTTTCATTTTTCACTAGGTATAAATGGTATTAGTGAATTTACAGAAACTTTTCACTTGTTAACCATGAAATTTTAACTTTTAAAACTCATATTCTAGCATTTTGGGGTCAAATAAGCATCAGTGACTATTGAACTAAATTACATAATCCTTCTCACTCTCCTCAAAGATTTAATTTTACGTTTCAAGGTAAATGAATTCCCCTATGATTTGAAATCCCTACAAGTATTTTTGTGGAATTACATGATATGGAGAAAGAAAATAATGAGGCCAAATAAAAGTTAAACTTTGTTATGTTTTATTTTTCTTCTAATTAATTTTTTAAGCTCTGCAAGTGAATACCACATTTCAATTGCTGCCAATGAGACAGTCCCTGAAGTTATTAATTCTACTGAGGACATTGGAAATGAAATTAATATCTTCTACTTGGTAAGAAATTACCTCTAAAATAGTATTCTAAAGGAGTTATTTGTAAATATATAAATTAAAGTATTAACAGACACATAAAAATATGTTGCTTCAATGTTTAATCTCTATATTCCAGCATATTTTCTTTATAATTTCATAAATATAAATATAGACATATAATATATAAATATAATTTTCAATTTATATTTTTCTTTATAATTTCACTGAAGATTTAAATTTGTTGTAATTATATTTTCACATCAGTTTAGAGATCTAAGCCTCTAATTTCCTCAAAATAAGATACCACTAGAATGACTTTCTAGAAAAAAAAAATAAACTATGGGACTAGATAGATGCTACCGATAAACCTGTAGACTTTACTTACATTATTTTATCAGTGTGACTGAGAAAAGCACTTTTTCATTAATTATGACTATATCAGAAATTTGTTATCACAATTGTCTTGGCAATTTTTTTTACTTAACAAATAAGTATGTATCACATTCTCCTTATTGTTACCTTTCACATGCATTGTACTATAAATTACTCATGTTGGTACTACCACCTCCTTAAATGATGTTTTCTATTACATTTATTTTTCCTTTTAAATCCTTCATAACAAACTCTATACCACTATAGCAAACAATCACGGAATTTTATTTTAGGTAATGCCTAGTTACTGACACAGACTCAAGTTAAAATCACTCAAGGAAAAAAGAGAGCACAATTCAAATAATGGATTTAAATATGTATTCAAAAATATGAGATAATGCAACAAAATTATAAATGAAGACAGCCTCAATCCTTTTGGGAATTGCCAACCACAAAAAAAAGTTCTCTCATAGAGTATAAATAAACGTATACTCCCAAGATTAATTTCATTTTTTAAAATTTGTACTCTTTGCTAGAATTCCTATGACAATTTATGCTAATTTCCCTGGAAATTAGCATAAATGCCAATCACTCTACTGGATTCTAGGACAGATTTTTGGAATTCAGGCTATCAGATTTCTCCAGCCCTATTCACTTTCCCTGAACTAGAAAATTCAGCAAAAAAAGAAAGAAAACAAAAAGACTTTGTTGCAGAACTTTATATATTGTAACTTATTAGGGTCCAGATTTGAAATAGGTACTCTCTCTTATAAAAGTGTTGATATGAATTACATTGCTAAGAATATTCCTGAGCATAAAACTTTGTGTGTATCTCTGATTATTTTGCTGAAGTAAATTCTAGAATTGGAATAAAGGAGTTTTTTAAAAGAACTTTTTTTAAGGTGAAACCCGGTAAGTTTACTGCTCGGAATTTTCCCTAGGAAATTTTTGGTGATAGAAACAAAGATTTCAGGGATGTTCTTAACAATATTATTTATAATAGTTTAAAAATTAAAGCCTGGGCACAATCTAAACACTTAACACAATGAAATTACTTACATTATCATATATTTAGTGAAGAGATTATCATATATTCAATGGAGAGACAACGTAATATTTTAGAAGGCACATTTTGGAGTAAGAAACCATAATGCTGCTATTTACTAGCTTTGTGATCTTGGAAGTTCTTAATTTTCATTCCAACCTTCTTACCTCATAGATAAAACAAAGATAATATGAGGATCTGCTTCCTGCAGTTGTTAACAGGGTTAAAAGCAATAATGCATATAAGAAGATTAGCACAGCATGTGGCACATAGTCAACAATATTGATATTGTGGTTGTTATGAACAGTCATATTCTCAATAAACTTATACATTTAAAGGAAAATGCCATAGCATAATACATTTTACAGACAGGGTACAAAACTGTATTTTATTGTGTTACAAATTTTATAAATATGCATATATGCAAATAGGACAGGTAACCTACACTAAAATGTTACCAAGGTAGTTGAAGTATAGGAAACGTTTATTTTCAGTATTTTCCAATGTTTCTACAAGGAACATTTTTTAATCAGAAAAAAATGGTAATTACAGAACACAGGATTTCTTTTTTTTTTTTTTTTTTTTTTTTTTTTTTTTTTTTGAGACGGAGTCTCGCTCTGTCGCCCAGGCTGGAGTGCAGTGGCGGGATCTCGGCTCACTGCAAGCTCCGCCTCCCGGGTTCACGCCATTCTCCTGCCTCAGCCTCCCAAGTAGCTGGGACCACAGGCGCCCGCCACTACGCCCGGCTAATTTTTTGTATTTTTTAGTAGAGACGGGGTTTCACCGTTTTAGCCGGGATGGTCTCGATCTCCTGACCTCGTGATCCGCCCGCCTCGGCCTCCCAAAGTGCTGGGATTACAGGCGTGAGCCACCGCGCCCGGCCAGAACACAGGATTTCTAACTGAATATCAGGAAACAGAATTTGACTGGAAATCAAGAAGATAAGAGTTAGGGAGCATGTTTAAGGGTCCAGGTGCAGCTGGTCAGGAACCTCCAGAATTCCAGAATTAAAGGATGTATTTCGTCTTTACAAACCCAGGAAACTGCTTCAGATCTGAGGAGCTCTCAGTCTGGAAGGCTCAGTTGGGTAGATCACTGGCTTTCCTTGGGTCTATCTATGTAGATCAAGGCGTTCCCTACCCAGCTAAAGAAGCTGCACAGGGATGCCATAGGTTTCAGGCCTGCAGATTATGCTTCAGCAGTAGGAAGGGGACAACTGCATCTGGTTGTCCCAGTTCAGTTGTACCTTTTAAGCAGGGAAGGACCTCTGGATAGTGAGTTCAGTTTCCTGTTGAACTTTATCCTGCCCACCTTTCCCTCTGAGCTACACTCACTACTGGTAGCAGAACATGATACTAAGTGGAAACTTTGGGTTAGTGGATAAAATCGAATGGAGACTGAGATGAAAGTAAATCTGACTCTCATAAAACCAGATTATCAACAGCCAGTGTCACGGTAGCCCTAGCTGGGGGTAGAATTGTGAAGGGAAGCAGATGGGAGTCTGGTTTTCCTGTATAGTGGTGGCAGATCCCATCTAGCCAGGATTAGAGATGATTTATGGGTTTAAGGAATTATGGCAAACTGGGTAAAGGCAACCAAAAATCTAAATTGTTCCGTGGTCTCCCTTCTTTCCAGTTTCAAAAAGACTGGTATGTTAAAAAAAAAAAAAAGAAAGAAAAAGAAAAGAATGAGCATGGCAAGAACATAATAACAGACAAAAACTTCCAATTCTGGTCTTCTGTTAATCCTAGGTCTATTAAGAGAATGGGGGATGGAGGAACAATATGATTATAGCTGATACATACGGCTACTGACCATTAAGTGTCCATATTTTCTGCTGGCTGAATTATGCCAATTCTCTGTACAGCACCATAAAGGATCTACATTTGTTTGGGGATTCAAAATATTACACAATTTACTTCATCAGCTAGAAAACAAAGCCCTACATAAGACAGAAGAATTCTATTAAAAGAGGAAGAAAGATTACATTTCCATTTTTTTCTTGTAGATTAGAAAAAGTGGATCTTTTCCAATGCCAGAGCTTAAGCTGTCAATTTCATTCCCCAATATGACATCAAATGGTTACCCTGTGCTGTACCCAACTGGATTGTCATCTTCTGAGGTAAGTCATGTGTGCCTTGGAATTATGTCATTACTGTTATCTTTTCCACTTTATGTTTAAGCCTTTTGTTCTGCATGATACTTGTAATAAAGAATTTTACCAAAGTAACATGGAGAGGTATTTAGATAATTAAAAGCAAATAATAATAGATGTATTATTCCCTAGAGCTGCTGTAACAAATTATCACAAATTGAGTGACTTAAAACAACACAAATTTATTCTTTCACGGTTCTGGAGTCCAGAAGTCCAAAATCAAGGTGTTGACAGTGTTAATTCCCTCTGGAGGCTCCAAGAGAGACTCTTTCTCATGCTGTTTTCCTAGCTTCTGGTGACAACTGGCAACCCTAGTCGTTCCTTGGCTTGCGGCAGCATAGCTCCTATCTCTGCCTCTGTCTTCACCTGGCCTTCTCTGTGTTTCTATGTGTTCTCCTTCTCTCTTTGTGTTTCTGCACACTCACCATTAGATTTAGGGTCCACCCTAAATCCAGAGTGATCTCATCTGGAGATCCTTAATATAATTATGTCTGCAAAGACCCTATTTCCAAGTAAAGTCATATTTACTAGTTCTAGGGAGATTTAGGCATATCTTTGGGGACCACTATTCAATCCACTAGAGTAGATTTTAAATAATTCATTGTTATGAAATGTTTCTTACACTTTTCCTTGATTTGTGGTAATCAAACAACTCTATAAAGTGACTTCTTAATTGTACCTAAGCATGCACAGCTGCAAACAAAATAGTATAATTGTATTTACTCACATCCCAAATAATAGCAATATTGCACCCCCTTTATATTTTTAGCTTGAATGAGACTATATGATGGTTCATTATGGTTTAGTGCCTAAAACAAAAAATCACCATAAGTATTGAATTAATGTGTGCATGATGTCAGAATTTGGAAATCTGTCTTTTCATGCATTTTTTAAAGTGTTCCCAGAAATCAAGAAATAGCAACAATGCTAATTGGCTTGTGATCACTTAAATGTTTTCCTAAGGGCAAGGAAAAAATAAGCCTTTGGAATTTCCCTCTAATCCAAAAAAGCAGGTTTGTGAAAATCCAGAAGAGAAAAAAAAATTGTACTTTTCATACTGCTTAGGAAACTTTAATCTTATTAACTTTTGTCAAGGATATTGACAGTACTGGGGAAGCAAAAGGTTTACTAGGTTAAGTCTAGAACCAGCTATCTTATAAATATAGCATTTTAACATAATATATTAACATCTATAGGGCTGTCTGCTTACGTCTACCTCCCATGTAGACTGAGTGTCCTATCCTTGGTGTGTAGGGAATCAAAAGTATTACTGGATGAATACATAAATACAGATGAAGGTCTCTCGCTTTTCAATTGTTTCATGAGCCATAATATTGAACAAGTATTTTTGTTGTTTTTGTTTCCTTTTTTTTGAGACGGAATCTCTCTCTGTCACCCAGGCTGGAGTGCAGTGGCGCGATCTTGGCTTACTGCAACCTCCTCCTCCCATGTCCAAATGATTCTCCTGCCTCAGACTCCCAAGTAGCTGGGACTACAGGCGCCTGCCACCACACCCAACTAATTTTTGTATTTCTAGTAGAGATGGGGCCTCACCATGTTGGCCAGGCTGGTCTCGAACTCCTGACCTCAGGTGATCCACCCACCTCGGCCTCCCAGAGTGCTAGAATTACAGGTGTGAGCCACTGTGGCTGGCCGTTGTTTTTGTTTTTATCAGTAGAATTTAAATGCTTTTCTCTCTCTGTAG
This sequence comes from Homo sapiens, assembly GCF_000001405.40. Taxonomy (NCBI): domain Eukaryota; kingdom Metazoa; phylum Chordata; class Mammalia; order Primates; family Hominidae; genus Homo; species Homo sapiens. Next base: position 52,939,253 of record NC_000005.10, read on the forward strand.
TATAGAATTTATAAGCTTATCTTTGATTAAGGTAATAATGAATGTATTAATCACGTAATAGTAAGTTCTATTAGCATTCTTTCTTTTCCATTACAACCTCACTAGTTTCCATTACAATTCAAAAGTAGCATGGTAAGAGTACATATTATCTTGGGGTGGATATATATGTATGTATGGCTGGTGCATAACAACCTTTCCCATACAGCACACTTACAAAGATGGATCTCTAATATATGGCAATGGCTGTCATTCACAGATTCTTTACACTACTGCAGCAAGTCATGTTTTTCCTCTGATATCTGGCATTGTCTGATAAATGTAATATTTTCATTTCTAGAATGCAAACTGCAGACCCCATATCTTTGAGGATCCTTTCAGTATCAACTCTGGAAAGAAAATGACTACATCAACTGACCATCTCAAACGAGGCACAATTCTGGTAAATTAAGACAAGTGCTATTTTTACCTTTTGCTTTCCAAATGAATAAAATTGATATCAATCTAGAAATAACCATCTGAAGAATTTAAATATAGATATTTGATAAAACGGCAAGAATACTGATATGTATCTCTGGACATTTAAACAGGACTGCAATACATGTAAATTTGCTACCATCACATGTAATCTCACTTCTTCTGACATCAGCCAAGTCAATGTTTCGCTTATCTTGTGGAAACCAACTTTTATAAAAGTAAGTAAATACATAGTTCTATGCACTTATTGAATAATATCAATAAATATTCATTTACCACTTAGAATATGCAAGGCACTGTGCTGCTTTTGGAAAGAATGTGCGACTGGAAGTATAAGAGGATGTGACCAAGCCCCAGCTCTACTTAACCAGCTATGTGTGTCTCATCTTCCTTGTCTGTTAAGAACTAAGATATTACCAAGGTCCCCTCTGGAGAGATATACTTTTTTCAATCTCTCTTATCCTTTTTCTTTGTACTTTAAGAGATAAATACCTTTCCAGTACCAAAGCTTGCACTTATCTTAATACTTTGGAACTCAGTTAATGTACAGAGTATAATAAAGTGGCAACCCTTGACCCCAGTAACAAAGGAAAGAGCTAACATATACCATAGACTTACTGTGTTTTATCAGACTGTTATTATATGTATAATTTTATAATATATAGGTATATATGAAGCCTTTTTTCTTTTTTTTTTTTTTGAGACGGAGTGTCTCTCTGTCGCCCAGGCTGGAGTGCAGTGGCACGATCTCAGCTCACTGCAAGCTCCACCTCCCGGGTTCACGCCATTCTCCTGCCTCAGCCTCCCGAGTAGCTGGGACTACAGGCGCCCACCACCACGCCCGGCTAATTTTTTTTTGTATTTTAGTAGAGACTATGAAGACATTTTTAACCCCTTATAAAGCCAAATCTGTCTGACAATAAGCTACTTTAAAACTTTTTATTGTATTTTGTATTATTTATTTCTCAGGAAGTATTTAGTTGAACATATGACTTTGCCATTTTTGAATTTGATTATAGTAAGTTGCTATTTTTATGTCATTAACTGTTAATATTGGCAATTTCATTTTTTAAATTTCAACTTTAATTTTAGATACAGGGAGTATACATGCACGAGTTTGTTACATGGGTATATTTGCAGGATATTGAGGTTTAGGGTACAGATTCCATCGCTCAGGTAGTGGGCATAATACCCAATAGGTAGTTTGTCAGCTCCTCCAAGTAGTCCATGGTGTCTACTGTTCCCATCTTTATATCCATGAGTACCCAAGGCTTAACTCTCACTTATACGTGAGAACATGTGGTATTTGGTTTTCTGTTCCTGTGGAATTTGCTTAGGATTATGGCCTCCATCTGCATGTATGTTGCTGCAAAGGACATGATTTTGTTCTTTTTTATGGCTGTGCAGTGTTCCATGGTGTATATGTACATATTTTCTTTATCCAGGCCACTGTTGATGGGCACCTATGTTAATTCCATGTCTTTGCTGTTGTGAATAGCACTGCAATGAAGATATGACCGCACGTGTCTTTTTGGTAAACAGTTTCTTTCGGGTATATACACCCAGTAATGGGATTGCTGGGTTGAATGGTAGTTCTGTTTTAAGTTGTTTGAGAAATCTCCAAACTGCTTTCCACTGGCTGAACTAATTTACATCCCCACCAACAGTGTATAAGCTTTTCCTTTTCTCTGCTGCCTCACCATTTTCTGTTATTTTTTGACTTCTTAATAATAGCCATTCTGACTGGAGTGAGATGGTACCTACCTCATTTTGGCTTTTATTTGCATTTCTGTAATGATTAGTGATAATGAGAGTTTTTTCATATGTTTGTTGGTCACCTGTATGTCATGTTTTAAGGAGTCTATTCATGTCCTTCGCCCATTATTTAATGTGGTTATTTGTTGATTGATTGCTTGCTGAGTTGTTCAAGTTCCTTATTCTGGATATTAGACCTTTGTCAGATGCATAGTTTGCAATTATTTTCTCCCATTCTGTAGGTTGTCTGTTTACTCTATTGATAATGTCTTTTGTTGTGCAGAAGCTCTTTAGTTTAATTAGATCCCACTTGTCAATTTTTGTTTTTGTTGCAATTGCTTTTAGAGACTTAGCCAAAAATTATTTGCCAAGACCAATGTCAGAGAGGGTATTTCCTAGGTTTTCTTATAATATTTTTATAGTTAAAGGTCTTATATTTAAATCTTTAATTTGTCTTGGTTAGTTTTTATATATGGGGAAAGTTAGGGGTCCAGTTTCATTCTTCTGCATATGGCTAGCCAGTTATCCCAACACCATTTTTTGACTAGGGATTCCTTTCCCCATTGCTTGTTTTTGTTGGCTTTATCAAAGATCAGACGGCTGTAGGTATGTGGCTTTATTTCTGAATTCTCTATTCTGTTTCACTGGTCCATGTGGCTCTTCTGTACCAGTATCATACTGTTTTGATTACCGTAGCCTTATAGTAGAGTTCGAAGTCAGGCAGTGTGATGGGTCTGGCTTTGTTCTTTTTACTTAGGATTGCTTTGGCTACCTGAGCTCTTTTTTTAGATCCACATGAATTTTAGAATAGTTTTTTCTAATTCTGTGAAAAATGATGTTGGTACTTTAAGAGCAACAGTGTTAAATCTATACATTGCTTTGGGCAGTATGGCCATTTAATGATATTAAATGAAAGGTTTTTTCTTTTATTTGTCTCATCTCTGATTTCTTTCAGCAGTGTTTTTTAGGTCTCCTTTTAGAGATCTCTTACCTCCTTGGTTAGCTGTATTCCTGGATATTTCAGTGTTTTTTGTAGCTTCTGTAAATGGAGTTTTTTTTTTTTTTTTGAGACGGAGTCTCGCTCTGTCGCCCAGGCTGGAGTCCAGTGGCGCGACCTTGGCTCACTGCAAGCTCCGCCTCCCGGGTTCACGCCATTCTCTTGACTCAGCCTCCTGAGCAGCTGGGACTACAGGCACCCACCACCATGCCCGGCTAATTTTTTTTTTTTTTTTTGTATTTTTAGTAGAGATGGGGTTTCACTGTGTTAGCCAGGATGGTCTCGATCTCCTGACCTCATGATCTGCCCACCTCAGCCTCCCAAAGTGCTGGGATTACAGGCGTGAGCCACCGCACCCAGCCCTGAGTTGTGTTGTTTATTTGACTCTCACCTTGAACATTATTGGTGTATAGAAATGCTACTAATTTTTGTACCCCTATTTTATATTCTGAAACTTTACTAAAGTCATTTATGAATTCTAGGAGTTTTTTGGCAGAGTCTTAAGGGTTTTCTAGGTATAGGATCATATTACCAGTGGAAAAAAGATAGCTTGACTTCTTCTATTCCTATTTGGATGTCTTTATTTCTTTATCTTGCCTTATTGCTCTGGCTAGGACTTAGAGTACTAGGTTGAATAGGAGTGGTAAGAGTGGGCATCCTTGTCTTATTCCAGTTCCCCAGGGGAATGGTTCCAGCTTTTGCCCATTCAGTATGATATTGGCTAGGATTAGTTACAGATGACTCTTATTATTTGGAGGTATGTTTCTTTGATGCCTGTCTCTACCTAGAGTTCTTGTGCTGATTCTTTCTCATCTTGGGGGACTGATGTTCTTCAACTGTGGTGTAAGTTGAGTGTAGTCATTTGGGTTTGTTTCTGGATGCTTTCAGAGGGCCAAGTCTCTGTACAGGATCTTTATTTGTGGGTGTATGCTCACAGGAGTGTTTATTAGCAAAGTAATTTTTGGTGTTGTTGTTTGAGCTGTGATCCAGTAGAGGGCAATTAAGGGTAATGGGCAGTAGATAGGCTCTTAGTCTTGCCACTCTTGTATTTGCTCATGTTTGCAGGGGTGCTCTGCAGTGGGTAGGGAGAGGCCTCCTCCAATCACTGGCACTGTACCCATGTTTCTTTTGTTAGGTGTTCTGGGCCACAGGCTCTCTCGGGCAGAGGCCATGGCAGGTAGATAGGTGACACCTTTTCCGAACCAGCCCTGTGGAGGGAGTCATGCCCTACTCCAGTGCTGGCCCACGCTGGCCCACGAATCCATGTTTGTTACCCATCTCAGTGCTCTGAGATGGGGGCTCCTCCCCTACTTGAGTGCCAGCCATAGATCTCAGCTTGGTACTCCTGAGACGGACATGCCATCTCTGGGTCTCCAGGACACCCCGCAGCTCAGAGTCAGGCTCTGGTTGCTTTGGAGGATCCAAAGTCCTCCCAGGTCACAGGGAAAGTACTCAGGTGGGGCGCAGCACCCAGGCTGGGCGGCAGAGACTGCGCTGTGCACATGCTCCTGTGGGGCAGTTAGGCAGGGACTCTGGGAGGGTCTGGCAGGCGGGAGAGGCTGCAGAACAGACATGCCCCAGTCCCATGGGGAATGCCTGCTTTCTCCTGGCTTGTGGTCACCTGGGGCTAGAGCCTCTCTGAAGGAGATGGGGAGTCCGAGGGGATGGGCACCTATGTCTGTGCTCTGCTCACAAAAGCTCCTGGGCTCCATGCTAGCTGAAGCCCTGTCTCTACCTGCTCCCTGGGAAAATCCACCTGCCAGCTCACACATCCATTGGAGATGTTGGGTACTCTGTAGCTTAGATCCCAGATGTCTGTGGCAAGAGTGAGCTGTCCCTCAGTCCCCTCCCTCACCCCTTCTCCAGGAGCCATTTAGGGCCAGGAAGTAGCCCAAGCATTCAGGTACCCTACGCAGGGTTCCCAGCTTCTCCCTCTTCAGCCTCAGCATCTGTGTTGCCTCTCCACACACTTGCGGTGTTTTCTCCCTAGAGATCAGATCTGCCCAAATTATATTATTTACTTGATAATTTGGGATCTCTTAGTGGGAGAGATGGCTGTGTCTAGTTAGCCATCTTGTCCCCCTAGATCATCAATTTCATTTTTAATCCTAAATAAGTGCCTAGATAAACTTCATCACCAGAATGTAGTTGTTTCATGTCTTGCTACATTAAAGGTAGGCAGAGTTTGAGGTTTGTTTTTTCTAATGATAAATCAATACAAAATATTTTTAAAATTTTTTTTCATTCCATAACGAGGATCTAAGTAAGGATTTTCAGTGGCAAATGAGGGAGGACAAGTGCACGGTTATTATTTGATACTACCAGTTCCATTTGGAAGTTAACAAAACTGGAATTTTTAATCTCTCAGAAAAATCTTAGCTTTTATAAATGTCCTACTCAAACATGACTAGCTCTCATTTTGATTAGCATCATATATTAAGAACAAATCCTATTTGCTTTTCAGTCATATTTTTCCAGCTTAAATCTTACTATAAGGGGAGAACTTCGGAGTGAAAATGCATCTCTGGTTTTAAGTAGCAGCAATCAAAAAAGAGAGGTAAGTGCAACATGAGTTTTGAAAACATTATGCATTTCACTCTGAATTTTGTGACATAATGTTTTATAATTGTTGATAGTCCCTTAAGCAGTGACTGGTATTGCTCTCGGTAAGTGACAGACACTATTTGCTTCAAATTATACTTCATTAGCTTCAAATGTGATTTTAGTCTTATTCATCCTTGTAAGACACTGGGAAAATCATGATATTTACAATTCACATGCCGCATTTGACTTTATCACTTATAACTATCACGGTAAATGGATGTTTTTACTTTCACTTTGATAACAAATGATGCAGTTGTAACTTTCCTCCTTAAAAGCTGACATTATAAAATGCAGCTGATATCTGAAGAGCAGCCGCAAAAAACAACTTCTTTATAAAAAGTGCCTTTATACTGTACAGGAAAACATGTACATTTTTTAAAGTTTTCTTTCAAATTTCATTGAGAAATTTGAAACAAAAAAGTGATGGTATTTCCTAATACAAATTCAGACTTGAGTCCTCAGTAAAAATAGAAAGGTTTGAGTTTTTAACTCTTGTCCTTTTTATAAATTAATAAGCCAAGGTGACGGAGTAAGACCCCATCTCTAAAAAAATAAAATAAAATAAGTACTTGTTACACATGCAGGCACTTCAGCATGATCTCCCCCCTTCTCATGGGAGACTTTAAATATCCCATGTGGATAACAGCACCATGTGAATCATAAAATTCAATTTGGAAGCTCCCTAACTTTCAGATGTTCTTTTTAAATTGCTTATTTCAAATTTTTCCAATATCAATGACTTCTGATAAGTATACGCTTTTCAAGAAAAAGGAAAATACATGCATATAATGTTTACTTATGTCATAAAGAGCGCTTAGCATAAGCAATGCAAAATGCAAAGTTGTTCCTTACATAGAATAGCCAACATTTCACTAAAACCTAAAAAATTTGAGTATGGTTTATGTTGGAAAAGTACATATGATTCCTAAATTTATGTGTTAAAATTTTATAATGAGTTTTATTTTCCCTAAATATTAGTTAAAAATTCCCCTGGAAATATTTATTCTACATTCATCCTAAAGGAAAAATTATATCTATATTGATAAAATTACTAAAAGTGATCATTTTGTAATTGTGTGATCTGAGGAAAGTCACTGATCTTATCTAGATTCCGGTTTCCATATCTGTAAGTTCAGGGAATTGTTTTACATATGTTTAAAATCTGCCTTGCTGGGCTTAGTGGCTCATGTCTGTCATCCCAGCCTACTCGGGAGACTGAGATGGAAGGATCACTTTAGCCCAGGAGTTTGAGATCAGCCTGGGCAAAATAGTGAAACCCCATCTGTGTTTTGTTTTGTTTTGTTTTAAGAAACTGTCATAATGGTCTGATGCTGTATATGTCTACATTCTTGCCAGCTCTGTCACCTACCTGGAGTGATTTGAGAGGTTTTGATTAGTATCATGCATATACAAATCTCTCCCCTGTTAGTTTCTTTTTCTACCCTAATCTTCCCTCTAGGTAAAGAAATTGAGGTGTTACTGTTAAAGGCAAATACAGGGCTTGAACTATTACTAGCCATTGATATCTACCCTAAATTAATTTTTTTCAAATCCCCCAGGGATGAGACACAGAGCAGATAGGTTTCATTGAGGTTTGAGTGCCACCCTGAGAGAGCTTGAGTAGCTGGAACACTAAAAGCGGTCCATTTTACAGCTTTGCTTCAGTTAAAACCTGATTTATACATGTGGACCCAGTGATAAGTCAAGTAGAAGAAACATTGTGGTATAATGAAGAGCACACTGGGAGTGAATACATATGCAAACATTCACTTACCCATACACTTGACATGTATGCATTATACTTTCAATTTATAAACAAAAAATTATGCACACTAGAAATAAAATAAGGAGACTTTCTCAGGTTCTTATGACAACAAACTGCGACATTCCAATCTAAACTAATGCTATTGTGATAATACAGTAGTGTACTAATTAATCTTTAACACACATAATACTTTGGTTCTCCCTGAGTTAAACAGAAATTCACTCCTCCCCTTGAGCATTCCAATCCATTGACATTTAACCCTTTATGTATAAATTTCAGAAGGATAATATTATAAATACCTTTTGGTAATAATAAATTTGACATAGTTAGAGATTTAGACTAGATGAAGAGCATTTTCTAATGTAAATCTAATGTTTTCTCATTATATAGTAACGAGATTAATGCACTGGTAGAGAATTGTAGCCTGCAAGAACTCAATGTTCCAGGAGTTCTAATAGGTGTTTATTATGTTAACAATCTTGTTTAATAATTTTCAGCTTGCTATTCAAATATCCAAAGATGGGCTACCGGGCAGAGTGCCATTATGGGTCATCCTGCTGAGTGCTTTTGCCGGATTGTTGCTGTTAATGCTGCTCATTTTAGCACTGTGGAAGGTAAACACCAAAATTCCTTTGACTCTCTACTTCAATCATCAACAGCAAACTGGAGAAATAAGCTCTGATATATTCAGACTATGTAATATAGTATTATTACAGCAATGAAACAAACGTTGAAATGATGACTAAGGGAAAGAAAAAAGAAAAATGCGTATTTCAAACACTGCACACAACTTGACCCAATTTTTGTAAAGGAAAAAAAACTTATTTTAAGTTAGAAATAGTCAAAAATTCACAAAAGTATCTTTCTAGAGTTTAGTATGATAGGGGACTTTCACATGTGTAACAATTAAAATTTTATAATAAGTATGTATTTCTTTTATAAACAGAGAACAATGAAAACTGTCTTTTATAGAGAAAGAAAAAATGAATTCCTATGTCAATTTAAGGATATATAAGCAGTAGATTCAAGGTTAAAATAAGCCTTGTTTTAATCACATCTCCATGTGTCTTAAATATCAAATAATTCTTTAATGTTTAAATATATATGGCACATTTTATGTAATAAATTGTGTGCCTGAGTGGAGGATAAGGGATCAGCTGATGTAGGGGAGATCTTAAAGTTTCACAGACTCCTATTTCAAATTCTGTGGTAAATGTGAGTAACCACCTATTTTGTGTCAAGTAACTCTGGATATTTATGTAATGTTTTGCTTAGGCTGAAATAGACATGATTTTTAAAACTCTTAGCAGCTGTATAATTTTCACATTAAGTAGAATTGAGATGACAGCTTTTGGGATAAGTTGAATAGAGAATAACATCCCATACAGAGTTGAATGTTTTTTCAATTAAATATCAAATAAGCATTTATTCTAGCATAATATCCCCCTAGATTTTACCTATTGTTTTGTTAAATAGTTAAATTATGTTAAAAATATAGGTTGTGGCTACATATTAATTGTTCTATTACCTGAGCAACATAATTATTTAATCAAATAGTTTAAATAGCAAGTTTCTCTCCCACTGAAATACCAACTGTTCCTATCCTTTCTTACTCTCCTATGACTCACTTCCTCTTTTGAGGGGCTTAGTCTCAGAGGAGATGGTGAACAAAGCCAGATGTAGGTCAGTGGCATTTAATTCAGTAAATAGAATCCATGGCTTTTCTCTAGCAAAGTTCCCCAAACAAAATTCTCCACTATAGCCAATGTCCAGCTCTTCCTTCTACTTTATAAGGGATCAGTGTTCTCTCTGTAATACCTAGCTTTGCCACACTGTGGTACCCAAGGCCTGGCTTATTGGTGTCAAGGTTGTACTTGAAATATAGGAAGTGGTTTCTTCATTTCTATGCACCTCTAATAGAGAGTGTTACTGTTGATTTTTTTCAGCATAGTCTTCTGTTCTCAGCACTGCACTTACCTCTATGGTTTTAGAACACCGCTGGCAGGAGAAGAGGAAAACCAGAGCTGATATTTGGATAGGTTCTTTCAGGCCTTGTACCTCTGTTTCAGACAAACAAATAGGAAATTTCAGTCACCTATTTTTCAGTCAGTAGTCTGAAAAAGCATAAATGTAAAACTAAGCTCATTGTTTCATCCAGATAATGATGTGTTGATACATTCTGACAGCTTCTTAGGTTATTATTAATATTATTATTATTGCAGGCCCAAAAGAAGATCATTTGACAAACTTTGGGCTGTCTTACCCGGTAGAAATAGTTCAGCCACTTCATTGGGAGGCCCAGCAATCAGAACTGTGATTCTAAGGTAGAAGGGAAGAAACTAGCTCTTATCGAATGCTTACTATGTGCAGGGAGCTATTTTAAACATTTCTGCTTTAAGCATTCCCACTTAATACTCATATCAACCTTATGAGGTCGTATGAACCTCCTCTTTTAAGTGAAGAACATAAAATTTAAGTATATTTCCCAAAGACACATAGTGAGATTCAGAGTAAGGATCTGAATTCTGTGCCAAAACCACTGACTATTATCACTCTGTGTTCTCTCTTGCTTCCATTCACTCTGGTGTCCTTGCAACAATCTTTTCGACCAAGTATTTTAACTACATTTTACACCTGAGGACATTAAAGCAAAGGGAGGTAAAGTGACTCTCCCATGATTACTAGCTAGTAAATGACTGGATTCAAGGAATGATCTACAGAGCTCTTTCTTTTTCCAATATATCCTACTGCTGCAGGCTATAGGGTAGGGCTCTTTACTCTGGAGCTCCAGGAGTTGGGTTTTGTTCAAGAGAGTCATGAACTCTCTTAAACACATAATACTGTCTTTGGTTTTGGAATGAGGGTCCCTGGTTGGATTCAGACTTTCGGTAGTTCCATTATATCAAGAAGGCTAATCCCACTTCCCCCTACTTTAAAGTTCTGTTGGAAGCTGCCTGAAGCATGAGTTCAGTTGCAGTAGGTTCAGAAGAGCTACTCTTATCCCAGACATCTTTTTTATTCTAACTAGATCTGGATCAGACACCTCAGGACTATCCCTTCTTCCTTCCTTTCCTGAATCCCACCAGTTTGGAGTTCATTGGAACTCCCAAGTCTGAGTCTCTGTGTAAGAGACAGGCCAAAAGTTTCTCTTAGAGCAGAGATTCACTTTCAAAAGACACAGTCTTTATATCTTTGTCTTCATCATACACATGGCAAAAATTAAAGCTTGACAAAGTGTTAGTAGCTGCTTAATACACTTCATGATTGATGGGAGGAATCTTGTAGGGGACGTAGGTTTAAATAGGTGGAGAAACTTGTCCTGAACTGTGGTACCACATGCCGGGGGAGATGCCAGCACACCAGGAGCCATGAGAGACTCAGAACATTCCTCTCTCCTAACTTGATGTCATAATGATGCCTGAAGTTCCTCAACTGATGATTTATTTATTAATCCTAAAGCTTTATTCTTCATCCAATATACATGTTCTGGGTGGGTGTGGATGGGGACTGGTGTCTCACCACTTTTTAGTCTTTTATACATTAGTATGAATTTATTCATTCAGCAATTATTCCATGTTATATTCATTAAGCACTTACTTTTCTGACAGTTATCACCTCATTAGAGCCTTTGCCATAGGGTTTTGAACAAGGGATCATGAAGCAAACACAGGAAGGAAAAAATGAAAGCCAGTGCTGCAAAGAAAGTGTTGGGGCTGAAAACAAACTCTATTGGTTTCAAATTTGGGCTAGGATTGGCCCAGTCCATCTTGAAGCTATAAACTATTTTCTCCTAATCTCCACTCTTTGCCACTCAACTTCTCTTAAAAACCCATGTTAATTGGTTGGGTGGAGTGCTTAGATAACAGAAGTTATTTTAAAATAGAACATTTAATGTGTAGAAGCCAAGGAGCATTGTAAAGAAGCAAAAAGAGCTGTGAGAGATCAGAAGCAAAGCAGAGTGGGAAGGAGAAAAAGTCTTAGAATCCACCACCTGCTTTTGTGAAAGCCTTGTCTGTTTATTTTTGACTCAGGACATGCAGGCACAAGTTAAGAAGCCTAATGGTTTGTGAATCTGGAACTTTTATACTTGGCTCATATGAAAAAGCCTGAGACGTGTAGGAGAGCTGGCATTTGGGGAAGAAAAACTTATTGTTTTCATGTGTATTTGTTCCGTTACCGCCTTTTCTTCATCTACCACCAACTAGATGATGGCATAATAGAAGACATGAGCCCTGAATAAAAATTTTCCAACCTAAAAGTGCATATTTTTGAGGGTTTATCCCCTCTAAGCCCTCAGTTGTTTAATAATTATTTTATAAACACATAGTTCCCTGGCATAATTTGCCATAATTTCGTGATTAAAATGATGTAGAGGTGCCACACTTTTAAAGAATTAACTCATTGCCTTTGCTCGATCTATTATAGCCCCCTCTCAAATTTAAAAAATATATACAAATTTGAAAAATCACTTACCTATGACCCTTAATTTTCTTTTTTTAAAAATAAGCATTTTAGGTTAGATAATTGCAAAGATCCCTTCTATCCCCCATACTTAGTTTTGTTATTCTATAGGATGGGAAACAATTGCAGCACTTATAACTTTTTATGATGCCCCAAATTGCAAAGCATAATGAAATATGGCTCACCATCCACCACGATGTGAAATTTTTCTTATGGTCAACAACTTCATTTTTTATTTCCAAATGATATAGTGTGTTTTCAAGAGGCTTTTTATATCAAATCTATATAAGCAGACGTCCTGATGCATTTAAAGTTAATACAGACAACTCAGAAATCTCCCTAACGCCCTAGCCATAATATACCTGTCAGATTCCCTACCATCTCTAATGACCTCAACTTATGGTCATCGATCATTTGATGGAAATTTCTCTGCCACATCCCTGAAAAAAAAGATGATGGCAAAGAAGAGACAATGCTAGCTAATTGCAGTTTGTCTCCCAAAATATTTTCCCAGAAGCTTTTAATTAGTTCAATGTGTATACTATATTTTACTAGGGGTCATGGTGTATTTAACCAATGAAAATATTAAAAATGAAACCGCGGCCCGGCGCGATGGCTCACGCCTGTAATCCCAGCACTTTGGGAGGCCGAGGCAGGCAGATCATGAGGTCAAGAGATAGAGACCATCCTGGCCAACATGGTGAAACCCCGTCTCTACTGAAAATACAAAAATTAGCTGGGCATGGTGGTGCATGCCTGTAGTCCCAGCTACCCAGGAGGCTGAGGCAGGAGAATCACTTGAACCCGGGTGGCGGAGGTTGCAGTGAGCGGAGATCACGCCACTGCACTCCAGCCTGGTGACAGAGTGAGACTGTCTCAAAAAAAAAAAAGAAAAGAAAAAAAAAGAAACAGCAATTTAATAAATGTCATTTTTTGACATTGAATATTAATAGGTCAATGAGAAAATATTTCTTAATTATATTAGTTGTGTGCCCAGCATTGCCAATATACTATTAAATTTAATTCTATCCAAAGGATTAATATTTGCTACCTAAATTAAAATAGTTAATTGTGTTATGTTTTGTGTTTTCTCAACAGATTGGATTCTTCAAAAGACCACTGAAAAAGAAAATGGAGAAATGAAATATTTTATGAAAGAAAATAATAACAATTATTCAATAATCTATCCTCAGGTTTGCCTCAAATATGTGACAAGAAATGTATAATTCATGACATAGTCATGTAACTATGTAATCCATCAGGGATTCATTACTTGGAAAATGACAGGTCATGCATTATCCAAAAACAATACCAAAAAGACATATTTTATAAAATGACAAAAAATATTTTACATAATTACTCATTTTTGTTGAGTAAGCAAAATTACAAAGTGTTTTTAAAAAAACCTGTACAAATATGTTTATGTATTAAATCACCATCCAAAATATTTAAGGAATATATAAAAAGATTTTTATGATCATAGAAACATCTATTTTCAAAACAATATAAATTAAGCTTTTCCCCTTGATTCCTGTTGGATATCCATGTTCAGCATGACAGTCAGCACTCGTAAATGCCAAGAAAAGAATTACCTGAAAAAGATCATTTCTCCCTATTCAAATGAGAATATTTTCCCTTGGTAGAATCCATATACAATATGGATTGAAAATTAAGTCACCAAGAATACATTTAGCATCTTTGTGTTGGGTTCTATACCTAAAAATTTTCCCTCCCTGCCCAAGGTGATTGGAAAGTACTGCAATTGAGCTAAAATTTTATCTAGGATGGAAAATCAGGATAGACTCGTTTAAAAACAAGTATATTAAATGGGTTAAATTAAGCTTTTACAGAACATGCTTAATTTTGATATTGAGCTCTAAATGCAAAACTCTTTTATACTGAAAAAACACTTAAAGTAGTTTTGTGTGGCATCACAGTGATTTGTCATGAAAAGCCATATATGGGGGACATGCTAAAATGGCTTCTGAATGAAATACGACAGCAGAGAAAGATGCCACTGAAATGCTGAAATTATCTTTGCTGAGCAGCTTTTGAATGCTAAGGGTTCCAGTATGTGACCCAAAGAAAGAGTTGTCTCAACTCCTTGGTACAGGGTTCATTCAAACCCCCAAGCTGTGAGAGTGTGTTTATTTTTAATTTTTTAAAAGGTATTTAATTTCCAACCACACTTCTTATTTTTTTGAAAAGACAATTTTCCATTTCAGTATTACATTTTACCAAGAAGTCACTGCTTTTTAGGTGTGTTGCATCAATATTTAAATAAAATCCCAGAAATGTATTTTAAAGAATTTCAGGTTTGAAAACTCAAACCAACAGGAAGATATCACACCTTTGTATGTGCTTCTTTGTTCTTGAAGTAGTCATTATGGTTCATTGGAATCTACTGTAGCATAAGCTCCTAGGTTGCTCCATTTCTTAGGAAAATAGCAATGAATGAATGTATAGTAGCTGCATGTGTGAACTACTGCTGTAAAGTTTGCTGACATTTCTGCAACAACATTTCTCCATCTGATTTACCAGAACCTGTAACAAGACCAGAACATGTATTCATCCAGAAACTCCTGGGCTCTGCTTTGTTCAAAGAGGAGCAAATCCACATAGAAATTAAATGTTATAAATTTATTTTTTTAAACTAATTTCCAAAGAATTTAGCTGAAGACTCAGAGTCAGCCTACCTCTTGACTCTCCACATCCGCATCTAAGATCCTGAAGGCCAAAGGAATGCGCCTGTGGGATGCCAAAGCCATCAGTAGCTGGAAGAAAGAATACCTCTTTCTAGAGGTTTGGTGTCCTCTTGCTGGCCTGTCATTATTTGGAAATACGCGCTTTTGGAATTTCCTTCATTTTCGCTATTTCCAGGTTCAGAAATCATACCTACCACTTGTTCTTTCTTTGCCCAGTAAAACTCAGGGTTTCTCTTATTCAGAGTTACCATGTTGCACACCCCCAGTGCTCAGCCTGCCCAGAAGCCCTTCTCTGATCTCAGCAAGATCTTAGTAGTAAAGCTAACGGATCCATTGAAATTCATACTCAGCATCTGTGACTACTAGACAAAGCCCATTTACTGAACCATAAGTGTGCACTTTTAAACTAAATTGTTAACTGAAAGGGAAAAAATAGAAATGAGGGCATTTTGAAGTTTTTAGAAAAGAGAGGAAGAGCTGTTGGCCAGATCAAAGAGATACTTATAAGCCCGGCACAATTTTTAACATAAGTCATTCCTGGCTATTAAGTAAAATATTTCATGAACCAGAAGTCCTGTTTCTCTAATATTATAATTTGTTGAGGTTTGTGTGTGTGTGTGTGTGCATGTGCAGACACATGTACACATATAAATTGAATACAAAAATAGCTCTATAACACCAAAAAACAGAGTTTACAGAAAATAAACACAAAAGCTATATCTGCAAGACAAGTTTGATTCATCTAGTTTCATATAGTTTCATATAGTTTCATTTTTATTAATATTTAGGTTTAACTTATAGTTCTGCAATTATTTAAAAAACAAGTACAGAGCGTTTGATTAAAAAAAGTCAACAAATGTTTCAAAACAGCTTTGTACAAATGTTATAAAACATATTTAATGATTAAGAAATGTACTAGACTCTATCATTTACTTTTAAAACATTTAATTAGAAAAACAGGTGATATTTAAGACTATTTATAAACTTATTGGCCAAATTGCCAAAAAGTTTCTTTTTCTCTAACTTTGGTATTCTAAATAATTGATTATTGCTCCCATTGTAAACTGAACCATGTATGCACTCTCTTTTCTGACCAAACTACAATGGTATATTGGTAAATTATTTAACAACACACTGTCCAGGAGGGAAAAAAAAAACAGTCTCTGATTTGTATCATTTGCCAATTTCCATGGTCCAAATATTCTCTCTCCATTTTCAAACTACCAAAGTGACCCTAATCAGCTTACAAAATTCCTGGAAATGTATCTGCCACCTCTTACCAACCAGTGTGAGCTGACTTCAGCACACCACTGAGACAGATTACACGATAGACAGATAGATAGATAGATAGATAGATAGATAGATAGATAGATAGATAGATATTGATAGAGAACATGTTGTGTCTATATACATATCCAATGACACACAGTATAATCATGTTTTAAATTATGCCAAAAGTACTGATTATATCAAGCCCAGTAAACATAATGCTACACAGCACCCATTCTTTAATTTTGATTTCTAAAATTATAACCTTCCTTTGATATTAATAAAATGTTATGAACTTGCAGGAGAAGGAAGGAGTTGAAAGAAGGAAAATATAAAGGGTGATCCACAGTGAAAATCAGACCTACACAAGCCACAAAAAAATTGTCTCATTTTCCCAAGGAATTCAAAGTCCTGTGATACACATTACAAAAGATGACACTTTGTAAATATTTTGAACTTCTATGATCCAATTTCAACTTCATTGGTCCAATTTGTCAAACTATTTTCCTCTGAGCACTAGATTCATGGGCAATTTAATCTCTGAATATTTTCTGTGTCATAAGTGTGCTTGAAAAGAGGCTTGTAGTAAACAGATATTTTTACAAAATTTGATGCTTCTGCAACCATAATAATTTTATCTATAAATGCGTATATACATATATATATATATATATATACACATACACTCACATGCAGATATTTACATATATAGATATTCTCTTTTCCTTTTATAAAATCAAAGTCTAGGCTCAATTGGAAAATGGAAATATTTGCACCAAAAGAAAAAAGTGCCATTGTTGTGATCAATGGAGTAAAGCTGGGGTATAGTAGAGGCTGGGGAATCCCTGCCCATGTTCTCTCCAAGGCCACAGCTTGCACACCGTGAATGGTGGCCCCACTGGCTCCATGGAGTGTGCCTTCACGCGGGGGAATGTCCTTGTCCAACACGCTGTAATCTACTCCATGGGAACTGACTGTCCTGCTTTTCACAACATTGAGAAACAGGCCCAGAGCCTGTCTCATGTGCCAGGTGCAGTCACATTATTGTTAAAATAAAGTGGCTTCTGACAAATCAGTTTTTCAAAATAGCATCCTATGTACTTTTCATTTCTTCCAACAACCCTCAGGCCCCCTTTTGCCAGTTTTCTCCCCCAGGGGAGATTTTCAAGACTACTGGAGAAAAATCTGTTAATAAAACATTTGCTCTGAGTACCAGCTTCAGTGACTCAATCATTTATACAGGATTTCAGTGTTTTGTTCTGCAGCGGTGTTCTAAAGGGTTCACATAGTATAATGGAGGAGGGACAAAGCAGAATATACTTCCAAGCTGGAACATCTTTAAGACATTTACAAACTGTTATGGGACACTATCAGCAACTACGCCTGGGGAAGCTAGCAGGATTTAGCTCTTCAATGGCCCTCCAAATGCACCCAACAATCGCCAACCTCACCCATGGAAATCATCTAAAAAATGAAAAGAAGGGCCTTAAAGTCCTCACATGGATGCTGTATTTATAACTAAAATGTACAGTTTAATTCTAAATAGCAGGCTTTTAAATGCAAACAGCTTCCAGGTGAGTCCTCTGGCTGCCAATCAGACTGCTGATTCTAAACCATTCTCACACAGAATTTCTGAAACCAACACCAGGTATTAATTGTTAACTGCAGTGAAAGGAAACCAAGGCACATTACAAAAGGCTAAATGCTGCTGTTTCTAAGTGGAAGCACTGTTGAACAACACTCTTAGGTGGAATAAGAAAATTAGGGTTAAACTGTAACATTGTAATCGGACGAACAAATCAGCATCTTTGATCCTCAGGTTAAAATTTAATCTTAAATTTAGAAATTCAAAGTAACAGCCTTTAACCATTAACCTTGAGGAAAATGTGAAGTAGCATCTGGAGTCTCTTAAGCCCCAGCCCTGTTGTCCCCTACAGCATCTCCACCCAGGAAGTCCAGTTCCTAACTAATGGGAATGGATCCTTTTCCCATTATAAAGGGCCGATGCTTAACCCTTGAACCCACTACTGTTCTTATGCCCCAAGATCTGCACCTTACATCAGGCACCCGGGAATGCTTCTCATTGAAATTTTACCATACCAAAAAATATGTAAGGGTGACTCATCACTCCTAACTTTGGACTCC
This sequence comes from Homo sapiens, assembly GCF_000001405.40. Taxonomy (NCBI): domain Eukaryota; kingdom Metazoa; phylum Chordata; class Mammalia; order Primates; family Hominidae; genus Homo; species Homo sapiens. Next base: position 52,957,428 of record NC_000005.10, read on the forward strand.
TTGCTTTGAGATCGGTATTTTTTTCTCTCTCTTTACATATAGCAAAAGCTTTCCCCAGTAGCTGATGAATTTAGAACTTTATACAAGACTCCCTAGCATTTTCCTCCTCCCACAGGCTGGAGAATTTCAGTGCTATGAGACTGGGCAGTAGGAGCCAGAGCCAATTTGCAGGATCTCTTTTCCTTCTGCCTTCCAGTTGGCTTCTCTTCTCAGCTGCGTGGTGGGGATGATTTGGGGTTTCCTCAGCAAGGCCATTCTCTGCCTTGTGCCCATAGCAGGGCCTTGGGTGGTGACATGTTATCTTTGTTGGTGAGCAGACACTCAGAGATCCTTTAATTATCTGACACACCAGGGAAATCTTGGCAATCAACTAAGGACCTGTGACACTCATAACTATGTTTACATTTGGCTTTAGCATATTTCAGGTAATATCTTTATGAAAAAAAGATGAAGTATGGAATTGTAGGAACTCTTTTGCAATAGACTGAGATCCAATGTTTAAATCTTTTTATTTCAGTTTGATCTGTGCCTTTAGATTGGGGACAAAATTTTAAAAACAAATCTTCCAAATGACACCACAATGAAAGCCAGTTGTGGTCTTGAAAAATCTCTCTATTGCATTACTTATCCTCACCCTTGTTTTTTAAGAGGTAGAGAGAGATTACTGGGAAGCAGTGAGCCAACATAATTGTCCTTTCCTCTACAGAATAGCTGTGCAGAAGGGGACCACCACACTTAGGACCAGTGCCAGGTGACAATCTTTCCGTCATGCTGCTGCAGCATTTTGCACCTTGAGAGACAGGAAAAAAAATGGGGGTGAGGGAGTGGAAGATGATGAAACTATTTCTCTTTTATGTCTACATCCTTACTCCTCAAAATACTTTAAGCTCACTCAGACCCCATATACCCTGCCCACAATACTAACACATGTACTTTGCATAAGTAAATTGTTGATTAAATAAGAGCAAAACTATATTCTTATGTGTAGATTAACCAAGGCTAATTTCCTGGAGTTTAATACACTTTGGATTCAAGTAAAAACAATCACTTAATGCAGCAACATCTCAGACCCTCTTCACTCTAGAACCGTTTTATACAAGAGAACTCAACATTTACTGTTTTATTTCTGATATTGCCTGCCATTACTCAGGATGCAAGAGATGCTCTGCATTCCTTATTAGGAAAAATTGGCCTGTAAGGAGAATGGTATACTGCGTATTACTACTGTGAGACTGTAAAATTGTTAATGGACAGTGTAAAGAATTGTATTCATTTTATTAGCAAGAAAAATATTGCATACAAGAACTACTGCCCTGAAATATCCATCACTCCAATGAACTGTTCTGCCTGATCTAACATAAAGTTATATTTCATTGCTCATTTTTTTTTGCCTCACTAAAATGACTAACTTAAGGGAATGTGCATTTCTACAAGACTTTAATTGGATAAACTCATTAGAAGAAAATGTTTCGATTGCATTCAGGAACAAAGAAGCATAACCTTTGTTGACTCTTGTAATTTATTATATGCTTCATTTAAACCCATTTTGTAAAGAAATCAGGTAACAGTCATTTAATCTGATATAATTAGAAATAGCTGAGAGAGTAAAAAAGCATTTTGAATGTCCTATGTATGGCATATCCTGTACACCAATTGAAGGTCAGAGCTTTGGTATTTTTGTATAATTCTGTCTTATCTGGTGCATCAGCTGTGTATTTTACGTCAAGGTAAATGAGCATCCTGTTTTATATGTTAAATTTTAAAAATGACTTTTTCAAAGAAGAATGTGATTGCTGTGATTTTTAAGTGTGTATATTTTTTCCAAAATTAATGTGACTTCTTCTGAAGCTCCGACCTTTTTTTTTTTTTTTTGATGCTTTGGCAGGTTTTCACTCTAATGCTCTAAAAGGAAAAAGCAAAAAGTAAATTAAGTCTGTCTGTGGTGTTTCCTGTACAAGATTTAGCAATGTGATTAGTTTTTTTGTGAACTTGAGACAAAAACCACAGGATCTATAATACTATATATCTTCTTCTAATGAGATGTTTTAATAATAAATAGTCTGCAGTATAAACATAGATTATACCACATAGGTGATATAAAAAAAATCAAGAAATTTAAACGTAGTTATTTTCTTTATTCAATTTATACTTTATTATATAAAATTATTTAACATATTAGGGCTAGAAGAAAATACAGGAAGAAGTTTTAGTAAAAATAACACATGGTCATCTTATTTAAAATTTCACCCTCAAACTATGCTGTGGGGTGAGTGAGAAGCTATTGTTACAGAAGACACAGACTGAATTATGAAGGGGTTATTTGTCAGGTCATCTACCTAAGTTTTGGCAGAGCACATTTTCACTGCCCTATCTTTTCTCTCTTACTGTAAAGTAAGTGCTTTTTCTCTCTCTTCACCCCTTATCCAGGAAGAGAATACAGTGGAGTTACTAAGGAAGAATCTGGATATATTCACTGGAAAATAAATGGTATACCTCAAGATTTATTATTTGTACATCCAGAGAATATCACAACATTTACTTCCTTACCTTCATTTACTTTGATTATAAAAATAATGTGATCCGCATAGGCAGATGTCAAGTGTAATTTCACCAAACAGAAGTGATCATGAATTAAGAAGACTGAAGATTATGTCTATTTATTCTTTATAACAGCAATATTATTTTAATTGCTTAAAAATATGTGAATATTAATTGTTAAGAAAACATTTATGGTAAAAGGGGGATGTATACACATGTAGATAATTTGAAAACCACAAGAAATAATTTTAAAATAGCCATCATACCAGTACCAGAAATTATATGCTAAAAATCATAAAGAATATAGTACCCTGTACTTTTAAAAACTATAATATTATATTTCTTAATTTTTCTCTAGTAAAAAAAGGATGATGGTCATCAAATACTTTCCCTTGCTTTGAAGTTGACAATAAGGAAGAAAATTACCCACTCGCCTCCTTCTCCTTCTGAGCCAATAACTGCTATACACATACACATACACATATGGCACACTAGAATTCTCCATAGTCTGCATGGAGAATAATTACTTCTTTACCTACTTCTTCAAGCAAAAGTGGGATGGGGCAAAGAGCAAAGAGTGATGGGGGAAAGATGGGTAAGATAATGTCACTAAGAATGATAGCATATTTGGCCTTGTTTATTATGCAAACCAACTATATTATTTTATTAATAATCCCAGAGAAAGAAAGAATTTTTGCCAGAAACAAAAGACCTGGCATCATTACAAGCATTAGCAAAAAAAAGACAGTAAATAAGGAACAGAGGAACACATGAGACAGGAGACATATAGAAAACAAACAGCAATATGGCAAATATAACTCTGGCCATATCAATAATTACATTAAAGGTAAATGATCTAAACACCCAAATCAAAAAGCAGAGATTTTCAGACTGATAAAAGAATAAAGTTGATCTACATGCCCTCTAAAAGAGAAAGACTTTAGCTTGAAAGGTGCAAGTGGGTTGAAAGAAAAATGATGGAATAAAAATACACTACGCAAATAGTAACCATAAGAGAGCTGGAGTGGCTATATTATATCAGACAAAATAAACTTTAAGATGTGTCTAGTTCCAGGCATAGGAAGATTCTAATCTTGTGAAGGAGACAGGGACCCATGGAAATCTGCTAAGCATGTAGATATTCTAGATTTTTGCTTGGATTGACTTTGATGTCCTGTAGATTTTCAAGGACCATTGACACCTGAAATAAAACTCGGATGAAGGAAGAATCCATGGAGTCACCCCACTTTGAAATTTGTCTTAAGTTCATGTGTAGGGGGATCCCTAACCTACACAGATTCTGGTTGCCATGGTCTAATTGCTACCCCAGTGGCAGGAATAATAGAACAGGCATCATAGTCCATAGGCACCTAGGCTTCCAAGCAGTTCACAGATTTTGGTCATGTGCCAGGTCTCTAGTTAGTACTTCACTGGCAAGTGCTGGCTTGAATTAATAAAAGCAGCATTGAAATATCTGTGGGTTTTGTCTTTAGCTTCCACTTCACTCAGCTATTTTTTTGTTTTTGTAGTATCTTTCAACTGATTGTGTGGCATGAATTCATTTAGATACCACAACTCAGAATGGCATTCCAAAGGCAAGAGTGGAAATGTCTCAACTTGGTAAATAAAAATAGCAACCAGATTCAGCCATCAGACGGTAATTAGTGGAGCTGGAAGCTAGCCATTCCAAGGACTAACTATCCTTGATAAAACGCCCAAGGCTCTTTAGCTTTGCATGCTCAATCTCTCCTTTTCTGTTTTCTTCCTTCCTTTACTCAGATTTTTCTATTCTATTTCACTCAAGTACCATCTGTTATTCCTTTTCACACACTTTTCAGACCCTTCTTTTATTCCTGCCCATTCTGCATACCTCATCGTTAAAAGGCGGGTAATTCTACAAAGATTCCAATTAGTGTATTGTTTGACGGCTGATCAGGTTTTCCCCCTTTTAAGATGAACCACTGAATAAATGGTGTAAAGAATGTAGTCTTGTGTTGCCAACATCTTGTCAGAATTTTTTTTGAAGTTTGAGTTCACTATTGTCCACTTGAGTTGCCATTAAGCATAATGTATATCTCTGTGTGAACATGTCTGAGCCCATATGTGAGCAAACACGTGAATGAAGATTGTATTTTTAGATGGAAAGTCATTTGAATTCTGAAAGTGGCAGGACATGTAAGGCAGTAATACAGGGAAAGTAGGTAGTTTTGAATGAAACTGATGGTGACTGGTGAAGTCTCCCAATTTTCTATGGGGAGGGGAAGAAAGGTAAGAGACTAACATTTGTTGTCTGCCTCCCACATGCCAGGCATTGAGCTAGGCAATTTTCCAACATCAAGCCTTTTAATCCTATCAGCAACACTAAATGGTATTATTATTATTATTCCTATTATACAGATGATGTAATTGAGACCCAAAGGACCTAAGGAGCTACTTCAAGGCTATAAAGCTAGTAAGTAGTGATGTAGAAATAAAAACCAAGATCTATCTGAGTCCGAAGCTGCTTCCCCAAGGACAGGAACTTGAGAGGAAGTCACTGGAAGAGAAATGAAAACACAGAGGTAGAGGAGAACACACATCTATTTTGGTAGTACTTGGCACATAGTAACTTTCAGTAAATATTTGTTTATTGCTGAATGGATGCAAAAATTGATCAACTATATTAGTCAGAGATCTCCAGAGACATAGAGCTAATAGGAGATATATACATATATATGTGTATATAGGAGAGATATCTATCTTACACACACACACACACACACACACACACACACACACACACACACACACATATATATATATATATATATATATGGAGAGAGAGAGATTATAAGGAACTGCTTCACATGGCTATGGAGGCTGAGAAGTCCCATGGTCTACGGTCTGTAAACTAGAGACCCGGGAAAGCTGATGGTATAGTTCCAGTCCAAGTCTGAAGGTCCAAGACTAGGAGAACTGATGATGTAAGTGGTGGAAGAAAGCTGGTGGTGTAGTTCTAGTCCAAGTCCAAAGGCCTGAAAGTCAGAAGTGCCAGTGGTATAAGTCCCAGTCCAAGTGTAGGAGAAGACTGATATCCCAATTCAAACTGTCAGGCAGAGAGAGCAAATTCTCTCTTACCCTGCCTTTTGTTCCATTCAGGCCTCCAACAGATTGGATGAAGGCTAAAAACACTGGCCATCTGCTTTCCTCAGTCTACCAATTCAAATGCTAATCTCACTCAGAAACACCCTCACAAATATAACCAGAATAATGTTTAACCAAATATCTGGGCACCCTATGTCCCAGTCACATTGACACATAAAATTAATCATCACAAGTCCACCTCTGTCAACTTGTCACCCATACACATCTCCTTAAGCCATACTTAACCTCAAAATAAAGGCAATAACAAGGTCATAATTTCACCAAACATGATACAATTATCCTGCATACCACTAAAAATGCACTAACCCCTTCCCCAGAAAAGGAGGCAAAGTCTTTGAAATTCACTCTTCTCCTTGATGTCTAGTAACTGAAATACTATGATTGAAAATTAACAATACTTAACTATGATATAAAGTCAATACATCTGCAGTTACATGACAAAAGAATCAGAGAGAGTGAAAATCAAAGATATTTTCTTAATACGTACAAATATAATTATATTTAAAACATATTCACATTCTAAACAAAATAAGGAGGACTATTCATAACAATTACAGTCCTCTTTTTTTTGTAACTGGTCACTTGTAGCTGATACTTACAGCTACCTTCTTCCACTAGCCACTCTATGTTCCTTTTCCCTTCAGCAAGCTCCTTATTTGGTCATGGTTCTTCACCTGGTAGAATGACCCAAATCTTCATTCCTGAAGAGTCTGAGCCATTAGTAGTCCTTCCTGGATTGGGCTGTTGTAGCTTTCCATTGATTATAATCACAAGGTAAGGTAATACTCAGTGACACACTAAGGGATCTCTTGGAATTCAAGCATGTTCTTTCTTACCTCAATTGTGGAGTAGCAGTTGAATTTCTCTTCTGTAGCGAGGATCAGCCACCTCACCCAGTATAATATTATAACTCACTTCTTTGCCTATTGATTCAGAGTCATGAGAAGCTCAAAGGGGCCAGGTGGCAATCTTAATTTCCAGTTCAATGGAATCATTTTTGTGTCTCCTGGTGGGAGCATTCTTCCCTTAGGAACTGAGATCCCTAGGCCACCAGAGCATAAGGTTATGAGAACAGAAAGCAAAAATTTTGTTAGTGGGTCCCTGCGGGTAATAGTGAGTGGAGTCACTCCTATTTCCACCTTTGATTCCTGGACTCATGAATCCTAGTTATTGGAGAAACAGCACCATATACTGGACAGTGATTCAGAGTATATTCAGCCTTGTAGAGAATCTTGTCCATGCCCTCTGATGTACTGCCACCTAGCTGGTGCTATAGCTGAGTCTTCAGAAGGACATTCCACTGTTTCATCAGACCAGCTGCTTCAGTATGGTGGAGAACATGGTAAGACTAGTGAAGTCTATGAGCCTGGGCCCACTGCTGCACTTACTTTGCAGCAAAGTGAGTTTGTCAGTCAGAAGCAATGCCATGGGGAATACCATGATGGTGAATAACGTTTTATAGTTATATTTTTCCAGCTCACTTACATCTCTTTGGCAAGGAAATCATGAACATACAAAATGATCACTAATCATAGACTTGAACCCTTGGAGGCAGTTGAAAAATCACCCAGTACTGGAAACTTCTTTACAACATCCCAAACAGTGAAACCTGGTCTATGCTTGGGCACTTTCAACCGTAAGGTCCTCAGTATCCCAGCTGTAGCTTCTGTTCTGCTTTTGTGAAGCACTAGTTATTTGAAAGTATATCTTTCATTTCAAATTCTAATATTTGCTATGCATCAACAAAAGTCTCTGTATTTATGTAAGTGTTCTTTAACCTATTAAGTATAACTTAGGGCAATGAGTTCCATAAACTTACTACCTATCGTGCAAAGTAAGATTTTATTTAATTTTTCCATTTCCTTATTAATTTAAGATCTAAAATCGCCTCTCCAGTTAATGTCTCTCAATGTATTTACCCTCTACTAACTGTCAGAACTCTCAAACCAGTGTTTTCATTCATCCAAAACATAAAGAAGCAGTATTAGTAGACTGTAATATTAGGATAAAATATAGCAATATTAGAATTATTACTATATAGCCGGGCGCGGTGGCTCACACCTATAATCCCAGCACTTTGAGAGGGTGAGGCAGATGGATCACTTGAGGTCAGGAGTTTCAGACCAGCCTGGCCAACATGGTGAAACCCCATCTCTAGTAAAAATACAAAAATTAGCCGGGCATGGTGGCACATGCCTGTAACTCCAGCTATTCGGTAGGCTGAGGCAGGAGAATCACTTCAGCCCAGAAGGCGAAGGTTGCAGTGAGTCAAGATCACGCCACTGCACTCTAGCCTGGGTGACAGAGCGAGACTTCATCTCAAAAAAAAAAATGATTACTATATAATAAACTATTAAACTATTATAAAAATCAAAACAACATATAATAGTGCAAACATAAGTAAGGCATAGTTATGATGCATTTTGCATCTAATGATCTTTTCTCACAGTGACAATACAAGCGGATCCTTGACAGAATTATTAAAGTTATAAGGTGACAGAAATGCATTTTACAAATAACATAGTAGCTTGTAATGGTGCTGATCCAAAAAATACTACCAATTTAAGGTCTTAGATCTTTGTATTATTATGAGAATAGGTAAAATGTTTTACCTCACAACTATTTAACATTAGCCGGCCTGCTTACATCTTTAATACAAATTGAAAACTGGTGAAATTTTTAAATTATTATTATACTTTAAGTATACATGTGCAGAACGTGCAGGTCTGTTACACAGGTATACATAGGTATACACATGCCATGGTGGTTTGCTGCACCCATCAACCCATCATCTACATTACATATTTCTCCTAATGCTATTCCTCCCCTAGCCCCCCACCTCCTGACAGACCCCGGTGTGTGATGTTCCCCTCTCTGTGTCCATGTGTTCTTATTGTTCACCTCCCATCTATGAGTGACAACATGCAATGTTTGGTTTTCTGTTCAAGTGTTAGCTTTCTGAGAATGATGGTTTCCAGCTTCATCCATGTCCCTACAAAGGACATGAACTCATCCTTTTTTATAGCTGCATAGTATTCCATGGGGGCATATGTGCCACATTTTCTTTATCCAGTCTATCATTGATGGGCATTTGGGTTTGTTCCAAGCCTTTGCTATTGTGAAGACTCCTGCAATAAACATTCGTGTGCATGTGTCTTTATAGTAGAATGATTTATAATCCTTTGGGTATATACCCAGTAATGGGATTTCTGGGTCACATGGTATTTCTGGTTCTAGATCTTGAGGAATTGCCACACTGTCTTCCACAATGGTTGAAGTAATTTACACTCCCAGCAACAGTGTAAAAGCGCTCCTATTTCTCCAAAATCTGTTGTTTTCTAACTTCTTAATCATGGCCATTCTAACTGGTGTGAGATGGTATCTAATTGTGGTTTTGATTTGCATTTCTCTAATGACCAATGATAATAAGCTTTTTTTCATATATTTCTTGACCATATAAATGTCTTCTTTTGAGAAGTGTCTGTTCATATCCTTCACCCACTTTTTGATGGGATTGTTTGTTTTTTTCTTGTAAATTTGTTTAAGTTCCTTGTAGATTCTTGATATTAGCCCTTTGTCAGATGGATAGATTGCAAAAATTTTCTTCCATTCTGTAGGTTGCCTGTTCACTCTGATGGTAGTTTCTTTTGCTGTGCAGAAGCTGTTCAGTTTAATTAGATCCCACTTGTTAATTTTGGCTTTTGTTCATTGCTTTTGGTGTTTAGTCATGAAGTCTTTGCCCATGCCTATGTCCTGAATGGTAATGCCTAGGTTTTCTTCTAGGGTTTTTATGGTTTTAGGTCTTATGTTTAAGTCTTTAATCCATCCTGAATTAATTTTTGTATAAGGTGTAAAGAGGGGTCCAGTTTCAGTTTTCTGCATATGGCTAGCCAGTTTTCCCAACAACGTTTATTAAATAGGGAATCCTTTCTCCATTGCTTGTTTTTGTCAGGATTGTCAAAGATCAGATGGTTGTAGATATGTGGTGTTATTTCTGAGGCCTCTGTCTGTTCCATTGGTTTATATATCTGTTTTGGTACCAGTACCATGCTGTTTTGGTTACTGTAGCCTCATAGTATAGTTTGAAATCAAGTAGCGTGATGGCTCCAGCTTTGTTCTTTTTGGTTAGAATTGTCTTGGCTCTTTTTTGATTCCATATGAAATTTGAAGTAGTTTTTTCTAATTCTGTGAAGAAAGTCAATGGTAGCTGGAGGGGGTTGCATTGAATCTACAATTAGTTTGGGCAGTAAAGCCATTTTCATGATATTGATCCTTCCTATCCATGAGCATGGAATGTTTTTCCATTTGTTTTTGTCCTCTCCTATTTCCTTGAGCAGTGATTTGTAGTTCTCCTTGAAGAGGTCCTTCACATCCCTTGTAAGTTGGATTTCTAGGTATTTTATTCTCTTTGTAGCAATTGTGAATGGGAGTTCACTCATGATTTGGCTTTCCATTTGTCTATTATTGGTGTATAGGAATGCTTGTGATTTTTGCACATTGATTTTTGTATCCTGAGACTTTGCTGAAGGTGCTTATCAGCTTAAGGAGATTTGGGGCTGAGACGACGGGGTTTTCTAAATATACAATCATGTCATCTGCAAACAGAGACTGTTTGACTTCCTCTTTTCCTAATTGAACACCCTTTATTTCTTTCTCTTGCCTGATTGCCCTGGCTGGAACTTCCAATACTATGCTAAATAGGAGTGGTGAGAGAGGGCATCCTTGTCTTGTGCCTCTTTTCAATGGGAATGCTTCCATCTTTTGCCCATTCAGGATGATATTGGCTGTGGGTTTGACATAAATAGCTGTTATTATTTTTAGGTATGTTCCATCAATACCTAGTTTATTGAGAGTTTTTAGCATGAAGGGCTGTTGAATTTTATGAAAGACCTTTTCTGCATCTATTGAGATAATCATATGTTTTTTGTCATTGGTTCTGTTTGCGTCATGGATTACATTTATTGATTTGTGTACGTTGAACAAGCTTTGCATCCCAAGAGTGAAGCCAACTTGATTGTGGTGGACAAGCTTTTTGATGCGCTGCTGGATTCAGTTTGCCAGTATTTTATTGAGGATTTTTGCATCAATGTTCATCAGGGATACTGACCTAAAATTTTCTTTTTTTGTTGTGTCTCTGCCAGGTTTTGGTATCAGGATGATGCTGGCCTCATAAAATGAGTTAGGGAGGAGTCCCTCTTTTTCTATTGTTTGAAATAGTTTCAGAAGGAATGGTACCAGCTCCTCTTTGTACCTCTGGTAGAATTTGGCTGTGAATCCATCTGGTCTGGGCTTTTTTTGATTAGTACGCTATTAATTACTGCCTCAATTTCAGAACTTGTTATTGGTCTATTCAGGGATACAACTTCCTGGTTTAGTATTGGGAGGGTGTATGTGTCTAGGAATTTATCCATTTCTTCTAGATTTTCTAGTTTATTTGCATAGAGGTGTTTATATTATTCTCTAATGGTAGTTTGTATTTCTGTGGGATCAGTGGTGATATCCCCTTTATCATTTTTTATTGTGTCTATTTGATTCTTCTCTCTTTTCCTTTTTGTTAGTCTGGCTAGTGGTCTGTGTATCTTATTAACCTTTTCAAAGAAACAGCTCTTGGATTAGTTGATATTTTTAAGGGTTTTTCGTGTCTTTATCTCCTTTAGTCCTGCTCTGATCTTAGTTATTTCTTGTCTTCTGCTAACTTTTGAATTTGTTTGCTCTCGCTTTTCTAGTTCTTTTCATTGTGATGTTGAGGTGCCAATTTTAGATCTTTCCAGGTTTCTGATGTGGGCATTTAGTGCTATCAATTTCACTCTACATACTGCTTTAGCTGTGTCCCAGAGATTCTGGTACATTGTGTCTTTCTTCTCATTGGTTTCAAAGAATTTATTTCTGCCTTAATTTTGTTATTTACCCAGTAGTCATTCAGGAACAGGTTGTTCAGTTGCCATGTAGTTGTGTGGTTTTGAGTGAGTTTCTTAATCCTGAGTTCTAGTTTGATTGCACTGAGGTCTGAGAGACTATTCGTTATGATTTCTGTTCTTTTACATTTGCTGAGCAGTTTCCAATTATGTGGTCAGTTTTAGAATGAGTGTGATGTGGTGCTGAGAAAAATGTATATTCTGTTGATTTGGGGTGGAGAGTTCTGTAGATGTCTAATAGGACCGCTCGGTCCAAAGCTGAGTTCAAGTCCTGAACATCCTTGTTAATTTTCTGTCTCGTCAACGTGTCTAATAGTGACAATGAGGTGTTAATGTCTCCCACTATTATTGTGTTGGAGTCTAAGTCTCTTTGTAGGTCTCTAAGAACTTGCTTTATGGATCTAGATGCTCCGGTATTGCGTGCATATATATTTAGGATAGTTAGCTCTTCTTGTTGCATTGATCCCTTTACCATTATGTAATGCCTTTCTTTGTCTTTTTTGAACTTTGTTGGTTTAAAGTCTGTTTTACCAGAGACTAGGATTGCAACCCCTGCTTTTTTGCTTTCCATTTGCTTGGTAAATATTCCTCCATCCCTTTATTTTGAGCCTATGTGTGTCTTTGCATGTGAGATGGGTCTCCTGAATACAGCACATTGATGGATCTTGAACCTTTATCCAATTTGCCAGTCTGTGTCTGTTAATTGGAGCATTTAGCCCATTTACATTTAAGGTTAATATTGTTATGTTTGAATTTGATCCTCTCATTACGATGCTAGCTGGTTATTTTGCTGGTTAGTTGATGCAGTTTCTTCATAGTGTTGATGGCATTTAATATGTTTTTGCAATGGTTGGTAATGGTTTTTCTTTTACCATATTTAGTGTTTCCTTCAGGAGCTCTTGTAAGGCAGGCCTGGTAGTGACAAAATCTCTCAGCATTTACTTATCTATAAAGGATTTTATTTCTCCTTCACTTATGAAGCTTAGTTTGGCGGATATGAAATTCTGGGTTGAAAATTCTTTTCTTTAAGAATGTTGAATATTGGCCTCCACTCTCTTCTGGCTTGTAGGGTTCCTGTAGAGAGATCTGCTGCTAGTCTGATGAGCTTCCCTTTGTGGGTTACCCAACCTTTCTCTCTGGCTGCCCATAACATTTTTTTCCTTCATTTCAACCTTGGTGAATTTGATGATTATGTGTCTTGGGGTTGCTCTTCTCAAGGCATATCTTTGTGGTGTTCTCTGTATTTCCTGAATTTGAACGTTGGCCTGTCTTTCCAGTTTAGGGAAGTTCTCCTGGATAATAGCTTGAAGAATGTTTTCCAACTTGGTTCCATTCTCCTCGTCACATTCAAGTACACCAATCAAACATAGGTTTGGTCTCTTCACATAGTCCCATATTTCTTGGAGGCTTTGTTCATTCATTTTCATTCTTTTTTCTCTAATCTTCTCTTCACTCTTTATTTCATTAAATTAATCTTCAATCTCTGATATCCTTTCTTCCACTTGATCAATTCAGCTATTGATACTGGTGCATGCATCACGAAGTTCTTGTGCTGTGTTTTTCAACTCTATCTAGTCATTTATGTTCTTCTCTAAACTGGTTATTCTAGTTAGCAATTCCTCTAACCATTTTTCAAGGTTTTTTTTAAATTTTTTTATTATACTTTAAGTTCTAGGGTACATGTGCACAACATGCAGGCTTGTTACATATGTATACATGTGCCATGTTGGTGTGCTGCACCCATTAACTCGTCATTTATATTAGGTATATCTCCTAATGCTATCCCTCCCTCCGTCCCCCTACCCCACAACAGGCCCTGGTGTGTGATGTTCCCCACCCTGTGTCCAAGTGTTCTCATTGTTCAATTCCCACCTGTGAGTGAGAACATGCAGTGTTTGATTTTCTGTCCTTGTGATAGTTTGCTGAGAATGATGGTTTCCAGCTTCATCCATGTCCCTACAAGGGACATGAACTCATCCTTTTTTATGGCTGCATAGTATTCCATGGTGTATATGTGCCACATTTTCTTAATCCAGTCTATCACTGATGGACATTTGGGTTGGTTCCAAGCCTTTGCTATTGTGAATAGTGCCGCAATAAACATACGTGTGCATGTGTCTTTATAGCAGCATGATTTATAGTCTTTTGGGTATATACCCAGTAATGGGATGGCTGGGTTAAATGGTATTTCTAGTTCTAGATCCCTGAGGAATCACCACACTGACTTCCACAATGGTTGAACTAGTTTACACTCCCACCAACAGTGTAAAAGTGTTCCTATTTCTCCACATCCTCTCCAGCACCTGTTGTTCCCTGACTTTGTAATGATTGCCATTCGAACTGGTGTGAGATGGTATCTCATTGTAGTTTGATTTGCATTTCTCTGATGGCTAGTGATGATGAGCATTTTTTCGTGTATCTTTTGGCTGCATAAATGTCTTCTTTTGAGAAGTGTCTGTTCATATCCTTTGCCCGCTTTTTGATGCGGTTGTTTGATTTTTCTTGTAAATTTGTTTAAGTTCTTTATAGATCCTGGATATTAGCCCATTGTCAGATGGGTAGATTGTAAAAATTTTCTCCTATTCTGTAGGTTGCCTGTTCCCTCTGATGGTAGTTTCTTTTGCTATGCAGAAGCTCTTTAGTTTAATTAGATCCCATTTGTCAATTTTGGCTTTTCTTGCCATTGCTTTTGGTGTTTTCGTCATGAAGTCCTTGCCCATGCCTATGTTCTGAATGGTATTGCCTAGGTTTTCTTCTAAGTTTTTTATGGTTTTAGGTCTAACATCTAAGTCTTTAATCCATCTTGAATGAATTTTTGTTTAAGGTGTAAGGAAGGGATCCAGTTTCAGCTTTCTACATATGGCTAGCGAGTTTTCCCAGCACCATTTATTAAAGAGGGACTCCTTTCCCCATTGCTTGTTTTTGTCAGGTTTGTCAAAGATCAGATGGTTGTAGATATGTGGTATTATTTCTGAGGGCTCTGTTCTGTTCCATTGGTCTATATCTCTGTTTTGGTACCAGTATCATGCTGTTTTGGTTACTGTAGCCTCATAGTATAGTTTGAAGTCAGGTAGCCTGATGCCTCCAGCTTTGTTCTTTTGGCTCAGGATTGTCTTGGCAATGTGGGCTCTTTTTTGGTTCCATATGAACTTTAAAGTAGTTTTTTCAAATTCTGTGAAGAAAGTCATTGGTAGCTTGATGGGGATGGCATTGAATCTATAAATTACGTTGGGCAGTATGGCCATTTTCACAATATTGAGTCTTCCTATCCATGAGCATGGAATGTTCTTCCATTTGTTTGTGTCCTCTTTTATTTTGTTGAGCAGTGGTTTGTAGAGGTCCTTCACATCCCTTGTAAGTTGGATTTCTAGGTATTTTATTCTTTTGAAGCAATTGTGAATGGGAGTTCACTCATGATTTGGTCTCTGTTTGTCTGTTATTGGTGTATAAGAATGCTTGTGATTTTTGCACACTGATTTTGTATCCTCAGACTCTGCTGAAGTGGCTTATCAACTTAAGGTGATTTTGGGCTGAGAAGATGGGGTTTTCTAAATATACAATCATGTCATCTGCAAACAGGGACAATTTGACTTCCTCTTTTCCTAATTGAATACCCTTTATTTCTTTCTCCTGCCTGATTGCTCTGGCCAGAACTTCCAATACTATGTTGAATGGGAGTGGTGAGAGAGGGCATCCCTGTCTTGTGCCAGTTTTCAAAGGGAATGCTTCCAGTTTTTGTCCATTCAGTATGATACTGGCTGTGAGTTTGTCATAAATAGCTCTTATTATTTTGAGATACGCCCCATCAATACCTAGTTTATTGAGAGTTCGTAGCATGAAGGCTGTTGAATTTTATCAAAGGCCTTTTCTAAATCTATTGAGATAATCCTTTGGTTGTTGTCTTTGCTTCTGCTTATATGATGGATTGCATTTATTGATTTGAGTATGTTGAACCAGCCTTACATCGCAGGGATGAAGCCAACTTGATCGTGGTGGACAAGCTTTCTGTTGTGCTGCTGGATTCAGTTTGCCAGTATTTTACTGAGGATTTTTGCATCAATGTTCATCAGGGATATTGGTTTAAAATTCTCTTTTTTTGTCGTGTCTCTGCCAAGCTTTGGTATCAGGATGATGCCGGCCTCGTAAAATGAGTTAGGGAAGATTCCCTCTTTTTCTATTGATTGGAATAGTTTCAGAAGGAATGGTACCAGCTCCTCTTTGTACCTCTGGTAGAATTCGGCTGTGAATCTGTCTGGTCTTTGACTTTTTTTGGTTGGTAGGCTATTACTTATTGCCTCAATTTCAGAGCCTGTTATTGGTCTATTCAGGGATTCAACTTCTTGGTTTAGTCTTGGGAGGGTGTATGTGTCCAGGAATTTTTCCATTTCTTCTAGATTTTCTAGTTTATTTGCATAGAGATGTTTATAGTATTCTCTGATGGTAGTTTGTATTTCTGTGGGATCAGTGGTGATATCCCCTTTATCATTTTTTATTGCATCTACTTGATTCTTCTCTCTTTTCTCCTTTATTAGTGTTGCTCCTGGATTCATTGATTTTTTGAAGGGTTTTTTGTGGCTCTATCTTCTTCAGTTCTGCTCTGATCTTAGCTATTTCTCACCTTCTGCTAGCTTTTGAATGTGTTTGCTCTTGCTTCTGTAGTTCTTTTAATTGTGATGTTAGGGTGTCAATTTTAGATCTTTCCTGCTTTCTCTTGTGGGCATTTAGTGCTATAAATTTCCCTCTACACACAGCTTTGAATGTGTCCCAGAGATTCTGGTATGTTGTGTCTTTATTCTCATTGGTTTCAAAGAACATCTTTATTTCTGCCTTCATTTCATTATGTACCCAGTAGTCATTCAGGAGCAGGTTGTTCAGTTTCCATGTAGTTGAGCAGTTTTGAGTGAGTTTCTTAATCCTGAGTTCTAGTTTGATTGCACTGTGGTCTGAGAGAGAGTTTGTTATAATTTCTGTTCTTTTACATTTGCTGAGGAGTGCTTTACTTCCAACTATGTGGTCAATTTTGGAATAGGTGTGGTGTGGTGCTGAAAAGAATGTATATTCTGTTGATTTGGGGTGGAGAGTTCTGTAGGTCTATTGGGTCTGCTTGGTGTAGAGCTGAATTCAGTTCCTGGATATCCTTGTTAACTTTCTGTCTCATTGATCTGTCTAATGTTGACAGTGGGGTGTTAAAGTCTCCCATTATTATTGTGTGGGAGTCTAAGTCTCTTTGTAGGTCTCTAAGAACTTGCTTTATGAATCTGGGTGCTCCTGTATTTGGTGCATATATATTTAGGATAGTTAACTCTTCTTGTTGAATTATCTCTTTACCATTATGTAATGGCCTTCTTTGTCTCTTTTGATCTTTGTTGGTTTAACGTCTGTTTTATCAGAGACTAGGCTTGCAATCCCTCCTTTTTTTTGGTTTTCTATTTGCTTGGTACATCCTCCTCCATCCCTTTATTTTGAGCTTACGTGTGTGTCTGCATGTGAGATGGGTCTCCTGAATACAGCACACTGATGGGTCTTGACTCTTTATCCAATTTGCCAGTCTGTGTCTTTTAATTGAAGCATTTAGCCCATTTACATTTAAGGTTAATATTGTTATGTGTGAATTTGATCCTGTCATTATGATGTTAGCTGGTTATTTTGCTCATTAGTTGATGCAGTTTCCTCCTAGCCTTGATGGTCTTTACAAGTTGGCATGTTTTTGCAGTGGCTGGTACCGGTTGTTCCTTTCCATGTTTAGTGCTTCCTTCAGGAGCTGTTGTAGGGCAGGCCTGGCGGTGACAAAATCTCTCAGCATTTGCTTGTCTGTAAAGTATTTTATTTCTCCTTCACTTATGAAGCTTAGTTTGGCTGGACATGAAATTCTGTGTTGAAAATTCTTTTCTTTAAGAATGTTGAATGTTGGCCCCCACTCTCTTCTGGCTTGTAGAGTTTCTGCCGAGAGGTCAGCTGTTAGTCTGATGGGCTTCCCTTTGTGTGTAACCTGACCTTTCTCTCTGGCTGCCCTTAACATTTTTTCCTTCATTTCAAATTTGCTGAATCTGACAATTATGTGTCTGGAGTTGCTCTTCTCAAGGGGTATCTTTGTGGCTTTCTCTGTATTTCCTGAATTTGAATGTGGGCCTGCCTTGCTAGGTTGGGAAGTTCTCCTGGATAATACCCTGCAGAGTCTTTTCCAACTTGGTTCCATTCTCCCCGTCACTTTCAGGTATCCCAATCAGATGTAGATTTGGTCTTTTCACATAGTGCCATATTTCTTGGAGGCTTTGTTCATTTCTTTTTACTCTTTTTTCTCTAAACCTCTCTTCTCACTTCATTTCATTCATTTGATCTTCAGTCACTGATACCCTTTCTTCCACTTGATTGAATCGGCTACTGAAGCTTGTGCATGCGTCATGTAGTTCTCGTACCATGCTTTTCAGCTCCATGAGGTCATTTAAGGTCTTCTCTATGCTGTTTATTCTAGTTAGCCATTTGTCTAATCTTTTTTCAAGGTTTTTAGCTTCTTTGTGATGGGTTCGAACATCCTCCTTTAGCTCTGAGAAGTTTGTTATTACAGATCATCTGAAGCCTTCTCTCAATTCATCAAAGTCATTCTCCATCCAGCTTTGTTCCATTGCTGGTGAGGAGCTGCCCTCCTTTGGAGGAGAAGAGGTGCTCTGATTTTTAGAATTTTCAGCTTTTCTGCTCTGGTTTCTCCCAATTTCTGTGGTTTTATCTACCTTTGGTCTTTGATGATGGTGACGTACACATGGGGTTTTGGTGTGGGTGTCCTTTCTGTTTGTTAGTTTTCCTTCTAACAGTCAGGACCATCAGCTGCAGGTCTGTTGGAGTTTGCTGGAGGTCCACTCCAGACCCTGTTTGCCTGGGTATCACCAGCAGAGGCTGCAGCACAGCAAATATTGCAGAACGACAAATGTTGCTGCCTGATCCTTCCTCTGGAAGCTTCATCTCAGAGGGGCACCCAGCTGTATGAGGTTTCAGTCGGCCCATACTGGGAGATGCCTGCCAGTTAGACTACTCAGGGGTCAGGGAACCACTTGAGGAGGCAGTCTGTCCGTTCTCAGATCTCAAACTCTGTGCTGGGAGGACCACTACTCTCTTCAAAGCTGTCAGTCAGGGATGTTTAAGTCTGCAGAAGTTTCTGCTGCCTTTTGTTCAGCTATGCCCTGCCCCCAGAGGTGGAGTCTACAGAGGCAGGCAGGCCTCCTTGAGCTGCAGTGGGCTCCACCCCGTTCGAGCTTCCCAGCTGCTCTGTTTACCTACTCAAGCCTTAGCAATGGTGGTCGCCCCTCCCCCAGCCTCACTGCTACCTTTCAGTTCAATCTCAGACTGCTGTGCTAGCAGTGACCGAGGCTCCGTGGGCGTGGGACCCTCTGAGCTAGATGCGGGATATAATCTCCTGGTGTGCCATTTGCTAAGACTGTTGGAAAAGTGCAGTATTAGGGTGGGAGTGTCCCAATTTTCCAGGTACCATCTGTCATGGCTTCCCTTGGCTAGGAAAGGGAATTCCCTGACCCCTTGCACTTCCTAAGTGAGGCGATGCCCTGCCCTGCTTCAGCTCATGCTCCATGGGCTGCACCCACTGTCCAACAAGTCCCAGCTAGGTTGGTGTCTGCCCAAATGGCTGCCCAGCTTTGTGCTTGAAACCCAGGGCCCTGGTGGTGTAGGCACCCAGTACCTCAGTTGGAAATGCAGATGTCACCCATCTTCTGTGCTGCTCACACTGGGAGCTGTAGACTGGAGCTGTTCCTATTTGGCCATCTTGAAATCTCCCCTTTTCAAGGTTCTTAGCTTCCTTGCATTGGGTTAGAACATGCTCCTTTAGCATGTTCTACTCATGTTTGTTATTACCCACCTTCTGAAGCCTACTTCTATCAATTCGTCAAAATCATTCTCCATCCAGTTTTGTTTCCTTGCTGTTGAGGAGTTGTGATCCTTTGGAGGAGAAGAGGTGCTCTGGTTTTTGGAATTTTCAGCCTTTTTGTGCTGGTTTTTCCTCATCTTCGTGGCTTTATCTACCTTTGGTCTTTGATGTTGGTGACCTTCGGATAAGGTTTCTGTGTGGATGCCCTTTTTGTTGATGTTCATGGTATTCCTTTCTGCTTGTTAGTTTTCCTTCCAACAGTCAGGCCCCTCTGCTGCAGGTCTGCTGGAGTTTGCTGGAGGTCCACTCTAGACCCTGTTTGCCTGGGTATCAACAGCGGAGGCTGCAGAACAGCAAAGATTGCTGCCTGTTCCTTCCTCTGGCAGCTTCATCTCAGAGGGGCACCTGCCAGATGCCAGCTGGAGCTTTCCTGTATGAGGTATCTGTCGACTCCTACTGGGAGTTGTCTCTGAGTCAGGAGGCACGGGGTTCAGGGATCCATTTGAGGAGGCAGTCTGTCCCTTAGCAGAGCTCAAGCACTGCGCTGGGAGATCTGCTGCTCTCTTCAGAGCTGGCAGGCAGGAACGTTTAAGTCTGTTGAAGCTGTACCCACAGCTGCCCCTTCGCCCAGGTGCTTTGTCCCAGGGAGATGAGAGTTTTATCTATAAACCCCTCACTGGGGCTGCTGCCTTTCTTTTAGAGATGCCCTGCCCAGAGAGGAGGAATCTAGAGAGGCAGTCTGGCGACAGTGGCTTTCCAGAGCCATGTTGGGCTCTGCCCAGTTTGAACTTCCTGGTAACTTTGTTTACACTGTGTGGGGAAAACCACCTACTCAAGCTTCAGTAATGGTTGACACTTCTCCCCCCACCAAGCTCAAGCTCCCAGGTTGACTTCTGACTGCTGTGCTGGCAGCGAGAATTTCAACCCAGTGATCTTAGCTTGCTGCACTCCATGGGGTTGGGATCTGCTGATCTAGACCACTTGGCTCCCTGGCTTCAGCCCCCTTTCCAGGGGAATGAACACTTCTGTCTCACTGGTGTTCCAGGCACCACTGGGGTATGAAAAAAAAAAAAAAAAAAAAAAAAAAAAAAAACTCCTGCAGCTAGGTTGGTGTCTGCTCAAATGGCTGCCCAGTTTTGTGCTTGAAACCCAGGCCCCTGGTGGTATAGGAACCCAAGGGAATCTCCTGGTCTACAGGTTGCGAAGACCATGGGAAAAATGTAGTATCTAGGCTGGAATGCACTGTTCCTCACAGCACAGTCCCTCATGGCTTCCTTTGGCTAGGGGAGAGAGTTCCCCAACCCCTTGTGTTTCCCAGGTGAGGCGATGCCACACCCTGCTTCAGTTCACCCACCATGGGCTGCACCCACTGTCTAACCAGTCCCAGTGAGATGAGCTGGGTATCTCAGTTGGAAATGCAGAAGTCACCCGCCTTTGGCGTTGATCTCACTAGGAGCTGCAGACTGGAGCTGTTCCTATTCGGCCATCTTGCCAGCCAGCCTCTGAAACATTTTAAAATGGTGTTTAGAGGATGGGGAATTGAGGCTTTGAAGAATTCCATCACTAAAAGTGCCTCTAACATTTTTCCAAAGTTTTAAACACTATCAAAGCTATAATACCCAAATATTACAAAACATTAAGACAAATCATCTTCCATTATCAGAAAATTATAAATAAGCATTTATTTGGCCTCATATAACAGAAAATTCAATTTAGGATGGCTTAAAATTGAGTGTAATTAAGTAAGTTGTGATATTGCCATGCAATGGAATACTACTCACCAATAAAAAAGGAAAGAACTACTGATATTCAACAACATAGTTTAATCTCAAAAGCATTATGCTAACGACCACATCAAACACCACATATTGAATGATTCCATCTGTATGAAATCTAGAAAATGAAAAACTGTAGTGATAGAAAGCAGAAAGGCAGTTGCCCGTAGCTGACATAAGGACAGGATTGACTGCAAACAACCATGACAGAAGTTTTTTGAAGTAATGGAAAAATTCCACGTTGTTACTATGATGATTCTTACATGACTGTATACAAGTCAAAACTCTCTAAATTTGCACTAAAAATTAGTAAATTTTATTTTGTGGACACAAAGCTGATCCCTACAAAGCTGACCAAAAAAAAAAAAAAGAATTTTCGAAAGGAAATTCTAAGTACCTACACATCTACGAAAATCATCAGCTCAAAGTGTGATAATGAACCTGAATGTCACTATTCCCTCAACGAGATATCATAGGATACTTTATTAGTGCAAAATTCTTTTCTGACAATTCTTTGGAAGGTGCTTTTTGCAGAGATTTGAGTTAAATGTCAACTCTAGAGCTCAGATCTTCTCTTTCTCAGGGAAGTCCTAAAGCAGGTTAGTCTATGACTTCTCCCTCCTCTGAATTTCAGTGGCAATTACAGTCTGCCCCAGTCCTTATGGCATAAATTGTATTTTATTTATCTGCATTTACCCATATAATATCTATTATAGGCCCATGTGAAGGTAAAACTGGGCTCATATGAACAGTCACAAACATCCTTGGATATATGGACACTCTATGAACTGCAGTCTCCCTGCTCCTGGCCCTTAGAAATAACCTCTTCCAATTCTTTCTGCTCTTTGTTGTAGCTCACCAACAGAAGCCAGACCAGGCACTTTTCAGTAATCAAAGTAGTCCTTTCTTTCAGATTCTAGATCATTGCTTTGTCTATCTTCTTAATTAAGGTAAGTTCATCATTCATGAGGCTCCTCAATCCAGAGAGCAAGTTGACTCCCAGGGAATTCTCTCACCAATTCAGAGTCAGAGGCTGTTACTGCATGAGTATGTCTCACTCCACAGCTGATCATCAGCTTCCTGAGGAGAGGGCGCATTGCACTTCTGGTTCTCCCTCACTGTGCTTTCCATGCAGTATGTTGGCCACAATAGGAACTCAATAAATACATGCTGAATGGAAGGAAACAGGACCTACCTAGCATGAAGAAAGAACCATTTCTTACCGCACAGGGTTCGAAAGTTGGCTGAAGGCAAAAATGAAAATGAACACCAGATTTTCCAGCACATGATTGAATTGCATTTGATGGTATTGTCAGGGAGGCTTCTTTGGACTAATAGAAATAATTAAGGAAGACAGACTGCTTCAGACACCCTAGGGGCTACTTAGCTCTCCAGTGAGGCATTTTGCTTTTATGTTTAAATATTATTTTCACTGATTATAAAAAGAAACATCCGTTCTCTTTTATCACCTTCTAGTCAAGGCAGCCAAATGTGCTTAGATAGATGGAAAATGCCTTTTAAGTAAGTGATTACCTATGAAGAATTAGTCTCTCTTCTTTCCTTTCCTAGACATTGTGGCATTAATATTGGCATTTTGTTTCTTTAAATTGCATCCTAAGGTCCCGTTCCACCACAGCTCCTTCCCAGACGGCATTACTGTAGACCAGACTTTTTACCCTGCTTGTCTCCTTTTCTAAAGACTTTTATTTTCTTTTTAGTTTGCACTTTTCAAACTCCAGCCATAATTATTGGGGTATAATTTATACATAGCAAAGGTTATCCTTTTCAAGTCAACAGTTCAATGAGTTTTGAAAAATTGATATAGTCATGTAACCACCACCACAATCAAGATATAAAATCTTACTATCACTTCTAAAAGTTTCCTCATGCCCCTTTTGTCAACTTCCTCTCCCCATTCCCAGCCTCTGCAACTGATCTGATTTCTGTTGCTTTAGTTTTGGCTTTTTGAGATTGTCATATGGATAGAGTCATAAAGTACATCACCTTTTGTATCTGCCTTTTTTCATTTAGCATTCATTTGTGATCGTGATTCATGCACGTTGTTGAATGTATCAATTGTTCATTCCTTTTTATTACTAAGTAGTATTCCATCCTATGGATATATTTTGTGATTAATGTTTATTAGTTTGTTTTCTTGTCTGTAATATTTGTATGTGTGGTGAGTTGGAAGAGATTTTGTTTATATCATAGTTGGATTTTTTTCACTTTGTATTTCCTATCAGACAATATGGTCTGCTAGGAAGACTCATGCCTGGTATTGAACATATTTACATGCCTTGCATTGTTCAGGCAGATATGTACTCAGTTCCTATATGCTGTATAAATGACCTACTGCATATGTGTGATGATTCTTCCTGTAGTTTTGAAGAGTGTGATCAGGGATTTTGTATCTCAAATTGTGCAATTTAAAGATGTGCAGTTTATTATTTAGTTATAATTATATAATTAGTTATACCTCAATGCAGCTGTTAAATAAAAATATACAAAATCACTGTTAAAATCTTATTCTTAAAAGAAAAATTACACATGCAGCAGGGGTTTGTGGTAGGGCTGGAGCTGAGATGTAGTGATATATGTAATGTGGAAGTAAGTAGTTGGAGAAGGCAGAGAATGGCAAAGAACAGAAACCAAATTGCAGGGAAATATGGAGGGAAAATTCTGAGCCAGATTCAGAAATGGAGCCAAAGGTCAGGAGGAGATAGTGTTTCTGAGTCTACAGTGGTTCCTCTCATATGAATGCTGGTGACCCAGCTATTCTGGATATACACAGGTACCCTGCCAGTGGGGCGTGGGGGAATGACTACAGGTAAATAAGAATGTGTAACACATTGGGGTATACAAAAGACTTCTTTGGAATCCCTCTAAGAAAATGTTAGTCTGAGGGAAAGCAGCAGTCTCCTCATTTTCAGACAGACTCAAGAGCAGACCTGGAACAATAACATCCAGTGTCATCACAAGTTGTTGAAATGGACAGGGATCTATTCCAATTTTGTGATGGATAAGTACATGGGCCGCCAAATAACAGGCCAACAGCAGCTAGGACTGATCTCTAAGCACAGCGAGAAATAACTCAGGGGTTGAGGAACTTAGTTCATTTGTGTTGCTACAACAAAATACCACAGGCTGGGAATTTATAAAGAACAGAAATGTACTCTCTCACTGTTCGGGAGGCTGGGAAGTTCAAGATCTAGTCACCGATATCTGGTGAGGGTCTTCTTGCTGGAGCCTCACATGACAAAAGATGCAAGGACAAAAAGGAGTCAACCTTCCTCTGTCAAGTCCTTAATCCATTCATGAGAGTGGAGCCCGCACCTCAACACCTCCCCAAAGACTTCACTTCCCAACACTGTTATATTGGGGATTAAGTTTCCAACACATGGATTTGGGGGGACACATTCAGACAATAGCTGGGCCCTATATATACAAGTGGAACAGTGAGAGGAGGACATCTGGGCATTTGCATGGATAGGACCTCATTTGTACTGAGAGGCTGGTGAGGCTGATAATTTTCAGTTTACAAATGAGTAAAAGTCACTACCTCTAGGTCTATGGGCCACAACTCTAAGAAGAAAATGGGCCTCTATGTGTAGGTTACAACTACAAGAAGAAAATAAACTGCATTACCATGATATACCATGTGAAAGTTTATGGTTTTAGGGGCTTTTAAAATGTTAGTTCCTCTCAAGTTCAAGCCTTAGAATGTCTTCATTTATCTACACATACAGAGTTTTTTGATGGTGCAAGCCATCTTCCATATAACTGTACTTTTATAAAGGTTCCTGATGCATCTAAAGAAAATGTGCCTAGGCTGGGCATGGTGGCTCACACCTATTCCCAGCACTTCGGGAAGCCGAGGCAGGCAGATCATCTGAAGTCAGGAGTTCGAGAACAGACTGGCCAACATGGCAAAACCCCATGTCTAATAAAAATACAAAAATTAGTCAGGTGTGGTGGTGTGTGCCTGTAGTCCCAGCTACTTGGCTACTTGGGAGGAGGCTGAGGCAGGAGAATCACTTGAACCCAGGAGGCGGAGGTTGCAGAGAGCTGAGATCATGCCACTGCACTCCAGTTTGGGCAACAGAGTAAGACTCCGTCTCAAAAAAAAAAAAAAGGTGCCTAAACGTTCTCTCATTCCACTGAGTAGCATAAACCAGACTGAACTTCCATTTGTTCTGCTCATATCCAAGCATATTATTTCAGCTAGAACAAGACTCTGAAGACAGTATCTGGTAATGAGATTTCAAGCCCATTGAGCATAGCCACTGAGGGTAGTCATGACTAATTCTCAACACTGTGCTTGGCTCAATACTTTGCACATTGTAGATGCTAAATAAATATGTGGTAAGTGAGTGAATGTTACAAAACCGAAGAGATTGCAAGATTCTCAACTTAATCCAAATGACGGATAATGTTAGATATAATAAGAATCTGTGAGAAAAAAGAGATAGAAAGTCTGGAGAAGAATTATGCAGAGAACTCAGATTCTCAACTTAATCCAAGTGAAGGATAATGTTAGAAATAATAAGAATCTGTGAGAAAAAGGGATAGAAATTCTGGAGAAGAATTATGCAGAGAGCTTAGAGACAAATATTAGGAGACCATGAAATAGGCCACCATTTGTGAGCCAGGAATACTAGCTGTTGCTTTCTCATACTGCACAGTAGGAAATGTGAAAGCAGAAAATATTTAGATTGTGATTAAAACTGAGATTCCTGGAAAAACTGAAGTTCAAAATCTTTCTGGGCTCTCCCAGCTTCACTGATTCCATTCTTTTGATGGGCAAGCAAAGTTCACTAGTCTGCCAGTCAAATAGATGCTAATGGTAAAATTGGCTCTGTTTGACTTTTTGATGTTACACATTTGAAATGTGTTTCCATCTAAAAGGACAGGCTCCAATCTAAATGGTACCAACAAAATTACTTCAAACAAAATAGGAGTTCATGTCACTCAAGATGCACTAAAAGTTAAATTGCAAAATGGCTGAAAAGGAGAGGTCTTGGCTTCAGAAAAGAATAATAACTACCTAAAGAACAAAAGTTCGTGTTCTTGGCAGGAAATTTTAAAAAAAGAAAAATCATCTGGTGTGGTCATACAGTGTATCAAACTGAAGAAGACCCTTTCTTTACTGAGTTAAAATTAAGTCTATAGAATCCTAACTGGAGACAAGCCATGGAAAACTAAAGGCACTTGCAAGTTGAAGTTACAGGGCAATGGAAATGATGAGTAATTAAGGAGGAAGTCAGCCTACAGAGAAGACAATAGAGCAGGTACACACAGAGAAGCAAAGCCAACAAGTCATGAATTCCCTAAAAGTTGCAGAGAGTTAATTAGGTTCTTATCTTCCCAGTCTCCACTTTAAGTACCCAAGGGCTATAATTCCTGTCTTTGGGTTCTCAGAAAGTTCTTCATATCCTTGCAATTAACTATTCTTTGACTTGGGCTAGTTTAAATATGATTTATTTTTCACCCCTGAAAAATAACTGCCCTCTAACTGGAACATGCAAGTTTTCCAGACAGAGTAGAGTAGCAGATAGCCATAAGCAGCCTTAATCCTTCATATGACACATTTCTTTAAAAAAGTCTAAAGTATGGATGAACAATGTTTCCCCTTCATTGAACTTTTCCATGTCCTAAGAGATAAAATTCTTTTTTTTTCGGGTTCATCTTAACAAATCAAGACATTAGTGACTAGTTGAAGAAGTATGTTTATTCATTTGGGGAACAAACATTCATTGAGCATCAACTCTGTGTCAGGCTCTATTTTAGGAACTGTGAGTGAAAGAAGTTAATGAGACATGTTAACTTGGAAGTCCTTAAGATTTCCCAGAAGAGAGACAGATATGTCTTAAACGTAGTCTAGTACAAGGACTAGAAACCTGCTCAAATTAGCTTCAGAGAAAAAGAGAAACTATTATTAGGTTGGTCCAAAAATAATTGTGGGTTTTGCCACTGAAAGTAATAGAATGATACACAGATATTTCATGGATGTAAACCCAGGAAGAACAGTCAGATCTCACACAATGGCAAACAAAATTAAAAGACCTAGAACAATCTCTCTCCGTGTCTCTCTCTTTCTCTGTCTGTCTGTCTCATGCATGCACACCTCAGTTTCTTGGTCTCTCATATCTGTCTCTGTTTTTGATAAATGGTGCAGATTGGCTTTTTCTACACTCATTGAAGAAAATGAATGGGCTGGGCATAATTCCAACACTTTGGGAAGGTGGGGCAGGAGGATTGCTTGAGGCCAAGAGTTCCAGACCAGCCTTGGCAACACAGTGAGACCCCATCTCTATAAAAAGAAAAATTAAAAAATTAGACAGGTGTGGTGGTGCATGCCTGCCCAGCTACTCGGGAGGCTGAGGTAGCAGGATCACTTGAGCCCAGGAGTTTGAGGCTGAAACGAACTATGAATACCACTGCACTCTAGCCTAGGCAGCACAAAGCCCCATCTCAAAAAAAAAAAAAAAAAAAAAAAGGCGGGGGGGAAAAAAGAAAGAAAATGGTTGTACAAAGTGAACACAAATTTCCATTTCATGTGATCAGCAAAGATTCTAGAATCTGTATACCATGAATGTAAATCCCTAGGAGATTGATCGAGCTTGGTCAGGTGTTTGGCTTAGCGACAAGGAGGCAGGATTATGTGACTCAGTGACTTCTAGAAGGGGATCATGGAAGACTCTGAGAAAGCCCTATTGGCAGAGCTGGCAAATAGCTTTGCATGTCTGCCACAAGCATGAAAACAAGTAAGGCCAGTCAACCGTAGTTGTGCTAGAATCGAAATATGAATATGATTCATCAGTGTATTGATGGGTCCAGGAAGCTAGGAAATCTAGAATTATTTTATTTGTTTTGTTTGTGTTTAAGTTAGGAGTGTCTCTTTTATTTTGGCCATTATGCACCCCAGCCAGTGCTTAGAGACTTGTGTGTGAGTCAAGCTCAATGGATTCTAAGCTTTACTCACTCATCCCATGGATTCACTGAGTAACATTTGAGAAGCCACTGGTTACTTCACTTCAAAATTACTAGGACTTACCTAGAAGTTCATATTTACCACCCTTTTCAGGTCTAGGGAGAAGAATGTGGAATTGTTAGGAAACTCATTTCAATGTATTATAATAACTATTAATATTTATTAGAAATTTATTTACTAGGTATAGGACTAGACTCTTATAACAAAAATGTATAAGATTTCAGAGACCCAGCATTTAAATGAGAAGGTAGAATATACACATATAACTCAATAATATATTACTCTGTAATACATACAAAAGAAAGTTTATTTGGGGGAAAAAACAAAAACAAAAAAAAAAAGCTAGAGGAAACCAGAGCCAAGAAAGAAGAATGATTAGTTCTCAGTGAAGAAAATGGGAAAGGCTGGGCTAATAATATAGAATTTGACTGGAGCCTTGAAGTAGAATTTGAAACAATGGAAGAAAAAAAGAAAGCTATTCTAAGTAGAAAAATAAGGAATTGACAATGAAGAATGGGAAAGGCAGGCCAGTGAACTCGTGAATTTGGCCTAAACATAGTGTGCAAGAGGGAAAGATAGCCACGGAGCCCACAGAGGTGAGTTGGAGCCAAATCGTGACCTTAAACCCTAGGGTACTTTGAATGTCCTGAAGACATCTAATGATTTTCAGCAGATCAGTCCTGCATTTTTGGATAACTGTGACAACAGGTATAAAAGATGAACTGGAACAGGAGAGAAGGAAGCACAGAGAGATTATATGGGAGTTTGTCACCATGGTGAAAGATCAAAAGGGTTTGAACCAAAGAGAGATTAGCAGTGGAACAGAAAATAGGAGATGGCACAGAAAACCCTAGTAGGGTGTAAAGACAGAATTGGAATGGGATGTTAGCAGGGGGCTGGTGGTGCACCTGGGGAAGAAAGCAGAGGTTTCTGGTTTGGGTGATTGTCTATATGAAAACGGGATAAACAAAGGAGGGCAGGGCATGACGATACAACAGATCAGAAGGAAACACTGGGGAAACTTATCTGAGCCGTGTTCCCCAACAAAACTCTGTCTTGAGCTAAGGAAAAGAAAAAGAGGGGAAGGCCTCACTTCACCCCTGAGTGCTTTTTGGAGTAGGGTCTCTGGGTCTCTCAAGATCCTTTCAAGTGGCCAGTGAAGTCAAAACTATTTTCATAACAATACTGAGACGTTACTGCGTTTTTCACTGTGTTGACATTTGCCCTCATGGTGCAAGAACAAGGATGGGGACTGGTGGTCATTGTATTCTTCATCACTGGGCACTCACAGGAAGAGAAAGGGAGAGGGACACGGAGAGGCCAGCAGATCAATGAATTTTAATGCCACGGAATAGGAAAAACCATTGATATGGTTTCAGATTCCACATTGCAACTTTAAGAAACTACCACTTGTTGAGTTTTGGTGTAGTATCAGGGGATTATCCAGAATTATCTCCTGTTTTTCTAAGTCCATATCTGTGTAACACCAGATTAATCAATATAATTTCACCAAAACTACATGCCGTAACAGATTGGATGCAGAAGCAGATCTGAGAATCCAAATGTCTGTTTTTAAGCCAGATATTTAAAATATTAGCAAAAATGTAAAGCAATGCCACTCTTCTCCCGGATTCTTTCATTTGGAGAAATATAGTTATTTTTCATAAAATGTACATTATTTATGTTCACACATAATAGGATTTTTGTTAAAGGACTTACTGAGTAAAGGGCTCTTGAGACCAAAGAGTTTGAGAAGCCCCAGCTTAACCTTCCATATTTCCTGCTCTGAATGTGGTGTCCCTCACAACTGCAACTAGGCAGGAGAGCACCCTGGAAGGGGTTCTCAAACTACTTTGTCTCAGGAACACTTTATCCTCTTAAAATTAATGTGAGGCAGGAGTTTGTTCTTTGTTTCTAAAAGTTTTGCCTGGCTCTGGAAAATCGTAGCTCCTGACTTATTCTGCACTTCATGACAGTGTAATGTTAATTTGTCCAGTTCTGAGAACAAAAACCAAGAAGGATGCATGTTATTTCCCCCCACCCCCAGAGATAAAACACAAATTCCTGTCTCACATTAAAGGAAGTGTCCTGCCTCCCAAACACAGGTCTGTTCCAAACACTTACTCACATTTCAGTGAGTCAGAAGGAAACAGACAGATATTCATCTCCCTGAAACCTGGCTGACTTCCTTCAAAAAGTCTGTAAGGAGCGTCAAAATCGTGTCACCGGTTAGTGAGCAGCCACCTAAGAGCTCTCAGGTGATAGCCGGAGTTTTAGTAAGCAGGTGAGTACCCCAGACAATTCAGAAAAAAATGCCTTCAGGTGTTTGTCAAGGTGAGTAAGTGCAGCCAGTAAGTGACTGATAAGAAAACAGGAAAGAGCCTGGGACTATATAATTTGGGTTCAAAGGGTATTAGTCATAAGCCATCAGCAGCAACATCTGATGCATACCAATTTAATACTTTAACAATGTGACACATCAGCCCTATCTATAGTAAAGAGAAGAGCTTGATTTTTATGAATTATTAAGTCCTTCCCACCTTGAGCCACTTTGCTTCCTAGAGGCAGTATCTCAGGCATCCCATTCAGCTCATAGTAGCATTCCATGAAGATCTGGAATGATGACAATAATGATGATTATTAGACTCATAACTCCTTAAGCTTGATTTATGAAAACAGTTCGTTCCTTCACAAAAGTAGTCACTGGAAGAATTCTGGTTTCAGCAATGTGCTGGAAATTTGTGGCCAAACTTTTGGATAAAACATAAGATTCAGACAAGAAAAATTAATATCCTATTTCTTAGGTTTTTAACTAAAAATCTCGGATATAGAATGTTCTCTTTCCAGATGTGAGACTGAAATAATGGAAGAAAATGGTCACAGTCTATGTCATGGTGTAATGTAGACAGGGAGAGTCACAAGTGCATGTATGGGCTCTCAGCCTTTTCTCTGGCCTTGAAGTTAATCTCCTAAACTCAGTCATTAAATCAGCTCTTAATTATCTCGGAGGAGAGGAAGTAATGATGATTTCTCTCTCTCTGTCTCTCTGTCACACACACACACACACACACAGCTCTTGCAGCAGGTATTGCTTAAATATCACCTTGGATAATCATAACTTGTGAGCAGATCTTCTTTCCTGATGAGTTAGTTTCTAACCTGGTCATTCTGCGCTTATTTTTGTCCCTTTCTCCACCCACTTAGGAAAAACAGAGAAAGGGACGCACCGCGCAGCCCCTAGGCACTGTGGTTTAGGGCTAGTGCCCTCGGCACCCGCTGCCAGGAGCCGGGCGCTGCCAAGGGCTGCGGAGGGGCCACGTTCTCCCGGGGACTGGGGCATCTCCTGCGTGCTGGCGACAGGCTGCGGGGGCGGAGTGGTGCCAGGGCGGGCGCTCGCCCGTCGGATATGCCCACCCGTCCCGTCCAGGGCAGGAAAGCCTGCCAGGGCGCCATCCCCATCCCCACCGCCTCCAGGCTGCCGGGGCTGGGCCGCTGTACGGGAGCCAAGGTGCGGTGCCCCGCGTGTGGACGAGCCGAGGTGCAGCCCGCGGGGCCGCAGGGCCGGGGTGGGGCGGGGCGCGGCCGGAGCAGATCCGGTGTTTGCGGAATCAGGAGGGGCGGGCTGGGGCGGGCCCTCGGCGCTGCAGGAGCTGCCCAGAAACTTTTCCCTGCTCTCACCGGGCGGGGGAGAGAAGCCCTCTGGACAGCTTCTAGAGTGTGCAGGTTCTCGTATCCCTCGGCCAAGGGTATCCTCTGCAAACCTCTGCAAACCCAGCGCAACTACGGTCCCCCGGTCAGACCCAGGATGGGGCCAGAACGGACAGGGGCCGCGCCGCTGCCGCTGCTGCTGGTGTTAGCGCTCAGTCAAGGTAAGCGGGGATTTCGCTCTGCATCGGCTGCAGGAGGGACCCGCGCGGCTTCCTGGGGCTCGCTGGAGGGATTGGGCGGAACTAGGGAGCGAGCTCCGTGTGTTCCCTCGGATTCCACGTGGACTCGGGCTCCCAGCCACCAGGACCTGCTTGGAAAGAGATACTTCTTCGTTCCCTTCCTGCTATCCCAGGCCTTGCGTCCCCATTAGGCGCGTCTCGCCCTGTCTGTTAAGCACCCTCCAAAGTCATCTCAGTGAGTGCTTTGTTTTAGGTACACACACGCACACACACACACACACACACAGACAGACACGCACGCACTCAAGCATGGACAGTGTGGGGATCCGCGGGTGTCCTGGAGACCGCGAGTCCTGCAGCCCAACTTCCCCTGGCTCAGACAGGTGCCGCGCCTGCCAGAGACCAGGGAAATCCGGAATCCATTGCTGATGGCGGCCTGCAGCTCCCCAGCGCGGTGCTTGCTGGCTTTGCAGAAGCCTGCGAGCCCCAAAATGCTTATTTTTCAACCCAAGGATGTGAATAATGCCTCTATTTCTTACTTGAGGACGAAGCGCTGTGTTTCTTCCCGGGGGGACTTGGAATAAACCAAGCGCCACTTAAATACTTGGCAGAGGGGAATTCTTCCTTCCCTTCTGCCTTCCTCTTATTGTTGTAACATTGTCTATTCGACGAATGTAAACTTAGGCTAGGAAAAGTTCTTTTCACTTCTGGATCCTAGATGCCGCAATGAGAGAATAAGCCGGAGCAGCCGCTCTAACTGTAGTGCTGTGGCAGTGGGGCCCGCCCACCTCCTGAGTTCTTTTACACTAAGAGGAGGAAATAAGGCTGGGGTGGAGAGCTTTTGTGGGACCATCGCCTGAGTACTTTTTCCCTGACCATTAGGCAGAGCTAGAGTGTGGTCAAATTTAAGAATTTTAGTTTATTTGGAGGGAGAAGGAGACACGTTTGTATAATGTAGTTTGAACAGCGATCAAAACAAAACAAAAAAGTTGTCTCTGATTTTAAAGTGTGTGTGTGGTTTTTTTTTTTTTTTTTTACAAAGAAGATAAATATTTCCTAAGCTGTCCTCCTTTGAGACTGACATTCAGCCACTTGCTATTCTTTATTGTGGAGGAATGAATCCTAGTCCACGTCAACCTGGTGGCATTTTCTCCAGGTCAGAGATAAGAGAGAAATAGCACCACTGTCCCCAGCCCGAGCAGAGAATGGGCATCTTAGGTTTTCTGTCTCACCTGTATTGGGTGCTTCAGATACTTTCTCCGGGAACCAGATGAGTTGTTTTGAGGGGCCACCAACCCTAATCTACGGATTTCAGGTAAAGTTGTACTTGACATTGAAAATGAGTCTCTGGAATACAACTAGAGCTAATAGAAATATAAACCCAAGCTTTTCATCTCTCTGTAATTACCCAGTATTAAAATAAGCTGTGGAAACATAACATCATTTTCTTATCTTTGAAATGTTGAGGCTTGTTATGTAAAGAGCAGTGAGAAATTCTTTAATGGAATGTAACGCTGCAAGGCATGAAGTCAGGAACAGAGACTTAACCTGGAGTTAATAAGGACACCTCAGGGCAAGCAAGCAGAGATGATCGAAAATAACATCTGCAAAAGTTTTGTGCATTTATTCCCTCCTCCTACTCCAGCCATTTGTATACTCAAGGAACAGGTTTTCTCTTAATTTAAGATCCTCATAAGAAAGCTCTCTCATTTGTGATATCACTTGAGGTTCCTGGAGAAGCAGCATCGTTTTTTGGTACCATGAGTATCCCAGGTTAACATGAATAAGTGAAATCTCTAGCTCAGTAGTATCTAAAATTTTGTATGGCATTACCCTATCTGTATAAAATTTCTCATTCACTATCATTACACACACACACACACATAACTGTTATAAAATTATAGTATGTACAATTGCATCATATCACATACAAAAATTCAAATTTAAAAGCTATGTATGTGACAGAGCTTCATTATGATGATCTTAAATTAAGAGAAAACCTGTTCCTTGAGTATACAATATGCCGTGTTATGTATATACAATTGTATATACATATATATACCTGTTAATATGTATAAAACACATGTGTGTTTAGACATCTTGTATCATCTCTAGCATACATGCAAACCACTTTAAAAACATATCACCTTCAAATCTTATTTTAACACTTACATTCAAATTTGCTTTCCAGAAACCTTTTCACAGGTGCTTAAGAAGAAAATGTACTCATAGTTTAGTCCTATATTTATCACCTTTCAGTGCTCATTTCTAAGTGCTTAATACCATGAAAATGGTAAATGGGCAGTCTGAGGATGAAAAAGAGAGAACATAAGAGGCCTAGATAATCTATAAACTAAATATAGGCCATTAGCAGAAGGCAAATGTAATTTTGAAATGAAGGCCATCACGTATTTTCTCCAGTATGTTCACAGGTCAAGGATAGTCCTTCCACCCAGGTTCTAGACCACATCTTTTCTTACTATCCCTGAAACCCTGCCCCAGCACTCATCCCTCTTCAGTGCACGTCTTCAAATTCTCTCCCTAATGTAACTTCCCCTCAGTCTGTAAATATTCTAATTTTTCTTATTGTAAAAAAAATATTTCTTTTGATATTTAATTTCCTCCTGAAACATCCTGTACTTCTGGCTTCTGTTCTCTTCCTGTTTTTCTCCTCCTTTCCTCGCTGCTCTCCCGTCATCTCCTTCACAGGCTCTTTCCTTGTTGGTGTTTGCAGAGTTTCATCCTGAATCCTCCTCTTCATTCTGCAGATTGTCTCTGGGCCCATTCCCTGCACAGGTCCCTATCTCCAGCCAGCCTCCCCTTCTGAGTTCCAGATCAGTATTTCCATCAGCCACCAAATTTCTCCAGCTAGACAGTCTGTAAGTAAGCCAGATTCAACATTTCCAAAACTGAATTTAATACGTGTCCTCCAGAATTTTCTCCTCTATTGGCTACCATTGTTTAATGGCAGTATTATTATCACACAAACATGAAAGCCAGGAATTTGTCCCCATGTTTTCAACCTCACAGCCACTCTCCAAATTCTCTTGGCTCTCCTCCCATCCATGCAACTCCTGCCACCCAGTCAGTCCCTCATCTTATGTCTGTATGTAACTTTTAAACTGGATTTTCTTTTCTTATCTCTCCAACCCATTCTCTTCATTTTCACTAATGATATCTTTCTAAGACACTTATATGTTTCCAATTACTGCTTTGTTTCAAATGTTAGTGGCTCCCCATCTCAGGTAGGGTAAAGTGCCAATTTCTTGGCATGTCATAAAAAGGTACATTCTACCTATCCAATCTTTTCTTTACTGTATGCTTTCCTGAACACAAATACACATTCACACACACACACCACACACATGCCCACACATGTACACACTCTAAAGCCATCTATATACACCATTCTTTGTTATGACTACACCTGATCATACCATATTTAGTGTGAAAATATTTTCCAAATACTCCCTTTGCCTTCATTGCATTGTTGCTTTCACCCCTTTTCACTCATCTCTTTGCAACTGACCATTATCCAATGCTAGAAGGGTCAATCCCAAGCAAAATTATAAAGTAGAGAACTTTTACTTTTGCAACAAAAAGGAAAGCTTGAGGTAACCTACCTTTGCTGGGTCCCACCCTAAACCACCTCTCTGGTCTCATCCTCAGCCCCTTAATGGGACTTAGGCCGCCCTCTGATAAAGTAACTTTGCTCCCCTATGGCTTAGCAGTTATACCTGCCCAACCTCAGCTAAGCTTTGCTCTCTTAATACTAGGTCCTGAGCCACTGTTTGACTTAAATTTATGGACTGGGGTTTAGGATTCAGTATTTACAATGGCTCATATATTTCTGATGTATGGTCTGGTTTGGAAGTGATTGCTTAAATATCATCACTGCCTCCCCACTTTCCTAAGATTAAAATTCCAGTGTTACCTACCCCTTACCACCTTGTGGGATGATCACCAAGACAGGTAGATTTCAACATCAAGAGTTAGTGGCTGTGAGCGGCTGTGTCAGTTAAATTCCTTCCGAAGTGGATGATGACTACTCCCTGTCTTCATGTGCTGACAGCCCTGGAGATATTAAAAGGTAGAAGCTTGTTAATGTAAAGAGATGAGCTTCTCATGATGTAATTTTAGACATTCAGCAAAATAAAGACACATGTTCAGTCAATGTGTATAAAGTCAAGAATTTCAGGAAGAATGGGGAAAATATTTGGGGCCAAAAGTGTCCAGGCATCACATAAATTCTACCACTAAAGCCATAAGTCTTGACTACCAACACTGCTCAGCTTGGGATATTAGTAAAAGATTTAGCACAG
This sequence comes from Homo sapiens, assembly GCF_000001405.40. Classification (NCBI taxonomy): domain Eukaryota; kingdom Metazoa; phylum Chordata; class Mammalia; order Primates; family Hominidae; genus Homo; species Homo sapiens. The sequence continues at coordinate 52,993,873 of NC_000005.10, forward strand.
CATAAAACAAGAGAAACCATGAAAGATCACCGCTCTGATTGGCAAGTGAAAGAAATGGAAGGTTGGTGGAGTTCTTTTTTTCCAGTTGTTCAGTGACCAATCATTTACCAGCAGAACATACAGAAGAGTGGCTCCCTACAGGGGAGAATCCTAGCACTGCAAATCATGAGACAATAGACTCTGTGTATGACAGTGATTCCTATGCCCCTTCAGGTGATCCATAGAGGCTTTATTGATCTGGCTACAGTGAATTTCATAAAACTAATACTTGATAATATTCTTATAAGGTATCTACTTTATGTAAGGCTGTGTGTTAGGCTCAAGGTGGAATCAGAGAAAACTTAAAACATGGCTGAGAGAGGTTGGAGTTTATTTGGAAAAAAATCCAAACATGGGGAAAGGAAATTGTCTCAGCCCTGAAGCATACTTAACCAATTTCAGCCCCTTGTCATCTTCCTTTCTAGCAGAAGTCCATTTATTGAGTTACCATCCTCTTCTGCATAGCTAAAAAATTGAGGTGATGCTGAAGGGTGATTAGGCTGGTCCCAGGCATCTGGGCTGTGTCTGATTTAGCCATGGGCATGTAATGCAAGGTTGACCAATGAGATCTGCTGGGTGACTTATGGGAAAAGAATTTTCATTCCTAAGAGAGATATTTGTTAAAGAAAATATTGTCAAGTTTATATGTGAAATTTGGAACAACTACAGCCATCTTGCAACTGCGATGTCAACTAGCTTAAGGATAAAGCTAGTATATTGGAGTTAGCCTTATGGAAAGAAATGGACTTTGATGTTGTCTTTGAACTTCTGAATTATTGGAATTTAAGACTATAGTATGTCTTGGTGTCTTTAAAATTTTCATATAATTTAAAACTTGGTTATATCATTTTCTATAACTTAGAGAGCTGTAACATCAGTTTCCATAGCATAATAGATGTCATGTGTTCACAATTAATGAGTGGTACAGATAACATGTTGAATTCAGAGGATGGAGAGATATCATTGTGATACATTGAAGTGTCTAGCCTCCTGAGATGTCTTCATGGAAACAGGTAAGAATCATTACAATTTAGATCTGCCATGAAGAACCTCAGAGATCCTGGAGTACAGTTTCTACCTTTTAAAATGGATGTAAGTGATACTAGAAAAGCAAGCAACATAACTAGCAATAGGACTCGTCTCCTAGTTCCTGGGGCAGATGTTTAGGTTCTTGAATAGAATACTGACGCAATGAAAACAGAAGGTCCTTATGCCCACAATGTGGTATTCAAGTTGTTCCCAGAGAGTGAAAGCTGAGTTGCAGCCACCAGACCTTGAAGGGCCTTGTAAGTCATGATATAGAGCAGGGGTTTTATCCTGAGAACAGTAGAAAGGTCTTGAAGGGCCTTGAGCAGGGGAGTGACATGATCAGATGAGGAGAGTGGGTTGGATGGAGGCCAGGTGGAAAGCACCAAGATCATTTAAGAAAGAATATGTTTGGGTTTTAGTTTTAGTTTAGGAGACCAGTTGTGAGATGATGGTGGTAAAAACTCAGATAGTGGCAGTAGGGAAAGAGACTGGAGGATTTATTGGAAAGGCATTAAAGAAGAAGAGTGAACAGGATTTGATGATTGATTTACTATGGAGGTGGAGAGAGAGGGAGAAGATAAGGCTGATGCTTAGGTTTCTGACATGGACAAGTCAGTTGATTTTGTGCCATTCACTGAGATAAGCAGTGCTGAAGGAGAGCAAGTTGGAGGAAAAAGATGATCAGTTCAGGTCAACAGATTGAGTTTGAGACATCTGGATGTACACCTGGATGTATATGTCTAATTAGCAAATAGTTATATGTAGTGGCGTTAGGAACAGGCAGGAAAGTAAGATGGGGATAGAGATTTAGGAGTCATTGGCACCTAGAGAATAACTGAAGATAGGACATTAACAAGATGAGTCAGGCAAAGGGACTAGAAGAGGGCTTTGGCCATGGCTCAAGGAACTGCTTTAGAGGGTCAGGTGAGGAAGAGGAAATGTGAAGGGAGAGAGTAGGAACAGCTGGAGAAGTAGAAAGACAACTGCAAGAACTGGGGTAGCACAGAACTATTTGGAGAAGGAAGAGGTAGTGAATAGGGTCAACTTCTTCAAAGAAGTCAAGCAAGTTGATAGTCTTGAAGGGCAGTCTACATGGAGTGAAAAAAGAGAAATCAGAACAGAGCGGCCAGAGGAGTAATGGAAGATGAGGAAATGTAGAGAGTGTGAGAAAGTTTGGTATGATAGTAAAAGGGAGGAGAGAGTAGCAAGAGAGGTAAAATGGGAGCAGCTGCCTTTAAGCAAACATGGGAAAGGCTTGCATAAAAATTATTATAAGGAGATTTTTTATTTCTGTTACTTATGGTGCTGCATGGTACACTTGTAATGTTTTAAAATTGCATTGAGGTATATGTATGTGGCAGAGATTCATTGCACAAGAGAAACTGAGGGAAGGGGAGGAGCTTTGATGACTATACAAAGGATATTATCAGAGAGAAAGGAGAGGAAGAGAGTTAGGTGTCCAGCACTAGTAACAGCTCTGGCAGAAAGGAGCCCCTGCTTAGAAGCTGCAGGTTATCATGGGAAGGTAGGCAAAGCAGACCCTGGGCTATGAAATAGAGAGGATATTAACTAATCAGGGAAAGGTGTGAAGTTGATCCAGGTATGCAAAGAGGGAAAGAAAGCAGAGGTATGGAAAAAGGTACCTCCCATCCTCCAGAGTGGCTGCTTAGATTGATGAGCCCATGTATACATTTTGGTTTCAAACATCTTTTCACACTAATGCAGTTATGATTAATAAGCTGTTTTTAGGGCATGTAATATATAACACTCCAATTCCAGTGGCATAATTAATATCAGTGCGTTAGTCAGATTTCCTAAAAACCAAACAAGTTCTTTTAGAAATATAGATTTATGTTTCTCCAGTTAAGCCTTCAATTCCCCTTATTTCTATCTAGTTTAATAAAGATCCCCAAAATAATCTTGTTAGAAATAACAGTCTCATATATCACAGAGAAATAGTGTTGTCTCTGAAAGATTTTGCTAGTAAAATGTGAAAGCTGTTTGCCCTGTAACTTAGTGTTGTTTTCAAAGCATTTCAAAACATTTTCATTGAATCATAAATTAGAAAAGAAGTTGATGTCTATTCTTAATTTTGTTAGTCATAATTAAAGTGCTTATATTCAAGTGTTTTATCCAGTCTATGCCTGCTAACTCTTGAACACGTAATTTACATTTTAGAACCAGTATAAACTTGAACTGCATATTTGGCTAATGTTTTCAGCTCCATAGACTGTTGGGACAGTTAATGATTTTCAAATATATTTTACTTCCTTTGAGAGACTTGTCTGTTCTGTTGCCCAAATAGGTAACAGAAACTTTGCAATTCTGTCAGCAAAGATTCCTGCATTATTATCTTGTTCTGAAAAGGTGACTGAAATTCTTCCATTTATTAAAGTGTCTAGAGACAGTTTTTGCTACAGAAGCCATATATAACTCCTGACCACTGAAAGGCTTTCTGTATAAAAATGAAGTTAATTTTTAAACAGAGCAATGGAAATAAAAGAGTGTTCAAAAAATGGAAATAAAACACAGCAATGGAAATAAAAGAATCACTGTATTGTCAGTGCAAGAGATTACTTCATTGTGTTTTGAAAGGCGAGCAAAGCTATTGCACCGATGGACGCCTTGAACATTGGCAGTTGTCATTCTCCCGGATTCATTTGAAGGTGGCCTTTGTTTGTCTTTGTGCAGGCCTGATCTCATTTCCATGGATACCATGTAGAAATGCAGACTGAACACAAGCTGGCTTCGGGTCAGTTCAGTCAGACAACTCTATTCCAAATTGTTTACCAGTTGCCTTCGAGTCCTTTAGCCAACAGCTTCTTAGATGCTTGTTAGAATAGAGACCCCAAACCATCCTGGATTTCATAACCTCTTCTAAACCATATTCTGAATGCTGGTGCATAAAAATAGATATTTCAAAATAATTGACTTAGTGTTCTATGGTGGAAGAGGGGAAGGAAAAACTTAGCCTTGGAAATTGGGGCACTTTTATGTAATCTTTATTATTTTTTCAGTATAAAAATTTAATAAATAGCCCTAATGAGAAAATCTAATGCCACATTGAAAAATGATTAAAAATTTATGGAAGTAGTCATGGTAATTAAGAAATGCCTTTATTATTACACAGTATTTAATTTTTGCCCCTCAAATAATCTGCCTTTAATATATTAGTGTCATTTTATTATTTTTTTTGCTATGGTTCAAGTGAGCTATCACCTTAACTCTTTTTAAAAGTGAAGTCCCAGACCGAGTGCAGTGGCTCATGCCTGTAATCCCAGCACTTTGGGAGGCTGAGGTCAGGAGTTCAAGACCAGCTTGGCCAACATGGTGAAACCCTGTCTCTACTAAAAATACAAAAAAATTAGCCAGGTGTGGTGGCAGGTTCCTGTAATCCCAGCTACTCGAGAGGCTGAGGCAGGAGAATTGCTTGAACCTGGGAGGCGGAGGTTGCAGTGAGCCAAGATTGGTGCCACTGCACTTCAGCCTAGGTGACAGAGCCAGACGCTGTCTCAAAAAAGAAACCCAAAAAACAAACAAACAAAAAAGGCAGAGTCCCATGAGCTCCTGCCTTTTTTCATGTCCTCTCTCTCTTTCTGGAATACTCTTTAGCCCCAGCCTCCATTCTGTGCATCGTTTAAATCTTAATTTCACTGAGATTCATGCACCCTAGGAACCCTGCCAATCTTCTAATTCAATTTAGGTATCACTCCTCACTTGGACCCTTCCATAGCAATGTTACATTCTATTTCAATAACCCTTTCAGAACTTGGCTATAGTTCTTACTGACTGCAAGCTGAGAAGACAGGCCCATATCATCTTCACTTGTATCAAGGGTTCTTGGCACCATTTTATTCAATGAGTGATGAATCTATGAGCCATGTATGACAGCTACTGTAAGGGGATTAAAGACACACTTTCTGAATGAAGGCCAAGCTGAAAAATTTCTACTTCTTTCCAATTAGTATATGCAAAAATAATTCTATTTGTAAGTGTATCTGAATTTGCTAAAATATTCCTTTAGTTGATAAATTTGTTTTCACTTCTTTGACAGAGTTTGTTTGCTTTTAAAATGTTTTTCCTTTTTCATAACATGTCTAACTAGGATAGCTCTGTTGACAAGTAACAAGATGAATGAAAGTATTAGGACAGTACAGATATCATTTTTTCCCCAAACCCTTTTCTGTTCCCCTTTTCTGTTCTCATAAAGCAACACCATAATTTATCTTCAGCTTGACTCTCTCTCCCACCGAATACATTCTTTAAGATTACCTTCTGTCCTATTTATCATTGTATTTCAGGAGCCTGGCTCATAGTAAGCACTCAGAAAATGATGTATTAAAAAAGAAAAAAAATCAAAATTCAAATACAGTAAATTTTAAAACTTTTATTTATTGTAAAATGTAACATACATGTAGACAAATGCATAAAAGGTAAATGTACAGCTTTTTAGGGCTTGGGTTTCATTTTACTCTACTTAGAATTAGTAATTTTGTTTGTTACTATTTCACGGATGCTGCCACAAGACATGAAACTTCTGGGTAAGAGACAAAGGTCTTTATTACTCATTGCACAGCAAGTAACTTGATCAGCATATCTGTGTTGATACCCTTTGCCCACCAAGACACAGAGGGGCAACACAGAGGGCCCAGATAGATGCCTAAACATGCAGTAAGTTGCATTACAGAAAAGGAACACTGAGCATGGTGAATCTGCTGTTTTGTAGCAAGTCAGAAAGCCTGTTCTTTGTCCCACAGGGAGATGTTACCTCATTCTTCAAAGATGCTCACTGCAAAGACATCCCTGAGAAATGCTATGGTAAACAGTCATCAGGGTCTTGCATCTCAGGCATACTCAGCAGATATGTAGGTGTGTTAGATCTCCATGGAAGCATGTCTCCCAACACAGCTTAACACATAATTTTTTAAAATGTTGTGTAAGCACAACTCAGATAAAAAAATAAAAATAAAAGATTTCCAGGATCCCAGAAGTCCCCTATATGTTCTTTTCCAATCACAAATCCATTTCTCTAGTCTTATTTTTTTGGCAATAATTTCCTTGCTTTCATTTATACTCCTACTAGTTAAATATACCATCTACACTCAAGGGTTTAATTTTGCTAGATTTTAAGTATACACACACACAATTATACAATACATATTATTTTGTTTTTGAATTTTTTAACATTGCAATTGTGAGATTAATCTATATGTTGCACATAGATATAGTTCTTTTGTTTTCACCACTGTACAGTAAATAGTATAGTATTTTTATCACACAGTTCTTCATCACCAGATTGCTAAGAGATTTTTTAAAGTGACAATTGAGTATTAATTTTATAAATATTTTTCTGCATCTATTGGTTATTACATAAATTTTTCTTCTTTATTAATGTGGAAAATTACATTGATTGATATTAAAATATGATGAAAACCTGGTATTTGTGGTATAAACCCAAGTTGATCCACATGTTCTTTTTATAGGTTGCTGGATTTTGTTTAGAATTTTTGTATTCATGTTCATGAGTGTGATTATCCTATAATTCTTTATGTTTCTTACTCTCTCTACTGTATTGTCCCTCCATATGTCTGCCTACACTTCATTCTGGTTAGTTTCTTTTATCCTATATTACTGTTTACTAATTTTTGTTTCAACAGTGTGTATTCTGGAGTTAAAACATTCATTGAGTTCTTAATGATGGTTATTATATTTCGCAGTTTATGAGTTTCTATTTGGTTCTTTTCTAAATTTCTTTGCTAAGATGTTTAAGTTTAGCTTGTCCCCTTCACAACTTTTGTAAAGTTAGTGCTGGTTCCCATTTATGTTGCTTTCTTTCCCCTGGTGCCTGCTTATCTTAGCTAGACGTTATATTAGAAAAAATTATTTGACAAAATTGTTTGAGGCTTGGGTGATATTTTTCTACATAAAGCATTTTCTTTTTTTTCTTTTTCTTTTTGTTTTTTTTTTTTTTTTTTTTTCTTGATGAAGTCCAGCTCTGTTGTCCAGGCTGGAGTGCAGTGATGCAATCTTGGCTCACTGCAACTTCCAACTCCCGGGTTCAAGCGATTCTCCTGCCTCAGATTCCTGAGTAGCTGGTAATACAGGTGTGTACCACCATGCTGGGCTAATTTTTGTAGTTTTAGTAGAGATGGGGCTTCACCATGTTGGCCAGGCTGGTCTCGAACTCCTGATCTCAAGTGGTCCACCCACCTCAGCCTCCCAAAGTGCTGGAATTACAGGTGTGAGCCACCACACCCAGCAATAAAGCATTTTCATTTGCTTCTATTGAGACAATACCCTAGAAGTTTTGCAGTGGCAGTGTGATGACCAATGAGGTTTATCTGAGGTGCGATTATTGCTAATTGAAGCAGTGCCCTGGAGGTACTAGAATTCCTTATCAGTTTCATACAATTTCAGGGCTTGATTTTTTATAGGTTACCCAGACAATTCATTCAAGGGCTGCTTTACTTACGGTTCACATGTCATGTAAGGAGCAGTGGTTTTGAGCATAAACTCTATTCCTGGGATTTATCAGATACCCCACTTTTGACAGGTCTTGGATTTCACTTTTCAGATCCTTTTTAGGATTGGCAAATCGCTTTCTTCACTGTCCTCTAGCAAGACAAAAAGTGATTCAACTCCCCAGCACTTTGGAAAGCCAAGGCAGAAGGATTGTTTGAGGCCAGGAATTTGAACCTAGACTGGTCAATATAGCGAGACTCTGTTTCTACAAAAGAAAAATTTAAAAAATTAGCCAGGAATCGTGCTGCATGCCTGTAGTCCCAGCTACGCCGGAGGATGAGGCAAGAGGATCATTTGAGCCTAAGAGGTCAAGGCTGTAGCAAACCTGGATGACAGAACAAGGCCCTTTCTAAAAAAAAAAAAAAAAAAAAAAAGTGATCCAACTGTCTGCCTGAGTCATTTCTCTGAACTTCTTTCTTCACCCCATCTTCTTAGCAATTTGATGCTTTAGAAGACATCTTAAATATCTTGTTTTATATTTCTTGCAATTTTTCAGTGATCTTCAGTGGGAGAGTTGGTTAAAATAACAAAGTCTTTTATTGCCAAAGGAGAAAATCTGGAGTAGTGTTTTAGAGTCCCCTTTTAAAAAAATATTGATTTTTAATTTTCCAAATTCTCCTCATACTATTTATTGATGTGGCATTTTAACTGATAGAAAATTAGATTTTTTCAAAATAGATTAAAACAATATTCAATATTGGTTAGTATTCTAAAATTTTAATTTTATAGTATAAAACATTTTTGACCAATAAATTCAACTCACTTTTTAATATATATCTGTATATTTGCTTGTATTAATTACTCCCTTTTCTTTAACTGTGAAGTAAATGTGTCCATTGAAATACTAAACTTGATTAATAATTTTATCTTGTGGATTTTCTTTATAAAGTTGAATATTTAAATATCTTTAGAGAAAAATGACACATACTAAAATAATTAACAGAAAAAATATTTATATTTCTTTTGATATTTACATGTGATTATATGAATATAATCTTTTCATAGATATACTCACTATATGCAAATGAATACTGCACTTTTATCACTTAATATATTTTGTATATACTTTTCCATGTGAGTTTTATATTTATAACTTTAATGCATCCTGCCATGCCATGGTTAACTATTGTCCCATTGTTGGATATTTAGGTTGTTTCCTGTGGGATATTTTGCCCCCCACTGTAAATAATGTGGCTATAAACATCATTGTACAAGAAGTTTTTTCTTTTCGTTTTACTTTTGGATCATTTCCAAAAGGGGCATTACTATGTCAAAGAGTGTGTGTGTTTTTTAGCTCTTGTTGCATATGGAACAGTGTAGCCATCTGTAATGTGGAATTTACCAATTTCATCAGCATTAGATTTTCATTTACTTCTTGAAGTTTGATGGATATAAAGTGGTGCTCCATATTTATTTCCATTCTTTTTATTCATGAGGGTGCATTTTTTCAAGTTACGATTTAAAAATGCCTATCTTTTGAAAAAAAATATTTTTAGATTAGGGTATTCTAGAAATTTGAGCTAGAAGAAACCTCAAGATATCATCTAGTTCAGTGTCCTGCTTTATTCTTATGATAACCAGCCTTGAAGTGACTAAAGACCATGACTCCAACCTGAACAGAACACTCCAGCCAGTATAGTGTCCATCATTTTAAGCTACCCATTGGGGCTCCCTCTCAAAATCTCTTTGACAAACTGCCCTTTGTCTTTTATTCCCCACAGGCTGATTACAATCCATTTTCACTTGAGGCATGGCAATCTTCTAGTTAAAATTTCCACACTTCCATGGGTCAGAACCCTTTAAGGGAGAGGGAAGACATTCTCTCTGCCAGAGCACTTGACTGTGAGTAACTGAATCTGTAGACTGTTCTGGTTACCCCTTGACATGTAACCAGTCACCCCAAAATTTAGTGATATGAAACCACAACCTCACTTATTATCTCTCATGGTGTCTTGGGTCAGGGCTTTGAGAATGGCTTGGCTGGACCATCTCACTCGAAGTCTCTCACATACTGTTAGAGGGAGGCAGCTCTCCCTCTTCCTGTGGTATCCTCAAGCCTCTCCACATGGTGCCCTCTGAGTAAGTTGACTTCTTGCATGGTGGGTAGGGCACCAAAGGCAACCATCCCAAAAGAAACTGGCAGAATGGATGGGCTTTTATAACCTTGGCTCAGAAATCACATAACTGCATCTATTCATCAAAGCAATCACAAAGTCTCACCTAGATTCAGGGGGAGGAGACTTAAGATTCCACCTATGGATGGGGAGTGTCAAAAGATTTCCAGACATATTTTTAAACAAAGTAGTAACTTAATAAACTTAATGGTCCTCGACCATTCATTGTTTTCTTTTTCTTTTTCTTTTTTAGAGACAGAGTCTCACGACGTTTGCCCAGGCTGGTCTTGAACTCCTCAGCTCAAGCGATCTGCCCTCCTCAGCCTCCCGAAGTGCTGGGATTACAAACTTTTGAGAGACCATGCGAGGCCCCATTTGTTGTTTAGACCAGTGTTTGGGCATGGATATTATTGACAATTGGGGCCAGATAATTTTTTTTGAAGTAGTAAGGTAGGCTGGGGGTGTCTGGTCTGTGCATTGTAGGATATTGATCATCAGCCCTGTCCTCCACCCACTAGATGTTAATAGCAATACACTACTCCAGCTGCCCTAGAGTGACAACCAAAAATATGCCCAGACATTACTAAATGTCCTCTGAGGGATAAAATTACATCCAGTTGAGCACCACTGCACTAAATGAACATATATTAAGCACATTTAATGTTCATGGCAACATAAAAGAGAACTCCAACTCTGGAGAGTAAGTTAAATCCCATCATTTTTCTGAGTAACTTTAGATAAGCCATAGGCAAACAATTCCCTACCTTGTTGGGTCATTGGGAAGATCGAAGGGGATTATAAGTGAAAAAGTATTTTTCATATTGTAAAAGCATATGGAATATTATTTAAAAAAAAATCAGTACACTTGGTATGCATCCATTTTTATCATCATTCATTTATTTAAGGGACCTTCTTAAGGGACTTTTATGGAGTGCCTATTGTATACCCACAGAGTGTCAGGCCTGGGGCACTGGAGGATTGAGGCAGCCAGCCCCCTTCCAGAAGCTCTTCTTTCCATTTCTAGCATCACCTGGACAGGAGAATAGTAGCACCTAGATCCTTAGTGACTGTAAAGTTTGACACTTAAAGCAAGGACTTTCTAAGAAAATTGCATCTTTCTTTTTTTAATAAAAGTAAGGGGAAATGTTATGCCACTGCATTCCAAAAGCAGTTGTAAGGGTCCTTTTGTGCTTTTGGTTTTTGCTCTAATGTTTTGTTTAAGGACTAGAGCCATAAACCAAACATTGCAGAACTTAAATCTTTACACAGTGTGTGGTCATTTCCAAAAGGCCTACAACTTCTAAGTTTAGTTGCTTTGTTTTTTTTTTTTTTTTTTTTTTTTTTTTTTTTTTTTTTTGGAGGGGGAGGAGAGGACTTTCTACTTGCATTACTGTCCTTTCAACATGAAGACAATGCTATTGGAAAATGAGATTTCCTGTGGTGATGTATGTGTTCAAAAGATCTAATGTGACCTATGATCATTTCCCGTTGCCATACACATTCTGAGTAATGATGAGATACACTTTAGAGTTTGAAGTCTATTTGCTTAGGTTCAGAGTCAGGGTCTGAGTAACCCCACTTCCTGTTTGTGTGACTTCCTGGAGGGTCCATGGAAGGATAATATTTTCTTGGCTTTTGTGGTGTGCTTCTCGTGTGTGTCAGCAAAATGCAGCAACGTGTCATCCTCCTAACCATTAGACAGCAATTTTCAGAAATGTGAATATAAATTTGCTCAGGATATACTTTTTATGTTAGAGATGAAAGTGGGGGCCAGGTGGGCAGATCACTGGAGGTGAGGAGTTTGAGACCAGCCTGGCCAATGTGGTGAAACCCCATCTGTACTAAAAATACAAAAATTAGCCAAGCATTGTAGCAGGTGCCTGTAATCCCAGCTAACAGGAGGCTGAGGTAGGAGAATTGCTGGAACCCGGGAGGTGGAGGTTGCAATGAGCCAAGATTGCACCACTGCACTCCAGCCTGGGCAACAGAGCGAGACTCTGTGTCAAAAAAAAAAAAAAAAGATGAAAGTGGGATAATAAATTGCTATGCCTTATTAAATTTCTCAAGAAGTGTGCCCCCCTCAGTAGTGTATAATGATACTAATCGTAAAAACAAAAAAAATCTACTAAGTACTTACCATTTGTTAGACACTGGGTTGAGAGTTTTATATGCATTGTCTGACCACAATGAGGTAAACATATACATGATATCTATTTTACAGATGGGAAAGGAATGGCTTATACAAAACAAGGAACTTGCTCAAGGTCACAGTACTATTCAAACCTCAGAGGCCAAGCTCTTAGGCACTGCGATATACTACTGGCTTTGCTCAGTAAATGGACCTTTCAGCTTAAAAAATGCTGTACATCACAAACTAACACAGAAACAGAAAACCAAACACAGCATGTTCTCACTCGTAAGTGGAAGCTGAACAATGACAAGACATGGACCCCGGGAGGGGAACAACACACACTGGGGCCTGTCGGTGGGGGCGAGGGGAGAGAGAGCATCAGGATAAGTAGCTAATGCATGCTGGGCTTAATACCTAGGTGATGGATTGATAGGTGCAGCAAACCACCATGGCACACGTTTACCTATGGAACACAAACCTGCACATTCTGCACATGTATCCCAGAACTTAAAATAAAAAGTTACAGTTGTGAAATTTTTTAAAAATGGTGTACATCTCTTAATGGTATTAGCATACTTCTGCCATGCCATCACCCCGTAATATAGTCAGTCTTCTTTTTAGGGTTCTCCTATAGCTAGATTCTTGAAAAAGTTAAATGTTCTGTCAAATTCTAAATAGAAAATACAATGTGTTTATTTGCATGAACATATGTGTATATAGGTATGTATATTTTAAATTAATCTGTCTTTTAATTCATTGATGTATATACCTGCACAGTAGCCTGCATTCAAGAGGATTTATTAGTTAATTAAACTGTTCTTTATTAATCTCCTATTATATCCGTAACTTATTGTTAGGTGGAAAGGTGAAGCAATCAGTGTTTATTCAGTAATTATTATTGAACCACGACCATGTGCAAGGTATTATTCTAAGTGCTGGGGAATATATCAGTGAACAAAATAGACACAGCCCCTCTCTGTTAGGGTCAAAGGCATATTTATTATAAAACAAGTGAAGCCGAAGTTTCAGGGGCCCTCCCTGTGCACTTCCCTTCCTCTGTTTTCACAGTGCCAGATATTTTCATTCAACATGCAAAAGGTTAAGGTCACCGTCTCTTTTCTATCCTAACACAACATATTTCAACAACAAAAACATAAAAAAAAATTCATTAATCAACTTCATCAATTCAGAGGTTCTGGATTAATCACTATAAAACAAAGCATGAGGTGCCTTGAAATGCTGTAGCTCCTATGCAGACTTAGAAAACAGTCCTAAACATGTGCATGGCATCACAAACAGGGAGGTGTGAAAGTGAAAGGAGCTTTTCCTAACTACGAATAATGATAATTTTAAAAATTCAATGTAGCATGCTAGAAGAAAAAATGAATTCTCTTGTTCTCTTTAGAGAATAGGACTTAATAAAATTGCTGTCATGTGAAGAGGTGATATAGAGCAGAGCCCCAAACTAGGAAAAAACGAGTTGCATAAGTGTGTCAGGCAATCAGTTGGATTTCCAGGAAGTACACTACAGTAAGAGCTGCCAATAGTGAGCATCAAAGAAGTTGGAAGAAAGGTATGCACAGGCTAGGATGGTCAGAAAAGACCCTAACCAAAATTTATAGAGAAGTGGCTTGTGAACAGGGTATAATAAAAGAAATACTAACTTCAGTTATGTCTGTTTTTTCCATATATTGCCTCAAGATATGTGAGACATATCCTGCTAATGAGCAAGTTAGGTGACAGGCACTGACTTGCTAAATACACACAAAATATGCTATTTTGAGAGAGAGAAACGGGGAGAGAGAGAGAAAAAAAAAAGAGAAAGTTTATCCTTTCACATAGAAGCAATTTAGGAAGAAGTGGAGAAGTAGAAAGTGACTTCATGAGATGGTATTTCTAGTAACTCTTGGGCCAACACACTTTCTTCTGTATTTCACTGTCTTCCTCTCAGCCACTGAGAGACGGCAAGTCTACCAGATGGTGGCTTACCCTCCAGCAATCTTATGAAAAAGAGAGAATCTATTGAGTTGTTAAGAAGCACTAAGTCATAATAAATGGACATTAGAGGCAATTGCAATGGGCTTTTGGAGATGTTCCTGGCCTGAAGATTGAATTTTTGAAATGTGAAAGGGCCTCCAAATGATCTAAACACATGCCACAGTACTCCAGGACTTGATGCAGTTACAAAACAAAATGAAAACAACTTTGGATTGTTTTCACACAAAATATAAACCTTAAATGATACAACTGGAATTATTGTATATCTGTCCTTATATTTATATCTGTGCATAAATGTATGGACAGAATTATCTTCAAAACCTGAAATAGTAAATTGGAATTTTCTGGTGTAATATACTTTCTCCTTGTATTAGTCAGCTCGGGTTATCATAACAAAATATCACAGACTAGGTGGCTTAAACAAGAGAGACATATTTTCTCACAGTTCTGGAGGTTAAAAGTTCAAGATCAAGGCTCTCTCAGGTTGGTGTTGGTTTCTACTGAGGACTCTCATCCCGGCTTATAGATGGGCACTTTCTCACCATGTCCTCACATCACCTTTCCCTATGTGGGTACTGAGAGAGAAAGATCTCTGGTGTCTCTTCTTCTTGTAGGGACATCAGTCATACTAGATTAGGGCTTCACTCTTAGGACCTCATTTGACCTTAACCACTTCATTAAAGGCTCTGTCTCCAAATACAATCACATTGAGGGTTAGGGTTTGAATACAGGAATTTTGAGAGACACAATTCAGTTTGTAACACCCCCTTTGGCTTAATGGTTTAAGGGGTTTATTTCTGGTCATGGAAGTGACGCTCATGTATTTCTTTGATATGAACACAAAGTAAGTGTCAAACATATGATATATGGACACACTGTAAAAAACAAATAGCCGCAAATCATGAAGCAGGATATTATCGCCAGATGTCAGCTAGAGTCTCTCTCTCTCTGCCTCTTAAAATTGAGATAAGATTTATTCAAATCCCTATTCCATTCTTATAAGAAAATGCAGTGCCCTCTCAAGATTTCCGTGAACTCCCAGGAGATGTGCATTTTCATTGACTTGGGCCCTCACTTCCTGACTGCAGAGTGTTTATTCTCCACTCTGCCAGGTCTGGTATTTGATTTTGACCCTAGGTACAGTCAATACATTAGCCTGATACTGTCTCATGGATGCTACAAGATGCCATGACATGCATGAGTCAGAGAAGGACTTTATTACTCACAGCACAGCAGGCAGCACGAGTATGAGCATGTGTCTATCAGTTCCCCTTTCCCCACTCTAGTCTCATAGTGTTACATGAAGGGGCCCAGACAGACACCTGCACACAGTGGGGTGCAAGACAGGAAAGAAACAATGAGCTTGGTGGACCTGCTGCTTTATAGCAAGCAGTCAGCAAGCCTTCTCTTTGACCTGGGGGAAGAGATTATCTCACCCCTCAATATTATTCATCATAAACACAATGCTAAGAAATGGCCCAGGTAAATAGTAGTCAGGGCCTTGCATTCTTGATATACCCATTGTATTAAGTTGAATGGTAGTCTCCCCCAAATATGTCTCTATTCTAATCCCCAACACCTATGAGTATTACCTTATCTGGAAAGAGGGTTTCTGTAGATTGCCTTGAGGAGACTGATGGTAAAAACATGAAGGCTCAAGCTACTTCTGGTGAGGGCTCAGAAGGAAACCAGGAATATGCTGTTGGAAACTGCAGAAAATGTCCTCATTATACAGCGGCAGAATATTTGACCTAATTGGGTCTTATTGTTGTTCAGAAAGCATACAACTTTTAAGTGAGGAACTTGGATATTTAGCTGAGCAAATTTTCAAGCAAAATATTCAAGGTGTAGCCTGTTTTTACCTGCTAGATATAGTAAATTGTGAGAGGAAAGAGATAATTTGAAGGATCACCACTTGATGATCTGGCAAATTCTCAGCCTATCTAGATTGATTATATATTTTATATATATATGCTGAGTGTTATGGACTGAATGTTTGTGTCTCTCCAAAATGCATGTGTTGAAATGCAATCCCCAGTGTGATGGCATTTGGAGATTGAGTCTTTGGAACATAATTAGGTCATGTGGATAGAGCTGTCTTCCTGCCTTGTGAGGATGCAACAAGAAGTCAGCAGCCTGAAACTTGGAAGAAGGCTCTCACCAGAACTTGACCATGCTGCACAATGATTTTAGACTTCCATCTCCAGAACTGTTAAGAAATAAACTTCTGTTGTTGGCCACCCAGTCTATGGTACTTTGTTATAACAGGCGGAATGAAGACACTCATATTAGGAGTTTCACTGTTAGAAAAGCATCCTCTGAAAGCAAAGGGTGTGGCTAGACATCCTTTTGTGGAAAAGATTAGGTATGTGGTTGCCAGATCCTCTCAACCATCTCAGCAACAATCAAAATAGTGATGAGGTTATCCAGGAAAGATTTCCTGTGGAGAGCTCTTTTGTTTAGTGGCATGAATCCTGCATTACCTACATAAGAAACCTGCAAATTTTTAAAAAAATGTTATCTCAGCAGAAGCATTGCCATCTTTGACTGAAGGTGATAGAGAGGCAGAGGCCAGAGGAGCTGTTGAGAGCCCAGAGGCCTATGGTTGACAGCCCAGAGAACAGAGGCTCGAACAACAGAGGATTATTCTCAGGCCTTGAAATCTAATTGAAAATTTCCTGCTAGGTATTAAATTTGTTTAAGGTTGGTGACCCTTTTACTCCTTCCAATTGCTGCCTTTTGAAATGGGAGTGTCTATCAGATGCCTGCCCCACCATTATATTTTGGAAGCAAATAACCTATTTTCTAGGCTCACAGGCTTAGAGATGGAGAGGAATTTTGCCCCAGGACAGATCATGCCTGGCATCTCACTCACACCAAATTTAGATGATGAGATTTGGGACTTTTGAGCTGACAATATTTAGATGAGATTTCGAGCTCAGAGTTAATTCTGTAATGGGTTGAGCCATTTGGAAATGTTGAGATACCTTAAAGAATGTATTTTGCATGTGGCATGAATGTGAATTTTGGGGGGCCAGGTGACAGAGTATAGTGGCTCCCAAAAAGATATGTCCATGTCTTAATCACTGGAACCAGTAATTGGAAAAGGGGTCTTTACAGATGTGGTGGTTAAGGATCTTGAGATGAAAACATCCTGGATTATCTGGGTGAGAGCTAAATCCAATGACAAATGTTTTTGTAAGAGTGGGGCAGAGGGAGATTTGACACATGTAAAGGGGAGGAGGAGATGTGACCACAGACATAGAGATTGGAGTGATGCAGACACAAGTTAAGGAATGCTCACAGCCCCAAGAAGATAGAAGAAACAAGAAATGGATTCTTCTCTGGAGCCTGCAGAGGGAGCAGAGCCCTGCCAACACCTTGATTTTGGACTTCTGACCTTCAGAACTGTGAGAGAATAAACTTCTGCTGTTTTAAACCACAACGTTTATGGTAATTTGTTACAGCAGCCAGAGAAAACTAATGTATCCATTAAGACATATAGAGGGGCCAGAGACCCATAGAGGACTGTCTTTCCCAGCTGACTAATCCTGTAGTTGTTCCTTTATTTTGCCTAAAAGGTTGAATTTTCTTCCTTAACTTTCCCACAAAATCATTCATACAATACCTTTGTGTGTGCAATGAGCTTTTGCCAAGGTGTGGTGAGATCAGAGGCAAGCCAATTACAGCAATACAAACAGACTAAAGTACTGTTAGGCATCCCTGTTGCTGCAGGTTTCCAACCCACCGCTATGTTGCTGGTCATCCTTTCTTTCCCTCTTGTCATTGTTCCTGCCTCCCTCAAAGTCCTATTCAGCTTCCTCCTTAGTGGCCCTGCCTCTTTATTACTGATGCCCTGAAAGTTTTATCTGCACCTCAGTTTATCAAGGATTTTTCTACACAAAGATAGTTTCTCTCTAAAATATAAGTATAAAATATTTTCCCCATTAAATAATAAATGATTGCATCAGAGTAATAGTGTTTAAAAAGAACTTTGAGAGATTCATTGTAGTGATGGTGAATATGTGAGTGGGGGGGAGTGAGGGGAGTGGTAATAAGGAAGGAAGGTAGGATGGGACCAAGAAAACCCGGACTCAGAAGGATGTTGGAATTAGAACCAGTCAGAGCTAGAGAAGCAAGGTCCTCAAGGCTGAGAATATGTTCTCATGCATCCAGACATCAAAGTTACAAAGTGGAAGAATTTGCCAACTTAAAATGTAAGTAATGAGTGTATTTGAAAACAAATTTGTCATCACTGATTTTAGCAAAATCTGTGTAAATTAAGTACAAAGAAATTGTCATGGTTATAAAAAAAATCCTTGGGAGCAGTAAAGGGTTATTTATATGTAAAATATCATTATAGTCTTAGGAAGTTGAGCACAGCCTGGCTTTCATTCTGCACCACAGACTAGAGTGGAGATTCCCTCAGGATGAGGACTGTATTTTAAATTTCATTGATGATTAACACTTTCTACAGGGTGGGAAAATATTCTCCTACTGTACACTCTTGCTGAGAATTTGTAAGGTTTGTGGATGCATTTGGATTTATTTGGATAAAAAAGGATGAGTTTGTTCCTAATACACATGAGATAGATTTGGTTTTCTGTTCCTGGCACCAGATAGCAACATTATATCCAAATGGTGGCTTGGATTGACTGGAAAGTTTCAAATAACATTAAAAAAATTAATTTCTATTTTTATTTTTGGAGAAGGAAGAAATGATTCTGTCTTAAGCATCAGCATTTATTGCTTTCTATTATTTTTATTTTTAAACAATACCATTGTTGGGCTACCTTTGGTGGGCATTTAGGTTGACTCCATGTCTTTGCTATTGTGAATAGCACTGCAATGAACATAGGCATGCATGTGTCTTTATGGTAAAACAATTTATAGTCCTTTGGGTGTATACCTAATAATGGGATTGCTGGGTCAAATGATAATTGTGTTTTAAGTTCTTTGAGAAGTCACCAAACTGCTTTCCACAATGGTAGAACTAATTTACGTTCCCACCAGCAGTTTATAAGTGATCCCTTTTCTCTACAACCTCACCAGCATGTTATTTTTTTACTTTTTATTAATAGCCTTGCTGACTGGTATGAGATGATATCTCACTGTGGCTTTGACTTGTATTTCTCTAAAGATCAATGGTGTGGAGCATTTTTTCATATACTTGTTGGCCACATGTATTTCTTCTTTTGAAAGCATTGGTTAATTTCCTTTGCCCACTTTTTAATGGGGTTGTTTGGTTTTTTGCTGGTAAATTTGCTTAAGTTCCATACCGATTCTGGACATTTAATCTTTTTCAGATGCATAGTTTTCGAATATTCTCTCCCACTCCATAGGTTGTCTGTTTACTCTGTTGATAGTTTATTTTGCTGTACAGAAGCTTTTTAGTTTAATTAGGTCTCACTTGTCAATTTTGTTTTGTTATAACTGCTTTTGGCATCTTTATCATGAAATCCTTGCCAGAGCCAATGTTCGGAATGGTATTTCCTTGATTATTTTCCAGGTTTTATACTTTCAGGTTTTGCATTTAAGTCCTTAAATCTATCTTGAGTTGATTTTTGTGTATGGTGTAAGGAAGGGGTCCATTATCAATCTTCTGCCTGTGACTAGCCAGTTATCCCAACACCATTTAGTAAATGGGCAGTCCTTTCCCTATTTCTTTCTTTTTTTTTTTTTGTCAACTTTGTCGAAGATCAGATGGTTGTCAGTGTAAAACTTTATTTCTGGGGCTCTCTATTCTGTGCCATTCATCTATGTGTCCATTTTTGTACCAGTACCATGTTGTTTTCATTACTGTAGCCTTGTAGTATAGTTTGAAGTTGGATAATATGATGCCTCTAACTTTGTTCTCTTTGCTTAGATTGTTTTTGCTATTTAGGCTCTTTTTGATTCCATATGAATTAGAATTAGTTTTTTCTAATTCTGTGAAGAATGTCATTAATAGTTTGATAGGAATAGCATTGAATCTATAAATTGGATTGGGAAGTATGGCCATTTTAACAATATTGATTCTTCCTAGCCACAAGCATGAAATGTTTTTCCATTTGTTTGTATCATCTAGGATTTATTTCAGAAGTGTTTTATCAGTCTCTGTAGAGATCTTTCACTTCCCTGGTTATCTGTACTCCTAGGTATTTTATTCTTTTTGTGGCTTTTGTGAATGGGATTATTTTCTTGTTTTGGCCCTCAGCTTGGACGTTATTGGTGTATAGGAATGCTACTGATTTTTGTATGTCAATCTTGTATCCTGAAACTTTGTTGAAGTTGCTTATCAAATCTAGGAGCTTTGAGCAGAGACTATGGCATTTTCTAGGTATAGAATCATATCATCTGCAAACAAATAGTTTGACTTCCTCTTTTTCTATTTGGATGCCTTTATTTCTTTCTCTTGTTTGATTGCTTTGGCTGTGACTACCAGTAATATGATAAATAGGACTGGTGAGGGTCAGCATCCTCGTCTTGTTCTGGTTCTCTAAGGGAATGCTTCCCACTTTTGCCCATTCAGTATGATGTTGGCTGTGGGTTTGTCATAGATGGTTCTTATTACTTTGAGGTATGTTTCTTCAGTGCCTAATTTGTTGAGGGTATTTAACTTGAAAGGATGTTGAATTTTATCGAAAGGTTTTTCTGCATCTATTCAGATGATCATGTGGTTTTTGTTTTTAGTTCTGTTTATGTGATGAATCACATTTATTGATTGGCATTTGTTGCACCAACTTGCATCCGAGGGATAAAACCTACTTGATCATGGTGGATTAGCTTTTTGATGTGCTGCTGGATTTGGCTTACTGGTACTTTATTGAGGAATTTTGCATCTATGTTCATCAGGGATGTTGGCCTGAAGTTTTCTTTTTTATTGTGTCTCTACCAGGATTTGGTATTAGAATAATGCTGGCTTCATAGAATGAGTTAGGAAGGAGTCCCTCCTCCTCAATTTTTTGGAATAATTTTAGTAGGAATGGTACCAGCTCTTCTTTATACATCTGGTAAAATTCAGCTATGAATTCGTCTGGTCCTGGGCTTTTTCTGGTTGGTAAGCTTTTTATTACTCATTCAATTTCAAAATGCATTATTGGTTTATCCAGTTTCAGTTTCTTTGTGGTTCAATATTAAGAGGTTGTATGTTTCCAGGAATTTATCTATTTCTTCTAGGTTTTCTAATTTGTGTGCATAGAGGTGTTCATAATGGACTCTAAGGGTTTTTAGTATTTCTATGAGGTTGCTGACAATATCCCCTTTGTCATTTCTGATTGTGTCTATTTTAATTGCCTCTCTTTTTCTTTATTAGTCTAGCTAGCAGTCTATCTATCTTGTCTATTCTTCAAAAAAAAAGAACTCCTGAATTTGTTG
Source organism: Homo sapiens (assembly GCF_000001405.40). Lineage (NCBI taxonomy): Eukaryota > Metazoa > Chordata > Mammalia > Primates > Hominidae > Homo > Homo sapiens. Next base: position 53,015,062 of record NC_000005.10, read on the forward strand.
ATCTTTTTTATGGGTTTTTGTACCTCAATTTCATTCAGTTCTTCTCTGATTTTGGTTATATGTTGCTTTCTGCTAGCTTTGGAGTTGGTTTGTTCTTGTTGTTCTAGCTCCCATTGGTGTGATATTAGGTTGTTAATTTGAGATCTTTCTAACTTTTTCATGTGTATGTTTAGCACTATCAACTTTCCTCTTAACATTGCTTTTGCTGTGTCCCAGAGATTCTCATGTTGTATCTTTGCTTTCATTAGTTTCAAAGAATTTCTTGACTTCTACCTTAATTTCGTTGTTTACCCAAAAGTCATTCAGGAGCAGGATGTTTACTTTAGATGCAATTATTTGGTTTTGAGCAATCTTCTCAGTATTGATTTCTATTTTTATTGTGCTGTGGTCCAAGACTGTGGTTGGTATGATTTTTTTTTTTAATTTGCTGAGAATTGTTTTATGGCTGATTGTGTGGTCAGTGTTAGAGTATGTACCTTGTGCAGATGAGAAGAATGTGTATTCTATTGTTTTGGTGTAGAAAGTTCTTAGATGTCTATTAGGTCCATTTGATCAAGTGTCAATCAGGTCCTAAATATCTTTGTTAGTTTTCTGCCTCAATGATCTGTCTAATACTGTCAGTGGGGTGTTGAAGTTGCCCATTATTATTGTGTGGTTATCTAAGTCTTTGTAGGTCTCTAAGGACTTGTTTTATGAATCTGGGTGCCCCTATTTTGGGTGCATACGTATTTAGGGTAGTTAGGTCTTCTGTTGAATTGAACTCTTTACATGATATAATGCCCTTCTTTGTCCTTTCTGATTGTTGTTGGTTTAAAGTCAATTTTGTCTGAAATTAGAATAGCAGCCTCTGCTTTTTTCACTTCTCTGTTTGCTTGATAGATTTTTCTCCAACTCTTTGCCTTTGAGCCTATGGGTGTCATCACATGTGAGAAGGTTCTCTTGAAGACAGCATACACTCGGGTCTTGCTTCTTTCTCCAACTTGCCACTCTGTGCCTTTTAATTAGGGCATTCAGGCCATTTATACTCAAGGTTAACATTGATTTGTGCGGATTTGATCCTATCATCAAGTTAGCTGATTGTTATACAGACTTGATTGTGTAGTTGCTTTATAGTGTCAATGGTCTATGTACTTAAGTGTGTTTTTGTGGTAGCTGCTAACAGTCTTTCCTTTCCATATCTAGCACCCCCTTAAGGACCTCCTGTAAGGGAGAGGTCTGGTGGTAACTAATTCCCTTAGCATTTGCTTATCTGAAAAGATCTTATTTCTCCTTCACTTATGAAGCTTAATTTGGCTGGAAATGAAATTCTTGGTTGGAATTGCTTTTGCTTAAGAATTCTGAATATAGGCCTCAAATCTCTTCTGGCTTGTAGTATTTCTGCTTATAAGGTTCGTTGTTAGCCTGATGGGGTTCCCTTTATAGGTGACCTAGCCCTTCTTTCTGGCTGCCTTTAACATTTGTTCTCTATTTTCGACTTTGGAGAATCCGATGACTATGTGTTTTGGGGATGATCATCTTGTCTGGTATCCTACAGGGGTTCTCTGCATTTCCTGAATTTAAATGTTGGCGTCTGCAATGAGGTTGGGGAAATTTTCACGGATGATATCCTCAAATATGTTTTCCAAGTTGCTTTCTTTCTTTCCCTTTCTTTCAGGGATACCAATGAATCATAAATTTGGTCTCTTTACATAATCCCATATTTCTTGGAGGTTTTGTTCATTCTTTTTTATTCTTTTTTCTTTATTTTTGACTGAGTTAATTTGGAGAACTGGTCTTTGAGCTCTGACATTTTTTCATCAGCTTGGTCTATTCTGCTGTTAATACTTGTGATTGTATTATGAAATTCTTGAAGTGAGTATTTCAGCTGTATCAGATGAATATTTCTTTCTTGAAATAGTCATTTTGTCTTTCAGCTCCTGTATTATTTTGTTGTATTCCTGAGATTCCTTGGATTGGGTTTTGACTTTTTCTCCTGAACCTTGATGATCTTCATTTCTATTCATATTGTGAATTCTAGTTCTGTCATTTCAGCCACTTCAGCCTGGGTAAGAACCATTGCTGGGGAACTAGTGCTGTTGTTTGGAAGTAAGGAGACATTCTGGCTTTATGAGTTGTCAGAGTTCATGGGCTGTTTCTTTGTCATCCGTGTGGGCTGATATTCCTTCAGTCTTTGAAATTGCTACTTTTTGGATGGGTTGTTTTTTGCTTTTATCTTCTTTGATGCACTTGGAGGATGTGATTGTGGTGTTTAGTGAACTGGCATTGTCTCTGTAAGATTATAGGGAGCAAAGGCTCAGCCCTGCACTCCTAGGCTTCATACTCTAACTCTGAGGAACTGGCATTGGGCCCCCCCGCTTTGTTCTCTGGTCTTTCAAGGTTAGGCATCTGCTGCACTGGAGGGGCCAAAGTGTTCATGCTCTATATTGTCCACAACACTCCGATGGGGGAATGCCAGCCAAAGCTCTTTGTTGGGGTGGTGGCAGCAGGATCCATCGTCACTTTTATGTGACAGCAGCTGTGGCAGCATGGCCGTGTGCCCATGTGTCAGCTGGGGTGGGGCTCCAGAAGGAGCAGGGTGGCAGCAACCTGCTGGCGGTGCATGGTAGCAGTACAGCAGGGGCAGGGCACCAGTGGGGATGAGGTTGCCAGTATTCCTGTGTGCATTCATGCCAGCATAGCAGGCTGCCCACACATCAGCTGGGGGTATGGTAGGATGAGCATGCACTGGCAGGGGAGGAGAGACAAGGTCTTCTGGCATGTGTGGGCCAGCAAAGCAGTGTTGGGGGGATGTGGAGGGGTGTGAGGCATGGGTAAGCGCATGCTGGCAAAATGCTGGGGAGAGGCTGCGGTTGGGGAGGCTGTGGCTGGGGGAGGCTGCAGGTAAACCATTATGCATCGGTAGGGGCTGTTCTGCTGGAGCCCTCTGATGGCCAGGCATGGTCTGTCAGTGCAGGAGCTCTGATGAGGTGCCCTAGGAAGCACTCTGGTTGGGCATCTGAAGCTGCTCTGCAAGAGGCCATGGTCAGGCTGGAGCTCCAGGAAAGGCCAGCAGACAGGAGATGCTCAGATAGGACTGGCCCCATCCCACGGGCAAGACTGCCCTGCTCTGTCCGGGTCCAACAGTCACCCTAAGGCTAAAGTCTCCTATAGGAGCACGGCAGGCCTTGAGGGATGGGCGTTCTTGGCCATATTCTGCTGTTGTTAAATCCTCTGGGCTCCCCACTGGCTGGAGTCTGCCTTTGCCACCTCTCTAAGCAGCTGTCTTTGTGTCAGCTCAGGTGTCCGTGGGGGTCGTGAGTTCCGCTGCTAGGATGCTGGAGGTCCATGGCAGGAGCAGGCCACTCCTCACCTGTTCAACTGACCCCAGAAGTTGCTGGGGACCAGGAAGGATTCCTGGTGCTGGGCAGCCTCGTGTAGGGCTCCTAGCTTTCTCCCCCTTCAGCCCAGCATCCGTGTCCTCCCTCATCCACTCTCAATGCCTTCCCTGCAAAGACCTGTTCAGAGTGTGTGCCAGCCTTCCCAATGTCCTGGTTTCTCGGTCGGAGAGGTTTCTTCGGGCTGCCTCTAGTCAGCCATCTTGGCTCCCGTCTTGGTATAGTTTTTGAGTAACACAAAGAGGATTATAGAAAGCATATAAAATATTTGTAGAAATTACATTTATTCTTGAAGAGGTCATGTCTAAAATTAGTGAAATACTCTTTAAAACATTTTGTTTTTTAGGCTGGGCACGGTGGCTCACGCCTGTAAATTCCAGCACTTTGGGAGGCCGAGGCACGTGGGTCTCCTGAGGTCAGGAATTCGAGACCAGCTTGACCAATATGATGAAACCCTATCTCTACTAAAAATACAAAAATTAGCAGGGCGTGGTGGTACACGCCTGTAATCCCAGCTACTCAGGAGGCTGAGATATGAGAATTGCTTGAACCCGGGAGGCGGAGGTTGCAGTGAGCGGAGATCGTGCCATTGCTCTCCAGCCTGGGTAACAGAGCGAGACTCCAGTCTCAAAATAAATAAATAAATAAATAAATAAACGTCAAATAAATAAATAAAACATTTTGTTTTTTAAATGAAAATAAAGGGTACTTTAAAAAAATAATTTTAAAATAAGTTGAATTATTTAAAAATGATTCAATGATTTATTGAACCACAAAGGATAAAAGAAGTAATTCATATAAATAAGCAAACTCATTAATTTTTTATCTTGAGCAAAATATATAAATTAGTTACCCACGGTCACCTGTGACCTAAAAATATTAAATGGAAAATTTCAAAAGTAAATAAGTCATAAGTTTAAAATTGTGTATCGTTCCGAGTAGTGTGACAAAATCTCACTCCATCCTGCCCAGGATGTGAATCGTCCCTTTGTCCAGCAGGCTGTCTGAGGCCCCTGCCCATTAGTCATGTAGGAGCCATCTTGGTTATCAGATCAACAGTCATGGTATTGCAGGGCTTGTGTCTGAGTCACCCTTATTTATTTATTTAGAGATGGAATCTTGCTCTGTGGTCCAGGCTGCAGTGCAGTGGCATGATCTCGGCTCACTCCAACTTCCACCTCCTGGGTTCAAGCAATTCTCCTGCCTCACCCTGCCATGTAGCTGGGAGTACAGGCATGTGCCACCATGCCCAGCTATTTTTTGTATTTTTAGTAGAGATGTGGTTTCCCCATCTTGGCCAGGCTGGTCTTGAACTCCTTACCTCAGGTGATCTGTCCACCTCGGCCTCCCAAAGTACTGGGATTACAGGCGTGAGCCACCATGCCTGGCCAAGTCATCCTTATTTTACTTCATAATGGCCCCAAAGTGCAAGAGTAGTAATGCTGGCATATTATTATAATTGTTCTGTTTTATTATTAGTTGTTGTTTTTAATCTCTTGTTGTGTCTAATTTTATAAGTTAGATGTTATTATAGGTATGTATATATAGAAAAAACAGTATATACCATATAGGGTTTGGTATTACCTATTGTTTTAGGCATCTACTGGAGGGATGGGAGGATCTTAGAACACATTCCCTGAGGATAAGAGAGAATTAATGTAATTCTCATTCCTGCACTAAGAACAATGTTTACCACATCATAAATACTCAATAAGTTTATTGAGTGAACAAAAAATAAATAGGAAAATAAAATCTGTTTATTAACTGTGTGTATAAATTCATTAGTTTTGTATTATGGACAGTTTTGAATAGAGAGAGAAAAAACATAGAATCATGGAGAAAATATCACAAGTTATCATACAGATATGAACAAGTTTATACAAGACTTATTACAAACATAGAGTTCCATGGAATTGAAGTGTTATTATGTGACCATTTGAGTTACTGAGATGAAAGACATTTATAACCATTGCACTTTTAAGTCTATAGGCATAAATGTAGGGATCCCATTCTTAGGACATGCCTAGCAAATGAAAGTAAGAGTCAAATGCAACCCAATGGGCCAGAGTTTCCTTTATATATTGTAAATTATATATTTGTGCATGTGACAATAAGATTACACACTGCAAATGATGTTGAAATAAAATAGCTCATGCTTATAGTCCTTCTAGTCCAGGGTAGGAGAAGCAATTTTCTTTCTTCATTATTTTATCCTGATTCTTATTTTTATTTTATTTTATTATTATTATTATTTTTTTTTTGGTGAGGTGGAGTTTCACTCTGTCACCCAGGCTGGAGTGCAGTGGCTCGATCTTGGCTCACTGCAACCTCCGCCTTCCGGGCTCAAGTGATTAACCTGCCTCAGCCTCCCGAGTAGCTGGGACTACAGGTATGTGCCACCATGTCCGGCTAATTTTTTTTTTTTTTTTTTGTATTTTTAGTAGAGACGGGGTTTCACTATGTTGGCCAGGCTGGTCTCAAACTTCTGACCTCAGGTGATCCACCCACCTTGGCCTCCCAAAGTGGTGGGATTATAGGCATGAGCCACCGTGCCGGCCTTTTTATCTTGATTCTTATACACTAAAGGAAAATTTAAAAGCAGCTACATTACACTCACAATTGTACTGTTTGTTGTGTTACTATTCACATATATTTTACCTTTTTCTTCTATTCTGAATATTATTTTTGTTATTTTATTTTCGTTAAGCACTGTCATCTTCTTCACAATTGCTGTTTTTTTAATGGCAGGATAAAACTCTGTCTAGTTTATATGCTACCATTTGCATATTCACGCCCCTAATCTTGGACATTCAGATAATTTTAATGGTGGTTATTAAGAACTAATTTTTTTAGATTGCTAGAAATTATTAAAGCTATTTAATATGTATAAAGTGTGTTTTCTTAGGCCACCTAAGACTGAGAGATGACATAAAATACAAAATTTTTATTAGCAAAATAGAATTTCTGTGGCCCAGCCACCTACTTACACACACAGAGAGCCTAAGTGCCTAAACACTGTTTTCTCATTCTTCCGGAGTAGATAACATTCTCCCAGACTCTAGAGCATGGTTCTCCTGGAAACCTTTGCTGCCCCTAATTGTGTCCCCTGTGTCCTGATCACTATTGCACCACGGCCCCTGCCCTCGGCATGCTCTAGTTGCTCACTATCCTCTGCCCTCTTCCCTGTCAATCCTTCTGCAGCTACTGAGGACCAGTCCCTCAGGCATGGGAGAAATGTGCTCCACCTTCTTAAAGTAATGACACTCTGTGCTCACAGTTAGAGATAGGCCTTACAGTTCTTATGTTTTTGTTCAATATTTAATGGAGACATTGTTCCCCCTAGAAGTGCAGTATGCATCTTCAGGAATGGGCCAAATTGCAATCTGAGAGGCTGTGTCAAAACCACACCTCTATTCCCAAGTCCACCTCTTGCTTTTGGCCTTTGCTCTCTTCTCTTAACCTGAATTTCTTCCTATGTATGTCCCTGGGCACGTTTTGCAAATGAGTCCCTTCTATGAAAAACCCATCCCTGCCCCTGGCCCTTCAGTATATATAGATATGCTCAAATTTGCATTGACCACAAAAGTTAGACCCTTTTATTTTGCCACCCTTTACTACAAAATGCATCCTTTAGTTCTGACACTGATATCATAGACATCAATAAACTTCCCTTGCCAAATTTTTGTGGTTGAATATAAAATGACATGTTTTGTTTTATACATTATTTACGCTCTTGTTGTTAAAAGACTTTTTCCTTTCTGAGTTTCACTGCATTTTTTTTTTTGGGGGACAGGGTCTTACTTTGTTGCCCAGGCTGAAGTACAGTGGCACAATCACAGTTCACTGCAGCCTTGAACTCCTGGGCTCAAATGATCCTCCTGTCTTAGACGGCCATTGAGATTACACGTGTGAGCTGCCATGCTCAGGCTTTGCTACATTTTTAGAACAAAAGTAGGTTAACTATATCAAATCCCCAATCATATGTTTCTCTTTTGAATTATAACTTAAAATTATGCTCCAGAAGAAAGTAGGAGAATAAATTTCATATTTACTAAAATTAATTCTTAAATTATTGTTTCCAAAAAAATTATTTCAGAGATGGTCAGGAATCCTCAGGAAAGGAGATCCTGTAAATTTTTGTTTGTTTGATTTAGAGACAGAGTCTCTGTCACCCAGTCTGCAGTGCAGTGGTGCCATCATGGCTCACTGCAGCCTGGACCTCCTGAACTCAAGCAATACTCTCATCTCAGCCTCCCAAGTAGCTGGAACTACAGGCATGCACCACCATGCCCACCTAATTGTCTATTTTTTGTAGAGATGAGGTCTCATTGTGCTGCCAAGGACGGTCTTGCACTCCTGGATTCAAGCTATCCTCCTGCCTCAGACTCTAAGAAAAATAAGAAATCTACATGAGTTAACTTATGCTTGACTATCTGGTTTACTTATGGATATTAAAATGGCAACCAGCCTGTTATAATCTAGGATGAAACAGTATCCCCTTTTTATTGTGAAAATAGAGGAAACTAGTTAGCCCTGCATGAGATAAAATGTATTTGGTGTAAGCTTTCGTGAGATTTACTGGAATACTTTGGCCTGGTTACTGTCAACACGTGTCTGACAAGGTCACCTTTGTTAAATATGTTGAGTTTGCGATGCTATTATTGCCTTTCCAGGCATTCACATGAGGACAAAGAAGGAAGATTTATACTCTGGGTGATAATAGGCTCCTGGCAAAGCCCAAGTCAGTTGAAGACTCACTGCATCTAATAGAGAACTGGAAATGTATAGATTAATGAAGCAACCTATGACTCTCTGTGCCAGACTTTTCACCATTGCCGTACTCTTCTCTTTCACACCCTATGCCTACGTTTAACATGATGTTCCCGGTGCCTGGGATGAACTTTGCCTTCCTCTTTATGTAGTGAATTCCAACTTGTCCTCCAAGATCCAGATTAATTGCCATCTCCTCTGTGAAACCTTTGAACTTAGATTTACCCTCTTCTCAATACTGAGCTCAAGGTTCTTTTTACCACTCTTTATTTTAACACTTATACATTTTGATGCCATTTTTTTTAGTAAAATTACCATAATGGAAATGCAAAGAGAACAGGGAGATTTTAGTTTTATTTATTTGCAGTATCCTCAGGACCTTAAAAAACGCCTGGTACAAAGGAGCTGTATAAACATATGTTGAATGATCCATTTTTTAAGTATGTATAGACACATGGGCATGGTTTGGAGGAAGGAAACAAGATGAACCAAATATGGTTCTTATTATCCATATGATTCAGTTGAACTATGAGGACAGACATCAGAAGATATAGGCACTGGGATTGCAAAGAAGAAATACATGTTGAATTAGACAGAATACTTCCATTAATTTTTTATGAGCTATTTAGATATCATATGCCAAGTGTGAAATGATGACAGAGATCTGAATTGTAAATACATATTAAGAGAAAAAGTATAGAGAATTGAGATTGTCCAGATTTATCAAAAGAGGCAGGATATAAAGGGAAAGATTTAAGTAGCTGAAAAGAGATTTAGTATCAATGGAATGAAGGGATGGTGATAAAGAAGGTCATGCTTTGTGAGGAAAAATGAGCAGATCATTTATGAATAGAAATTCTGGACAATAAAGTTGAGAGATGAGCCAAACCTAGACTCAGAGTGGGTGACATTGCGCAAGAAAGACATTTAGCCTTCATGAGTTTCAGTTTCCTTATTTGTAATTTGTTAATAATAGCTTGGTTTTGCTGTTCCACAGGATTGTTGTGGCACTCAAATGAGTCAGGATGATTCTGACATAGGCAGACATAAGCATTAAGAAACAGTAAGATGCGAGTTGGAATAAACATTATAATTTAAATAGAGGAAAAATACTGGAAGGAAATACATCTGAATTAACTGAACTTACAGTAGAAAGAAAAGATTATGAATGATTTTTCCCTTGAGTTTTCTCTATATTCCAAATCATTATTGAAGAACATATAGTAATTAAAATGCATTTTATTAAAAAAAAATCCTAGGTGCTGAGAAAGTAAGAGTGAATAAAAGAAACAAGGTTTGACTTCTCAAGGAGCTTACATTTTAGTAGGCACAGACAAAAGAATATGGCTATATAAGATAATTTTGGATAATTGCTCTAGTAGTGATACAGTGATGAAGAAGGGTGCTGCTGCTACACAGAGGGCCAAGGGAGAGCAGAGACCTATTTGAGCAAAGTCCTACATGCCGTATTAGGTGAGGATGTTATAGGCAGTGGAACAGGCAGCTGCAAAGCGCATAAGCAGAATGAGCTGCATGTGTTCAAAAAACAGAAGGAAAGTGAGTGTGGCTGGAACACAGGGAGGGAGGACGAGAGTGGTCGGAAGTGAAGTCAGAAAGATACACCAGGGCTCAATCATGAAGGACCTTTGAATTTACAGTGAGGACATTGGATTTTATTCTCAGTTCAATGGCAAGACATAAGTTAATAATATATATCTATGCATATATAGTAACACATATATGCCTATATATGTGAATTGCTGTATAATTGAACTGCTAAATGATAAAATGAACTCCATCATAATTTCCTGCCATTAAATGATCTGCCCAGGTCTAATTAATGGGGGAAAATGAGGTTGTTTTATGTACAGTCACGTGTCCTTTCCAGAATTAGGTATTTTAAAGGTGAAAGCAGTTTGGCATCATCTCTCCACGCTAATATGTTAGATGATTGATAACATATTCAAATAGCATTTATTGAGCTCTCCACAATGGGGTGAAGATAAATGTTGGTTGAAAACACCAGGTATTTTGCATGCCAATTCTGGATCTCTGCTTAATTTGCTGTTATTTTCTTTTGCATTTTTTTATTATTCAAAAATAAAAAGGAGCAATGGAGCATATGAAAAATAGATGTTAAGGAGAAAATTTGCAGATGTTAAGCTTTGCAGATTTTGCTATAGAGTATTTCAGAATGAGTATTTGTGTTTCTCTTCATGGCAGCACATTATTTGTAAGAAATAAAAAGCTGAATTCCTTGTGTGGACAAATCCCTGATACAGTGATTTTGGCACTTACAGAGGGACGTTAACTACTTAAAGTCCCCGTTGCTTCATCATTGACTTCATTATCATTTTGGAGCACTCTACAGAATCTGCTCCCTGAAATGCAGAGGCGCAATGGAAGAGCAAGCCTTTTTCTTCCGGCCTTTCAGTGCCTAAAACAATAGACATATGAAATACCATGCACTTGCAATGCTGCCTAGAAAGTAGGACATTTCTTTGTGAAAGCACATGTTAATGGAACTTTGATGTCAATTTTAAAGAGTCCATTCTGTCTTCAGTGTCTGCGAAGGTAAATATTGATCTTAAGCAACATGAGGCATATTCCCATCTCCAGAGAGAGCATTAATATCCACACAACCTTCTTTCTGTAGGATGAAGAACTGGCAGCATTAATGCTGTCAGTGTCATACAGAGAAACATGATTTGCCTTATTCCTTTCCTTCATTCCCTTTCCATCAGAAATAAGAATTTTCAAAAAAAATAAAATAAAATCTATCAAGGCTTTATATGCCTTGGTCTTTGTTCTGTTTTTTGAAATGATTAGCATTTCTCAATCATTCAGAAAGAAGCATCAAAAACAAAACACTTTTGACAGTTCCCACTGGAATAAAAAAGATATGACACCAATCCCTACATTTTCATCCTCAAAAATGATAATGATCACTTCTGAAAGAAAATGATAACAATTTTCAAGGAGCTGTGATTTTCTATCTCCTTTGATGTAGTCATCAATGCCTTTTCGACAGATGTTTCATATAGAGTCCATGTCAAGATGTTCAAGGTGATTCAGAATAAATAGATGATACCCTTCAGCCCTTGCCCTTGGGTGGCTTAGAGTCTTGTTGTTTTGGGAAGGACAAATATAACTCAAATTACTTAAGAATACTTAGAGATAATTTAGTTGTTTTAAGTCTTGTGTTCAAATTTTGTCTTCATCCTTTCCTCTTTCCAGCTGTGAGATATACTTGTCCCCTGGAACCTCAAAATTCTCTGCAAAACAAAGATAATATTAGTAACTATCTTCTAGCATTTCCATGAAGATTAGTAAGATAATGAATTATGCATATATAGTATTTAGCTTGGTGCCGGGCCTCCAAATAAGTACTTAAAAAGCAGTAGTTATTTTTTCTGGGTAAACGTTGATAAGTAATAATTATTAGGTCAAGCAAGTTTTCTTAAAAATGGCCTTTGAGAATTATACGACACACTTATATTCATGAATTGTAAATATGTGCTATTTCATATTTTTCTTAATAGGCATTTTAAATTGTTGTTTGGCCTACAATGTTGGTCTCCCAGAAGCAAAAATATTTTCCGGTCCTTCAAGTGAACAGTTTGGCTATGCAGTGCAGCAGTTTATAAATCCAAAAGGCAACTGGTAAGAATATTCTCTTCTTTATGATTTCAGTAAAAATACAAAATAAATTTCATATTTGACTTCAATTGCTTTTTCAAATTGGTGCCTGACTGTACTATAAATGGGTGGCCCTCAAATATCCTTAAATGAACAATCTTTCTTTGAGAGTTGACAACTGCAGACTGATCATTAATGGGATGGTATAATGGTTCATTTTTAAAAACCTGGATAGAAAGTTTTCTCTAAATATTCAAAAGCAAATTTATAATACCAGTTTTGACCATTAATACATAGGTAGGTAGATTGATAGAATGATAGATTTGTCTTCATTTCTGATCATGTAAACTGATATTCATTGAACTTTGTAAATCATTACCTAGTTATTAATGCTATCTCTGGACCATTTCTAAATGGTAGAATTGTTTCCTACATTTTTTTCTTTAGCAAGGTTTTGTCTACTTGCTTCATTCTAAGTTAGGCTTTTGCCCTCCTTGTGGTGAAGGGTCCTCACAAATATCAATGCAAAATGTACAAAGGTGGCTTTCTCTAGCATATTAACACCTTTTGTTTTTGCCCCAAAGTGCTCCCAGTTTTTACATGCTATGTGATGGTTACATTTTCAAACCATGGCTTTTCTACCCAGGTGAAAAACAACCACCTCAATGGAGATGGAAATCTAGTTCCCATAATACTAATGCAAGTGAACCCAGAGAAATGAGGTAATTTGAAAGTTGTATTTGGGAAGAAGCGCTGTAGCTCCTATTCTGCCAGAGTTCATGCCCACTGGTGGACACAGGTCCTGCCATGGGGACCTTATCTCCTTGTTGCAGCAGGAGGCTCCAACCATCCCCACTCACCCTGGAACTTCAGATTCTGAATCTCCACTCTCTAGAGCTCTTTTCAGTGATTAAATGGGCTGTTGTTGGCTTATCAAATAAGAACCGTAATGTATGGCCAAGTGCAGTGGCTCACGCTTGTAATCCCAGCACTTTGGGAGGCTGAGGTGGGAGGATCACTTGAGCCTAAGAGTTAGAGACCACCTGGGCAACACAGTGAGACCTCATCTCTATTAAAAACCTGAAAATCAGCTGGATATGGAGGTGCATGCCTGCAGTCCCAGCTACTCAGGAAGCCGAGCTGGGAGGTTGGCTTGAGCCCAGGAGTTTGAGGCTGCAGTGACCTATGTTGGCACCGCTGCACTCCAGCCTGAGTGACTGAGTAAGATCCTGTCTCAAAAAAAAAAGAGGAAAAAACCGTAACTGTAATTCATAAGCCTTTTTTTCTGTGTGAACTTCCATTTGATACTCTAAACAATTGAATTCAAAGAAAGGTTCAGGATCACATGTTGGGGCATGCCTGTCTATTTGATGAGGAAACAAAATGAAATCATCCCCTGAGAGGGCAGCATTTCTCAGCAGGCATCTTGGAGGATGTAAATCGTGAGCTGGGTTTTAAGTAGTGAGGATGAAGAGGCTGGAGATGAGTGTTAACTAATGTGAGGAGACTTAGAAAACAATGCATGTAGATACAGTTTGTCAATTGTCTAGAAGGATAAGAACATCTGGTTGGAAACCAAAGATTGGCAATTATTGTAACCATTTGGGATACGAGAGAGAGTTGCATGTCTAACAATTATCAAATGATGCTTTGATAATCATAAAGTGGTGAGGAGGCTAGAAAGACAATATGGTCGGTATATTTTGACCTTGGAATCTAGCAGATGAAGTAGCTAATGACCCACAGTTTTAAATATTCAGCCCTAATTTTTTCCCTCAGACTGCTATATTAAACAATTCATTCAACATCTCCACTTTAATGCCCAGTAGACATACCAAACTGAACTGGGAGAACACAAGTATCTGATTTTCTGCACAAGCTAATGAGGCCAAAAATCTTTGACTTGTCTTCTTTCTCCTCCCCTATATCTTATCCATGAGCCAGTCCTGTTAATCCTATCACCAAAATACCAATTATACCTGGCCGTTCCTCACTGTCTCTCCTGATGCCACCCTGATGGAAGCCAACACCAGCTCTTACAGGCACTGCTGCAGCAGCTTCTCCACCTGCCTTCAGCTTCCCTTCCTGCCAGCTTTATTCTGCTGTCTTTGCTCTAGCCAGTGTGAACTGTTAAAAACATGGCTCGGCCAGGAACGGTGGCTCATACCTGTAATTCCAGCACTTTGGGAGGCCAAGGCGGGTGGATCACTTGAGGCCAGGATTTCAAGACCAGCCTGGTCAACATGGCGAAACCCCATCTCTACTAAAAACACAAAAATCAGCCAGGTGTGGTGGCGGGCGCCTGTAATCCCAGCTACTCCAGAGTCTGAGGCAGGAGAATCGCTTGAACCTGGGAGGCAGAGGTTGCAGTGAGCCAAGATCAAGCCACTGCACTCTAGCTTGGGTGACAGAGTGAGACTCCATCTCAAAAAACAAACAAAAAACACAGCTCATTCCCTAGATTAAAATTCCTTAAAGGATGCTCTGCGATTGGGTGTCAGCCTCTCTCCTATTATCATCTTTTACACCTTCTCCTCTGCTTTCTATGCTCCAAGAACTAAGTCTTTTGTCTGTTCCTTGAACATGCCTAGCTCATTCCTGTTGCAAAGCTTTTGCAAATTATTTTCTCCTGCCTGGAAGAGTCTTCCCTAAGATCATCACTCAAATGGTTTTCATCTTTCAGTCTCAGCTCAAATGTTTCTTCCTCATAGACCTTTCAGAGCAACCCTATCTATATAGCACTCGACTGCTCTCTGAGTCACTCCAGCCTTACAGGTGGATTTATTTTCTAATGATTAGTACTATCTTAAATGATCTATACTTGTTTATATGCTCATTATCTGTCTCCTGCCACTGTCTCTGAGTTCAGGGACACTGTTTTGTTGACTGCTGCATTCTCCACACCCAGAGTGATATCTGGCACTGAGTAAAGGATCAACAATTATTTGTTAAATGACTAAATGGAAGTCCCAATTCTAAATGATTCATCCCAAGTGCTATACAAAGTGAGCTATAGTAGACTGACTTAAGATGTTTGAGCTGAAAGGGAGCTTCAGATGAACTCCACTGTTCTAGTTCATAGACATGGCCTAGCTGAGGACATCTGGCACCGAGTTTGAAGCAATTCTTTTAAGTAACAGCTTTCCTGGACAGAGTAAATCTAAGAGCCACCATCAGTAATAGACATTATTGAAGGTGATAAGCCTTTCAAGGATTGTAAGGGGCTCAACCACTGGCCATGCTGCTGGTTGGAAGTTGAACAAGACGAAAAGGGACACAGAGTTGAGAGGATCCCACCAGGCAGAGTTCTGGGAACATGAGAGGCAGCCATATCTCCTTTCTCTGTCCAGGATTACCTCTAAGTATCCAAGACATTGTTGAAAGACAAGTATATTTGTAGTTTATAGTGAGATCCTAGTGCTGGTAAGACCAGGGACACTGGACATTTCTAAATCCTGCCTGGACCTTCTCATGACATCCCTGAATGATGTATAAACACAGGACAATAGGTCTGGGAAGCAAGGCACCACTCTATTATTGGCTGGGCCAGGGCTTTGAACTCCAGTATAGAGCTTTCTGGCAAGGTGTAGCACTGAGATTAGGCTCAAGGCCTAACCACCAGATGATACAAGCATACCCCACCATGCAAGAGGAAGAGACAGCACCTGTCTGACCTGAAGGGCTGAACCATATGGAATTCAGAAGCAGGAAGGACAGAGAACAAAAGTTGGCCAAGCAAGTCTGTCTGGGTCCTTTTGTTGATCTGGTCTTATGAAGCAAAGAAACAAGAGAGGCAAAACCATGGGCATGATTTTCTAAACTACATGAGGTGCAAAAAATGCAAAACATAGTTGTTGGCCTTAAGGAGTGTAAAATAGAGTCAGTGAGGAAGATTTATATGCAGAATAGGCAACTTTGAATAATATAGAAGACATCAGTCAGTGTAAACCCCTTGCAGTTAATGGTGTTTGTTTTCTTTCAGTGTCACTAGCTATAATAACTTAAGAGCTCATTTTCTTTTCCCAAGGCCTGGGTCATTAGAGAGACAAGGTTTTCTCATGACCTCTGTCATTTGCCCAGCCCTGCCAAGGTACCTTGCCACAGAGGGCAGGGCTGTGGCCAGGATCCAGGTGAATGGGTTATCCCATTACAGTGCTAGAGTGGGCCATGTTAGGACAAGCAGTCTTCACGACTCTCAGGCTCAAGGAAAATTATATGAAACTTGGAACCCAGAATTGCCTGTTTGTTTTGACAGTGGGCCCTGTGCCCTTCTCTACTCTTAATTTATGACAGTTGCATAGGCATTATGGAAGTAGCAGATGTGGGAAGGACTGTTTAAACATTGACTTTCCTTCTGATACTAATCAAGTTAGTTTTGGACACAGAAATTGGTATGACCATGAATTATTCCTTTAGCAAATTGCGAGTTCTTTTTCCATGGATTTATCATGTAATACATGCACACACACACAACTTTGTTTTCTTTATTCCCTTACTGCTTATTCTGAAGCTGTCATTTTGGTATCTTTTTCCTCTGCTTACTTTGACTTTCTTTGTAATCTTTCTATCTAAGTCCTGACTTCACTCCTTTCCCTCAGACAACTCACTGAAGGCTCTAGTCTGAGTATTCTTAAATCACACTCTGTTATTTTTAAAGTACAATTTTAGCTCTGTCATGTGTGCCATGTTTTCTAAGAATTTATGGGCATATTTACATCAGGATCTACCAGATTTTAACAAAATAATCTTAACTCTTTTGCTAGTTTCATTTATGAGACTTTCATTGCACTATGAACTTCAACTCTAGAAACAGTGGTGACATGGCTTTGATAATTCTGGAGCCTTTTTAACAGTCTCAAGTGAGCGGGATAATTTTAAAACAAGCTGACCTCCCAAGTAGAGTACCTGGGCAGCCCTCTGGCTGTAAGTAAGGCTGTGGTCTGTTCTCTTTTCGGTGTAGGCGGAGGGCCATCCCGCTTCAGAGCCCTCACTTCACACACAGGATGTTCCAATGTGGATGATGCAATTCTTATCACAAACAATCTACAAAGGATTGAGATATGTTTAAAATCATTTCCTGGAGTTTGTGGTGATATGCACTCTTTCTGTTTGTCTAATCTGAAGGCCTGTTGCAAGAACAATCTGAGCTCATTATGTGACTCAAAAACCAGAGAGAACTGCAATCTCTCTGTGTGATGAGGACTGACTGGGAATTAGGGTATTTCCAGTTGTAGAAATGTCTTTCATTCTAACAAGGACTAGTGCATTCTTTTTCCTTAAAGAGAGAGGAGAAATAGAAAGAACAAGTGTCATAGCAAAAAATAAAAATAAAAAAAATCCACCTATATATGAGCTTATAGTTTTAACTTTTTAATTGAGAAAAACTTTAATAAAGCTCTACATGTGTTATGAATATAGCATTGTCATCCACAGATGTGCCTATAGGAGAACTTTAAATAAAAAAAAAAGTTTAATTCTATAACAGACATCAAAGATTATGTCACGTGATACTTTGATAATAACACCACCTGGTATTTATTGAGTACTCTTTCCTTGCCAAACATGTAATACCCATAATTACTCTAGGAGCTTTGCAAAATTATTACCCCCTTTACAAATGAGAGGAGTGTGACTCAGAAATGTTAAGTAATTAACCTAAGATTACAGAGCTGATAATTAATAAAGATAGGGGAAGCTAATGCAAAATGAGACAAAATGTTCCAAACGTACATATTTTTGTAAGTATCCAAGAAGGAGAGTGACAGGATGTAGTTGGCATTTATAAATAATATTTAAATTTTATTTTAACATAAACTTTATGAAGTAAGAGAAACTTTCAGAATCTTGAATGAAAAATTCTGTTAGAGAATTTCCAATGTTAGCATCATTGGCTTTACCATCAGCTGTTTCCTGGGCAAAGATGATAGTTACCATCCATCTTTTCATCCTATCATAGACAGGAATTTCTTGTATGAATATACTCAGGAGCCGGAGCACAAGGGTTTTACCCTCAGCTTCCCCACCACTCCCTGGGTGACTTTGGGAAAGTCACACAACTTCTCTGGAGCAGAAAGTATGCCATCCTTATCAAACTGGAATGTTATGAGCACCTTGTGTGAGAATAAAAGTAAAGCACTTCAGGGCTGGGCTCGGTGGCTCATGCCTGTAATTCCAGCACTTTGGGAGGCCAAGGCGGGCGGATCACTTGAGGTCAGGAGTTCGAGACCAGTCTGGCTAACATGGTGAAACCCCATCTCTACCAAAACCATAAAAAATTAGCAGGGCGTGGTGGCAGGCACCTGTAATCCCAGCTCCTTGGGAGGCTGAGGCAGGAGAATCACTTGAACCTGGGAGGCAGATGTTGCAGTGAGCTGAGATCATACCACTGCAGTCTAGCCTTGGCAACAGAGGGAGATTCCATCTCAAAAAAAAAACTGGGTCCTCCCTACCTCTTCCTATCCCCTCAACCAATTCTCATCTGTCATGGATGAGCTTCCATGCATATTGGATTAGCTTCATGAAGTCCATTTCTTCTTCTTGGCCAAGAATGCTATTCTATTCCAATCCTCTTTCCAAAATAATCATGTCTTTGTCTTTTATGATATAGCCTTTTAAATATTAGCCAATTATCATCCTTTATATCTCTTTCAAAGATAAAAGTCTCTTACCATTAGGTTGTCCTGGCAGTGCCATTTAACATGCCAACTTCATTTATTCACAGAGTTTGCTTATATCTTATTTAATTAAATTAATTAATTAATTAATTAATTTGAGACAGAGTCTCAGTCTGTCACCAAGGCTGGAATGCAGTGGCTCAATTTTGGCTCACTGCAACCTCTGCCTCCTGGGTTCAAGTGATTCTCATGCCTCAGCCTCCTGAATAGCTGGAATTATAGGCATGTGCCACCATACTAGGCTAATTTTTTTTTTTTTTTTTGAGACGGAGTCTCACTCTTTTGCCCAGGATGGAGTGCAGTAGGGCAATCTCGGCTCACTGCAAGCTCCGCCTCCTGGGTTCATGCCATTCTCCTCCCTCAGCCTCCCAAGTAGCTGAAACTACAAGCGCCCACCACCATGCCTGGCTAATTTTTTATATTTTTAGTAGACACGAGGTTTCACCGTGTTGGCCAGGCTGATCTCGAACTCCTGGCCTCAAGTGATCCCATCTCAGCCTCCCAAAGTGCTGGGATTACAGGCGTGAGCCACCGAGCCTGGCCCTCCTTTTATTTTAAATTCATAACATAAATATTCCTTTTCTTCTTCCATTCAATTTTATTTTTTACTCATAACTTAGTCCAGTGTTTGATTCTATAAAGACATTAGAAATCCAACTGTAATATATTCTTACACTTTTATTTTAACTTTAAATACTTACTGTTAAAAATTTTATAAATACTTATTATGCTATTGCTGTACAATTAAGCCATCCTCAGCACTATTAATACAGGTATCCAAAGTGGCATGTCTCATCTCAACAATGACAACCCCCCAAGAGGCGGAGGTTGCAGTGAGCCAAGATCACGTCACTGCACTCCAGCCGGGGCAACAGTGAGACTCCAACTCAAAAAAAAAAAAAATCTATAGTAGGAAGGACACTTTAAATATCTCCTGATTTGCTTCTTCGTTCCTTCACTCTGGATACAAGTTTGTGTGTGCACCTACAAACACATGAATACATACACACCCATTGTTTGTGACTTGCACGTGGGAGAGATATGTTGCTCCAGAATGTCTGCTGTGCTTTAATGATCTATAAAAATCCTCCATGCCTCACCAACAAGTCTTATAATTTTAAGCTTTCCTCTGTGGTAATGTGTGAATATCTGTTTCTGGAATAAAGTTCATTTACAAAGGTGACTGGGACTTACACACACACCTTCCTAGTATCTAGTTGTCTAAGACATTTACATCCATCTAACTCCATCTAAAGAAGGATCTGGGGAATGCTAAGTGGCACAAGTGGCAACTATTTATTAACTTGCTGTGCCCCATATGATGGGAAAGCAAACAGTGCTTCTCTAGAAGAGTTCTAAGGGAACTTAATATGGTAAAAAGAACCAGCAATTTTGAGCAAAAGGGCAGGGGTGCAGATATATAGGTTTTGCTTTCACTTAGACCCTTGAAGTCAGTTTCTTTAAATGAAAACATAAATAGTTATACACTTGACCTCACAGAGTGTTTATAAGGATCAAAGGAGATAATGCACATAAAAAATGCTTTATGAGCTATAAAGCAGTTTACAAATGTTGCTATTCCAGTTTTTATCATTGATGAAACAACCATCTGCCAAAGCACCTAGTTGAAAGGTACTAGCTCATGAGCTTTGATTTGCAAAATGTGATGGTCTTAAAATTATCCCCCTCTCTCCCTCCAATAGCCAAGAACAGGAATTTGTATCATCACAAGGCTTTAGGGTTAGTATTTTAGCTTTTGATTTTAAATTCAAGAAAACTGCATGTCGGATGAGAGGAAGTAACATAATTAGTTTTTATTGATTATATTTCTTCTAGTGCCAAAGCCAATTTCTGGAATTTTTATGAGACAGAACAGTAAGCTTAAGATGTTTTAGCAATAGTGAAGTCAGTGGACTCTTTATCGTGAAACGGAAAGATGCTGAGGATCTAGCCATCCCGCTAACTGAGGAGACAATGTGGAAGCCTAAGAAGTCTGAGGCAGCATAATGAGGCCTAAATACTAAAATTGCCTTTCAATATATGCCAAAGAATTTAACTATTAAATTTATGATAGCAGTATTTCCAAATAAAACCTAAAAAATGAAATGACTCTTTTTACCTGTCTTCCTTCTTCCCAGAGACGGGCAGCCTTCACGGGTGAATTCTTTCCATCACAAATTCATTTTATGTTTACCAGCAGAAAGCAGGTACCATTTAGAGCTCACCAAGCACCTTGTGTTGTCCGTGGCCTGGAACTAAACAATATAAGAAACAATATTTATATTTATATACTATAGACTTGGAAAATTTTTACGTGCATGTAGATACAATAAGTTTCTAATCCAAAGTAAAATATCCCCTTGGATGGCTCATAGACCTCTCAAACTTAAAATATCTCACAGTGAACTCTTGAGCTCCCCCTATCGCAAAATCTTGCTCTACTGACAGCATCCCCTTTAATCTGATGGTAGTGACTAGTTTCTTTTAGCTTCTCAGCCAAACACCTTTAGGCTGTCTTTGACTCGTATTCATTCATTCATTCATTCATTCATTCATTCATTGAAAGACCAACTCCTCAAGAAGTCCTGCTGCCCCTACCATCACACTCTATCTAAAACAAGACCACCTCTTACCACTTTCCCTTCTGCCAGCCCTGTATGAGCACTCCATCATCTGTTGCCTGGATGATTGCAGTTGTCTTCTAAGTACTTTACATGACTCACCTGTGCTTCAATACAATGATTCCCAACAGTGTGGCCTTCAAAATTCTTCTACAATATGTCAGATCACATCATGCTGTACTCAAAACCCTCCAATGGCATTCTCATTTCCCTCAGCTGGAAAGCTGAGGCCTTCTATTAATCATTACGTACAAGTCACTACATGATCTATCATTACCAGTAGGACTACCATCTCCTTCCACTATCCCCCTCACTCATTCTGTTCCAGCCACAGGGCTTTTGCATTTGCTGTTCCCGCAGCCTAGACTATTCTGCCACTAGAGTCTTAAGGTTTACTCTTTAACCTTCTTCAAGTTTTTACTTAAATATTACCTTCTCAGTGAGGCCTTCCCTGACCATTCCGATGAAGATTATACTGCTCTCCACCCCACACTCCTAACTCCAGCCTGCTTATTTTTCTCCCAAAGCACTGATCACTACCACTATATGGTTTACTTACTTATTACATTTACTGTCTATTTTCTCCCACTAGAATGTAAGCTCCTCAGGCTAGAAACTTTTTTACTGATTTATTCACTAGTATATCCTCAGTACCTAGAATGAGGTCTGGTACATAATAGGTCTGGCCACCACGTATAGACTCACAGATTGTATACTGCACAAGGCCTGGACACACCATTCAAGGAATGGTGTCCCCTGGGGTTGTGTACCATTTCAGTCCCCAAGAGCCCAATAAACATTTGTTATAAAATTGAATAAAACAAAATGTTTTGCCCTACTATTTTAAGTACATCTCTGTCAGTAATCTCTGGTAAAATCTCTAGTATTGAAGAAAACACTTGGAGAATTTACAGACTCACAGACCAAAGGAAGATATTTATAACAGCCCCTAGATTGTGGGTTTAAAACTGTCCTACCTACACCACCATAAATACTGCTTGCTAACTAAACAAAGTATTTTGAATTCCACTGGAGGTAGGCAAATTGGCTGTGTTTTGAAAGTCTACATAATCACTATTTTCCCACAAGATAATTGAACAGTAAGTGTTATTTAAAGTAGTCTTGGAAGAATTCCCAGTTTCACTGGAGGAAAAGAAAAGTTTATATCTTGGGATTTTGTTTTGTTTTGAGAATCAGCACACATGCCTGTTCATGCAACTCTTTTGTCTGGTTGGGATTAAATTAAATCCATTACTTCAAAGAGGTTTCGCCATACTTCAACAGGTATACTCACCAACATATCCAATTTCCCACCTTGGTAACAGTTTCTCTTGGTGTGTCTCTTCCTGCACGTAAAATTTCATAGAGAAATATAACAGCCTCCCTCATCTTCCTGTCTGATTAATTTAAGAATGCCACAATTTTCTTGGAATAGCCTCTTGGTGATGTCCTAGCCTCTTCTTATGAGGGTGAGTTGTCAGGAACTAGGATTTCACCGAGGCCTTAGGGTGTGAATGAGGAGGAGAGTCTGCTGGAAATGTTTCTAATAAAGAAGGTAAGCAAAGGTCAGTGACTTCTCTGTAGTCACCAACATGACCTGTAGCCTACTTATTAATGTGGTTCACAATATTTAAGAAATGAGTCATATATGATGAGGAAACCCTTGTTCTTCAAGAGTTACCAAAGTGGTCTGGTTTTCCACTATTTTCTATTGCCTTGTGTTAAGAGTTTAAGATAGCATAATACTGTCAGAGATGTATTTGCATGTATCTTTTAGGGAATTTCAAGTGCTTCCACATCCTTCTTGTTAAGTGCCACACAACTGCACAGATGCTTACTTTTCTCTTCTTTCTGATTAAATTAGAAGAGCTGCAGTTTTCACAGAGGTGGTCATGATGTTATGACCCCTCCTGTGCTGCAAGGTTATCAAATCCTGAATTCTTAGAAAAGGTGGTAGGAGGTGACAGGGAGAGTGTCCAGGGAGTGCTTAGTTGAGAGAAAAAAACCAAACAGTCTTCTCAGGAAGAAAATAGCTAGTTGTTGCAGCTTTGCTACCAGAGGCTCTGATAAAAAAAAAAAAAAACAGTTAAATTTTAGATCAGACACACTTCTCTGTTGTTTCTCAGCAAGCCTCTCTCGGGCTGTGGTGAGGATGGTTGGAAATGTGCATAATAGAATCACCTGAATTTGGTATTTGCATTTGGTATTGTCTGAACATACCCTGTTCCTACCTGTCATTGGGTTTGTATTTGGTGTTGTCTGAACATGCCTTGTTCCTACCTGCCATTGAGAACAGTGTAGCCTAGGCCCCACAGTATGGATGTACCCTCCCAGGACAGCTGTGCTTCGTGTCCAGTCTGCAGCCCCTTCATATATCACACAGCCACACACCCCTTCACATAAGTGTGGCCTGACTCCCTGTGTCTGGTTTCTAATCCATGCTAGTTCTAGAACCCACCTCATCTGCTAAGATCATTTTCCCAATCTGGGCCCTCTGCCAGGACTTCCTGCAGCTAAGAGGAAGGACACTAGCCTAAGCGTTAAGAACCTGGGCTTCCGCACTTGGTTTTCACTAGCCATGGGAACATGAGCAAGTCACTCATCAATCTGTGTCTCAGTGATTCCATCTGTAAAATGAAGTGTAAAATGGGGATAAGATCATCCCCGGTGGCCAGGCACAGTGGCTCACACCAGTAATCCCAGTGTTTTAGGAGGCCAAGGAGGGTGGATCACTTGAAGTCAGGAGTTCCAGACCAGCCTGGCCAACATGATGAAATGCCATCTCTATTAAAAAAGTGCAAAAGATAGCTGGGCATAGTGGTACATGTCTATAATCCCAGCTATTCAGGAGGCTGAGGCAGGAGAATTACTTGAACCCAGGAAGTGGAGGTTACAGTGAGCCAAGATCATGCCACTGCACTCCAGCCTGAGTGACAAAAGACGAGACCATCTCAAAAATAATAATAATAATTTCTGGCTTCTTCTGCAGATGAAATTAGATAATCTTTGGAAAGGCTTACACATAGTACCAGATGTTGTAAAATTTACTATAATTAATAGGAATTAATTAATGAATGCCAAGGGGCAGAGCCACACTTCCTATGATAGTTCCTTGCTATAAGGTGCTATTTTGTTCTCTACATTTACTCCATAGTAAGCTTTTGTTTGAGAAAAAAAATGCCAGTTTGGTGCGTAGTAGATACGCAGAGGCTGAGAAAGGAACAGATGACACAATAACACAATGGTAACAGAATGTATAATGCTTCCCTCTCAACTTGGTTGATTTGTTTTTTTTACATTTACTTGGACCAAACAAGCAAAAATACATGCTCCCCAGAAGAACAGAAATAAGGATTTTCTTTGGGAGGTGGAGGCGGGCGGATCACCTGACGTTAGGAGGTTGAGACCAGCCTGGCAAACATGGCAAAATCCCCTACTAAAAATACAAAAATTAGCCAGGTGTGGTGGCGCGGGCCTGTAGTCTTAGCTACTTGGGAGGCTGAGGCAGGAGAGTCGCTTAAACCCGGGAGGTGGAGGTTGCAGTGAACCAAGATGGTGCCACTGCACTCTAGCCTAGGCAACAGAGTGAGACTCCATCTCAAAAAAAAAAAAAAAAAAAAAAAAAGTAAGGATTTTCTGCTTAACTTTTCCTTAATCAGGAAACTCTTTTTTAAATGATAGCATAGAATCATCCATTCATTTGCTTGTTCATTTGCTGTTGTTTTTTTTAACTCATTTGTTCAACAAGTGGTTATTCATTGCTACAGGCACAGAATTCCTAGCCCTCATGTACCTTTCCTCTCTAGTGAGGGATTTAGTCAGTAGGAAGGCAGCTATGGGGCAATATGATTTTTTTTAATGGGATGTGGAAAGGTCAGAGGCTATGTAGGTACTTAGGGTTACCTCGAGTTAAAAGAGCCGGGGGACTTCCTAGAGGAAGTGGTGTCAAACAGGAGATCAAACTAATGAGTAGACATTGCCAGGCAAGAAACAGCATGTATGAAGGTTTAGAAGCAACAGAGACTCTAATTTGAAGGAGAAGCTAAATTCGATATGACTGAAATGTGATTTCAGGAAGACACATAGAAAAAGCCAGGGTTAGAGAAGAAAGAGTCAGATTCTTTCCTTTTTACACTTTAAGATATGTCCAGCATGCAAAAATCAGAGTTAATGCTGTGTAATACTACTATGAAATGAAGACCTGTACAGATGGAGAAAATCAAGGCTCTGGAAGACAATTTTCTTGGTACCGACTCTATAAGATTCCTAATTTCTTCTGAGCTATCATGAATTTGAAAGACATCAGATATGCTCAAACACGCGTTCCAATTCTGCACTGGTTCCCTCCCTTCATTAAAGTGGCTATTGGGACTTACTAACATCCAACATTCAGATTTCTATCTTTTTCAAAAGCCTTAACCTATCTGCCTGGTATTATTGTAAACCTAACTATGGTAATATTTTAAAAGGTAAATTATGGTAAATTATTAGCTCATAAGAAGAAAAAATCTTTCAACTCTAACGTTAAGGCTGACTGAATTAAAGTGTGCTAGAGTGTTCTATCTTAGTTTGAGAATAATTTTATAAGATGAACGAGGAGAGAACTTATTAATGAACTATTAACTTTCAAAATAATCTGCATTTTCCTTTTTCCCTAAGTGTTCATGCTATTCTGTCTGCTAATACTTCAGGTTAAAACCTTCATCCTTTGGTGTCCATTTTTGTAACCTTGGACCATTTTAATGTTTTTTCTACTGGTAAACTAGATCATATATTCCAGGTCATTTGGATTTTTATTTTACTTGTCACATATATCTAGTTTTACTAGATTTAGAAGACAGCAGTCTGCTTTAATCCTTTTGTATCTACCGTACCTCAACATGGGGCATATGTTGTTTAAATGATAATTATAAAATATATATACAGAAGGCTCATGAAATAATTTTAGTTTCTTTGATATTTTAACCCTTCCCAATACTGACATGAAAAAAAATGGAAGCAAATATGCTTCCGTATTAATTGAATGCTGCTGAGTAACCTGCTGCAGTTTCTAAAGATCAAACTGATACCTGGGCTCTTTCTGTGCAATCTTCTGTGGTTCTAAGTGTCAGGTGAGTGCTTCTGCAAGAAAACCCATATTCTCTAGGTGAAGTTCTGAAGGAAATGAAACTAACCGAAGGAAGGATGTAAACACCAATCTCATCCTGTATTCTAGATATATGCACTTTGTTACACATAAAGATAGCTTGTAATGTATTTGTTCTGTATTTTTGCTAAGTATCCTCTCATAAAGACAGTTAGCATAAAGCCACTAAGATAAGATATCTGCTCTCTAAATGAGTCAACATATGAAAATGCTTAGGGCATAGAAAGCACTCAGCAAAGGCTAGTTGTTGTTCTTGGTTTAAATTTGGTTTCATTCTTTAGAGCTGTGCTGAACAATACGTAGCCACGAGCCACATGTGACTACTGAGCACTTGAAATGCTACTTTTCCATATTGAGATGTGCTCTAAGTGTAAAATCTACACTGAAGTTCAAAGACTTAGGAAAAATGAATGTCAAATATCTCATTACTAATTTTGATATTGCATGCTAGTTTGGATATATTGAGTTAAATAAAATATATTTTTAAAATTAATTTCACCTGTTGCTTTTTATGTTCTTAATGTAGCTGGCTACTAGAAAATTTGAAATTATATATGTGGCTAATATTCGTAGCTTGCATTATATTTCTATTGGACAGCATTGCTTTAGAGAGACTTTCTAGGGTGTGTGGCAATGCAGCAGTGTTACAGACATTGATCAAAGCTCTTTATCAGCTAAGCAGAAAGGCAGCAGGTCAAATCATAGCTGAACAAATATAAACTGTTCACATTGAAATTTAAATGTGTTTTTCACTGTTTGTGATCAGGTTTATCTTTAAGAAACTATACTTAACACTTTGTGTCTAATAAAAAAAATGTGTTTCTAGGTTACTGGTTGGTTCACCCTGGAGTGGCTTTCCTGAGAACCGAATGGGAGATGTGTATAAATGTCCTGTTGACCTATCCACTGCCACATGTGAAAAACTAAATTTGCAAAGTAAGTTTAAATTTACTTGCAAGGCATGTGATTTGTCTTAGACTCAACTGAAAAATAACATCAGAACAATCATTGTTCTGTCTTAAAGAAATACAGACAGCTTTTTTTTGCCCTTATGTCTTTAGTAATATGGGGCACAATCATATCCAAATTTCCAAAACAGTTTGGAGACTTGACTTAACAAGATGCGTGGAAAATGTGCTATCTCCTGGACCATTTACCTATAGACCATGGACTGGTTTCCATCAACATTTAGAATAATTTTGATGATTACTTGCAGAATCAAGGCTATCCTTGAATCCGAGGCTATCCATATTTCTTTCTCTCCTCTTTGCAAAATAAACCATTAAGTTTGGAAACATCAGTACAAGGGCTGAGTTTGGAGGCACCAAAAACACTCTGTGTTTCTTGTTATGTCTAAATGATGGCATTCTAATAAAACAAATCCACAATTTGGAATTATTTGCTGTTTTAATTATCCCCATCTCAGATGCCTCCTATTAATGCCAAAAATTTACTAAAGGTTCAAGGGTAGACAGCTAAATGAGTGACATTTCCATGTAATATGCTGATACAAGTAAAAAGTCACTCAATTTGATCATCATTACATCATCAGCAGCAGCAGCCTAAAAAAACAGCCCTGAGGAATCACGGAGTTCCTCTGAAGAATTGAGGCATGAATTAGAAAAGAGTGTTGTGAAAATCAAGGGAAAGAAGAGTTTCAAAAATAGTGATTAAGACTTGGAAACAAGGGAAGTGGTGTTTCTTGCATATCTCTGTAGACCTAATATCTAGAATAATTTATGGCACATAATAGGGCTCAATAAACATATTTTCAGTGAAGTAGAAGGAATATCAGTAGTGTCAAATGCTACAGAAGTTGAAGGGGATGAGGACTGAGTAAATGTCTTCAGCTTATTTAAGCAGGTTGTGGGTGATCTAGATCAGTGATCTCCAAATTTTTTGAACACTCAGTATATATATATATATATTTCTAATAACACAAATATATACATTTGGAGTGAGTGTTCAAAGCTTTATTATATAGTCCAAAAATTTTAGTATATCACCCCTAACATTTCATATCACCCTTAACTTCTGAACACTCATTCTTAATGTATATATTTTTATTATTTTTAAAGCTATATACATGTACTGGCCTATCTTCTCAATAATACCTTCACATAAAAATAAATTTTAAAGAATAACAACATGCCCATAGAAGTTCTATTATTTTCTGTCTTCACTCTAACAGATCATATTTTGTGTAACTTACTCACCTAGAGGATAAATCCACCAGTGTTATGGGGAGAAAATAGATAACAAAGAATTTAGGAGTGTGTCAGTAGTGAATGTACAAGGAGTGAAAGTTGACCTCCATTTCCAGAAGTTCAGCAGTGAAGGGGGAGCTGGGAAAAACAATTCTATGGGATAGCAGTGTGAGAAGATTTTTCTAGTAAACAAGAGATGATACTTTTTGTAGGGAACATGGAGGCAGCAGTAAAAAGGGATGATTTGTCCAGGATAGAGTTAACTGATTAAAATTAATGTCATTTGTACCTGAGAAATAGAGTCTTAAAAAGAGTTCTTCCTTCTCTAAGACACAAAGGAAGGAGAGAAAAATTAGGAGTTCTAAGAATGATCTTTACACAATGATTAGAGAAACTGAGATTACCCTGGAAGTCTGATTCATCTTCTCTGCAGTAGTCGTTATTCACTGAGTGATGGGATCTGAGTTGAGGTTGGAGGCTTGAAAAGAAGGGGTGAACTTGGCTGGGCATGGTGTCTCACGCCTGTAATCCTAGCACTTTGGGAGGCCGAGGTGGGTAGATAGCCTGAGCTCAGGAGTTCAAGACCAACCTGGGCAACATGGTGAAACCCCATCTCTACTAAAATACAAAAAATTATCCAGGTGTGGTGGTGTGCACCTGTATTCCCAGCTACTTGGGAGGCTGAGGCAGGAGAATTGCTAGAACCCGGGAGGCAGAGGTTGCAGTGAGCCAAGATCGCTCCACTGCACTCCAGCCTGGATGACAGAGTGAGACTCTGTCTCAAAAAAAAAAAAAAAAAAAAAAAAAAAAAAAAGAAAGGTGAACTTTTACAACAGTCACCCTGGGAAATAAGGGAAGGAATCCAATTAAGAATAAGTGACAGAGGCAATGATAGCTTGGCAGAGATGAGAAACATGACTGAATGATGGTATTACTAAAGAGAATTGCAATGTTCGATAACTCAAGAATGGATACAGTGGTTGATGCCCTAGGTCAGTGGAAGACAGGAGGTGGAGAGATTTATTTAGTATATTATATGACTCGTCTAATTTCCTTTTAACATTCACCCACTATTGCTTTGAGCCAGATTCTATCATAGGGCATTCTTTGATAACACTTCAAGGATATTTTTACTGACCCAGAAAAAAAAAAAGGCATTAGATAGAGCTACTGTGACTTTCAAAAGAGAGGCAAAAATGATGTCCTCAAATGTGTTTTGTTTTGCTAGAATATTGTAAAAAAAATCATAATTAAACATCTATAAGTCATACCCTCTCCAGAGCCCACTCCTTACTGTCTTATGCTCTGCAGCCTCACACATTAATGTGCGTTACCAGATCACTGAAAGCATCGCGTTTCCCCACACTTCATTATATAACTCAAGTACCTATATTGATGACACTAAATTCAATGCTACATGCAAACATGGGTGTGCCTGTTTTCTTTTAATATCTTTAAGTAAACGAGGAATTTTTAATCACTTTTAAAAATTGTTTTCCCTTTGAAAGCTTCAACAAGCATTCCAAATGTTACTGAGATGAAAACCAACATGAGCCTCGGCTTGATCCTCACCAGGAACATGGGAACTGGAGGTTTTCTCGTGAGTGTTTACTTTACAAATCATTATTCCTCTCAAGAAAGTACATAGACAGTAGTGTCTTCTCACCATCCCTCCCAATCTGAGGATTTAGATGTTTAGAACTTGCTTTTTGATAAATTATGCTATTTATTTGGCTATCCAATGTTGAATATTCAAAATAATGTTGATGTGTAGACTTTTTAGGATATTCAGCAAAACCACTGCTACTGAATGTTTTGAAGAAAAGGGAACAAAAAGAACCCTGATTCTTTGCCCTTGGAAAGTGTGCTGAGTATTTGTTGATAACAGCAGAATCCCAAATCTCATTTCTACTTCCTGTAGGATCATTCAAGATAGTTTCAAAGCTAAAAAGTATTTTTGGTTTTTAATCATTTCCTGTAATTGTTGAGTAATCTGGTGTTATCTGAGGCATGGAGCAGTCTCTCATGTCAGTGCTCACTTTCATTTAGTTACAAAAAGAGTAAAAAGACATCACTAATCAGTGAAATAGAATGCCTTATTTAACAAGTGCTTTTGGAACAATTAATTGATTAATATTTACATATCCAAATACACTGTCAAGTGAATTGAAAGTTAATATAAAAAAACTAGAAAAAAATGGAAATTTTCTGAAGGATGGAAAAATTTCTGAGTTTAGAGCTAATAGAAAAAATAATATAGGAAATTGTTGAAAGGATTTGACTATATAAAAAAAGGGAAAAACATCACACACCAAAAAAAAAGTTTGAAGACAAAAACACAATCTTATTTGA
Source organism: Homo sapiens (assembly GCF_000001405.40). NCBI lineage: Eukaryota > Metazoa > Chordata > Mammalia > Primates > Hominidae > Homo > Homo sapiens. Next base: position 53,045,845 of record NC_000005.10, read on the forward strand.
AATTTCCATTGACTCATATAGGTATGTGTATGTATGTATAACCCTGTTAAAATTGTCTTAGAGAGGTTGGGCGCGGTGGCTCATGGCTGTAATCCCAGCACTGTGGGAGGCTGAGGCAGGTGGATCACATGTGGTCAGGATTTCGAGACCAGCCTGGCCAACATGGTGAAACCCCATCTCTCCTAAAAATGCAAAAATCAGCCAGGAGTGGTGGCACACACCTGTAATCCCAGCTACTCGGGAGGCTGAGGCAGGAGAATCACTGGGACCCAGGAGGCAAAAGTTGCATGCACTGAGCCGAGATCGTGCCACTGCACTCCAGCCTAAGCGACAGAGTGAGACTCTGTCTCAAAAAAAAAAAAAAAAAAAAAGAAAAAAAAGTCTTAGACAGCATAATTCAACTTTACACTAGTTTTATCTGAACCATTGGCACGCTTTCTTAAAAATCCTATGTTTTATAACTGTATTATTCTAAAAATGTAATCAATTTTCAACGTCATTCTATTTTTACTAATGGATATTATTATTCTGATGACTGTGCTGCCAGTAAGTGAATTAGATATTGCTTGTGATATGTGTTAACATCAGTGCATAAATGAATATTGCAATGGATCTTTATGGTTTATGATATTCCAAGGTCTTTACAATAAGGTTGCTTTAATCTTTTTGTTTTTTGATTTTAAAGTTGCAAAAATTTAAAAAAAGAACATACTGATATTTAGAGATTACAGAATGTGCCTCAAAATTTTTAATCTATAACTCCAGATAAAGTAAAAAATGAAAGGTAAAAAGCAAGAGAATTTGAGAGATTAATTAGCAGTCCAGGTAGCAAGCAGAGAGGCAGAAAGAGAGAGAGGAGGAGAAAGAAAAAAAGAAAAAACCCAAAGTTTCCTTTACATACTTAGAAGGTCAAAATCATAAGATACTCTTAAGAATTATGTGGAAAAGACTGACAATCATCACATTTTTTTGAAACTTCTTAAGTTCTGGGCTTAAAGTAGGAATGTAGTTCTGGCACTTACAATTGGCATATTTTAATTTCAACTTCTTAATGCTGTTTTCCATTGCTTTTAAAACAAAAAAAAATTTTGAATACTTCATGAGTTCTTTTTCAAAGTGATTTTAAAAAAAGCTTAGGAATGGGGATATAGAAACCAATAATTAGTATCTGTTATTTGGTAAACTAACCAAAGACATTAATAATGACTTTCTTCTAATTAATTGGCAAAATAAATCAGTTTTATAGGGAGAAAACTATGCCTTGTTCATTGCACATGAAATATGGCCAAAGCTGCTTCCCCTTTGACAGTTAAACTGGGTCAAATAAGTTTTCTTTTATTTTTCCAATTACTTCTTGCAAGCCCATACTCTTCTGTTCAGTTTTATAACTGATTCACAACTTTACATAACGTTAAATTCTGTAGGCATTTTTTAGGATCTTAATTAGATTTCTCTTTTGCACTTGTCTCCTTTTTCATGTATCAATTTTAAAGTTATTTAATCTAATGTTTCTTGTGTCATTTAATCATGATTTAATCAGGAGTTTTTGGCATTCAAGGACTCCTGAAAAGGAGAGAATTGGGATTGCATTAATGGAGATATTAAGGATTGGAGCAGGTATAATGTGAGCAAGAAGACAAGTGCCATTCAGCGTTAGTGACTGCAGTTAATTGGGAAGTGGCCAAAGTTAAAAACTGGTAGTCAGTGAACCTCATTTGTGTTTGCTTAGCATATGGAGTAATTTTGAACTGAATTTTCACACAACATTTGCCCTCTCGACTCTCTTTTACAAATTAGGGAATCTGGCAACACAACCTATTTCATACCCGTGGGCAGGCAGAAAACATAGTGGTCTGTACATAGGCATGGGTTCTTCATTCACCATGATGTCTATACCTGACCCCAAGCCCTCTTCAAGCGTTACTGCCATTAGGTTTATGGTTTCTGCTGAGCAGTATGAATGGAAGGAACTGCAGAAAACTAATGTTCAGCAAGAACAATGATAATGATGCTAGCTAACAATATTATATGGCATTTGCTATTTACCTGGCATTGTTCTTAGTGTTTTGTATCTATAGACCCATTTAATCTTTACAACAATCTTAAAAGATAGAATGTGTGGTTATCCTCATTTTACAGATGAATCACCTGAGGCCCAGGTAAATGAGAGACAAAAAGTGAACCTGCATGCATTCTCCTCCTTGGTGTTCTCTGGAAGGAAAGCACCTGTTTTATCTAGCTTGTTGGGAGACCTCATAGGCTCCTCCCTTCACTGACACCTGCTCCCAACAGTCTCAGCACTCCTCCTCCCGCAAGGCTTGCCACTGGGCACAGAGCACCTGCCACCTTCTCCATCACTTCTGCTTTCCCCGAAGGCATTACTGACTCATTGGTTTTGAGTTGACAATTATTAGTATCTTAGAAAAGAGTAGAGATGATTTCTGAGCTCCATAATGGAGAGGTAGAAGGTTTGCATTTTTCATGTGTTTCCATTGATTGTTTTCTCATTTCTTTGAAGACATGTGGTCCTCTGTGGGCACAGCAATGTGGGAATCAGTATTACACAACGGGTGTGTGTTCTGACATCAGTCCTGATTTTCAGCTCTCAGCCAGCTTCTCACCTGCAACTCAGCGTAAGTTATTAATGTGCAGATGGTCTGAGCAATGCCTTACAGTTAAAGGAGGGGGAAAAGGTTATCAACTAGTGGCACCCAAACCCTCCTTAAGTCTCATTTTTATATGGCTGTGAAATATGACTTACCTGTGGAAATCTGCTTCTTTCCTCTTTTCCTGTGTAGCCTGCCCTTCCCTCATAGATGTTGTGGTTGTGTGTGATGAATCAAATAGTATTTATCCTTGGGATGCAGTAAAGAATTTTTTGGAAAAATTTGTACAAGGCCTGGATATAGGCCCCACAAAGACACAGGTATGGCTAACAGAAATGCATAACTAACTTATGGCTTTCTTTCTGAAAAAAATATTGTTAGCTATGAAGTCTTAATTTTTGTATTTGCCAAATCCCCATTTTAAATGCATTTGATGGTAGTTTTTAAAGTTAATTGAAACTTTTACTACATTGGGTTATTCTACCTATGGCTTTGCCCAGTGCTGGTCTTTTGACCTTAGAGTTCTATTTCTGACACAAGCATTAAAGGTATGGGACATAACTTTTTTTTTTTTTTTTAAGACCAAGTCTTGCTCTTGTCACCTAGGCTGGAGTGCAATGGCACGATTTAGGCTCACTGCAACCTCTGCCTCCTGGGTTCAAGCGATTCTTTTGCCTCAGCCTCCCGAGTGGCTGGTATTACAGGCTCCTGCCACCACACCCAGCTAATTTTTGTATTTTTAGTAGAAACAGGATTTCACCATGTTGGCCAGGCTGGCCTTGAACTCCTGACCTCAGGTGATCCACCTGCCTCAGCCTCCCAAAGTGCTGGGATTACAGGCATGAGCCACCATGCCCGGCCAGGATATAACATTTTAATCTTCCTTTAGTTTCCTGTCTTTCCCTTCTAACCCATGAGTTACATTTTAAAATTCAATATGTATTTTTATGTCCATTTGGACCAATAATTAATTTCTTTTGTTTATTCCTTGCTGGTAAAACAATTATTGAATTCTGAAATTTGTATAAATAAGTCACTAAGCATAGTTCCAGCATTTATGATAATATTTTATAGTTATTTATCATATTCCAGTTTAGCTTGCCCTTTTGCCTACAGAAAAGGTCTTTTCAATAATTTTATATAGTTCTTTATATTTTAAGAAGTCTTTAATTTGCTTTTACATCTTCTTGAGGTAGGCACCTAAAGCTCAATAGTATTATTTTAAAGTTCAGTTTCTGGTTTTGGATTTTTTTTTTCCTTTCTGATTGAATCTGCCATTTCCTGAGCCATTCTGGTTGTAGCAGTATACTGAACCAGTGTCAACCCGGACCAGTTCACTGTTACCAGTGTATGCTCATGGATTGCATCTTATACTCTAATGTCCAACATCTAATACAAATTGTTGACATATTTTTCCCTAAATGCTTTCCAGCTATCTTTATTGAAATTTGCTTCTCTGCTTTCCTGTTCACTATTATAACATGTTGTTATATGTTTCTCCCATTGAAATTGCTTTTCAGTACCAAGAGTATCTCAATACCCACAGAAGCTTTGGAAATTTCCCTGTGGGCATTTTCCAGGACATTCCGCTAAATAAAACTACATATAGCACTGGTTTCCAGAAAGCACCACTCTTAAAGCCCCTTATAAGTTTTCATATGTATCTCCTTATTTCCTCTGTTTCTAAATGAGTTACCCTCATAATGTGACTAATTTTATTTAAGTCTCCTATATAGAATTCACAGTCTTCCTCTTTTGTGTCTTCCTACCACAGTGCATCTGATTCCTCTCTAGAAGTGGTTTAACTCAATCTCTTTTCTTACAGCCTAAATTTGACCTTCCTGTAAGTTCTAACCTACCACATTTCTTTAAATCTTTTTTCTTCTTTTTCACACAGAAGTCCTGGGGCTCTGTCGTGGGATTACTACCATCTTCCTCTCGTATTGGACTTTGAAATTCTCAGTTATTTTTTATTCTTTCCTCCCTCTCAAGTCTTACATCCCTAGAGAAAGGGGTCCAGGAATATTATATTTCTCACTATCTTCCCAGTGCCTAGCTCACTGCTCCCTTGGCAAAACACAGCAGATGGAACTCAGAAATCCAGTCCTCACCGCTTCCACCTCCTTACATACTGACCTGTATTTCAGAGAGCCTCTTATTGCCATTCAGAGATCCCTCACTGCCACTCCTGTTCTGGAAAGCCCATCTCCTAGGCTTAGAGGATGATCTCAATGCCTGCAAACAAGGACATTAACAGAAGGGTGTGACCTTATTGATCTCTAGGATTAGGGAATGCTCCCAAACATCTTGTTCAGAAATTCTTTCAAATAAGATGCTCTCCAGTGGCATTTTCTCTGAAAGCCAGAAACTCCCTGCCCCATATGCACATATAGCATCTTCTTTCCAGTGTTGTTGAAGCCCATAATAGAGGAAATTCAGCACAATAAATAGACCTCAATTGACTACGCTGATTAGGAGCACATTGGTTTTTGTTGTATTCAATTCTAATTATTTATTACACAGTTACCATCCTTTGATGAGATGTTACTCTTCATCTGTGATTGCTTATAGTTGTTCGCGAGCTTCTGTCCATTGGTAATTAGAAAGTTTATTTATATCAAGTTTAATCTTCCTGTTAAAAACAGTGTTCTAATAGTCATCCATATTAAAATATTATATGGCAGTATTAAAAACTACAAATATTACTCTTGGGAATCAAATCATACACTGTAGCACATCATCTTTCTTGGCAATAGTACTGCTGTTGTACACTGATGGCCTCTAACAGAGAAGAAATCATTCCATTGAAAGAAAAGTAACTATCAAGAACAAAGTTGGAAGTGATGCCTTAAAGCTACCGGCCCATGTCTAAATGTACTTTTGATTTTTATTTTATTGGTTAAGTAGAAATTATTTTTAATGTAATGACAGCCCATTAATAAATGTCTCCTCTGTTGAAGGTGGGGTTAATTCAGTATGCCAATAATCCAAGAGTTGTGTTTAACTTGAACACATATAAAACCAAAGAAGAAATGATTGTAGCAACATCCCAGACATCCCAATATGGTGGGGACCTCACAAACACATTCGGAGCAATTCAATATGCAAGGTAAGTTTTGGTGCTAATAGGCCAATGTTTTCATAATGTAAAACATTATATTTATGTAATAAATATGAAAAAGTAAGGAAAAGACAAAGAAAAATAATATACCTGGTACCTAATTTAAATCAGAACTAATAAAGAAAAAAACATCAGAGCATTCTATGTCTTGAATACTTTGAGAAGGCAGCTGGGAAAGTTAAATCTTTGATTTTAGGATATTTATAAGATATCACATGATATTTAAATGAATTTATGTGAAGTAAATGAAATGAGAAGACCTTAGATTAAAACAGTAGGAAATGGGGCAATCTGTCATAATTTGTTAATATTCATCAGAGATTCAGACAAATTGAGCTCATGGATCACTTGGTGCAAATTAACAAAGACCACAGAATCTTAAACATACGAGTTTAAGTTTATTATGCTTATTACAATCAGTGGGAAATGTGAAATTATAACTATACAGGACTCTCTTGATTCTTATCTCAATTTCTCTATTTTCTCAGATCCACTGACCTTTCTTTTCACTCTATTTTTTATTTTATTTTTATTATACTTTAAGTTCTGGGATACATGTGCAGAACGTGCAGGTTCATTACATAGTATACACATGCCATGGTGATTTGCTGCACCCATCAACCCATATCTACATTAGGTACTTCTCCTAATGCTATCCCTCTCCTAGTCCCCCACCCCTTGACAGGCCCCAGTGTGTGATGTTCCCCTCCCTGTGTCCTCATTGTTCAATGTGCTCTCATTGTTCAGCTCCCACTTATGAGTGAGAACATGCAGTGTTTGGTTTTCTGTTCCTATGTAAGTTTGCTGAGAATGATGGTTTCCAGCTCCATCCATGTCCCTGCAAACCAGATACCTTCACAAAAATGCTAAACACACTCCGGTTGTTAAACAAATTAATGAGAACAACAAGCTTGCCTTCCCTTAAACCTATTCTCTCTCTTTGTCTTGTGCATTCCTTCTTTTTACCACCATAATTCTTTTTGAAAAAAGCAACTCTATTCCCTCCCTCTACTTCCTTGAAACTTACAGTTCTGCCACTAGATAAGCATGACCCTCTTCATCCCCCAACCCTGTGGTCCCACCTTAAACCTCATCCTTTCTGGCTCCTCTGAACATTTGATAATGATGAACATACGCTGCTATTCCTAACCAAGTTGCCATGACACCACAAACTTCTCGAACTCCTGCCAAATTCTTTTGCCTCTTCACTAGCTCCTTTTCCTATTTTTTCTTCACTAAACAGAGCCCTCTCTTCTTTACTGCTCTTCTCCTGTAGGGATTCTATCCACTGTCATGGCATCAGCAGCAGCACTGTTGGGTTATCTCATTGCTATGTTGTCAGCCCTACACTCTCTCCCAAAACTCACACTGGCATCTAGCTGATGATGAATATTTTTATTTGGAGTGTTGGCTCACTTACCAAATTCAATCTGTCCCACACTGGCCTTATTCTTTTCCCTACCACTCCTCATGAACTTGCCATTTTGATTCATGCCACTGTCTCTTGCCTAGTCAGTCGAACTAAAAATTTGGTTTCCTTTATTCTTTCCACTCTTCCTTATGTCACACATCTGGTCAGTGGCCACATCCTGTCATTTCTATTTCTGCATTTCCCATTTTATCTGTCTTCTTTTTCTGTGTGTGTATTTCAGTTGCTACTTCCGTCAACTGGTGACAATCCCAAATGTCTCAAAAGCAGATTCCCCACAAGAGAAGATATGATTGGTTTGGTTCATCATTACTGTCTCTATTCAGGGACAATAAAGGTTTTTTGGGCCAGGCCATCTCATAAGCTGCTGGCCAGTCAATAGGTCAGCTGCCATTAGGTGAAGCGCCCTTTCTGGACACAGCAAACTGGACTAAAAGGACAAAGAAGTTGAGATGAAAAATGGCTTTCCTGGAGTTAGAAACTGCAACGGCCCGGTTTTCAGCAGGGAAGGTGGGAGTAGCATTTTTCCCTGGAAGGAGCCTGGGGCCCTGGCGAGCTTTGTTCTCCAGGACAATGGCCACTGTCCATTGAGGAAGGACTTGCCTGGCTTTCATCATGTTTCAAAACTTTGGTTTTCTCCCTTGGGCCATTGTCTATCTCCCTCTTCCCACTATTTCCCAAGCTAACAGGTTTTAGTCTGCCCAGTGCTAGGAGAATCACCCAACATTTTACTCATCCCTCCTAGAATGTAATTGCCTGTCTCTCTCTCTCTGTCTGTCTCTCATCTCTTTCTTTAAAACATTGAAGATAATCTGAAATTATTTCAGTAATTGTTGCCATGTTTTCATTCACCTCATTTCATTCAATGCCTACAGTTGCAGTTTATTGTTTTAAGCACTGCGGGTAATTAAAACTAAATGAGACACAGTTTCTGTCCTCAAAAACCTTAGAATCATACATGAAATTTACAGTGTATCATAAAGAGAATGTGACACTCAGAAAGGATCTGATGTGGATAGTGTAATTCAAATTTGGCCGAAAAATGCAGAATATTTTCTATGTTTCTATAGTCTACATTATAGAATACAAAAAAGATTTTAGGAAATAAAATGATATGCTCAGTTTTATAATAAACTGAAACTCATATGTTTAAGATTCTGTGGCCTTTGTTAATTTGCACCAAGTTATCCATGAGCTCAATTTGTCTGAATCTCTGATGAATATTAACAAATTATGACAGATTGCCCCATTTCCTACTGTTTTAATCTAAGGTCTTCTCATTTCATTTACTTCATATAAATTCATTTAAACATCATGTAATATCTTATAAACATCCTAAAATCAAAGATTTAACTTTCCCGACTGCCTTCTTAAAGTATTCAAGACATAGAATGCTCTGATTTTTTTCTTTATTTGATACTATCTATTAAAATTTGAATTGTGTGTATCCTGTGTCCCAATAATTTTACTGCTAAGATTTTATCCCATTTGAAAAAGTATGCCAAGATATATACACAGGGATATTTATTACAGCCTTACTTGTAAAACTCAAAATGTCCTAAGCATCCAATAATGGGGAACCGGTTAAATAAACCAGTCTTCCTTCATATGGTCCTCCAAATAAAATATTATGCAGACATTTAAAAAAAGAATGAGACCTTCATGTATATACATGTGCTGATATGGAAAGGTCTCCATCAAAGTAAAAAACAACTGTTTAGAATATGCCCTCATTTGATGCAAAGGCATAAGAATGATACAGTGGACTCTGGGGACTCAGGGGGGAAATGGTGGGAAGCGGGTGAGGGATAAAAGACTACAAATTGGATTCAGTGTATTCTGCTCAGGTGATGGGTGCAAATCTCACAAACCACCACTAAAGAACTTATTTATATGACCAAATACCACCTGTTCCCCAAAAACCTATGGAAATAAAACATTTTTTAAAAAAGAATATGCCCTCATTTGAGTAAAAGTTTAAGGGGTAGACTATGCCTGTACCTATATTACATCTAAATAAAACATTTTCTAGAAGGAAATGCAAGAAACTGATAATGGTGCTTACCTGTGGAGAGGGGTTTAGTGTCACATTTGGTTTATACCTTTCCAAATACTTTGATTTTTTTTTAACTGTGGATATCTATTACTTTTAAAAAAATAAGTATTGATAAAGTAAACACAAGACTAATGCATAAAATTTATAACAGAAATATCTTTGCTTTATTAATTCATACTGATTAATTCAACTTTCTTAGAAGAAAAGAATTCTAAGGAATACTGGGATAAATACATGCACACATATACACACATATGCCCTGACACACAAGACATTGTTTTTAATGTCAAGCAAGACTTCCATTTGTATATGTTTCTCTACAAGCTACAAATGGAACATTAAATATGTCCTCAGAATTAATATGGAGTTACAATAGATTGTGTTTAAAGAAGCTAGTTTCATGTTTCTATTTTAAACCAGAGGTTCTCATATTAACTTCATATTTTGATAGCAAGTCTTTATTTAATTTTATCTGCCACAGAAAATATGCTTATTCAGCAGCTTCTGGTGGGCGACGAAGTGCTACGAAAGTAATGGTAGTTGTAACTGACGGTGAATCACATGATGGTTCAATGTTGAAAGCTGTGATTGATCAATGCAACCATGACAATATACTGAGGTTTGGCATAGCAGTAAGTGGCTTTTCTTTTCACTTGTCTTGCCGCTATTGGGTAAATCTTTCTTTATAGCATCACTTCTCAAGGCTGCACTTTCCCATTGGCTGTTCATAGTTGAATATAAAAGAAAGTTCTTACTCTATCTCTGCTTCTTGATGATTTTCAATCCTGTCTACTAAATAAAGGGTTATGGAAATGTTGCTTGATTTACTTTTCCAGAGGGAATATTGTGTTCAAAATAGGCTAGAATGTACTCATAGGGAAAATGTACAGCAGTAATGACTGCACATTCTCTTCCTCTATTTTCAAGGTTCTTGGGTACTTAAACAGAAACGCCCTTGATACTAAAAATTTAATAAAAGAAATAAAAGCAATCGCTAGTATTCCAACAGAAAGATACTTTTTCAATGTGTCTGATGAAGCAGCTCTACTAGAAAAGGCTGGGACATTAGGAGAACAAATTTTCAGCATTGAAGGTAAAAAAAATAACCTCCTTTCAAGAATTTTCTTCAAAATGTTTAAATAATTGTTTATTATCACATATTTGCTTTACTAATGTTAACTTGTATACCATGTATAAAAAGAGCTACTACAATCAGTAAGAGAAATGGATGAAAAACATGAATAAATAGTTTATAAATGATAAAATACAAATGACTGATAAACATAAGAAAATATTCCCAATTTACAAAGTATATTTCTAAATACTTTCAGTAAGTATTTAAAAACATAAATTAAACCGACAATATGTTTTGCCTAAAAGATGACACAGAATAATAATGTTTAATCCTGGAGAGATTATCAGGAAGCAAAGAAGCTCATACACTGTTGATAGGATGATAAATTGTTATGACTTTTGGGGGACAATGTATGAATATCTATCTATTAGAATCATAAATAGTTTTACCTTTTTACACTGTGTTATGTAAGTTCTAAAATTCTTGAATTTGTTTACAGTAAGCATATATATTTTTAAAATTAGAAAAATACAGCAAAGATTTTTAATAGTTCAGTTTTTGAGGAAGCATTTTATTTATAGGACCTAAAATAATTTACTTAGGTGGCCTTGGAAAATCTAGTTAGTGCAGAAAGATCACGTGTTCAGGAGCTCACTGTGTGGGGGACTAGCACACACTTCACAGTTGGTTAAAAGAAAAAAAAAACACACATCACCCAAATCCTAGTTCTTGATGGTTAACCCGAATAACTCTTTGCAATAAAGACCATATGTTATTGGAAACCTATGTATCAGGTACAGCCTTAGAGTCTGGGGCTAAAGGAATTGCATAAATTATTCATTCATATACTCAAATCTTGATTTGATTATCCATTGGAATTACCCAAAAAGCATTATTGCTTCTTCAGTATCCCATGGTGCTTCAAAGTTGTTTAAATAACCATTTAAATCCAGCATACCCTGAGATAACACAAAATCACTAGGCTATCCACACTGATAATTGTATTTGTTTGTAGTGGAATGAATGAGAACAATTGCAATCTACAAGCTAGCTAGAAATGATTTTGAGCATTATTTGCTATTATGGACTTTGGGGAACATTATTCTATTTTATTAAAAAGTATCTCTACTCATCCTGTGTAAATTATTTTATCTTCTAAATAAGACTATGTTGTACAGTACAGTTTGTCTTCTTTTCTATATTAAAGTGTGAGTCCAGTAATTTAGCTTCCTTTTGTGAAGATTAGTGAAACGTAGCCATTTTGATCACACTGTATGGAAAATAAGTACCAATTGCATCTTACAGTGTTAGTGACACAGGCAAGCACATATACAGAACCAGAACAAACTTCCCAATTGGTAAAATTCCTACTCAGTCTTGAATTCTGATTCCTAATAGCTAACTCAGTTATCTCCCAGCAGTCTTCACTACAGATCAATTGCCCAGCCCTTCCAACTGCATCTGAGATATGTGTACATTATCAGTACCCATATTTCAAAGCTAAAAATTCAGTTAGTTTCTTAGCTAGTAATGATCAAGTTTTTAAAAAATTATCATCTCAGTTTTCACCTTACCTTATACCCTTTGTTGAGTGTCCTTTGGTATCAAGAACGTCATACATATTCTGCTAAATACATTAATGTTCAATTAAAGTTAATGCCAACTTTGAACACTACCTTGGAAGTGTTGTTATTTCCATAACCTGCTAGAACACTTTCTTAGTAATTTCTTCTTCCCAGAATATGCAAGCTCTGTATTTTTGGGTGAGTATTGGAACAGTGTGTGTTTGTGTTTGTGTTTGTAGGCATGTGTGTACATACGTGCCTGCTTGTGTTTGAAAACTTGATTTAAAATTACTGACAGTAATACAATTTTTAAAATTGAATGTTCCAGGTACTGTTCAAGGAGGAGACAACTTTCAGATGGAAATGTCACAAGTGGGATTCAGTGCAGATTACTCTTCTCAAAATGTGCGTATATCAGATAGCTTCAAGCCATGTTGTCATTTGGCATAACACTTCCAGACACAGTAGCCTTATACATAAAATGGGAAGACAGCCATCTAGGGATCAGCCCTTCTGATTCCTAGTCACGGTCATTTAGTTTCTTTGTGCTGCTGATTTACCTCTAAAATTTGAAGGATAATAATGTCTTCCCTTCCCTGTTTCACAGGGATCTTATATGGGGGAAAACTGATAGTATACCAGAAAGTCTTTGAGTACCCCAGGGCACAGACTGTATATTAACTTAAGGTATTATTCCTGCAGGAATTTTCTTTGAATCAATTAACTACTGGAAATGTTTGTTAAAAACACGTACTCTTGTCATCACCGTCATGGTCGAATTCTGAATGGTCATAGTATCTTTTTCTAAGAGCAGACAGAAAAGAGTTGAAAAAATAAGGAGGTAGGAAAAACGTGAGGTGGAATTGGAATACAACACTGTCTTTTCAGCTCGGGGAAGTCTATTTCTATCTCTCAGAAACATCCACCTCCTGGGCCCCTGATTCTAATTTGAGTCAGGAGGTGAGAGAGATAGTGAAAGGAGGCGAAAAAAAAAAGAAAGAGATCCTGGGAATTATTTAAGGAACAGTAGGAAATCCCAGGATTTGATCGGCAGGTCAGAGGACCAAGAACAGCTTGTTTTCTATCTAGAATCAAAGGAACTGACTTTTTCTGGATCATCAATCCTTAGAGATGCTCATAGAAGTTATGGATCTTTCCCTCAGAAAAAATGTAAATGAATCTATGCACGGAGAATTTTGCACACAATCCCATGAGGTTTTTGTACATACGCTGAAGTCCTTTCATGCACCCCAAATCCAGAGTCCCTCAATTTACTACAGTCATTCACATAACTTCATGGTCTCTTATCCTCAAAGTAGAACACATCTTTTCCTTACTTGCTATTTTTCATGGCTTGTATTTTTTAGTCCAACATCTTATCTTTGGTACGCTCTAAGATAGAAGAACAAAAAATTAAAAATAGTGTATCTCATCCTCACCAAATCTGCCTCGTTTGATGATTTATAGCATTGAGTGTTTAGATTGGGTTTCAAGTCAATCCAGAGTAGGCATCTTCCTTTGCCCTCCCCACAGGGCTGACAAATGGTTATTTTCCTTCCAATAGATTGAATGTCACAGCTAAAGTTGCCTCTTGTAGCTGTGCTATTATCAAATAGATGGAATATAGGAATATACTGGAACATTTGAGAAGGGGTCAGGAAGAGAGAGGAAGAAAGCTGAAAGTAGAACAGGTCAGAAGAGGGCCTCCCGAGCCGTGTCTGGGATAGCAGAAGTATCTCCGTCTCTCCCGTGTCAGTACTTCTGTTTCTCAAGCATGTCTCATATCCGGCTGTGAGCTTTCCTTATAAATATGTGGAGTGAGAGACTCACTTCTGACTCCTTTGTAAAGTTCATAAGGGTTTACCATTGGCAAATATATGCCTTTGAAAGGGAAATTTGAAGATGGCTCTGTACCTGTCCTGTACTACAGGTTATTACAAAGGTTTGTCTGTATAACATATCATACTAAATAAAGTCCAAAATAACACAGCCAATGGGAAGGCTTGTTCTCTAGCACAAATATATTAAGACAATTCTACAATATGTCAATATATGTTCATATATATTTCATCATTTTTAATAAATCTAAACAACTTATTTCAATGTTTTGCCTACCCTGCATTCTTATGTTTTAAAGGTGATTTGTTTCAATGATCTTCATTTTTCAATTATTTTAGGATATTCTGATGCTGGGTGCAGTGGGAGCTTTTGGCTGGAGTGGGACCATTGTCCAGAAGACATCTCATGGCCATTTGATCTTTCCTAAACAAGCCTTTGACCAAATTCTGCAGGACAGAAATCACAGTTCATATTTAGGTAAGGCATGGTAATAATTGGCTCAGCAAACTTAAGTTCCCTTGCTTTAAACCAGCTCTTTGTTGAATCTCAGGGTGAGTTCAGCAAAATCCTTGAACTGTCATCTAATTATCATATTTATTACACATACATATGTTGTCTCTTTGCCAATCGGGCCTTAAGGCATAACTACTTATTGGAATACTATATTATACTCACTAGTTTCTTCTGGCTGGTCAAGTGGTTGTAATTCCTGGAACATGATTGTGTTCCTCCAAAATGGAAATAGTTCCCAAAAGTCAATACAGTAAGTGATAGTCTTATAGTATTTTAGAGCTCTTAGTCTTCTTGTTCTTATAATAAGCAGCCACTGATTTTGCAGACTTACTATGGGACAGTTCCTGAGCTGCTAGTCTATCTACATAAACATTTAAATCTTTCCAACAAGTCTTTCAGGGATGTTTTGCCTTTGAGAGATAGCAAGATTAACAACTTGTCTAACGTTCAACAACCTAGTAAGCGGCAAATCCAGAATCTGAACCTCAGCCTGTTTCCAAGACCTGTGTTCTTTCTACTGTGCAACACTACCTTTTAAATACATTTATTCATTCGTTCAAGAAATATTTTTTGAATGCCAGGTTCACAGGTGGCTGATGAGAACAGCGTGGAATCTAGAGGCAGTTTTATAGGTAGAAGTCCCACCTGCAAAGGGAAGTGCTGCAGGTCAAAGGACAGGAGCAATTCATCTTAGAAAAAGGAAGACATGTCCTCAGTGATGTATTCAGGAGCACTAGAAACTTTGCATCACATCTAACACAAAAGGATCTCTGGTCACCTTTACTCACTTCTTTTAACTTTATTTTGCTCAGATAGTCAATGTTAATCACTCTGTTGCTCCTTCCCTTTTAGGTTACTCTGTGGCTGCAATTTCTACTGGAGAAAGCACTCACTTTGTTGCTGGTGCTCCTCGGGCAAATTATACCGGCCAGATAGTGCTATATAGTGTGAATGAGAATGGCAATATCACGGTTATTCAGGCTCACCGAGGTGACCAGGTAAATCTCACTGTTTAGCAGGTGAAATTAATTTTAGGGGCAACTGGGCAGGTGGGGAGTCAGGTGAACAGAAATGGAAAACAACATGGCCTGAGTGCCTACTCTGTGATTGGCTCTGTAATCTGAGTTTACTTAGTGTATTCCTTAAATCATCACAACAATACCAAGAAGACAGCCCTCCCTTTTGACAACTTACTGGGAATTTAGCTAGCTTTCTAAGGTCACACAGCGTCCATGGATTGAGCTGTCATTAAAACTCAGTCCTTTCTGGACTCAGAGGCTGTCCTGAATGATTACATCCCCTTCATGTTTTTGACTCCCTGGATTAATAATGCATGGATATTATTTAGTTGTGATGGCAGGCATGTAACCACTGCTTTGTAGGTAAGCACACACTAGGAACAAGGATTTGGAGAGGAAATAATGAGAAGAAGGGAGCAGCACAACATTATAAGGACTGAACTTTTACATCTGAACCTGTCAGAATGTCCTGTTGGTTTTGAAGATTCTAAAAGTAAAACAATTATCTTCTCTGCCACTTTCAGCTGATGGGTGACAGTTTGGTAGTTAGACCCTATGATGAATCCCAGATATGGCCCACTACAGCAAAGATCTGTTGCTAGAGCAAAGGCCAGCTGATTGCTTCCTGTTTCCTTACTAAACAGTTTTGACCCAGGGGCTTGACACACATTTAAAATGAGCATCACTAATCCCTGACAACCAACAAAAAGTGGTTTCCTTCTTTAAGCTGGAGAAACTTACAAAGATTTCTCTTCTCTGAGATTAAGTGTGATCCTGCTGTTCCTATGGATTTTCTAGGAGTAAGAAGACCCGAGTTCTTGACTTCCGTGACCACAAATTAGCTATGGTCACATACTTTTCTCTCTTTTTTAATATTTTAAAGAAGTTCTTCTTTAATTTAGAAAATAACAGTGACAGTGTTATGGAAGGAATCATTTCTTAGTCATTTCTAAATCCTCAAAAAGTGTTCACATAGGCATGCATTGAACGTTGTTGAATGGGATGAAGGTTCAAAGTCTCAGCTTTTCTTATTTTAATTTATCTCCACCTTGTCCTCCTGTCCCAATCTATCCAGCAACTACTTACCTGTCTCATATCATGCCATGTACACTTACATCATCATATGTGCTTTCCCACTTCCCTCTGCCTAGAAAACTCCATGTCCTTCTTACTTTGCAATTTGAATGATATTTTAACTTTCTAAGCCTTCCTGACTCTCCTGCTCTCTGATCACTCAGCCTTTGGGACTTGCCTCTATTACAATTTATTTTACTATAGAAGCTTAATTATTTATTCTCCCTGCCTCTACCCCTCCTGCCTTTTGCTATGACAAACCTCACATACCTACAAAAGGTTTGCCTTATAAGTATGTCTTTGACCCCCTGGCATCAGAAACACCTGGAATGCTAATTTAAATTGCTGTGTTCTGGATCACATCCTAGACATTACTTCAGAATCTCTAGAAATGGGTCTCAGGGATCTGTATTTCAAAGGCATTTTCTTGGAGATTCTTGTGCACACTAAGATTTAAGAACCAGGTGTTAGATGGTGTTAGAACCTGAGGGAAGGAACTGTGCTCTCTGTCTTCATGTTCCAAGCACTTTGCAAATAGTAAACACTCAATTTTTGTGTATTGAATGAGCAAGTAAATGTTCAGTGTAATATTAGAAGTATATGAATCCTAGGAATTCTAAGTTTAACATGTTTTATTACTCCAGATTGGCTCCTATTTTGGTAGTGTGCTGTGTTCAGTTGATGTGGATAAAGACACCATTACAGACGTGCTCTTGGTAGGTGCACCAATGTACATGAGTGACCTAAAGAAAGAGGAAGGAAGAGTCTACCTGTTTACTATCAAAGAGGTAAAAAAAAAAAAATAAACTAATAGTTTAATTTGCTTTAGTACTGGTAATTTAACTTGCATTTGGAAAGAAAAATTTATTATTATTGAATGATAATTTGCACAGATAGTATGGTTTACATTTCATCATTTTTGAGGATGTCCCCATTAAGTTATGATTTTAAAAATCACATTAACAGGAAAAACTAGAGTTGAATGTATAGTGTACTGCCATTTTCCATGAGAGGTCTTTGAATATATAGTCTCTTATGCAAATAAAGCCATTATAAGTGCACATCGTTTATTGAAATATGCACACACACAAACATTTGTGTATTTCTCTAGTATCACATGTAATTTTTTGCGATAAAGACAACAATAACAGGGCAATGCTTTCTTGTTATCAGTTGACAGTGAAAAACAGAAGTTTTACCAAGCACTTTGTAAATTCCTTGTGATCTCAGATGCTTCCTACATTAGTTTGTCAGGAAGTGTCATTGCTTAGTGTAACATTTAGGCATGTATCCAACTCTTGAAGTTTCAAGTCCTTCCACAAAAAAACACCATACATTAACATGGCAAAGCATAATTTTTCCAATTTGTGGACTGAACTCTCTAAATCCATGTATATAAGTGTAGTGAACTCCATGAAATAAAAAAAGAAAACCAAATTAAAGGCACAGATTGACATAGAAAATTATATGCTCCTTAGTATATAAGAAAAGGAGAAGCTGATGTTAAAATAGTAAATACTATGTTTAAGTATTGTGATATTTTGTACCACCTGATTTATTGATATTTATGTAAAAATTAATCTTTTAACAGAAGTAATTAATTAAAACAATTCTAAAGCAATTATACATATAAAGAATGTGTAATTGAGTATCAACAAAGGCTGGACCTAGTTACTTGTTGAAAAACTGACAAATCCCCCCTTCTTTAAATATTTCTTACTTGTGAGATATACTGAATTATCATTAATTGTTGAAAATGAACAGATCTTTTAATACCGTGTCAAACGCAGTAAAAATTTGTATAAGATTATATTAGAGGAGAAAGAACACTGACCCAGTTTCATGGTTGAGAAACATTGCTTTCTTGTGAAGTCATGAAATATTTCCATACTTGATCATAAAATTGAAGAAAAAAACTGTGTTTTACAAGGAAACGTCTTTTCCTTTGCACAGAATTATTTAATGTTTTTAATAATGGAGATATTAACAATCTCATTTTCTACTTCCTGTACCACTATAATTATGTCACTATTTGGTAATTTTTACAGAAAGCCTAAATTAAGATATTGTGTTTTATTTTGTTCTGTGTCTGCTTTAATTTCATTCAAGATATTAGTAATTTTCACCAGAAAAATTTTAAATCAAAAGGTTGGAAATAGATGAAGATCGTATTATTGAGAGGAAAATGAGACCAAGAAATGGATGCTGTTCAGCTACAGTAAAGAGAATTATCTCCTTTGACCTTGGTTTATGAGCAGATATTTATGACCTTACTGAAATTCTTATTTATAATTCTGATCATAAATAGTTCAGGTTTAAAATTCTATCCATTTTTAATATTAAAAAATTAGTTTGGTCATCGATTGCTCTGAATTTTATTTTCTTTTTTATTTTATCATATTTCTTTCACTTTTTTAAATAGATGGGGACTTGCTCTGTCACCCAGGCTGTAGTGCACTGGTGTGATCATAGCTCACTGCAGCCTCTAATTCCTAGGCTCAAGCAATCCTCCCACTTCAGCCTCCTGAGAGCTAGGACTACAGCTGTGTGCCACCACTCCTGGCTAACTTTTTACAAAAATGTTTTATAGAGACAAGGTCTCACTATTGCTCAAGCAGGTCTCAAATACCTGGCTTCAAGTAGTCCTTCTGCCTCAGCCTCTGGAGTCTTTGGGATTACAGGCATGAGCCACCACACCCAGCTGCTCTGAATTTTAATTATACAAGTTGTAAGGTTTGCTTTAATCATCCTTTTGTTTCCCCTTTGCAAGGGCATTTTGGGTCAGCACCAATTTCTTGAAGGCCCCGAGGGCATTGAAAACACTCGATTTGGTTCAGCAATTGCAGCTCTTTCAGACATCAACATGGATGGCTTTAATGATGTGATTGTTGGTTCACCACTAGAAAATCAGAATTCTGGAGCTGTATACATTTACAATGGTCATCAGGGCACTATCCGCACAAAGTATTCCCAGGTAATCCATGAGCTGTTATGGTGATGTATGTATTTGTGGGTCTTATCATATTAGACATAGAAAGCGTCATGTAAACCATGCAATCCGTCCGCCTTATTTTGTAACTTCATTCTTTCACTCAGCAAATATAAAGTGAGCCTCTACTGTGTGCCCAAGCACTGTTCTAGAGTCTGGGGATGCTATAAGAACAGGACAGACACAATTCTGATCTTTGTGTGCCTTATATTATATTGGAGGAGACAAATAAAAAGAAAGAAGTAGATAAGATAAAGTATTCCAGATAGTAATAAAGGAATTTTTAAAAAAGCAAATGAAACTAAAATAGGAAATAAAATTTCAGCAATAGGAGTATCAGGTGGTTGAAGGGGTGACTAATGAGGCCTCACTGAGCAGCCAATTTTGGAGTAAGACTGGAAGGAAAAGAACTAGGAAATTAACCCTGTACCTGAACTTGCATCAATTTGCTCCAAGTCCACTGATCTTTTCACTGGTTTATGATTTTTTATTAAAGATTTATGCTGTCCCTTCGATGAAAATGTGGCTGTAAGAGTGATGCAGAGATCAGATAATAAGATGTGATTAAAAAATGAATCTTTAGAATTTGTAGAGAATAAACACAATCTGGGACATTACTATATAGAAAATATAATAATGAAATTCAGAGGCTGCCATTTTCTGGTTCAGCTGTTGTGTACTATAATTTCGTGTCAAACCTGCTCTTTTAGAAAATCTTGGGATCCGATGGAGCCTTTAGGAGCCATCTCCAGTACTTTGGGAGGTCCTTGGATGGCTATGGAGATTTAAATGGGGATTCCATCACCGATGTGTCTATTGGTGCCTTTGGACAAGTGGTTCAACTCTGGTGAGTCAGGAAGAGCCAGACACAAACTAACTAAAAATTACCTGCTAAGAAAGCAGAACAGATGTCTGTACTGGTATTATAGAAATGCCACATGCATTCTATAAGACTATAGGGAATCGATGTATCATAGTTTGCACAAAGGAATAAATGTGTTTTTCCAAGTAGGAAAAATAGATATATTTGCTTACCATTAGAAATATAGTTCTCTCCTCATATGGTGAGTAAAACAGTACATAGAAAACATAAAGTTCTGGAAATGGTATCCAGGCTATTTCTGAATGTTATCTTCCTATAAATAGCCTTATCTCAGCATACAGAAGGGAAACCTCATGAGAGTGCATTCAAAAATACTGAAAATTCAGACCACACAAGTAAAGTGTAACTTCTATGTGACTGAATGGTATATTTTAAAATTATTAGTCATAAACAATAAGCCATTATTTAGGTTTAGCTGACCTCTCATTGACCTCCACAGGAGTTGAAGATTCAGAGAGAACAGTGTGAAGGTCATGTGATTCAAGGTCAAAAATAAGTATATTGGGCCGGCAAGGGAATAGAATCAGAAAGAAGTTGTTTATTCAATCAAGAATCTCCATTCATTTGTCTCTGTCAAAAAATGTGCTTTAAATGTACAAATATTTGAAGAACAGAAAAATAATATTCATTGATTATTTTTTATTTCTGAGTTTAATGATACTATTTACAAATCTCACTTGTGCTTTTAAAGAATGAAGTACATTATTTTTATTGCAGAATGAAACTTTTATGTGGAAAAAATAAAACTCAAGAATAATACTTAAGACTTTAAAAAAACAAGAAAATATATTTACTGAATAAATCAGTTAAAATCATTTCAGAGTAGCATATCAAGAGTAAATACACATATCCCAGAACCTAAAGTATAATAAATAACTAATATGTTAAACATGTATTGTGTTAGTGATGCAGTCACAAATTAAAAAAAAAATTATCTCTGTCTGCCATCTTAGAGCTTTCAAATATATACTACTGCTAAAGTGCTTTGATAGAGAGTAGAGAGAAAAATTCAGTAATGCTGGTACTGGGTCCTCTATGATAAAGGATATAATACGTGTGCTCAGTAATAACATCCATCCATCTGTTACTCTTTATGTCTTTTAGGTCACAAAGTATTGCTGATGTAGCTATAGAAGCTTCATTCACACCAGAAAAAATCACTTTGGTCAACAAGAATGCTCAGATAATTCTCAAACTCTGCTTCAGTGCAAAGTTCAGACCTACTAAGCAAAACAATCAAGTGGGTGCGTAGATCTGAAATAATCTGTATAGAAATTGGTTGGCTTACAGAGTTTTAGTCCTGAATATAACATATTTTGGTTTGTAGGCCAAGAGAAATAAGGGTTTTAGTTATAGACACTTAAGTTTCCTTACACTGGAGATGCCCGAGAATGGTTCACTAGTCATGGAAGATTTGTTTAGATCTTCCTTCCACATCTCTAGAAGGTTCTGCTGCAGAAAGTTGTAATCTCTATGACATAACCAAGGGCCCTCCTGCTTCCATCCTTTGAGTTTCTCTTACCTCCATTTCTCTTACTTAAAACCTTGAGCATACACAGATTATGCTGAACTGCCACTCAAATGACTATATCATGTTGGCTATGCCATGATCTATATAGGACAGGTTCAGTAAAAGTATCAAGTATTTTTCCTGTCGTTGAGGAATTAATAAACATGAAATAATGAAAGAAAACATGAAAAGCAATATATAACTTTTACCCAGTGTTTTAAATGTTCTAAATAATACAGAGAAATGAGTAAAAGTCTGAATTATGTCTCATCAGATGGGGAAGGATGAGGAAATCATTGTGGGCAAGCATCAGCAGGAATTGTTGTCTTTTCTCTTGGGCTGGCCAAGTTGTCTTTCAAGGCCTGGCAGAGGTCCTGCCTCCTCTTCAAAGCTTTTTCTAAGCACACTATCTCACCTTCATCTCTTCTGCCCCAATTATCTCACCATGCTCAATGCATAGCTTGCAATTTAACACTTGATTCAAAGCTACCTTCTTTCATTAACTGCTGCTTCATGGGTCCCAATTCCCATTCCGTCAGAATTTGGCTTTAAACTTCAGAACTTGTAGTTCCTATAGGAATTCAATTAAGTGACAAACATATTAACTTAAAGCTGAAAATACAGAAGCAGGTTATTTGCCATAATTCATACCAAGATACAAATAAGATGAGAACACAAAGCAAAATTAGATTCAAATCTTAACATGCTTTCCATATTTTCCTACTTTTCATATCCATTTGGAAGTTTTCCATGCAGATGTTCAAAGATTGACCCAATTTTGAGTAGCATATGTCACTTGACCTGCCATGTAGCACATCTAACTGAGCACACATGATAGTTAAGTCAAAAACCGTTGCTGCATAAACATTGTGGCTAGTCTGCCTAATAGGTTAACTTGGGAAATATATTATTTGGCAGAAACAGCAAACTGGTCAGCTCTTCTGGCCCCGAAGCATAGAGGTGTCTCATGTATCTTCCCTTTTTGACTATACTTCAACCCTTATGGTGATGCACACTCAAAAATTCTACTTTCAGAGAATTTCCTTCCCATCCACAGGCTGCCGAGGGTTTCTGGCCTTTCTTACTATTGGGCATCTTTCCCTTTAAATCTTTTTTCCTGATGCCTTCAGGTCCACAAAGACAAGCCAAGTGAAATGATTGTGAGCTCATTTGTCACTTCATTGCTTGGCAATAATAGTATGTAAGACGTGAATCCCATCTTCACAACTGTGGAAAGTGAATTTATAAAGCATATGGTTTCTATCATTTATTGCATCAGGTGCACACTTCACTTTAAGATTAATAACATAGCCCATGAAGCGATGTATCATTTTTATAAAGCTGCTTGAAAAAAAAAGGAAAAGCATTATAATGTGGACTAACTTTGTCCTAACTGCACTCACCTCCTTGCCATTGTTTTTCCTTTACATCATCTTCACAACTTATTTTTAGTTTATTTAATTCTTTAATATTTTATCTATCTTTGTTGGCATTGTTAAGTCACTGGAGCAAGAAAAATTGTACAACATATATGATAGATTTTTTTCAAGGTAACATGTAGAATTCATGTTTTGGGAAGTATATACAACCTTTAAAATATTGAAAATAATAAAGTAAGATAGAATAACCCCAAATAAGGCAATAAGGCAGCTGATGCTGTGAATGGCACCAGGTGTTCTCTCTCAATTTTGGACACACGGCCAGTGGACTTTAGTTGAAGGTAATAATTCTGATAGTTTAGACATCGGCTACTGACATCAGTTATTATCACATAATTTTTTTTCATGAGTTGGTATTAGGAAACAGAGGTTCAAAGAGGGTAAGTAAATTGCCCCAAGTCACAGAGCTCATAAACAGCAGAATTAGGATTCAAACCAAGTCTGCCTGACTGAGACTTTATTGCTGCAGTGTTGCATGCATTTCCCTATGTGAGCATCTAGAATAGGTCAAGCACTGTCCATGTTCCCTTAGAGTATCTCAGTTAATCTTCACAATAACAATTAATTCTTACAACTGGATGGAAGCAGAAAGAATATGAGCTCTTATTTCAAAAATACCCAACTTTTACTTCTGACTAGCCATGTGAACTTAGGTGAATTATTTTACATCACTTATTCTAGTACATTATTTGAAAAATAAGATAATAAAATTCACTTTCCAGATTCATTGTAAAACTTGTATGGCATACATGAGAATGTGTCCAGTTGCAGGCGCTCAGCAACTGTTCCTTTCCATTCTGTGTCTCCGTGTTATGAGTAATGAAACCCGTGCTTGTGGGAGTGAGCAATTTGCCCAGGTTCATCACAGTAGGTTTCCTGGCGGCAAGTCTAGTTTCCTTTCCACTGCTCCCAGCCACATTTCTCTGAATCACATTTCTTTGTATGCACAGTCACCTACGTCACATCAGAGCTAGAATGACAAATGCTTTGTGGTGCTAGCTATGGTTCACAAGCCACCAATATGAAGACTATTTCCATATTTTCTTGATGTGAGATACTTTGTCCAAGAAGACACAATAAAGCAAAGATGCTTTTTCCTATAAGTTGATTTGAAATAACATTTCTTTATGATTTTTTTTATCATAGCCATTGTATATAACATCACACTTGATGCAGATGGATTTTCATCCAGAGTAACCTCCAGGGGGTTATTTAAAGAAAACAATGAAAGGTGCCTGCAGAAGAATATGGTAGTAAATCAAGCACAGAGTTGCCCCGAGCACATCATTTATATACAGGTAAGGCCTCAGGAACATCCCTTTTGACTTTATTTCTTCCTAAAGACGAGAGAGTGGTAAAAGTCAAAAATGGAAGCTTATGAGTTAGAAAATGCTCACCCTTCCAATGAATGCCTTTCTTATGTAATTCCATAAATAAGAAGCATATTTACTTTATGCTAATATTTATGGTCACAATCTATTATATAAGTCAGCAACATCAAATTTCATTTAGAATTGCAATGAAAGGGCTAAAAATACAATTCTTAAAGAAATCATAGATACAGTGTTTTCTTAAATGTTTAACAGAGAGAACTTTCCATTGGCAATAAATGTTATTTTGATATTTTCCTATCAGGGAAAAATTTTATTTATTGTTCAGCTACTGAAAAATAACTCCAATTGTGGTTTCTACTATTAGATTTAAGTTAACATAGATGAAATATAGTAGATTATGAGATAACAATTATTTGTTCTAATCGTATGCTGTAATTACTGTATTTAACATGGATTTTGAAAATTTCCCAAGTGAGAAAAATGCTTTTCAGGAGAAAACTTCCAGCCGGAAATTTATTTTATAAATGATGTGAATATTTCCACCTTGGAAACCACATAATGGCATTTGAAAGGATAATTTACTCAGGAAATCACTTTTTTAAAAGGATATTTAAGTACTTTCTTAGAATACAGTTCTCAGAATTTAAGGTGCGAAAGAACTGCCAGGGAAACTTTTGGGAAATGTATATTCTGGGTTCTTACCATCAGAAATCTAGGTTTGAAGGCCCAAGGAATATGCAGATCTAAGGAGCAACCCAAATATTTCTGATGTAAATGGATGGTACAGAGAGATCTTACTTCAAGAAATGCTAAGTGTAAACACTAGAAAAACATAAAGTTGACGGTTAGATGAATTAAAATCAGTTGAGTTGTTTAGTTCATTTTTCAATTTGAAGGTTTCTTGTTTGTGAAGACGTAGACTTCTTTTTTGTTAAAGTGACAATTTTATAGATTCCTTAAAGGAAAAAATCTTATTTCCCTTCTCTCCCATCCTGTGCTGACTGGTGGATCAGATTATACATGCAATCCCTAGTGAGGAAATGGAGACAGCCAAGCTGTTTTTCTTTAAAGTTTAAAAAAACAAAATCCTTTTTCACTATTTGATATCAATGCCAGTTAAAGTACATCCTACTTGCTAAGCCCGCAGCCAGCCAAGGAAACATCTCCTCATAGTCCAGAGCTGTCATGGTAGACAGGCCCCCAGAAGGAATAAGTCCTTCTGGGAGGACTTCTGGGAGGCCCCCAAGAGTTAAGAGTAAGTCCTGCCTGTGAATGGACTAAAGAATACCAAGATACCGCTTCTGAGGAAAAGGCAAATTCAAATGTTAGGGTTTCATTTGTATAGACATAGTGCTTTTTTGACAAGAACTGATGAGCTTAACTAAGAATCCCTGCTTCAAATTCTTACTAGACCCAAGTCTCTTTTGGTTTCTTAGTAGAAGAGAGGCTAAAAGCAGAATTAGGATGGAAGAAAAGAAGCGAGAGTCTTGATTATTCACAACAAAGATATTCTACATAATTGAGAGCTGACTGTGCTCTAAATTGTAAACACATTTGGAATCATTTTCTTGTTTTAATGTTGCTATGCTCTAATAAACTGACTCTGTCTCCCCCTGTATGTTTGTGTGTGTGTATGTTTAGGAGCCCTCTGATGTTGTCAACTCTTTGGATTTGCGTGTGGACATCAGTCTGGAAAACCCTGGCACTAGCCCTGCCCTTGAAGCCTATTCTGAGACTGCCAAGGTCTTCAGTGTAAGTGCAGCTTACACTTCCTGGATTTAGACTGGCAAATAAAGTTCCACAGTCACTGCAATAGTGTCTGAAGGATGGTTAGGATGCAGCCTGAAAATTCTTAATTTTCTAAATGAACTACAATTACATATGCATAAAGTTCACTAACACTTAAGTTCCATGACAGCAGGGATTTTTGTCTTTCTTGTTCACTGCTGTGTTTCCACTCCCTAGAGCAGGGCCTGGCCCATTGTATGTGTTCAATATATATTTGTTGAATAAATAAATAAAAATAAAGTAAATGCCTTGTGCTCATACTCAAAAAATATTACCAATACATATGAAGCTCTGCGTATAGCTGTCCCCGCCATAGACACTTTCATCTAGCTCCCCCTGTGCAAATGATTATCTTGAATTGTGTGTTTATTAATGCTTTTCTTTATTATTTTGTTAAACATTTATATATTCCTAGAACATTGTTTGGTTTTGTACTTTATGTAAATAGAATAATATTCTATGTATTCTTCTGTAATTTGCTTTTTCAACCCAAGAGCAAATGTATGGATCTTTTTTCCTTTTTCGTAGATTCCTTTCCACAAAGACTGTGGTGAGGACGGACTTTGCATTTCTGATCTAGTCCTAGATGTCCGACAAATACCAGCTGCTCAGTAAGTTTTACTTTAAAGCTTGTTGTAAAATGTAGAAATAAAAGACATACTAGATTACTTTATTCAAACGAATGTTTATAGAGTTTTTCTACAAAAGAAACATTCATAACTCATAAATACCTTTAAAAACTAAATTTCAATGTCTACCATCCACATAGGAGTAAAACAATAAGAAATATAAAATTATCTGTATTTAAATGGTTCCATTCCCTCTAATACAATAGCAACAAAGAACAATCCAATTGCATTTACTTATTTGTTGTCAGTATCATTTTGATGCAAAGATAGTTTATTACACAGCAATTTTCTCAGTATTCTAAGTAAGTCTAAAGAGTTTAGTTTTTTAATGAGTGAAATTTTAAAATACTGGCCTTTTTATTTAACAGTAATGGCTTTTCCCCCCTCCTTTTTACTTTTAACAGAGAACAACCCTTTATTGTCAGCAACCAAAACAAAAGGTTAACATTTTCAGTAACGCTGAAAAATAAAAGGGAAAGTGCATACAACACTGGAATTGTTGTTGATTTTTCAGAAAACTTGTTTTTTGCATCATTCTCCCTGCCGGTATGTGATGAGACCCTGTACTTACTTCCACCATGCTTCCTACTTATAGATCACTGTCTTCTCTATGTCCTCTGAGTTGTTTAAAGAAGCACCTTAACCCTCAACATGATCAATCTGAACTTTGTGGCTTCCGACTAGTTAAACTGCATGAGAACATAGTCTGGCTCTATATCTAGATTCTGCTTGACAGCTTGGGTCAGTTTTTCCCTTATCCTGAGACTTGGCAGCAGTAGCCAGACACTCCCATAACTCTTCTTGAGCTATCAGTGTGATGAGGCTGCTGCATTCTGCACAGATGTGGTGCACTTGCTCTGAGACATTTGAGTCCCAAAGCTTAGCCTGAGCTTTGCAACTATGGTTGTTGCTGCTGCCAAGATGATGCACGCCAGCAAAGCCAACTAATCACATTGACTTGATCATTATACCAGGAGCACACTTGACTGTGAGTGCTCCCTGGTCCCTCCTCTACCACCAAATTATGAAGAAAAAAGGGAGAGAAGGAAAAGCTGAGATTTTCCAAATGAGCTATCTGATTAAAGGATTAAACAATGATTTCATTTAATTTAGAGTTAATGTGATCTTAATAGGCTTAGAGTTCTAAACCTAACCTGACCTTGGTGTTTAAACACCCTGTGCCAAGTGGCAACTACTTCCTTTAAAGGGAAAAAAAAACCTGAAGAAAACTAAAAAAAAAAAAAAAAAAAAAACCCTCAAATTACTTAAAATACAGACAAACACCAACATATGATTTTACTTTCTTCTCTTGAAAATGCTTCAAATAAATTGAGAAGAACATATTCCTAAAGCCAGCATTTCAAAATATTGAATTAAAGCTATTCGTGCATCTGAAAATAAAAACTATCATTTTTTTCTGGGGAAAAAATACAGTATTTAATCTTTTCTTTGTTTTGTTGGATGTTCTAGGTATCTTTAGGGTTAGCAATAAAAGTAGTATATTAGCCACCTGGGCAGTATAAAATTTCAAGTCTTGAGGTATAATAAATTATTTCAGTATGAACCAACCTTACTGCTAAAATGCCACTGTACCTCTTTTACCAGGTGCGTGCATACACACACAAATGTTGTATGCCAATTGATCATTGTTGTTTCCTTGGTCTTGTTCAGGTTGATGGGACAGAAGTAACATGCCAGGTGGCTGCATCTCAGAAGTCTGTTGCCTGCGATGTAGGCTACCCTGCTTTAAAGAGAGAACAACAGGTACAACTTGCATTTCATCCTCCAATCCATACAAGCCCTCCTTAGCACATATGCTAATTTACCAACATAACATCTTGCTATCATGATTTGATAGGCATCACAAAATAACTAGCTGCATACTTAGGGGAAGTTTTCAATATCTAAATGTTTTCTTTAAATTATTAATAAAAATGGGATTTTCTCCATGCAATTCATTCCAAAAGGTACACATACTATGGAAAGTTCTTTTTGTCTAAATATGTTGAGCAACATTGGTCAAAGCACTATACACAGAGTCACAGAGATCATTTATTAACCCCTAGTAACAAGTTTCACATCAGCTCAAAGCTTCCAAATTCAGACAGGTATATACGCCTGGATAACTTACATGTGTCACTTGGAAGTCAAGCTTCTCTAATTCTAATGTGAGGCATAGTAAAACAAGGTGGACAAATAAAGATATTCCACAAATTTGAAAGCTTAAGGTATATAAAATTCAGAATCAAATTTGAGTGAGTTTACTTTTATGAGAAACATTTTTTTTTTCACGTTGGCCTCTGAGTATGAAGCATCATAGACTGAGAAATTTTAATTTTGTCTTTAGGTGACTTTTACTATTAACTTTGACTTCAATCTTCAAAACCTTCAGAATCAGGCGTCTCTCAGTTTCCAAGCCTTAAGGTAAAACATAATGAAGTCATGAATGGAATGATGGATAGCTTTGTATTTCTCTTTAAGTAATTTCCTAATGTTTCTTTCTATAGTGAAAGCCAAGAAGAAAACAAGGCTGATAATTTGGTCAACCTCAAAATTCCTCTCCTGTATGATGCTGAAATTCACTTAACAAGGTAGGTGAAGCAGTGGGTAACCTGCTATCACTGACACCAACTCTAGATCAGAAGATTTTTGGCTCATGGCTAAAGAAGTCCTCTGTATGCTCATTCTTAACTGAAGAATTTGAATTAAAATTCTTGTCAACTAAAACAGGAGTCCACAGACATATTGGTCCCTAGGAAAACCTTGAGTGACTCGTTAGGCTTATTAAACCAATGAGAGTAGCCCAGAAAGGCAGAGAAAGATCCCCGTAGCCACACATCACAGGCACACTCCACATTGCAGGCCCTCTGAGTAGCTGCAAACATTCTCAAAATGTTGAAACAGAACTCTCAAAGGTCCTGAGAGTTGTCTTCACTTTCTTCTCACTGCCTACTTCCCATTGTATGTGAGATCTCAAGCAGTATCCCCATTCCTGGACATTGAAGCCCCAAGCACAATGTTTTGCACAGAGTAGGTCCACAATAAATATTGAATCTAGTCACTGTTTGAATATTCAAATATTGGAACTAGATCAAGTCTAGTTTCTGAGGGAAAAATTCCTCACATATCAGATTAGGGTTTTCTTCCAGCCAGGTGGAAATGAGGTTTTTTCCAAAGGATGTTATCCATAAAGAAATGCTTTGTTCCCTGTTTTTACCTGCCCAAAGCAAGCAAACCTGAGAGCAGTGGTGTAAATGTCACTGGTTGATACAGGCTGTCTTTAATTGTTCAGAGGGACAGGTGTCTTGGTAAGTGGGTAACACACAAATTCCACAGGTTCTAATAGGTCGATATCACTTTAACTCACACTTAGAAGTAAGGTGAGTTCATGGCACAGACAAACTGGAACACAGTTGTGCAGATGCACTGGGCACAGGTGATGCCCTCCTACAGGCCTGGGAACCAGAGTTCTCTACCTGGTGAAGCAATAGGACAGCTTCCCAGCACAGATCAATGACCCCTGAATAGCACACTGCAGCACTTTCCCAAGAAATCCAGTGACAGCAGGTTTGTCTAACTTCTACCACATCACTCCAGCCCCTAAGAGCATGGAATCTGTAGATCATCCAATAGCTCTCTGAGCAAAAACAAAAAGGAAAATATGTCATCATGTCTAGAGCTTGAGCCAAACAGCAAAGATGAAAAGAATGCTTCTGTATCAAGTGAGTTGCAAATAGCACAAGCAGAAACAAAATTCCGTCCAAATAATACATCTCTGAAAAAGTCATCAGTAACTGCAGACTTCAAAGGATCCCCACTTGCTAAAATAAGAAATTGGAAACAAATGCAACCAACCCAAATTGATGTTACCACATTACCTGAATTTTTTCCTTCTTATATTTGATCCTTTCTTCTAAATATTTTTTGTCAATACAGTCTTTTTATTATTCTACTCTCCTACAATGGCCAATATTTTCCCAGATATTTAAGAATGAAATAAATATAAGATTGAAATGAGACTTTACTTTTACTAATTATCATCTTAGGCAGGTATTTTTGTAATGGCAACTTGAATTCAAATGTATTCTAATGTTCTTTAAAATATATCCTCAAAAAAATTAACGTAGGGAATTATAAAGAACAAAAGTTAAAATGGGTCCTAGTCCTACTACCTAGAAAACCCAAACATTGGAGAAAGGTAGACAGTGAGAAGTCATCCCTCCCCACCTTCCCTAGTGCCACTCCCCATAAGAGACTGTTTTCAGAATATCTTCCAGATACAGGGTTGCTTATCTACCAGGATATATGCATGTAACACACACATACACATATATATACACACACATGTGCACATTTTATTACCCAAAAGGAATGATAAAACACTCTTCTGTACCTTGCATTTTACATAATCTTAGAAAAGTTTTCATATGAGGACATACAGATCTAACTTATTCCAGTCCTGGCTGGATCATAATTTATGTAACCAATTCAATATTAACAAGACATTTGGTTGTTTTGCATTTTTATTTTGTTTTGTTTAACCATCATAAGCAATGCTGCAAAAAAAATAACAAACATCTTTGCAAACTTTTGGAAAAAATCCTACACAATAACTTAGTGTATTTCTTAGCAACAACTTTGATACTGTATAACTGTACAGTTATATTGTAAAAAAAATGATGGGTAGAAATAGCGATAATAGTATTATTTCTGAAGCAGGATCCCCCTGAGTATAGATATTTACTATTATAAATATATTGATCAACACTTAAGTAACAAATGGAAAAGTGTCAGATCTCTTTAAAATGCAAATGCAGACCATATTAATTTAGAAATTGGCCCCATTTAGGATCTCACACAAAGATCTTCTGGAAGGCATAGGAAATAATTCATGCACACACATCCAAGCTTTCTGTTTCAAATCCTAGTCAGTTTTCCCATTTTCCATGTCAGGCTGACAAATCATTGTTTCCTCTCATATATAACCTTGACAAATACATCCACTCAAGTCTCCCTGTGACATATTTTCCTTTTAAGGATATGGAAAAAATCATTAAGGCATAAAAGAGGGAAAGACAAGGTTTTAGTAAAGAAACCCAAAAAATTCTACTTCAGAAAATATCCACCCCAAGTTTTTAAGAAATAGAATCAACATTCTATAATTAACGTAAATTGTCCAGTGGGAATAAATGGAAAGGATATGCACAGTGTTCTCAGACCCCTACCCTCACTGCTCATCCCCTAATCCCCCACGCAAAGAAGCTACCCTGGTTGGAATCCCACCTCAGAGCCCCAGAAATGAGTGAGGAGAGGGGAGGTCCCCAGTTTCATTCTAGTCTGAGTGGTCCTATGAGGGTTTCTCTGATCTCATCATCACTTTGCTTGCAGAACTTAGTTGGCAATCTTAAGCAAAGAAGTTAAGATCAATCCAGTGGCTTTAGGTCCAGAATACTAAAACCTCTGGATCATCCATCTTAAAGGTGGTCTCTACACTAATGGTGGAAACAGATTTGACCAACCTCATTCAGACCCAAACCATTCAAATTGGTTTGCAACTAAAGAAGGATAGGAAGAACGAATAATACAGGCATCCAATAATGAACACTGAAGGAGCTCAATACCCTATTATTATATTTTAGCCACACCAAAGTGAAAACCCCTGGCTTATAAATCCATTCATTCAACTAACAAGTACTGATTGTCTACTATGTTAACATACTAGTCAATATAACAGTAATCTTGGGAAGACTTCTACTATCAATTCTAAAGTAATACTTTTGTACTTATTTAGAAACTTGAGAATTGGTAGACATGTAATGCACAAACTCTTAGCAGAAAATCCACAAAGAAATATGTTTTCAAAGGAATTTATGTTAGTCTTAGAAACATACATTGGACGATAAGCCCATAGGCAAGCATTTCTTTTTATTTGGTGCTTTTGTAACTAAAAGTAAAATTTACTTTAACCTAAGCTATAAGATACTTAAATAAAAGAAATATTAACCTTCAAGAACAAAAGCAAACTAAAATATTTGGCTTTACAAACATCATCCAACAGATCTACCAACATAAATTTTTATGAAATCTCTTCGGATGGGAATGTTCCTTCAATCGTGCACAGTTTTGAAGATGTTGGTCCAAAATTCATCTTCTCCCTGAAGGTTGGTAAGCCTGTCATAAGGATGGCAAATCCAGGAGAAAGTGAGAAGAAAAAAAATGAGTCTGGAAATAAAAGGAGAAAGTAAAAAGAAATTGAAAGAGATCCGTGGTTCTCAAACTTGGGTGTGCATTACAATCACCTGGAGGAATTGTGAAACCACAGATGCTGGGCTTTATCTCCAGCGTTTCTGATTCAGTAGGTCTAGGGTGGGCCTACACATTTGCATATCTAACAAGCTCCCAGGTGATGCTTATGCTGCTGGTCCAGGTGCCATACTTTGATAACCAATAGGCTAGATCATAGTTAAGTAAACAACTGGGCTTTGTGCATAGTTATGTGTCTTGGGTAAGGGATACTTGATATATTTTGAAGGCAAATGTTCAACATTAACCAACAGAGCATTACTATAAAGGAAGGTATTGCTGTGGGTAAAAGTCTTTGGCATATAATTATTATGCCAATTTATCCTCAGAGACCACTTCTGTTTGAGTTTACCATTTGTATACAAATCTGTACAGTAATACTAGGTAGTATCTAAAAATATTTTTGAACCAAATTCTATTTACTATTAGTAAGCGATTATTAATCTAAAGATTACTACCAGTTAAAGATAAATTAATTTGTGAAAGAATAACTATTTTATATTGTAATTAAAGTTAAAGAAACTTTGGAAAGTAAAAAGAATTTATCCACTATCCTAAGCCAATACCATTTTATTTTTGTTCATTTCTCACTTGTTTGTTACATGGTTGCAACTCTGCAATTTTGTGATAAAAAAAATCTTTAGAAGAATCTTTATGATCTAGATACTACAATAGAATTTATAAAATGTGGATGGTATTTGGCAACTACATTCTTTAATGGGGCATCTATTCAATTCGCGGTAATAACATTCATAGAGTGTGTAATAAGTATACACCAGCCATGGTATCAAGTGCTTTACATATGTTATCCCATTTAGTTCCCAGATCGGTTATGAGCTTGGTATTATTATTCCCAGGGATGTTATTTAAAATATTTAAATAACCAGTAGTGTATGAGCCCTGGCCAATTAGAACAGAAACCCCCACCCATGAGAACAGATGCTGTACCAGTGCCCTGTGCCAGCACATACATACTGAATTTCTGATCATCTTTATTTTACAAATAAGAAAAGCATAGAGAGGTCAAGTTCCTTGCCCAAGCCACACTGCTAATCAGCAGCAGACTGGGACACAACACTCCGGCAGCCCAGCTCCACAGATGGCATTTTTAACCATTTATACCACATGTCTCACAAAGTCACAAATTACTTACCCATTAACATTGTAGATGTTGAGTTTTTTTCCATTGAGCCATTTATGCCCAGTGTTCCATTATTGGCGCACTAAGCATGTGGGAGTTACTTATATCCTACTGCTCAAGGTCATTGCCAAGGTATGATCGAAATTTCAAAAAAATTGCAACCTCAGGCATAAATGCGTTTTAAGAGGTGAGACACAGAGACCTGAAGTGTGACTATAAAGTAATGGCTGACTTTCATTTGGACTCAGTCTTACCACCTCGTAGTTGCCCTTCATCAACACGGGGTTACTGGTGAATTTCCTTGCATCATGTACATCCTGTTGCAGTACTGGCACATTTTATTCTCTACATAGGTAACAACAGGAAGTGTTCCAGTAAGCATGGCAACTGTAATCATCCACATCCCTCAGTATACCAAAGAAAAGAACCCACTGATGTACCTAACTGGGGTGCAAACAGACAAGGTAAAGATTAAAAAATTGCCTAAAAATGTGTACTTTCAAGATGTAAATAACCCATGAGATTAGGGTGATCATGTCTGACATTTTACAGATGGGAAACAGATGGTAACTCCTATGCAGCCTGGGTGCCAACTGACTAGCAGTTAATTTCATATTAGAAAAAATATTGTTACAAGAAAACAAATGGCTGAGTCTAGGGAATTGCAGGTGGCAGAAATTATTCCAAAAACCCCATTTTGGCCTGGTGAAGATCTGACTTTGACAGGCCCTGTGAAGGCTGGGAGGTAAGGGGCTGGACCTATATGGGGAGCATAGCAGGTCTTCACAGCTGTGATAAGGAGCTGGTCTTCAAGCAGCCAGCCTGGACTTTCGCCTGGTAATACTCAACCCTGGCTGTTCATTTTAATCCCTCTGTTCGCTCTTTTAAATAACAGTGCCCAGACCTAACCCAGGCAATTAAATCAGAAGCTCTAGGGGTAAGATTCTTACACCAGAGTTTTTCTTTAACCACCCCCACTCCATCCACACCATGGTTCTAACACGCAACCTGGGCTGAGAAGCGCTGCTCTAGCCAAACCTCTTGACATTGGCTCATCTTCAGTCCAACAGTTGTATTATTCAACAGTTGTATTATTTCTGTAGTGTGCATAGGAGGCTACAGAAAAATCAAAATCCTAAAATGTTCCAGAGAAAATTACCCTGAATTATTCACAGTGTTTAGCTATTGCAGATTTGCCTCATCATATGTGGGCTATAAAAACCTAGCCCACCTCATCAGTTCACATCAGGAGCATTTAAATACTTGATGTTCACCTAGAGATTATATGAAGTGTGGCCAGGTCAGTGGCGTTGAAAGAAGCCTAACAGCCCTTCCCAGACCCCTACAAGTGACAGTAGGATTTCCTAACATGTTGAAAGGAACATCATAAACTGTTTTGCTTCTGAAGTCTGATCGGGTGTTCTTCTTTTATAGGCTGGTGACATCAGTTGTAATGCAGATATCAATCCACTGAAAATAGGACAAACATCTTCTTCTGTATCTTTCAAAAGTGAAAATTTCAGGCACACCAAAGAATTGGTGAGGACAAGTTAACGTGTGAAAGCTCCCCTCATTCATTTATTTCACCTGTGATCAGGACGCTGCTTTTCTCCTACCAGCTGATATCATAGAGCTTTCTTATTTTGCCTTTGATGCTTATATGAGTCAAGATTTAGAAAATATTAGGTTGGTGCAAAAGTAAATACGATTTTGAAACCCACAATTTACGTTTGCACCAACCTAATATGTGGTCAAATCTAGGTTACTGGAATTATCTTATGCCACTTCTTACAAAATATAAGTTCCAGACTTTATGACATCAGAAAAACTCATGTGAAGCTATTGTGTTTATGCGTTGTGCACTTTGGAAACAAGGCAAAGAGCTGTGAAGGAACTAGCTGTGTGCTACAGAGGAGAAGCCCCTTAAATCCCCCTTCCACATAATACTGATGTTTTTTATTTAGCTGTGAAATATGCTGCTGCACTTCTCTGTTTTTCAATATTTTGTTATTTCCTGTTCTCAAGCTATGCCTGCTTCTTTGGGAAAGAGACTAGTCTAGCATCTGGCATGGTGCTCGGCACATATTAAATATTCAAATAAAGTAAACCTTTAGTAAGCAATAACTCCTAAACAAACCTCAGCTCTCCCCTATGAACAATATTGGAATTCTCCTGGTTTTCTTTAATTGCAGTTGTTTTATTTTGTGAAGGATGGGGAAAACAGGAAACCAGAAGAATAAAATTATTTCTTTTAATGTGTATTAATCTACAAGTAGGTAAATGCATGCTGTAACTGAAGTGGGCCACGCTACCTTTTGGCCTTGAACATAGGCCAATGTGTCATAGATTTTCAATTAATGACTTCATTTTTTAATGCAGTTTTACATTCATGGAAGAATTGAGTGGAAAGTACAGAAGTTCCCATATACCCCCTGTCCCACACAGCCTCCCCCACTATCAAAATCCCGCACAAGAGTGGTATATTTGCCACAATCGATGAAACTACATTACTATATCATTATCAACCAAAATCCATAGTTTACATTAGGGTTCACTCTTGGTGTTGTTAAAATCCACGCTGTGGAATTTGACAAATGTAAAATGACATGTATCCACCACTATAGTATCATACAGTGTATATTCACTGCCCTACACATCATATGTGCTCTGCTTATTCATCCTGCCCGCCCCACTAGCCCTTGGAACCACTGATCCTTTTTCTGTCAACTTGTTTAAAAACCTAGGGAGTCTATAATTAGGTTTAATGACAAATTGTAGTACATTTTGTGCATGTTTACTAATTTATTTAACTAGTACATTGTTGCTAAACAAGTTACAGTTTTGGGGGGGGTTGGTTTTTAGGTTTTTTTACTCTTAGAAATAGTAGTGCAATAAACAGGCTTGGGGTACTTTGTTCCACATATTGCTGATTATCTCCTGAGGCTATCTATACAGACAGGAAATGGATGGGGTAAAGAGTGTGCACTTGGTACATTTTGAGATATAGTCCCACAATCCCTTGAAGGAGGGCGGGAGAGTTAGAACTACTAATAGCTCATGAGATTGCCTGTTTCCCTAGGTGTGTCCCAGCACTGAGTTTTATCTAGCTTTAAAATTTTAGCATTTATTTTTTAACTCTTACTAACTTGCTCTCTCTTTTACCTTTGACTCAATACTATAAGAACTGCAGAACTGCTTCCTGTAGTAATGTTACCTGCTGGTTGAAAGACGTTCACATGAAAGGAGAATACTTTGTTAATGTGACTACCAGAATTTGGAACGGGACTTTCGCATCAGTAAGTATCAGTTTTATTTGTTAGATTTATCAATAGCAAGGAAACATAAGTCTGCACTGACAAGTTCTTCCCCTTTGACAAAATAAGTATTCTGGCTAATGTCTGCAATGGCCAAATAACCCAGAGCATTTTACCCTGAAAGGCAGCACACTTCCATCGCTTTCCAATGCCCATCCAATTTAGCAGTGCCTCAGAGTCATCTGGGATACTTGTGAAAGGGTCTGTTTCTCAGACTCCATGCGACCTACCACATCAATGGGAATGGTGTCAGGGTCATCTCTGCGGCCCTGGGCTACAAGGGGCAGCCTGCTTTGTCCCCCTCTAGGGGTTCCTCCACTCTCCATCTTCCCAGTCTCCTGTGCCACACCCAAATCAAAATGTCTGTGTCTCTGTCTCACTCCTTGAGCTCTCAGTTAATTGTATGATTGATCTCAAACCACCTAGTAGATGAATCTAGCATAAAGATATGTCTTCCTATATTACAGCCAGGTCATCACCCTGCTCTCCTGTTTTACCCTTTTCCTGTTGGGAGAGCCCAGTGGGCACATGACTTTCTAAATCATCTCAATCCCCATGAAAGTTTGAAGAAAAAGCCAAAACAATGTCATTGTTTTTTTCCATATGGCAACTGTGAGTCTGCTCTAGTTATATTTGCTTTCAGCAGGGATTTTGGTAGCTAGAATTTCAGTCTGGCATGAAAAAATATAAGGATAGACAGGCCTCCTTAAACTGGACTGCTTGTGTGGCTAGCATTCCTTTTACTGACATGGGCTCCAATTGAGGAAGAAAAACAGAAATTAGTCTGAAACCTCCTGGGGATCTTTGTAGCTCTTACTAGATTTTTTTTTTCTTTTTAACAAATAAATCAGTTCCCAAGGTGCTTACAACCAAACGCTACTCATTTTTTTTTCTGTTTATCATTTCATGATCTCTCCAATAAATCCACTTCCTGCTATAGAGTTTTGTAAAACTGGAGAACTCAGCACCCTCCAAACTCATCCCTGGAGTCAAATATAAGCAATATTCTTGGACAAAGACATAGAAGAAAACGGAATAGTAAAAGTTAGAACAAAATGCAGAATTGGGGGAATGGGGAAGTGAGGAGTTGAATATTTCTTCTGGCTTGCTTGCTTGCTTTTACTTTGTTTTCTTGTTAGTTGCATTTGCTTTCAAGTCTTCAGGACAATTCTAGGTCCTTTAAGACGTGAAGCGTGCCGTTAGTTGTTATCACCTTCCCAGCTG
Organism: Homo sapiens; assembly: GCF_000001405.40. Lineage (NCBI taxonomy): Eukaryota > Metazoa > Chordata > Mammalia > Primates > Hominidae > Homo > Homo sapiens. Next base: position 53,084,696 of record NC_000005.10, read on the forward strand.
CTGCAGTGTGGTGCTCAGTTTTGCTCCATTGGTTCTTGGCTCCTTGGATTTGAGGAACAAATGTTTTCATAGCAAATTTTGCCAACTGGAAGGAACACTGACTGTTGCACATCAAAATGCACACATGCCAGCTCTGTAAAACACATTTGGATTTTCTTGAGTTTAAGACTACATCACTTTAACTGTGAAACTTTTTAAAGTACCTTCCCAACGATCTTCAGAAGCAGTTTATTTCTGGGAGTAAACTTCCTAGAAAGTGTAGTATTTATGCTGCTTTAATGTGGCTATGGTGGTTAAACTAAGAAAACACCCTTGAGATGTCAAGGTATGTCAAGTGACATACAAGGATTGTGTCAAGTCCTACATATCTTCCTCCTTCATGAAAAGTCAAATGTTTATCCTCACCTTGCTTCCAGCAATTTAAGCAGCAAAGTGGATGTTTCTCAGACCACTTAGGAGATCCAGTCTGAAATATGGATCTCATTTCCTGTATTTGAACCCATTAATGCACTGCCTTTTGTTGCTACCCTTTCTCTGATGTAGTGCAAGGCAACTTAACATTTCAAGTAATTTCATTACAAAGTGATTGATCAGGGCTCCAAATTGATGATAGAGTTGCTGCCATTTGTAGGGAGAAGCCTTGTTGAACGCTAGCAGGTGCGTTACTTCACTCTCCAGATGTGTGTGGCATGCTTACCTCTACTTGTTAACCCTGCAGGATATTGTATGCCTGTGAGAAGGGCCTATTTTGAGAATGCTATAAGAAAAATTCTTTCATCTTTAGTCTTTGGGGATTATGAAACCAGCATTTACTTAACTGCTGCTTTTTTTCTTAAACTTAAACCATTATCAATACTCTTAATGTTTCCCCCAATAATATGTTTAAGAGACTGGTGAGCATGGTTAATTTCTGATCCAATCATCTATATTGAGAAAATTAACAGTAACCAGAGACTGAGCCAGTGGAAAGGAAATAAATTGCTCAGTTTTTGGAAATACATTCTTTCTGGCTCCCAGATATTGTTTAGCAAATTACCTCACAGAGTATGTCCAATAATGTGCCCTAGTAACCAGAAAAACTGAGTCCTAGTAGCCACAGCATGTGAAAGCAGCTCTAACATCTAAGCGCTGCATTCCGCTTCACAGTAGCATCAGACCTAATGTAGAGAAAATAGTGAAATATACACATCAATAATGTTTCTATTGAAAAAATAGACTTTTTTTTTTCCCCCAGACAGAGCCTTGCTCTGTTGCCCAGGCTGGAGTGCAGTGGCTTGATCTCAGCTCACTGCAACCTGTGCCTCCTGGGTTCAAGTGATTCTCCTGCCTCAGCCGAGTCGCTGGGATTACAGGTGCCCACCACCATGCCCGGCTAATTTTTTATATTTTTTAGTAGAGTCAGGGTTTTGCCATATTGACCAGGCTGGTCTTGAACTCCTGACCTCAAGTAATCTACCCACCTCAGCCTCCCAAAGCGCTGGGATTACAGATAGAAGCCACTGTGCCCTGCTGAAAACTAGGCTCTTTTTCTGTAACTAGATGGAGGAATGAATGTAAAGTTATTTCGAATTAGTAAGTTACCAGTGACATCAGCATAAAATATCCTTCCTATATACCTGCCCCAAATTAAGTATTATTTGATAGAAACACTTAGATAGGAAATCTGAAGTTATACTGATGTGATATAACAAGCTGAAAGGTTCAGGGCCATGGGTGGTCAAGTTCAAGTGCACTTTTAAACACTATCATTTTACACACATGTACCCAGAAGGAAAGTTCTCTTACCTTTTAAATGTTGGTTTTCCATTCCATTGTGTGACTTATTCAGGTAAGTATACAAAGATGCCAAGTTTACAATTTTCTCTCATGTCACAAACTTATTTTTTAAAAAATCTGAACTGTGATCTTCCCAGTTAGAAATATTCATTTTTAAATCCTCACTTTTCAACCCAGTTCTCAAGTTCAGATCTCCTCAGGGAGATATTTTAACCTACTCATGTCTGGATCCCACCCCAGAGAGTTGATTTGTGGTGGCAAGGTGCAGACAGACATGTATTAAAATTACCCGAGGTATTTCTGACGGGCAGTCCTGTTACACAGCACTGGTTTAAGCACACACAGATTCTGGATGGGTCTTCAGAACCATTTGCTCTTGTCACATTCCACCAGGAAATAAATACATAAATCATAAGCATGCCAGCTTCTCTGCATTTGCTGCTGCTACGATAAAACATATTCCTTATTCTTATGTTCCAGTCAACGTTCCAGACAGTACAGCTAACGGCAGCTGCAGAAATCAACACCTATAACCCTGAGATATATGTGATTGAAGATAACACTGTTACGGTGAGCATATCACACCCTTCCCTGTGAGCCTCAGGGTCTGTGATGGCATTCCACTTCTAAAAGCCTGGGATAGTCACTCTTCTTACCTACATGTATGTAGAAGTATCTTACTAAAACTTTAAAGATCTGATGTTTATTATGTTGAGATTTTGGCGAGGGTGTGTGCTACTTAAAAAGTTCAGTGATACACTTGCCTTCCTCCATGCCCCCCACTCATGTCAGCAAAGCTGGCTTTCCTAGAGGTGGTGATCCAGTGAGAAGTACAACAAAAGGGGCTCTATGTTCTTTGGGACTCCATGGTGTCTCTTCTCATGACTAAGCCAGCAGCACCAGTTCTTCCTTTCTCCTCCTGCTTACACAAAATGGTCTGGAGCTTAGGCCACAAAACTTAATCATGCTTATTTAAATCATAAATTGTATTTTGAAAAATTTTTAAAGAAAGGTACTGAAGCATGCTTAATAAATAATGCATTTATTAGAGGGTTTTAAAAAATAGTTCTCCTTACAACTAGACACTGACACTGTGTGGCATGTCCATTCATTAGATCTTACATTCGGGAGGACTATAAATGGTCCCCTTGATAAAAAAAAAAAAAAAAGCTTTTACAGAGAAATGTACTTTCACAGAAAACAAAGGCTCTCTGTTCTAAGAGCTGGCATGAGATAATTTTCCTCTGCACTGACTCTGGTTAGAATATGCCATGTTTAGATACAGTGGGATTTCCATGCCCAGCTAATCTGCTGGCAGAGCCCTGAGCATTTTCCTCCCAGTGCTTGTGTTAGGAGTTGAAAGCCAGTTTAAGAGTCTGCCCCCAAGGCCAGCTTGGCAGTTGGCCTCAGTCCACTCCTCTGGCTTGGTCAAAAAGTTATGGCCCCATGAACTATGGGCCTCCTCACTCCATGCCTGAGAGTGAAGCTCACAGCACTGGAGCCCCACTCTTGTCCAAGGGAAAATGATTCTACGCAACAGAGCACACTTCTCTGCCTCTGGTTTAGGAGCCTCAGTGAAAGCCTACACCCTCTCTTCAGACACTGGGGCCTGGAAAATCAGAAATAGAGCCAAAGGAAATGCAGACTTCAAATTCAAAATGCTATGAACTTAGCATAGGGGAGAAGTATTATAGATTTTTTTTAAAAGCTCATTTTAGAAAAACATAGTGTTCAGACAATATGTGAAACTCTACTGAAGACTGTTTTTAGAAAGCAGTATTAAATATATCAATTGGAAATTCAAATGAACAATTTTAATAAATCCATTAGATTCCTCTTTTATTGGTTTCCTCTGAGCAATACTAATAAATAACAGAAGCCAATTACTAGGTGCAAAAGTAATTGTGGTATTTGCCATTAAAAGTAAAGAAAGGCTGGGCACAGTGGCTCAAACCTATAATCCCAGCACTTTGGGAGGCCGAGGCAGGCGAATCACCTGAGGTTGGGAGTTCGAGACCAGCTTGGCCAACATAGTGAAAACCTGTCTCTACTAAAAATACAAAAATTAGCTGGGTGTGGTGGTGCACGCCTGGAATCCCAGCTACTCAGGAGGCTGAGGCAGGAGAATCGCTTGAACCTGCGAGGCAGAGGTTGCAATGAGCTGAGATTGTGCCACTGCACTCCAGCCTGTATAACAGAGAGAGACTCTGTCTCAAAAAAAAAAAAAAAAAAAGTAAAGAGAAAGTACTTTTAATGGCAAAGACTGCAATTACTTTTGCACCAGCTTAATATTACTCAGTTGTGTCTATGAAAAATTTTTTAATCTAAACAATAATTTGGATAAATTTTTGAATAAGGTATGTAACCTAAATAATAACTTCACATGTTCCTAAGTATCTGTTAATTTATTTGAATGCCTGGCCCACTTAAAAATCTGATCCACAAAATGCTATAGTCATGGGTCCATAGGGATCCGTGGTTCCCTGGGTTAGAAAGCTGTGGAAAAGAGAGAAGTAGGCTTATGACTGCCATTAAGCAGTGAGCTACAAGAATTTATCATCACTTTATTCATAAATTGATAAAGCCTTACATTTTAGCTCTTGAAGATACAAATGAAAGGAAATACAGTCACCAAGGCCAGTTGCAAGTTTAGCCCAGCCCATAAATTTATGACAAAAAGCAGCTCATCTGCCATTGCAATTTAATGTTACATCAAGTAAATAAAACACATATTATCCTCTTCTTTTGCTTCTAAATACAGCTCTTTAGGAATATTTTCTAAAGAGAATGCTTGAGACACTTTCCCCAATTAATTAAATTTCCCCTAATTAATTAAAAACTGAATATACAGTTTTACTGTTAACACTCAGGGCAGCCATTCCATTACAGCATCTCAAAGATTGCCAGGAAGCAGATACAAAGAATCCTAAGTAGCCTGAAGGACAACGTTCCCACTGAAAAGGTCAACTTGACCCTTGAGATATTATTTCTACTTTTCCAACAATATCAACTTGGAATGAGGTTTAAGTGAAACTAGTATTTTAGACACCCAATACAAAGCTGCTGTTTCATCACCATGAAGTTGGGTTAAAGAGTTTCTTCGACTCCCTTCCCCAAAGCTGTTTGCTTTCACTTGATGATGCTTTCACTTGATTTGAATGTATGCCAGAAATGGAAGTTTCTATTTCATAAGTAAGATAAGCATCTGAGATTGTCAGGCATGATGTAGCCACAAGACACTGATGTAGTTAAAGCGGAGAAACTAGAAAAGTTGTATTTTTTAGCTGGTTGGACTTTGCAGGAAGATTTTCTCTAAAATTATTCTGACAATGTTTGAGATACGCCATCATGAGCAAGTCTTGTCACCTTTCTAGAGCTGTAGACCTTCACTTACAGAATTAGAGAATTGGACTAGACCATCTCCCCCCTTTTTTGTGGTATTAAAATAACTCAACTGTGAACTGACATTTCCAGATTCCCCTGATGATAATGAAACCTGATGAGAAAGCCGAAGTACCAACAGGAGTTATAATAGGAAGTATAATTGCTGGAATCCTTTTGCTGTTAGCTCTGGTTGCAATTTTATGGAAGGTAAGAAAAGCTTTATATTTTAAAATACAGGGCTCCTGAAGGCCAGCCTTGAATTTGCTTACAAAACATCAACTTCAGGTTTTATATGGTACCTTCTCTATCACAAGGAGAAAAGAAATGCAAATTTGTTTATAATTTCTTACTCATGTCATTAAAAACAACCAGTAAGGATTTTTCTTCTTTTAAACCTTCCTTTCATCCAGAGCCCTGAATGTTTTGTTCAGCTTCAAATAAGTAGACGCTGAAAAATGTAGCTTTATGCAATGCAGCTGAGCTCTCTGGATATAAATTTCCTTCTAGCAGGTGGTAGATATCAGGTCATCAGTCTGCACACCTCCCTTCAGAGCCTCAGGGATTCCCAGAGGTGCATCAGAGGACGTGGGCAGCCAAGGGGGTCAGAGGCACCTTACAAAATAAGCCACGGGTGGTAACATTCTTATATCATCACCTTTACAGCTCGGCTTCTTCAAAAGAAAATATGAAAAGATGACCAAAAATCCAGATGAGATTGATGAGACCACAGAGCTCAGTAGCTGAACCAGCAGACCTACCTGCAGTGGGAACCGGCAGCATCCCAGCCAGGGTTTGCTGTTTGCGTGAATGGATTTCTTTTTAAATCCCATATTTTTTTTATCATGTCGTAGGTAAACTAACCTGGTATTTTAAGAGAAAACTGCAGGTCAGTTTGGAATGAAGAAATTGTGGGGGGTGGGGGAGGTGCGGGGGGCAGGTAGGGAAATAATAGGGAAAATACCTATTTTATATGATGGGGGAAAAAAAGTAATCTTTAAACTGGCTGGCCCAGAGTTTACATTCTAATTTGCATTGTGTCAGAAACATGAAATGCTTCCAAGCATGACAACTTTTAAAGAAAAATATGATACTCTCAGATTTTAAGGGGGAAAACTGTTCTCTTTAAAATATTTGTCTTTAAACAGCAACTACAGAAGTGGAAGTGCTTGATATGTAAGTACTTCCACTTGTGTATATTTTAATGAATATTGATGTTAACAAGAGGGGAAAACAAAACACAGGTTTTTTCAATTTATGCTGCTCATCCAAAGTTGCCACAGATGATACTTCCAAGTGATAATTTTATTTATAAACTAGGTAAAATTTGTTGTTGGTTCCTTTTAGACCACGGCTGCCCCTTCCACACCCCATCTTGCTCTAATGATCAAAACATGCTTGAATAACTGAGCTTAGAGTATACCTCCTATATGTCCATTTAAGTTAGGAGAGGGGGCGATATAGAGAATAAGGCACAAAATTTTGTTTAAAACTCAGAATATAACATGTAAAATCCCATCTGCTAGAAGCCCATCCTGTGCCAGAGGAAGGAAAAGGAGGAAATTTCCTTTCTCTTTTAGGAGGCACAACAGTTCTCTTCTAGGATTTGTTTGGCTGACTGGCAGTAACCTAGTGAATTTCTGAAAGATGAGTAATTTCTTTGGCAACCTTCCTCCTCCCTTACTGAACCACTCTCCCACCTCCTGGTGGTACCATTATTATAGAAGCCCTCTACAGCCTGACTTTCTCTCCAGCGGTCCAAAGTTATCCCCTCCTTTACCCCTCATCCAAAGTTCCCACTCCTTCAGGACAGCTGCTGTGCATTAGATATTAGGGGGGAAAGTCATCTGTTTAATTTACACACTTGCATGAATTACTGTATATAAACTCCTTAACTTCAGGGAGCTATTTTCATTTAGTGCTAAACAAGTAAGAAAAATAAGCTCGAGTGAATTTCTAAATGTTGGAATGTTATGGGATGTAAACAATGTAAAGTAAGACATCTCAGGATTTCACCAGAAGTTACAGATGAGGCACTGGAAGCCACCAAATTAGCAGGTGCACCTTCTGTGGCTGTCTTGTTTCTGAAGTACTTAAACTTCCACAAGAGTGAATTTGACCTAGGCAAGTTTGTTCAAAAGGTAGATCCTGAGATGATTTGGTCAGATTGGGATAAGGCCCAGCAATCTGCATTTTAACAAGCACCCCAGTCACTAGGATGCAGATGGACCACACTTTGAGAAACACCACCCATTTCTACTTTTTGCACCTTATTTTCTCTGTTCCTGAGCCCCCACATTCTCTAGGAGAAACTTAGAGGAAAAGGGCACAGACACTACATATCTAAAGCTTTGGACAAGTCCTTGACCTCTATAAACTTCAGAGTCCTCATTATAAAATGGGAAGACTGAGCTGGAGTTCAGCAGTGATGCTTTTAGTTTTAAAAGTCTATGATCTGGACTTCCTATAATACAAATACACAATCCTCCAAGAATTTGACTTGGAAAAAAATGTCAAAGGAAAACAGGTTATCTGCCCATGTGCATATGGACAACCTTGACTACCCTGGCCTGGCCCGTGGTGGCAGTCCAGGGCTATCTGTACTGTTTACAGAATTACTTTGTAGTTGACAACACAAAACAAACAAAAAAGGCATAAAATGCCAGCGGTTTATAGAAAAAACAGCATGGTATTCTCCAGTTAGGTATGCCAGAGTCCAATTCTTTTAACAGCTGTGAGAATTTGCTGCTTCATTCCAACAAAATTTTATTTAAAAAAAAAAAAAAAAGACTGGAGAAACTAGTCATTAGCTTGATAAAGAATATTTAACAGCTAGTGGTGCTGGTGTGTACCTGAAGCTCCAGCTACTTGAGAGACTGAGACAGGAAGATCGCTTGAGCCCAGGAGTTCAAGTCCAGCCTAAGCAACATAGCAAGACCCTGTCTCAAAAAAATGACTATTTAAAAAGACAATGTGGCCAGGCACGGTGGCTCACACCTGTAATCCCAACACTTTGGGAGGCTGAGGCCGGTGGATCACGAGGTCAGGAGTTTGAGACTAGCCTGGCCAACATGGTGAAACCCCATCTCTAATAATATAAAAATTAGCTGGGCGTAGTAGCAGGTGCCTGTAATCCCAGTTACTCGGGAAGCTGAGGCAGGAGAATCACTTGAACCCGGGAGGCAGAGGTTTCAGTGAGCCGAGATCGCGCCACTGCACTCCAGCCTGGGTGACAGGGCAAGACTCTGTCTCAAACAAACAAACAAAAAAAAAGTTAGTACTGTATATGTAAATACTAGCTTTTCAATGTGCTATACAAACAATTATAGCACATCCTTCCTTTTACTCTGTCTCACCTCCTTTAGGTGAGTACTTCCTTAAATAAGTGCTAAACATACATATACGGAACTTGAAAGCTTTGGTTAGCCTTGCCTTAGGTAATCAGCCTAGTTTACACTGTTTCCAGGGAGTAGTTGAATTACTATAAACCATTAGCCACTTGTCTCTGCACCATTTATCACACCAGGACAGGGTCTCTCAACCTGGGCGCTACTGTCATTTGGGGCCAGGTGATTCTTCCTTGCAGGGGCTGTCCTGTACCTTGTAGGACAGCAGCCCTGTCCTAGAAGGTATGTTTAGCAGCATTCCTGGCCTCTAGCTACCCGATGCCAGAGCATGCTCCCCCCGCAGTCATGACAATCAAAAAATGTCTCCAGACATTGTCAAATGCCTCCTGGGGGGCAGTATTTCTCAAGCACTTTTAAGCAAAGGTAAGTATTCATACAAGAAATTTAGGGGGAAAAAACATTGTTTAAATAAAAGCTATGTGTTCCTATTCAACAATATTTTTGCTTTAAAAGTAAGTAGAGGGCATAAAAGATGTCATATTCAAATTTCCATTTCATAAATGGTGTACAGACAAGGTCTATAGAATGTGGTAAAAACTTGACTGCAACACAAGGCTTATAAAATAGTAAGATAGTAAAATAGCTTATGAAGAAACTACAGAGATTTAAAATTGTGCATGACTCATTTCAGCAGCAAAATAAGAACTCCTAACTGAACAGAAATTTTTCTACCTAGCAATGTTATTCTTGTAAAATAGTTACCTATTAAAACTGTGAAGAGTAAAACTAAAGCCAATTTATTATAGTCACACAAGTGATTATACTAAAAATTATTATAAAGGTTATAATTTTATAATGTATTTACCTGTCCTGATATATAGCTATAACCCAATATATGAAAATCTCAAAAATTAAGACATCATCATACAGAAGGCAGGATTCCTTAAACTGAGATCCCTGATCCATCTTTAATATTTCAATTTGCACACATAAAACAATGCCCTTTTGTGTACATTCAGGCATACCCATTTTAATCAATTTGAAAGGTTAATTTAAACCTCTAGAGGTGAATGAGAAACATGGGGGAAAAGTATGAAATAGGTGAAAATCTTAACTATTTCTTTGAACTCTAAAGACTGAAACTGTAGCCATTATGTAAATAAAGTTTCATATGTACCTGTTTATTTTGGCAGATTAAGTCAAAATATGAATGTATATATTGCATAACTATGTTAGAATTGTATATATTTTAAAGAAATTGTCTTGGATATTTTCCTTTATACATAATAGATAAGTCTTTTTTCAAATGTGGTGTTTGATGTTTTTGATTAAATGTGTTTTGCCTCTTTCCACAAAAACTGTAAAAATAAATGCATGTTTGTACAAAAAGTTGCAGAATTCATTTGATTTATGAGAAACAAAAATTAAATTGTAGTCAACAGTTAGTAGTTTTTCTCATATCCAAGTATAACAAACAGAAAAGTTTCATTATTGTAACCCACTTTTTTCATACCACATTATTGAATATTGTTACAATTGTTTTGAAAATAAAGCCATTTTCTTTGGGCTTTTATAAGTTATATATTTTACTATTTTTATCTTATACATTCACTTTGCTCACATCCAAGACTCAATTTAAGAAGACTGAGGCTATAATTAATTTGCCATAAGTGTCCAGTCTATGTTTCTAGCAGTGACCACAAGGATCTTCTTTTGTAAGACTCTTAAACTGCCTTCGAAGTTTTGAGACAGTGTAAAGCATTGCTCCTCAAAGTGTGGCCCAGGGACAGATGGTGCTGCATCACCTGGAGCCTGTTAAAAAACACAGATCTCAGGGGCCACTCAAAACTATTCAAGTCAAATTGTAAGTTCTACAGCATCCCCAGGTGATTCATATTGCATTGAAGTTGAGAAGCACTGCTCTAAAGCTTACCTTTTGAAATAAAATGTGTGCTTGGAATAGAGAGGGAAAAAAAATCAGCCAAACTGCTGCAACATGCAAAAGCAGAGTCATCTGCACAGTTTAAAAAAAATCATAATAAGCAGGAAGGTTTAAATATTTTTAAAGAGTAAATATGCTGAAATAAATATGCTGTAAGTTATAAAGTAAGTACACGTTGGGCTCACAGACTGCCATCGCTGTACAGATGGCAGAGTAATGCAAAGACAGGGTGGAAAGTGTGTGTGTGCTGCCATAAATAGCGATGCACCAGCATCTCCATTCATGTCTGCGGCGCTCTCTCACATGCCTCCCTGCCCATCGCAGTTGTGCTGAGCCGTCTCAGGAGGGCAGCTCACTGCAGCACAACCATCAATAAGTGTGTCTGCTATATATCTCACATTAAAATACAATCTTGGAGAGCTGAATGTGGGAATTGCAGCTACTTGGGAGGCTGAGGCAGGGAGGATCCTTTGAACCCAGGAGTTCAAGGCCGGCAACATGAGACCCCCCCCCTCCCAGCTCTTAAAAAATAAAATGTTAGAGAAAGAGAGCACTAAGTTTTATTTCTTTGTTTTTCACAGAGCAGGTTAGGAAATGCTGTACAGGTTAGGAAGACCTGTATTAAAGCAATCATTTATATCCCATAGTTAACTGGAAAATAATTTTATACTTACTTTTTAAAAAGTACTTCTTTTTATTTATTCTACATCACTTGTTAAAAACTACAAATTGCATTTTCAAAAACTCCTTCCTGATCCTATCATAATCTTTTAATATTTTTAAGGTGTCAATTAAAGATTGGACATCATCTTACATAAAATCAGGGCCTAATTTTCATTTCGGAACCACTACAGCCTGACTTTAAAGAAAATGGCTACTAAACTGAACTTTTGGTTCTATGCAAAATTAAATCTAAGTAAGACTCAAGTTGCTAAGAGCAACTTTACTATAACTTTTACTATGGCTCTGGCTCTACTGCCCTCTGCTGGATGATCCACCGAACTACATCACACAAATCATTCTTGAGAGATCTTCACTGTACCAGGTGCTCAGTAACTGTGTAAGATGTCTAAATCACTTATTTCTCAAAAAAGGCTGAAAATATATTGTGACTCTATACATCATATCCAAAGGACAAAAATGTCCACAAAATAAGTCACTCATTGAATATCTGCTGTTACTTTCATTCAAAGATGATAAAAATCAATTTCATTTTACCACCTGTTCAAAAATACTTGAAACATAAATAATTTGAATTTCCTATTTCTTAAGTGAACTTACCTAGCAATCATGCAAAGTCACGGCTTTAAAGTGACCAAGAAACACTGCAGGCAATCTGATTAAAGGCTAATTATTTTTTTTAGATTACTCTTCTAGTTACTTGAAGCTAAGTTACAGAGATGATAGAAAAGCTACATATCAGAGTGACAGTAGCCCCTTAATATCTGAACCACCAATTAACTCTGCCACTCCTAAGTAAGCAAGGGTCAGTAAAGATCCTATCTAAGTCAAGTGCAATGCACTAAAATCTTTCAAGGCCATTCCATCCCAGTTCTGGCATGCCCCAGGTTAACTCCTTAACCTCTCTGTTGGAGACTTTAAAAGCATAACAGTCTCAGTTCCAAACTTAGAATAAAGCCTACTTAATGAAGGCATGATTCTTTTAAAACATAAAGAATGTTCTATGTTCTTTAAAAACATCATTACCCTCAATAAGGAACTTCTAAAGAAATATCTAAGTAGGAAAGTCTTGAAATCCACATATACCTATCAACATTGCATATGACATAACATCCATTTAACAACCTATGTCCAAAATCCTAGAAATGTCCAGTGACCCAGTAACCCCATGATAATGTGCTTTTAGATATAATGCAACAGCCAACACCCACCCCTTCTCTCCAATGGGGACAGGCGGAAGCTCGATGGCAAGCCAGAGTGACACTGAACTGTGAAGGTAAGGCTGAGACCAAACAGGCAACCCGAACCCGGCAGAGGAAGTAGGCGGAGGGTTTGTCTGCCCTTCCAGTATCCTTCTGGCCCAATCTCTCCAGACGGACTAATGAACAAGCATCAACTGATGTAACCAGGTGATTCCTAAAGTCAGTGTGGCTGTCCTATGGGTCCCAGCCACAGATAAGATGCAGAGTGTTCCTCAAGGTATTTTAGGTTGGCAGAAAAAGATCACTGGGTGGGTGCCTGGCACAAAACAGGCATTCAATAAATATTTGTTGAATAAATGGGTTCCTTAGGTAAAAGATGTTTTCACTACATATAACAAATAGGATTACTACGTTTCTTATTTGTCCCAGACATAAGAAAAAAATCCTTCAATCTAAGTGTCTGAAAGTATAGCTTTTGTTCTTAATATGCATAATGCAAATTTTGTGATGATGCCGACTGCCCAAATTTTGCCTGTATTTTATTATTTTATGAGCTATGTGTTTACCTGAAATTTGCTGAGAGTAGACCTTAAATATTCTCACCACACAGAAGAGGGGACTATGTGAGCTGAGGAATATGTTAATTAGTTGGATTATGGTAATCACCTCACAATGTATATGTGTATCAAAAATCACATTGTATACTTTAAATACATACAATTTTTGTCAAGTATACCTAAATAAAGCTGGAAAAAAAAATTTAAGAACTATATGGGACTTATATGTACAAGTCTATCAAAATACTATAAAGCTTAACCAGTTAAAAATTGGGGCATTGTTTACCTAAACATTTCAACACAAACCACCTTGTTGCTAGTTAGCTTTATGACAATTTTGTGCTGATTTGTATATTGATACAAAATTAACAACTAATAAAAAACAACAAAAAGTTTTCTGGTAAGATTATAGATTCTGAAATCCCAGAAATCTCCATAATGAGAACTATTTTAGGCAATTTAAAAAAAAAGAAAATACTCTTTTTAAACTTTTGAAATCATGGGTTTTAGTTTATTATTTTTAATATATTTCTGAAAATGTATAATATCAAGACTGTCTGATAATGCTTTTTTAATACTTTCCAGTTCTGCCAACATTCCTGTCATGCATCCTTAATAACAATGCTCTCCCAGAACCGGGATGGGGGGCGGTGAGGTGGGGTTGGTGGGGGAGTACGTTTCTGAGCTAGTTAAAGTCACTGAGGAGGGCCCATACCTCAATGTGTGTTGAGTTACAATTAGAAATTAGTCATGGAAGGACATGTCTACCACAGATATCTTTCCTCACATTTAAATTATTCCATTTCTTCCTACAGTCCTCCTTCTATCTTTAGTTCCATTTTAAATAACCCTTCATCCTACATACCCATTTATCTTGCTTCCTTTTTCTCCCTTTTGTCCCACTAGTATAAGAGATTGTGCTTCAGTAAACTATCCTGATGTGGAGAGAAAAAAATCAAAATGTGATCAATAATAATAGTTTAACAAAGTTAAGATTGCATGCTCTAAAAACATAAGTGATTAACTGTTGGATGCCCAAAAGCACTCTTTGTTTCCTTTCCAAGTTGATGACTCTTCGTATATTTCCTAAAAAACAAAATCATAACAGGTATTAAAAATAGACCATTCTACTATACGAATATAAAATATATTTGAATAAATCAGACAAATGAATATCACATCTATTTCAATGGCTCCTCTTTTAACAATCATGACGAGAGACATCATGGGCAAGGTTACATAGGGGAAGACAGAAAGTCTTTAGTTTTAAACATTTTTTTTTCTTTCCAAACATACCTACTACTTCAACATTTCTAAATATGCTTTTCCAAAGGCAGATATCTTCATTAGCTGTTGAATTAAGTGGTCACCTCTCAGAAGTTCCTAAACAAGTTTGAGCTGCCCTCTGGTATGAGCTGTTCTTTGACATATGCACTCTACCTACCTGCCACCCTTCCCTATATCACAGATGATCTCAAAGCACAGGCCGAGACTAGAACCAGACTAGAAGTTACATAGTTTGTGGAAAGGAGGGGTAAGGAGAACATATCACTTTCTCTTCTCACTCTCTAGTCACATTCCATTTCTGTAGGGAGAGGAATTCAAATTCAACTGTCCTCTGAACTCCTGCACTTCCTCGGACTCTCTATGGACAAACAAAAGCAAAATACGAAGCCCAACTAGTCCTCAAAGCATGAAAACAAGAATATGCCCCAACTCCTGCTCATTACCTGTATTTCTGGGGTTGCTCCCATCTACTTTCTGTCCACTGACTGTGCACCCTTTCCTCCCTGGTGAAGAAAGCTACCCCTGCCTTCCAGGCTTGCAGCTGATCTTAGAATGCTCTTCCTACCTCTCGCTCTCTGGGGGCCTGCCTCCTGTTGTGTCAGCCTTGTTCACAGCAAGGGAACAATATATCTGAGCTTCACTAAGTTTCCTTTCACACATATTCTATCCTCTAATCCCTACGTATTCTAACAATGGGCTTCAATTTTATTCTGAAAACATGGTCATCAAATTTCCCAGGCCCTGGTTATGAGTCCAACTTGCTTATTTCTACCACTGACTGAGGCAGGTCCCCTGGGAAGGAGGGGAGAAGTGCCCTTTAAAAGCCCTGGCTCTCTGCTCTGGTCTTTTCATCTACTGAGCTGTTCATTAACTCCTCAGCTTTCTGTCAACCACAACGCTGTAGGCAATTCTAGACAATTCTAGACATTGAATGTGCAACCACAGAACAATCCCACTGTTAATGTTACTACACCAGGGGAGAAACTAGGGAGTTGGGCCTTTTCATCCCATCAGAATGCTCTATTTAACCAGAGAATTACTTGCCCTTATTGACAGAAAACATGCCAGAAGTTCCTATTTCTGTTTTTAAATCCACTCACTGCATTTTCTCAGAGGGAGCAATATCTCACCATTTTTTTTTCTTCCCTAAAAAGGACCTCTAGGAAAAGCCTCTTTCACTTTAAAGAATTTCTATTTTAGCCATTACCTAAATAGCTAATGCATTATTCTCACTCTCCAACAGAAAGACCCTCTAATTCAAGGGAATTATAATCCAAGGAAAATAACTTCATGTATGAACCCCTCCAACAGTCCAGACTAGGAATTCTCACTGTTATCACTCATTGAGGCTTACTGTGTGCCATGCATTCTTTGGGGCACATATTTTTCATGCTTAACAAATCTTGGAAAGAAGATATTTCACAGATAAAGAAAACAAGATACTACAGTCAGTAAAAAGTCCATAAATATGGGGGGATTTATCTAAAAATTCCTGAGAAAAATCAGGTCCACATGCTAAAATGTGTTATTTTCTTAACTTACCTTTTTCCATATGGGCACCTTGGCTTTTAAAGTATCAATGGCATAGCTCACAGCTTCAAGAGATGCAGCTCTGTGGGCTGAGGACACAGCAATGATTATGCTTGCTTCTGACACTGGAACCAAGCTTTAACAAGATGAAGAGAAAAAAAAATCACCATCATCTCTGAATCTACGTGTTAAAGAATCTGCTAGACAGATGAAAAAAAATCCAGGTATGCAGTCTTAGAATTATACTGTAGTTCTATTTTACGTAAACATACAGTTAGAAAAGAGTAATTAATTGCAGTAGCATTCAGCAGAGGCAGTAGATGAGGCTGATGCTACAGCTAATTTGTTAGAATCTATCCACTAAACCCTCCTGATGGGCACCAAGGAAAATCCTTTCATTGATAGAGCAAACATCTGACTCAACAAGGCACAGTGCCAAGTAATGCCTAGAAATACAAAGTTATGTCCTAACGAGTATAATACAAAATTTAAAATAATACATATCAAGTAATAGGAGTGATAATAACCATTAATAAAACTACTGGTTATTAATAACAAACTAGTAACTAACAGAGTATGATAGATACAGTCTCAATTACTGGCTTCTTTTTAAAGCCAAGAACTCTTCTCTTTTTAGGGGTACAAAAAGGCAAACCACTCTAATGACTTTCGAGGCATTTATATCAAAAAGAATCTGTCACAGATTGTCATAGGGCCTGCAAGTCTTGGCACAACTGCAGTTTGTTACAGCAACAGAGGCAACAAGAGCTCTCCCAATATCAAAACTCACTAGGCAGTCCCTAAAGGTACTAACAGCCATCCCTATTGTCCTCCAAAAATAATACATGAATATTCCTCTCATGGTAATATAGAATTACTAAGAAAGATTCAAGAATCAGAGTTAGTACAAAGATGGAAAACAATTACACTTAACTTTTAGAGTGATAAAGGAAATCATACCCAAGTCTATGGAACACTGCTATGTGTTTGACTGGCCATTTCTGCCTAATGTCACTACAAATCTTTCTGACTTCATTTTCCGCCATGGGTAGATATGCTTCATATTCTAAGCTAATGACTTTTTTCCCTTCAAAGTTATTTCTTGTAGTCCCTTTAAAAATGAAAAAAAAGAAAAAGAAAACAATTAAAATAAGGTTTTTCCCTACAAAAGAAATAGCACGTTAATAAAAAAGGAATATTTTTAATAGTAAATTAATAGTAAACAAGCAGCATACCAATTCTTCTAAAACTACTTTGAAATCTTCTAAAAACAAAATTTGATTAGGAAAATAAAACAGATCTTCACAAAGATGAGCACTGATTAAGCAAGCTTACTAAAAACACTCACCTGGCAAACCGGGCAATATTCCTCTTCTGACTAATAGATACTTAAAAGGAAAATATTTATGTTCCCAGGACTATCAAGTACATTTTTACCTTCAATTTTGGAAAATCTAGAATTCTCTCTCCTAACAATGACTTTTATCCTACTTTTCAAAATGCCTTGTAATTTAATATAGGTTAATTTGAAGGTTACTAAAACAAAACAAGAACTAAAAAAAAGTCTACCCACCATCATCGGTAATCTTGGTTTAAAGTTCAGTATTTCAAACTCCTCCGTTAACACTGAACATGGAAAGCACATGCTAATTTCTATTGTCTTATACAGTGATAGATGCAATGAAAATTACAACTCACCTACAAATAGGGATATTGCACCACAGAGCGGAGAAATCACCAACTGTGAGACTTCATCTACTGAAAGTTTCTCGGCAGTAAAGTTTATAACATCTTTAGATTTCTCTTCAACTTCATCCATATCTTTCCTAGAAATAATACATTAACAAACCTTAACAGAAGTCCTAGGGGTAAAACACTCAACAACTTATAGGCTCTTTCAATTTATATTTTTTTCTACATTATGTCGATGTAAAAGGAAGAGGCTGTGGCACAAAATATAGTTTACATGAGTCAAATCAAGGACAGTGGCCCAGGATGCTTCTAAGATACCTTGGGGAGTTCCTTTGGGGAGCACTCCCTCGGCCTTTGTTGCAAGCAGGTTTGTAAAGGCAAAGGGAACAAAAAGTGGGCTGATACAATGATACAAAGTTTCACCAAGAATTCTCACTGGCATACAGAGATAATGTTGATCACTGATTGGCTGTACACTGTTGAACTATAGGGTGGGTACAAGTTAGAGTGTCCAGCATATGGACTTTATGGTTTCTTAGCTTCAGCTAGTCTGCAGCCCTCATAATAAGTGGCTTCAAGGGACCAGTGGCTCACACCTGTAATCCCACCACTTTGGGAGGCCGAGGCGGGTGGATCATTTGGGGTCAGGAGTTTGAGACCAGCCTGGCCAACATGGTGAAACCCCGTCTCTACTAAAAATACAAAAATTAGCCAGGCGGTAGTGGCACACATCTATAATCCCAACTACTTGGGAGGCTGAGGCAGGAGAATTGCTTGAGCTTGGGAGGTGGAGGTTGCAGTGAGCTGAAACTGATCATGCCACTGCACTCCAGTCTGGGCGACAAAGTGATACCCCATCTCAAAAAAAAAAAAAGAAAAAAAAGGTAATGATGCAGCTTAATGGGGAGTGACATGACTGCCATTTCATTCCAGTGCCTTTCTGTGCCTCTTAATGTTTTATCTGACGGGCTCACATTCCTCAGATAAAAAGTTTCTTTTCTTTTTTTCCCCACCATTAAATGTGTTAGGAGGCATGATTTGATCTGAATGATAAAAATAAGCAAGTGTAAAAATTAACAAAACTCAATTATGTGTATAAATATTCATAATGAATCAGGCATGACATAAAAAGTAATCCATTATTAACATGATCACTAAAATATAATCTGTCTCAATGCCAATATATTCCAAATTCTGTAACTGCTATTCATATCTCCCATCAAGATACAGTGGAGGTATTGCCACTTTCACCTACATGCCCATCCCCTCTCACCACTATGGTACCAAGCACCACACCTAAAGCTGTCTTTTTCTTTATCCAACAAAAAAGGAAGAACAGAAGTGACAGTGATTCTACTGGAACTGGGTTCCCTTCACAAACTGGCAAAACCCCAGGTAAGTAACTGAGGAAATAAGGGAATGAACTGCACACTTACTTACTAGGTATTGTGCAAAGCCCTTTGCCATGCATTTCTCATTTAATTCCTCAAACATTACTACATACTCACTAAGGGCCAGAGACTAGGGCCAGGCACTAGATATCAATCAGGGGAGAAAGAAGCTCAAGCTCCTTTCCTCAGCGTGCTTACATTCAAATAGGAGAAACAAAGCATTACAGGAGAAACTCAGAATTACAAATAGGGATAACTTATGGAAGTAAATAGGCTTCAGAGACAGAACCTGGGGTCTGGGGGAGATTTCTCTCAAGAGCCTCTATGAAAAGTTGCGACCTGAAAGATAAGGAGGAAGTCTTGTAAAGAAACCAGGGCACAGGCCCCCAGGCAGAGAGAGGGAGTGGCCAATGCCAAGGCACTGGGACAAGAAAGGGTGTGATGTGCTCCAGAACCTAGAACGAACGGAGAGAACTGGGCAGGCTGAGGCTGGACAGGTAGGTAGAATCTTGCAGGCAATGAGGAATATAATTATTAATCCTGTAAGGTTTCATCTGAATTGAAAGACGAGAGAAAGAAGGCTCAGAGAAGTTAAGGAACTCACTCAAGGTGCTGAAATTCCAACCAAGGAGTACTAGTTAAGCCAATGTTCTTTTTCCTATCTCCTTTCCACCACGGAAACAGCACAATTCTTTATATACCACTGGATTCCAGGATTTTTCATCTGCTACACAAGCCGCCTAAGTGTCTTCCACCTCTTTTTCTTGCAATAAAATATAGGTAATATAAATATGGTCTACGAGTTTCAAACCATACTGAGTTCCCACAACTTCTGATTTTACGAGACTACTAAAACCTAGCTGGCAGGTTTTAAAAATGCATAATACCAGTCCTGCGAAACACATTCAAGTAACACACAATGCTTTTGAGTAATCTTCGTAACCTTTTCAAAGAACAGCTGTAATTACCACAAATATCCCTTTAATGGTAGCCTATAGTTTTCTGAATAAATTCGAAATTCCAAAAAACTGCATTTTTAGAACCTCCTGAAATCATGGTGGTGATATGGTGACCACAGTTTCTAAATAGCATTGAGATACATATCTGACAAGAGATTCTTCTATTATTTCCAGATAGTAGGCCTGAGAAAGAAGCCTAGTGTTGACATGAGAGGCAATCTGTTTTACAGATTGATTCTTCATTTCTTGTGGCACTGCCCTCCAGGAGGGTGGGGAAAAAATGGGTGAAAAAAGATAAAAAGGCATCCTTGGCTTGCTCCTTTCTTTAATGGAACCAAGTTTTTGCCATTAAATATGATATTTACTCCTGATTTTGAATAAAAATCCTATCAAATTAAGAAAGTCTTCTTTCATTCCTAACTTACCAAGAGTTTTTATTCAGGGATGACTGTTAATTTCTACTGTTTGTTCCTCAGCTGACAATAAATTAAGCCTCATTCTGTCTGTACTTATAAGAAGCCTGATCTCTCCACACTATACTGAACAATGTTCTTGTACATTATCCTACTTGAATATGGACTAAGTTGTTTAGAAAGATGACAAGGTAGCATGGGTCAAAGAGCCACCTGCAACACAGCCATAACAATAAAGCTATTCCTTTAGTCCTGGGCAATGATTAGCTCTCTTTTCAGGCATTATTAGCTGTGAAATTTTTCTACATTTTCCATGGCCGGGAGAGCTATTATCTAGTATTAGTAAGTGTGGTTGGAAAAAAGTACACAGACAGTCCAATAATATGAGTTCAAATGCTGTCTTTTGAAAACCTCTTGAATCCTCAGCAAAAAGAACAAAGCTGGAGGCATTACACTACCCAACTTCAAACTATACCACAGGGCTACAGTAACCAAAACAGCATGGGACTGGTACAAAACAGGACACATAGACAAATGAAACAGAACCCAGAACCCAGAAATAAAGCTTCACACCTACAACTATCTGATCTTCAACAAACCTACAAAAACAAGCAATGGGGAAAGGATACCCTATTCAATACATGGTGCTGGGATAACTGGCTAGCCATGTGCAGAAGACTGAAACTGGGCCCTTTCCTTATACCATATACAAATATTAACTCAAAATGGATTAAAGACTTAAATGTAAAACCAAAAACTAGAAAAACCCTGGAAGACAATCTAGGCAACACCATTCTGGACATAAGAACAAGCAAAGATTTAATGACAAAGAAGACTCAAAAAGCAATTGCAGCAAAAGCAAAAATTGACAAATGGGATCTAATTAAACTAAAGAGTTTTTGCATAGCAAAGGAAACTATCAACAGAGTGAATAGACAACCTACCGAATGGGAGAAAAATTTTGCAAACTATGCATCTGACAAATGTCTAACATCAGCATCTCTAAGGAATTTTTTAAAATTTATGAGAAAAAACAACCCCAATAAAAGTAGGCAAAGGACATGAACAGGAACTTTTCAAAAGAAGACATACATGTGGCCAACAATCATATGAAAAGAAAGCTCAACATCACTGATTATTAGAGAAATGCAAATCCCAACCACAATGAGATACCATCTCACACCAGTCAGAAGAGCTATTATTAAAATAACAGATGCTGGCGAGGACGTGAAGAAAAAGGAATGCTTATACACTGCTGCAGGGAGTGTAAATTAGTTCAATCATTGTGGAAGACAGGGTGGCCTAGAGACTGAAATACCACTCAACCCAGCAATCCCATTACTGAATATATACCCAGAGAAATATAATCGTTCTGTCATAAAGACACATGCACACGTCTGTTCACTGCAGCACTATTCACAATAGCAAAGACATGGAATCAACCTAAATGCCCATCAGTGGTAGACTGGATAAAGAAAATGTGGTACATATACACCATGGAATACTATGCAGCCATAAGAAAGAACGAGATCAAGTCCTTTGCAGGGACATGGATGGAGCTAGAGGCCATTATCCTTAGCCAACTAATGCGGGAACAGAAAACCAAATACCAAACGTTCTCACTTACAAGTGGGAGATAAATATTGAGTACACATGGACACAAAGAAGGAAACCATAGACACTGGAGCCTACTTGAGGGTGGAGGGTGGGAGGAGGGAGAAGATTGAAAAAATAACTGATGGGCACTAGACTTAATACCTGGGTGACAAAATTATCTGTACAAGAAACCGCCATGATACAAGTTCCCCTGAACTTAAAAGTTAAATAAATTCTTTTTAATTTGGCTCTTTCACTTATTAGCTATGTGATTAGCTATGTGATCAAAGGCAAGTTTTTTAAGTCTTCTGAATTTGTTTTTTTACCTGCAAAATATGGATATTAATATGTCACTGTGCCTGACACATAAGATCTCAATAAACCATGTTAAATGAAACATATCAAACTGATATGTTTATTGTAATTAAACTGCTTACAATAGACTTGATGCAGAAATGGTGCTAGATATTCATAAATCTGTTGGCACCAATGAAGAGTTGCTGCATCAATAAAGATTTGGTACAGACAGACTTACAAAGAATATACATTAACAGCAAACCACATACACTTTATCATCTGTATGATCCTTCCCCACACGACTGATTAAGAAAAACAAATCTCACATACCTAGATGGCTCAAAAGCACTATCCTCCACTAATGGGGGGGATAACGGCAATTTCGTCTCCAGGCTGAAGCACGAGGAGCTGATCTCCAAGCTCGACATATTCTTGACGAACAGCAAATATTATCTGATTTCTAACATCAGCCAATCTAAAGGGGAAAAAATATGACTCAAAGTATCAACGCTATGATAGACCTCAAATCGCTTCAGCTGCAATTAGAGATATTACATAGATATAATTATATAAAGCATCACCTGCAAAATTACCAATTAAATTTACACATAGTATATGGAGAAAGGACATATCCACTGAAGAACATACTTATACACCACAAAGATACGTTAAACTGCTGTCAACTCTTTATTGGATGTTGTATGCCTTGGGGAATTAAACAACAAAAAAATGCACAAAAAACCCACCAGACTGGAGGCAACACTCAAACCAGGTCAAAAGAAAAGTTTCCAATCAGTACATGGCCTTTCCAGGGTCCTTCTATCCATGTGTTCAAGCACAAGTATAACTGCCCACAAACTATGCCTGTACACATTATCCTACTCGAATATGGATTAAGTTGCTTAGAAAGATGAAAAAGATAGCATAGGTCATAAAGCCACCTGCAACACAGCTTTATTAGCTGTTCCTTTATACCTGAACAATGGTAAGCTTTCTTTTCAGGCACAGTGAAAACGTATACAAGACCTGCTGTCTCCCTCCAGGTAAAGCAGAATGGGAGACCCCACTGTGTTTTATTGATTATCAGGCCACTGTAAGAGCAACTTAAAAGATACGAAATCATGAAGTGGTTTGCTTTTAAACACTTATTATGGAGTATCTTTTACACAGAACTAGGACTTCCAGGTTAAACACCTATACAAGCTAAGTAACACCATTAATATTCCTGAATCACCCTCAAATAAGTCACTTTTATATTTTGTTCCAAAAAGAACTTGAAGTGGGAATGACATAAGTAAAATTATAGGTTTTTCAAGAACCAGAAAAAAAATTAAATATTACAAAAACTCAAATTCAGCAGCATCTAGGATTTGTTGTAACTCATTTTTCTTTCAATCTTAGAAATTTCTATGTTGAGCTCTCTAAAGAGAGGGGCAGAACAAAATGTTTAAAGCACACATTTTTAACAGAATTTGTAACAATTTCATTTAATGTTATAAAATTGCAGAAGTGACATGTGCAGTGTTTTGTAAATTATCAAAGAGAATATAATCATGTCCCTCTGCGGTTCACTGTGTTTTGGGGTAAAATATCTTTAACCTTTCTTAAAATACGGTGCACATTTAGAGTTTTTCAGGTGTTCCAAAAAAAATACAACTAACGATTCTTTTTGACATTAAGCACGGAAATCGAAATTAACCTTTTTACTTTTATCATTTATGTATTTTGAAAATATCTAAGTGTTACTCATATGCATTCTACAAATTTTTAACTACCCAGGATGTCGAGTTTCTATCTCCTTCCACAGCTGCAACGCTTTTATTTCTTGAGGCACAGAAATGGTCTCTGAACGAACTCCTGTTATTTCAGCACTTTTTGCAAAATACAATACTTCAACCTGAAAGTAAAGAAAATGCTTTTAATAACAACTCATACTCGTTTTCTGACTGTCAATGTTGAGCAGTTTTCTCATTTTCCAAATGTATTGCTTTAATCAAAGACAAATTTTATAAAGAAAATTAAATAACCCGTAAAAAATTTCAGTATACCTACAAGTTCAAATTCTGAAAACTTGTTGTTTTAAATACAATTCAGACTAATTTCTGGATGCCTTTTAGTTTTACAAACTTAAGTGTGCCATCATTAAAATCCTAAGTATTTATCTTCTAGGAAAACATGTTAAGCCTGCCTTAATTGACATAAAAGTATAGCACCTTTTATAAATATGTAAGCAAAGAACAAATGTTTGAGTCAAGAGATGAGTTACACAAATAAAATAAATGAATAAATAAGCGAAAAACCTGTTTCTCACGGTTGTCAAATGACCTTAGATTCCGGTCTGTATAACATCGTCCCCAGACGCTAAGGATTAAGTTATGCAACATAGTAAATCTGACATTTACAGAAGCAAGTAGGTTTGAAACACACGACAGACTGGAATTTGCTAGAACAAACTTGTGCCAGCAGCCTGGTATGTAAGGGATCCGACGAAGTAAAATAGGCACCTGTCACTCCGTGCAAACAACTCTTTACGAAATAATTACAGGTTTGCAAATGATCAAGGGTGTAGAAATCCACAGATGAAGCACAGTTCTTCACAAGAATTCTCCATGAGGTGCATTTCTTTTTAGATTAAAATTTTAGCTTCATCAAAACGAATAATCTGGGAAAGAGGTGGTCATAAAAGGTGGAGGCGCCTTCAGAACGAGTCCGTCCTTGCTGCCGTGAGCTGACAAGAGTTCTCGGAGAGGACCCGACTTCTGCTGGGGCAGTCGCAGTAAAGCCCGGAGACAGGAAGGGCCCGGGGGCGGGGGCGGGGGCGCCCCCGAACCCAAGACGCCGGCCAGGTTGGGGGCTAGTGGGGAGGTCCGACTGACCAAGGCTGGGTATGTGGAGGGAAAGGGCGGGAGAGACACGTCGAGGAGGGCTCCGCACCCAGGCCCGCACGCACACCCGCCACCCTTACCTGGCACAGCGGCACCATCCCGCCTAGGACAGCGGGACCGAATCACGGCCGCAAAGGCGCAGGCGCGGGCTCACCCGGAGCGCAGGCGTAACCCGACGGCGCTCAGCCCCCGCCTGCGCCTGCACGGAGCATGCGCACAACCAGCTCCGCCCCGCGCCGGGCTCTAGCTGTTTCCCTCAGGCGGCCTGTTCCACGCCAGGATTAGTTTTGCTTCGCAGATGGGCCGTGGTGGTGAGAGGAAGCAATCAGTATGGAAATGGAGAAATGGCTTACCATGCATGTCCTTCTCCCCAGGAGGGAGGTCGTGGTGCAGGCGAGCAGACGCCAGACTCCTGGACACTTGCCGCCTGCGTTATGGAGGCTTAGCTAATAACCTTGCAGGGGTCTTCAGGCTTTTCCACTGGCTCACCTTTAGGCTTCTGACACTTTTACCTACGGTATGTGAACCTCGAAAATTTGAGACAGGTCTCAGTTAACTTAGAAAGTTTATTTTGCCAACGTTGAGGACATGCCCGTGACACAGCCTCAGGAAGTCCTGAGGACATGTGCCCAAGGTGGTCAGGGCACAGCTTGGTTTTATACATTTTGGGGAGACAGGAGACATCAATCAATATGTAAAAAGTACATTAGTTCCTTCCAGAAAGGCGGAGACCGTTAAAAGCAAGCCCCGCCCCCCCCAACTGGGGGCTTCCAGGTAGGTAATAGACAGTAGCATTCTTTTGAGTTTCTGATAAGTCTTTCTAAAGGAGGCAATCAGAATATGCATCTATTCTTTGTCAGCAAAAGAGGTGACTTGGATAGAATAGGAGGCAGATTTGCCCTGAGTAATTCCCAGTTTGAAGGGGCCCAAGATTTTTTTCTTTCCCAGGTATATGATTAGTGTTTCTTAAAGACAGAATATCCGCCTGGTCAGAACATTCGAACTGTATGACTTTTCCTGTTTATTGGCTGCTCGGTAATTGTATACTGTCCGTCCAACTTTCCCAATTCTTGCCAACAAGAACTCTTGGCTTTAAATTGCTTGCGTCGTTAAGTGGATGTAAGTTACACGTCCCTTTCCTTGGAGCTCACAGTCCTGGGTAGGAGAGTTTTAAATATGAATGATAATTCCCTGTAATACTAAGGATCTGTGTTACATTTCAAGGGTGGAAGGGGAAAGTGGTTGTGTCACCTGGGGAGTGAGAAGATGCTGAGAAGGTAAATCTGCTAGAATGGTGGCAGTAAATGACAAGAGTGGGAGTAGAGCACGAAGAAATTTCACTTGCCTCTGACAAGCCACAGGGATATGAAGAAGCATAATAAGTTCACAGAAGGGCAAGTAGTTGGCAAGGCAGGTGTGCCTCCAGCAAAGGAGGTGATGAGAAGTGAGGCTGGAGAGTCCTTGGTAGGAAAAATTGACAAGGAGCAATGAATACCAATGTGTATCCTGGTAAAGTTGCTAAACATAAAGGATAAAGACTATATTCACACCCAGGCATAAAAACAAGGGAATGACAATAGTGGCCTTAGACTCCTCAGTGGCATCTGATGGCAATGTGCAGTGTGTAAAAAAGGCTGAGAACAAAAGCATGATCCCATAATATTACAGCCAAACTGGTGGGGCAGGATTCTCCTAAATCAGCAAAAACTCAAAAAACACAATACCCAAGAACCCTTCTTAAAAATCTTTCTTGGGCAAAAAGTCCACTCAATCAAGAGTAATCAAAGTAAATAACTCAGCAATAAAGGTATTAATATGGGAAAAATGAAAAACTAAAAAAACTGGCATTGAGATTTTAACCCATTCAAACGTAAAACTAAGATATCAATTATGGGATATGATTATAAAATAAAATGTAAATGACATCAGAATATTAAAAAAAAATGGAAACTGTCCAAAGTGGGAACATATAGTTACAAAATATCAATTCAGGTTTCTTAATATTTTTCATAATCTTCTTTATTTTAGAAAATATTTTAGGAGCAACTATCTTTTACAAATAAACAATAATCTGATGATTTATAATCCTATCAGTTTCACCAGTTATTTTGTTGATAAATTCAAGTAAATATAGGTCAATAATATTGCCTTGCTTTCATTTTTTTATTTTCTAATTCCTAATGAGGTGAATCTTTTCATATTTTCATTGAGCACTTATACTTCTCTGTGAAGTTTCTGTTCACATCGTTTATTCATTATGCTGTAGATATGACACAGTTCTTTTTTTTTTTACAAAATACAGCCCCATCTATAATTTGTGGATATGCAAGCAAAACTGATACCAAAATATTCCAGGCTTATTCCATAGGCTTTGATTTTACTTTTCTTATGAATTCATTAATTAAATCAGTGAATCATCACAATGGTATATAAATTATTTTAGTAATAGCAAAATGACTTTATGAACATTTGCATTTCACTTAAGCTACAATTTTTTGTGAAAACATAGTTGGAGCCACCATTTTCCCAGTTATTTTTACCATAAGGAATCCTATTTGGTTAAGAAAAAAAACAAGTTGAGGCAAAAACATTTCCATTTTGTTTTCAGATTGAAAAAAGACGAGATTCCATGAGACTAGAAATGTAGGAGCATCTCAGACCTTCACAGAACGCTCTGTTAGAAGATGAGAAACATAACGTTGCTTGTGAGAGGTGAAGCCAGCTGGACTTCCTGGGTCGAGTGGGGACTTGGAGAACTTTTCTGTCTAGCTAAAGGATTATAAGTGCACCAATCAGCACTCTGTAAAAACACACCAGTCAGCGCTCTGTGTCTAGCTAAAGGATTGTAAATGCACCAATCAGCACTCTGTAAAATGGACCAATCAGTACCCTGTAAAATGGACCAATCAGCAGGACGTGGGCAGGGACAAATAAGGGAATAACAGCTGGCGCCCCTAGCCAGCAGTGGCAACCCACTCGGATCACCTTCCATGCTGTGGAAGCTTTGTTATTTCACTTTTCACAATAAATCTTAGGGTTGCTTACTTTTTGGGTCCATGCCACCTTGAAGAGCTGTAACACTCACCACGAAGGTCTGAGGCTTCATTCTTGAAGTCAGACTAAGAACCCACCGGAAGGAACCAATTCCAGACACACGTGTAGTAGCAAATTATCAAAAATGTTCATTGCCTTTTCTGAAAAACAATTTTCCCAGAAACACCTGGCAGAATCAGAGTTCATTGTGTCAAAAGAAAAACTTTGGACAAATTAAAATGAGCAAAGAACAATTTGTGAAATGTGCCCCTCTCCCAACCAGAACAGGTTCAAAGAGACTCCAGTGCTGCCACATGATCAAAGAATTATGGACAAAAAAAGCAAATAAATTACAGGAAAAGAAAATGAGGTACAGAAACAGCTGGATTGGTTACAGCTTGGTGTTTACCTTACTTGAACAAGGTTCGAACAGTTGGCTGCCTTTGATGGGCTGCAACACAGTGATTGGTATAAGAGTAGGTTACAGCCTGTTTACACATGCAGTTAGGTTACAATTCACTGTGTGTTGAGAAACCTTTAGGCCAAACTTAAAATTTGTAAGGAGGCAGCTTTAGGCTTAACTTGATTTAAAAGTTATTAGATGTTCCATCAGTCGTTTCGCCAATAGGTAATAGGTTTTTTTGGTTTTGTTTTCTGTGCTATTAAAATAGTATATAAAACTTGTCATCATTGATTCTGATTTATCATGTTACAGTTCAGTCTCTAATTGAACTGAGCCTATTTTTTTCCGTAAAATCCAACCTATTCATCCATTTATACAGATTTTTTAAAATCTAAATATTTTATATCAAATTGCTAAAAATGTTTAGTCACATTCTTTTTCTATTGCTGCCCATATATTTTCTGCCATCATTTTCAGCTGCTAAATAGTATCTAGTCCTAGATATCTGGTTACCCATTATCAGGAACTCTTCGTGAAATGCTTTAGTGACCTTGTTTAAGTCAGTAATAAAGTTGAGATTTATAATCATATTCTATTACCAAAAAAAATACAGGTAATAGATTTTCAAATGTCAGCCCATGTCTACTCCTTTATTTCCCAGTGTGGCAGAATTTTTGAACAGTGAAAATATTTCTGTCTGAGGAAGTTTGGACTATGTGGTGTGAGATCCGTAGACATTGGACTAATGTCATTAACATATTTTAATATTTAAATTTCTTATTAAAAAATAGATAATGCAGTAGTTACTTTTTGAAGGACGACCGAAGCAGGATATTTCCCTGACCCCTTCATGGGACCCACGTCAGAGGTGTTTACTCAGCCTGCTGCCCACAACTCCTCACAGGAGGGAGCGCACAAGTGAACGAGGGTGAGGACTGGAGAGCACCAGCACTGGAACAACCCGGCCACTTCGGCGCTACTGGGATCAAACTCCATCACTTGGACACACTGTGTTCCACCCCTCGTGGGAGGGAGCATGCAGGTGAGAGGATGCAGGAGTCAGGGTGAGCACTTTTGGGCTCCAGCAGGAGCAAACTCTGTGCAGGGCCCTGCAGCAGTGACTGAGGGGCGGCCTGTGACTCCCAAAGCCCCAGAGGACATGCTACAGTGCTCTTTTAGCTCTACCATCCGTAGGTGGCTTAAGTGTAAACAGCTCAGTGGGCCCTTTGCCTTTTTGCGTGAGGCAGCTGCCCTAGGCAAGAGTAAAGGGCCAGTGTCACAGCCTTCTGTATCTGCACTCATGACTCCTGAGCTCTTGTCCTGCATTCAGGGAAAATGAGGTTACACAAAAGAATTCACAGATGGTAAATGCGGGGTATTTTATTCCCAGTGAAAGTGGCTCTCAGCAGGAAGGAGAGCAGAAAAGGGGATGGGCTGGGTAGGTAACCTTCCCCTGAAGTCCTGCCATCTCTGGCTGGATTTTTCTCCAAAGTTACACCATCAAAATGTCCCTCTGAAATCAAGCCACTTCTCTCTGACATCCAGCCGTAGTCCCTCACGTCCAGTTGCTTCTCCTCTCTGCTGGCTGAGTCTGTGGTCTTTATAGCACAGGATGGCGGGCAGGGTGGGCCATGGGTAATTTAGGAAAAAGCAACATTTGAGCAGACAAAAGGGAGAGAAGTTCTCTACTTTGGGCTGCGGTTTCAGGCTTTTTGGCTTGAGGGTGGGGTTTTGTCAGGGACCCTCCCTTTTCTGCCTAAAATTTCTCTGCCTCCTGCCTCTATCACTGTATCACTAGTTTGAAGTAAACCCATCTGGAATTACTGATTTTAACAAATCACACAGAATTTCAAGCACCTTTCTATGCAAATGACTTGTGAAGACATAGAGTATAGTATGCCGTTAACAAACAGCCCAGCAGTGTGCCTTGCACCTTGTAGGTGTACAAAATATTAAGTCAATTTTATAATTGAAGGAGGTAATTTTAAAATGCTACATCCATGTTGTGTAATTTTATTCATTGGTCATTTTAAATAAAAACAAAAGCCAGAATAAACCATATATATTGTACTTGTTAGTTTATTCAAGGAAATTTAGGTCAAAAGAAGCACACCTCCTTGTGGTTAGTTATTCCAACTGCAAATCATTCACCTTAAAATGAAAGAACATGGCTATAGGAGCTTTTTGCAAATATGTTCTTCACTGATGATTTTCTAAAATGTATATATCAAATCCCCCAGTTTCAGATGCCAGAGGAAAGCCAGATCTTGTAATTTCATTTCTGCAAAAATCTAAGATATGCACAACAAATGGATTTTAGAAACAGAAAAATATACCACACAGATGTTGAACAATGAAAACCAAAGCTCTTTTTTTTTTTTTTTTTTGAGATGGAGTCTCACTCTGTCACCCAGGCTGGAGTGCAGTGGTGTGATCTCAGCTCACTGACACGGCTGCCTCCCGGGCACAAGTGATTCTCCTACCTCAGCCTCCCGAGTAGCTGCGATTACAGGCATGTGCCACCACGCCCGGCTAATGTTTTTGTATTTTTAGTAGAGACGGGGTTTCACCATGTTAGCCAGGCTGGTCTCGAACTCCTGACCTCAGGTGATCCGCCCACCTCAGCCTCCCAAAGTGCTGGGATTACAGGCATTAGCCACCGCTTTTAAGGAGCATATTGTGGGCTCTAGAAAGCTCCTAAAACTGCCTTTTCAGATGTGTTAAGAAGGAGAGCTGTGGAAAAAAGTCTGCAATATCTCACCAAAGGGAAGTTGGTGAAGCAGAAGTCTTCATTAAAATAGAAATAAGAACTGAGGCAGTGAAGGTAAGAAAGGGCCTGAGCCCAGAGTCCTTGGTGGATGGCCCAGGTAAGGTTCTTCTAGTCTTAACAGTGCTCGGTAAGGAAGCCACATCTACCTTTTATTAGCCTTTCAGCTCTGGCCGTAGAAATGATTGATGCCTGAGTATAGGGCAAGAGTATAAACTGAGCTACATCTCCTTAAAAGTAGCAGAATTCAGAGGTCCAAGTTGAACTAAGGATTGAGGATTATCTGAATCTCAAGTTTATTCCTGGACTGAAAGAGAATATACCTGGTGATGTGATGTGTTATGAACTGCATGTCTGTGTCCCCCCAAAATGCATAGGTTAAAATCCTAACCCCCAAGCTGATGGTATTTGAAGGTGGGCATTTTGAGGTAATTAGGTCATGAGGGTGGAGCCCTTATGAATGGGATTAATGCCCTTATAAACGCGACTCCAGAGAGCCTGCTTACACTCTCTTCTATTTGAGAATACTGCAAGAAAGTTGTCCATTGGCAACTCGGAAGAACCCTCACTAGAACCCAACCATACTGGCACCCTCATCTCAGACTTCCAGTCTCCAGAACTGTGAGAAATAAATTTATGTTGTTTATAAGCCAACCAATCTATAGTACTTTGTAATGGCAGCCCAAACTAAGACACTAAGTAAACCCAGACTGAAGACCTTTAACAAAACTGCAAATGAGAAACAGCCCAGTTTGGCTAATGGAGGATGTCTTCCAAGTCTATTCTCACCCTACCCCATGCCCTTGGGCTACAGATAACTCTTCACTGCACTTCAGGGGTCAGCACAATTTTTTGTAAAAGGCCAGACTGTAAATATTTAGACTTCCCAAGCCGTGTGATCTCTGTCACAACTACTGAGCTCTGCTATTGCACATGAAAGCAGCCAGAGGCAAAGAGCAAAAGAGTGAGTGTAGCTCTGCTTCAGTGAAATTATTTGCAAAAAGAGGAGATGGGCCAATTTGTCCCACAGGCCATATTTGCTGACCATTGCAGTGTAGTTCATAAAGTAAGGAAAAGAGAAAAGAAGTAAGGGAGAATTCAGCCACATTACCAGCAGGATAACTAGGTTTGGACAAATAAGTTTCAGTAAAATGAGAAACAAACAGGAAAAACATAAACCAGTTTAAGGAGGGAAAATATATATTTCAGCCCAAAATAAATAAAGCTAATATGAAAAAGGTAGTGTGCAAATAATAGACCAAAGGATATGTTCTAGTGGAAAGCAAACCTCCTCCCAAAGGGAAAATTCCCTAGTGTACTTCACACCCCAAGAGTTTACAAGGACACTAATTTGTATAAGAAGACTTTGAGGATAAGATAAAATCATAACATAGAAATAAAAAGTTATAAGAAAGTATTAAGGACTAATATGATAACAATTACAGAAGAAAGCAATAAATAAATGAGAAAGAGGAAAAAAATGCCACCACTGGTAGAGACTCATTATTGCTTGAGAACAGCACTGTCCCGAAGAACTTTCTGCAGTGATCGTGATGTTCTGTAACTGTGCTGTTCAATACAGTATCCACAAGTGCCTACTGAACACTTAAAGTGTGGTTAGTGGAGTCAAGGAATTGAATTTTAAACTTTATAATTTATTTAATGAATTTAAATTCAAATAGCCACACTTGGCTAGCAGCTATTGATTCAACTGCAGTTCTGGAGGAAACACTGGAGTCAATTTCAATGAACACAGAAAAAAAGAAAATAGGTTAAACAAATACAGATAACATGATAAAGGGAGAATAGATACAAAACCCACAGAATATAAAGTTAACCTGTGTCCCTGAGTAAGAATAAGCAAATGGAATATGACATACATTTTAGGTTATAATAGAAGACAACTTTCTTAAATAAAGGAGGAATTTACATTACAGATTCAAAGGACAGTGTATTCCGGTAAAATTTAGAAACCTAATGAAATATTTCCTGGTCTTTATTGGATTTTAAGAATAAAATGTCTTCAGGTATCTGGGAAGAATATAAAAAGTTACACCTGAATGAAAATTGAGCTACTTTGTGATTTCTTCACAGTCACATTTATTATCAAAAGGCACAGAACATTGTCTGCAAAATGCTGAGGGAAAGAAACTGAGCCTAAAATGTCTTACATTCAGACATATTATCATTAAGCTATAAAGACAGCAGGCAAATATGAAATAATTTGGGAAATACAGTACACATAGGACTATCTTATGAAACCTTCCATATAATAAAATCTAATCAAACAGGAATTGAAGTGAAAGCCATTGTAAAAAAGACCAATGGCAAACCGAACTATTTAAATATACAACCAAGTTTAAATAAACATGGAAATTATGGTTATAGAATATAAATGCATTTTAACTTAAGAGGTGAATATTACAGTATGCTGAATTACCTTAGGCCTGGTTCCCCAGAAGTACCACCTGAAATGCGAAAACAAAGTCATTTATTAAGGAAATGCTCCCCAGAAATACTGGCAAGGAAGCGGGAAAGGTAAGTAGGGAAAGGGGAGAAAGCAAACAAGGATACAAAGGTGCAATTTCAGGCAAAACTCCAGCAGAGCAGAGATGAGGATTTCTGATTAAACACAGCAGGTTGAGCACCTGTTTACCTCTTCTCCCTCTGAAAAATGATGTTAAAAGGCATAAACCCACAAGGATGAGGAGGCCAGGAGAGAAAACAATAGAAAAATGTTGGAAGCTAGATAGTAGATGGGACAATGCCAGTTCTGGTCATGATGGAGTAGCTGGATTCATGCTTACCTTTTCACAAAAACTGTAAGAAGTGAAAAGATGTATTAAACAACTGTCTTTGATGCAGGATTTTGGCTCCTTTGCTCAGCTAGGTCCAGGTTCTTGTTTCATGACCAGGAAGAATTAGGCACACAGACATCAAAGAGTGAGGGGAGTTGAATTTATGAAGCAAAAGGAAAGCTCTCAGCAAAAAGAGGGGATGTAGGGGTTGGTTCTCCTACCTGAAGACAGGAAATTTCCCCAATATGGCTGAGCTTGGGGCTTTTTATGGGCTCAGAATAGGGAGTGTGCGCTGATTGGTTTGTGAGTATCCAAAAAAGGTCAAAGTGAAGACGCCACTCAAATATGGGCGTGACAGTGTAGAAAACTAATTAGGAAAGGGTAGATATGTGTAAAATAGGTGTAGAATGGGGAACAATCAGAGGAAAGTGCGCCAAATGGGAAGGTGGGTTCTCAATCCAGTTGGAGGATATCCCTAGGACAGTTTCCAGCTTGAAGGTCAGGTTTCACTGGGGACCCACCCCAACTGCCTAGGCATTATCTGCCTTCTGCCACTATCATCGGCAAGCACCTGATAGCAAGGGTTAAAGTTCCTGAGAGAAGGAAAACACACATGGCAAATCTCATATTCATTTTAGCTTTTTTCTTTAAGGACATTTTCTAAACGCTTGCACAGGGAAATCAAGCTAGGGAAAACAGCAGGTAGATTGAAAACAAATTAATGGAGATACATGGTGTAAACACTAACCAAAAAAGCCAATATGACTATATTCACATGGAACAAAATAGATTTTAAGGCAAGATGTAGTATTAGAGAGAAAGCATGATATTATTAATACATAATAATAAAAGGCCCCATTCAAGCAAAAGACATAACAATCCTAAATTAACTCTTTTGGGATTTACTTGTATATCTTGTTAAGCAGGATCAAGCCAGTGTTAGTCTAGGGTTAATTTTACCCACTACTGTGGCAGAATTCTTCTGAGTACTCTACCCAACATCTTGTGAATTATGAGGTTTTTCCAGTCAGCTGCCAGGGACAGGCACTAATCCTGGACCTGTGAGTTCTATGGATTTTTTTTCCTTATTCTCTACCTTGGTTCTTTCTCTGGCCTTGGGTAGTTTCCTCACACATGTACTGATCAGGACTCAGCTGAATGCTTAAAGGAGCCCTCAGCATGTCTCCAGAGCTCCCCTCCTGTTCACATCCCTCCTCTCTGGTGGTTTAGCTTACTTGGCTTCCCCAGATTCTCATCTCCTTCTTCCTAATTCAAGGAAACCACTGGTTTCTGCCTGGTTTCTCTCTTATTTGCAATCTGGAAATTCTCACCAAGCAGTGAGCTGTGCCAATTGTATTGTCTACCTCATCGGTTTTCCATCTCTCAGGAGTCACTGTTCTTCAGTCCCTGTTGGTCAGTGTCCTGCAAACTGCTGTTTCATGTATTTTGTCCAGTTTCTTAGTTGTTTAAACCAGAAGGGTAAATCTGGTCCATGTTACTCCATTGTGGCCAGACAGGCTTTTTCTACAGCATTATATGAAATAAAAGCCAAAGAGATCATTCCAGTTTGTTTCTTAGGATCTAAGGGTCTGGATACCTGGATTTGTATGCATACTGACAGGTTAGTGGCTGAGAATTTAGGGTCAATTTTTCTAGGTATATATCTTCAGTTGACTCCTATATTTTGCTCTGCATTCTCACACCCACACACCTTTGTGCTTTATCTCACACTCCAGGTTTCGGAGGCATAACCAGAGCCTTCTCAGTTGTAGCCCTTTGTTTAAACACTCTAGACTGTGTTCCAGCTCCCTCCATCCCATTCCTCCAGCTGCTTTTCCTCTTCCAGGTATCCACTGAAATCTCATTCTCTCTCTCTCTTTCTCTCTCTCTCTCTCTCTCTCCATATATATATATGTATCTCTTCTCTCTCATTGTGGATATGTCCTGTTGAAGTTTCTTCAATTTTATTTAAATAAGCATGTGGTCAGTCTGCTATATGGCCCATAAAACCCCACCTTTACATTTTTAATGCTAGTCAATTCTCCTAGCACCTTATCTATTTATTTTCACTCAGGGAATCAATCAAATTATTAAGTAGAGTGCTAAACAAAGCAAAGCAACCTAATACTTATTTAACATTATCCAAGTCCAGCCATCATCACATTTCACTTAGCTTCAGGAATCCATTTTAACATTAAGTTCTTATCACAAAAATTAAATTACAGGGTTATTGCCTTTTATGTATATTTGAATTGCATGTACTAGAAGTCATCCAAATAAAAAACAGTAAAAGTTTAGTTTTGTATAACATTTTGAACAATGGTAACTAAAATGAAAATAAATTCATTAAAATCAACAAAATTATCAAAATCAATTAAAAATTAATAAGAAATTGCTACTTTTAAAACGTGCTGTCTGAATACATGCTATTTTTGTTCTTGCCACATGGTGATACTACTTTAGCTAATAAATTACAAATACTATCCTTCAACAGTATGTCTTAAATTATGCATCCTTTGAATACTACTAAGTCTTCAGAAGTGAATTCCTAGCATGAACTGTGATCACCAAGTTTATAGACCTAACCAATTCCGTAGTTAACTGAATTATTGAATAGTCAGGGCTCAACTACCAAGGTTTCCAGGGATTCCTCACTGTAGAGAAGAGAAGCTGTTGTTTCCTAAAAGTGTTTGCTTTCAGCTTTCAGAGATGTCCTTAATGCAAAGGCTAGGGAGGTCAAACTTACAAAGATCTGCTCACACAAACATATGAGTCCAAGTTAGCTAAGAGCACTCACACTGTCTGAATCTAAATGCTGAGAGATAAAAATGTGCCCCAATCAGTAATCAAAGATTATTAGAAAAATATTGTAAAATATTAGGGAAGATGGAGATCTCGTCCCCTGATTCATCAGGTAAGGTTATCAGGGATAATCAGTGAACACAATTTAATTTCATATATGAAATATTTGTTTAGTTTGTCCCCCCTGCCCCCAGCCCCTGGCTATTAAATCCTTAAACATCAAGGACCCTTTCTGGCCATAAGAAAAGCTAGCCCAACCTGAGCAACACAGTGAGACCCCCATCTCTACCAAAAATTTTAAAAAGTAATCAGGCTTGGTAGTGCACACCTACAGTCCTAGCTACTCGAGAGGCTGAGGCAGGAGGATGGCTTGAGTCTAGAAGTTTGAGGCTACAGTGAGCATTGACACTGCACTCTAGCCTGGGCAACAGAATGAGACTCTGTCACACACACAAAAATAAAGGCTGAAGGAAGAAAAAGACAAACAAACAAAAAAGTAAAGCTAGCAGTTTTTGAGAGCCTTCTTGGATTAAGTATTATGCTCTGTGCTTCTCATTGTTTTTTATGCCATTTAATTCTTACAACAACCCTGTGAGGTAAATACAATCATTCTTATTTGACAGATATGGGAGTCTCAGATACCTAGGGCCATTCATGTAACAACAAACAGAACCAGCGTTTGAATTGGATTGTTTGTACCCCAAATCCCACACTTGTCCTTCATCTCAGGATGCTTCATGTCTCCCTTGAATATGTGCCCCTATGCCTTCTACGTTACACATTTCTCTGTCTGAATCAGCATCTCACCCTTAATTATACCTGACAATTATCTGCTGGAGATAACCTATATATTCCTTGATTATTTATAATTGTTTAAAACTAATGATTAAAGGGCCTCATGTCACTATTATGGCCGAGTTCCCTAATAAATATGCACTGGTTTGTTTTCTGTTTGTTTGTTTTTTGGAGACAAGGTCTTGCTGTGTCACCCAGGCTGAAATGTAGTGGTGTGATTATGGATCACTGAAGCCTCAACCTCCTGGGCTCAAGCCATCCTCCTGCCTCAGCCTTGCAAGTAGCTGGGACCACAGATGCACACCACCACACCTGGCTAATGTTTTTTATTTTTACTTTTGTAGAGATAAGGTCTCCCTATGTTGCCCAGGCTGGTCCCAAACTCCTGAGCTCAAGCAATCCTCCTGCCTCAGCCTCCTAAGGTGTTGGGATTATAGGCATGCATCACCTTGTCTGGCCTAATGTGCACTTTGAATGGCCCTTTGAAGGTCCTGATGGTTTACTTGAAAGAATAATTTCGGGGGAAGATACAGACCAATGCTGCAAGGACTATGTTAAAATCTTCATGACCATCTCAGAAATAAAAGAGGAGCAATGGCAGTGATTAGTTCATTCAGAGGCACTGGCCATTAGACTAAATAGAAAGGCTTTAGAATGTCAGATTGGAAGGGACCATGAAGATTATTGAGCCCAAATAACTAACTGAACTTGAACACATTCTGTCAATTGCCTACTAAGCAGTTAAACATCCTATCTTTGAATAGCTTGAGTACCAGAAAATTCTAAGCCCAAGAATTACTTTCACTCTTAGACAAGTGTGACTGTTCTTTTTTATATACTCTCATATAGGAAAGGTGACTGGCCACTAAGAAGGTGGAGGTGAGCCGGGTGTGATGGCTGATACCTGTAATCTCAGCACTTTGGGAAGCTGAGGCGGGAAGATCGCTTGAGACCAGGAGTTTGAGACAAACCTGGGCAACATAATGAAATCCTCATCTCTACAAAAAAAAAGCATGGGCATGTTGGAGCATGCCTGTAGTCCTAGCTGCTTGGGAGGCTGAGGCAGGAGGATTGCTTGAGCCCAGGAGTGCAAGACTGCAGTGAGCTATGGTCATGCCACAGCACTCTAGCCTGGATGACAGAGCAAGACCCTGTCTCAAAACAATCAATCAATAAAAATTGGAGGTAGGAAGGGTGGCTGACATTCCTGGAGGATTTCACATTTGGTCAGAACTGGTTCAGGTCTGGGTCAGAACCTATCCCCCGGGGAGGAGGCATCAAGAGAACTTTTGGCAAGGCAGATGCTAGAGGAAAAAAATACAGATAGGGGACACCACAGTTTTAAAGCTTGTAAAAAGTACTTTTATTTGTATTTCTGTGTACTTATCTAGTTCAACCTTTTGAAGTGAAATATAAATTAAAATTCTTAGACTAATTGAATCAGATGACAGCTGAAGATCTACTTAAGAAAAAAATGTCTTGAGAATAAATCTGCAGTCATCACTGTGCTGCATGTTAACATCTTCTCCTAGACTCTGTGTATAAACAAAAGTATACAATTAATTTGAAGTCATCAAGAGTGTGTGGAAAAAAATACATCTATGATAGGTGTGCCACCATGCTGCTTGTGTAAGATTTTCTTTTCCAATATCTAAAATAATCATTTCCACAAGAGGGTGCTAGTTGATATCTTATTCTTAAAATAAATTGAATCTCATTTTGGAAATAAAAGGCTCTTGTTACATTTATATTTATGTAGTTACACCAAATATTTCAACATAATTCATGTAGTATACTTGGGAAGATTACCTTCATTGTTACTGTCTCCCAAAGAAACAAAATTTTAGATCACAGAAAGTCACAGTTTTTAGTTGATATAAAAAAGAAATCTCTCAAGCATAATTCTAGTATTATTTATTTAAAAAAATAAATTTTGGTTGGGCACGGTGGCTCACACCTGTAATCCCAGCACTGTGGGAGGCCGGGGCAGGTGGATCATCTGAGATCAGGCGTTTGAGACCAGCCTGGCCAACATGGCGAAACCCCTCCTGTACTAAATATATAAAAATTAGCAGGGCATGGTGGCGCATGCCTGTAATCGCAGCTACTTGGGAGGCTGAGGCAGGAGAATCGCTTGAACCCAGGAGGTGGAAGTTGCAGTGGGCTGTGATCGTGCCATTGCACTCCAGCCTGGGTGACAGAGCAAGACTCCATCTCAAAAAATTAAAAAAAAAAATATCGTAAATAAATAAATGTTAAAAATGCATTTTAGAAAAGTGAATTTATGTCGTCAGTATTTTTACAATTTACTTAAATATTAAATTTGAGCAAGATTGCTTCGCTTTAAATGACACCACAAAAATGCCTTGATTTTCCTCTTTTTGTGGAAACATATCTAAGAGTAGAAGGCCTCAGCAACATCTTGCAGTGTTGCTAAATTCATATGTGTCTCAAATTTGGCATAGCCTGCAAAGTATCCTGTGTTACTTTTGAGAAATGATCAATGAATCTCTGCTAGCATAATCCTAGCATAAACATCTTAGTCTCACACACACACACACATCTATACATATGTATGCATGTACATATATACACATACACACATCTATACATATATATCCATATACACGTATGCAGATATATATATATGCATATACACAAACACATCAGTGCTTAAGACAATTCATATACTTAAGTCTCCTTCACCCTCCATCTCTCATACTAGGTTCTCCATTTGCTATTTACAAATAATAATAGGAGAAATGGCAGGATAATTTGCTTACTGCCTGGGATAACTATCAAATTGGCCACTTCTAGAAACTACAAGGAAAATCCTTCATAATTTAGCATGGTTTTCCACAGTATTGCTCTGTGTGCCCGGAGGAGAAAGTACTTAGCAACAAAAATAGTACTTATTGTGCATCTCCTTGTGCCAGACATTGTATAATAATATATGTTATATTATTATATAAATTGTATATTGATATGGTTTGGCTGTGCCCCCATGCAGATCTCATCTTGAATTGTAGTTCTCATAATCTCAGTGTGTTGTGGGTGGGACCTGGTGGATGAATCATGGGGGAGGTTACCCCCACCCTGCTCTTGTGATATTGAGTGAGTTCTCATGAGATCTGACGGTTTCATAAGATGGTTTTCCCTCTTTGCTCGGCACTTCTTCCTCCTGCTGCCTTGTGAAGAAGGATGTGTTTGCTTCCCCTTCTGCCATGACTGTAAGTTTCCTGAGGCCTCCCTAGCCACGTGGAACTGTGAGTCAATTAAACCTCTTTTCCTTATAAATTACCCAATCTCAGGTATTTCTTCATAGCAGCATGAGAACAGAATAATACATATATTAATATATCATATTTATTATATAACATATGTTTATATATTAAGAAATATAATAATTGTGCCAGGTATTTTATTTCATCCTTTTAACAACCCAATGATTTGGGTATTCTCAATACTCCCATTTTCTAATTGGGGAAACTGAGTCTCAAGAGAAATTAAGTACTTATCCAAGGTTTCTTGCTCTGGTGAAGCAATCATTTGGATCCAGGCCTGTCTTACTCTAAGGCCCTACATTTTTAACTAATCTTACTAATCTTTATGCCCGTCTGAAACCCAGAAATAGCTACATTATGTTACCAAGCCCATACCTTCAACTCAGGTCCTAGCATGTATCTAATGCCCTCAATTTATGTTTGGACACATTTTGATCTGGAAAATCCATGGCCTTCTTTGATGGATACCAAAAGAGGTTAGAAGGAATGGAGTGAAGTTATTTACAAACTTCAACTGACCCTCAGAGTGGCATCAGCTATCACTGAGCACTGTGAGACAATCAGGGATAGGCACACAACCCAAGTCATTTTCCAGGACTTTTGTTTGCACAACTGGGAAAGCTGGCTTGTAATGATGTGAAACTTGGGGGCCTCCGCAAGGACCCCACAACTCTTCCATCTACTATTTCTTCATCCAGAGGAAATGAAGTGGAGCTAGGGACCAGGAGATGTCCTTTGAACCAGGAATCAATATGGCCTGAAGCCAGATCTTCCCATTTGGACTTTTTAGTTAAGTGATACAACATACTTCCTCATTGCCAGGGCCATTTTGGGTCAAGTTTTCTGCCACTCAGTGGTAGACCCCAGCTGATTCAGCCAGCCTAAAGAGAAGAGTGTAACAAGATGTTGAACAGGGTTTCTCCAGACTTGGCACCAAGGCTCATAACACAGAACAACATGTGTGAAATTGTAAAGCCCCTTTTTTTCTGAAGAGAGCAGCCAATCATGAGACGTTCCTCAAGC
Source organism: Homo sapiens (assembly GCF_000001405.40). Taxonomy (NCBI): domain Eukaryota; kingdom Metazoa; phylum Chordata; class Mammalia; order Primates; family Hominidae; genus Homo; species Homo sapiens. Next base: position 53,126,537 of record NC_000005.10, read on the forward strand.
CTTCCATAGAGTCTGCAAAGCTGAGCCTACCACATGTGACTGTTCCCCAATTTTGTCTTTATGAAAAAGGAACGGAGAGAGGAAAGTGTGAGCCTCAATGGAGAAACTGGAGAATCTGTAGGATTTGGAATGAGAGATGATTCACCTCCCCTCCCCACAGAGAGAAGAGATGATTCACCTCCTTTCTCCTCACCAAGGCAAGACAGAAGAGCTCAGAGGCTGGGGGCCTGCAAGATTGGCAACCTCAGTGGAATGGATGGATGTCCTGGTTAAACATCTGCTTAGGTCATGAACTGGCTAATTTGTCTCTACGTAAATCTGAATTGGGGGAAGAAGCACCTAAAGAGAAACACTAGGAAGGAGAGGGTTCTGATCTGCCCTACCACTGTTTGTGGCAAAGATGAGTGAGTTGACTTTGGGTCAGAAAATAGCCAGGTTGTAGACATCTTGCCCTGCCCACAAGGTGGTTGCCTGAGTAAGTGCAGGGATTGGGGGAGGGCAGTAACAAGAAGCTTTGTGGTGGGGGCATGTGCTGATGATGGTAGGAAGAAGAGGTGGAGTTCAAGCTGGATCTCCTGGTTAAGAAACTGTGGAGCAAAAGGGTCTGCACAGCCCTCTGAAAAACCATACAAGAAAGATCCAAAGGAGGGAAGAGACTTAAATCAAATTTGAGGTTGATGCTTTAAAATAACAGAGTTTTAATGGCTCAGCATGACTGGAAATTTATGGAATCTATCCCAGATAGTATAAAGTGACAAGAAACAGAGAATGAATTAGGTATGGCTAAAGGCAGTGACTGGAAGAAATAGAATCTTTATATATGTATACTCCACTGAATGGGGGGGCTGCTTAGTAACTCTAATGGGATATTCGAGAATTTATCTCTCATCATACAGACATCTGAAAATGGGCCAAAAGCCAATAGAAACTTTGTCATGAGTGGCCATGGCAAATCTAATGTCAGTATCTTTGTCCACAGTTTCGTTGCATTGTTGGTCATCTCATAAATCCTATTTCAGAAGGCTTTGCTAGAGGAGCCCGGGGTCGGGGAGGGCTAGGCTTAGGGGAAAGTCAGAGTTTATGTCCAATGGTTTCCCAGGTTGCACTAAATTGGACAACTAACCAGAATCTATTTAGATTATTATTTTGAAAATATATGAGAAGTTGGTCACTCTTTTCTATGTGAAAGTTATGTCTCTTATTGTTTTCCATATGTTGGGAGGTGTTATTTTTATTTTAAAATATAATTCTAAAAGATTTCTTTCATTGTCCTGAATAATTCTTCAGGGGCATTGGAGGGCCCTAGAATAATCTGGAAAGGATAGTGGGATGTGGGAGAATGGGAACGGAAACCATAAGTGTCACACTTAAATGTCTAGAGGGACCAGCAGGCAGGGAATTTAATGGAGCATGCACCAGGCTGGCTGAGGCTGCGGGGAACTGCAGAGCACCCTGTCAAATGACTACTCAGCTCTGGTTGACTGTTGCCATAGAATCATACACACCTGGTTTGGCCACGTCTTCCCATTTTTCAAGAGAAGTGAAAAAAAAAATCAGTTTTTATATAAACCTCATCATTTTTAAGTGTCAGCAACTATTCAAACAATTTTTTTTTTTTTTTTTTTGAGACGGAGTTTCGCTCTGTCGCCCAGGCCGGACTGCGGACTGCAGTGGCGCAATCTCGGCTCACTGCAAGCTCCGCTTCCCAGGTTCACGCCATTCTCCTGCCTCAGCCTCCCGAGTAGCTGGGACTACAGGCGCCCGCCACCGCGCCCGGCTAATTTTTTTGTATTTTTAGTAGAGACGGGGTTTCACCTTGTTAGCCAGGATGGTCTCGATCTCCTGACCTCATGATCCACCCGCCTCGGCCTCCCAAAGTGCTGGGATTACAGGCGTGAGCCACCGCGCCCGGCCTATTCAAACAATTTTAAAAGCACCGTATGGGCTAAAGAGAACACACTGTGAGCTAATATGGCTGGTATGTAGCCAGAAACCTCTGGCATAGGTAATGGGAGAAGGTGGTCAGAACTGAAAAATGGAACTAAGGCTCAAGGCCTGTCAATCATTATTCTTTGTAAAAGGAGTTCTGGATCAGCAACATCTCTCAGACTGGAAATACGAGCTTTTAAGGAGATATAAGGGGTAGAGGTAGCAAGAAAATTCAGAGAATGCTAAAGAATGAGGCACTAGTGCCCCTAGGAGGATGTCATCCACCACAGGACACATACCAGGTGCAGAAAGACTCATTTCAGGCAACAGGTAAGGAGACTGAGTTCCAAATAAAGCCAGAACTGACTTTGGTAACATATGATTGAATGTGCTACAGGTAAAACCAAAAGAATTTTTAAAAGGATGAAGAAAGAAAAAGTTACAAATGCAAGTTTCCTGCAAAAAACATTTGAAGCCCAGAAGAAAAATTTTTGAGAGCCAAAAGGTTGAATGTTTCTCCCCTAGGATGGTTTCATAGGGACTATCTTGGGTATAGTTGGATTAGGAAGAGATTGGTCCATGTACAGAAATGAGATCAGGGAAGGTTATGAATGATTCTGAGAAAATACTAAACCCAAAAGCTGGCTATGAGGTAAGCATCATGGTTAAATATCTAACCCAGACTGGACTGAATGTATATATTTCTTTCTTTTCTTTTCTTTTTTCTTTTTGAGACAGTCTCACTCCGTTGCCCAGGCTAGAGTGCAATGGCGCTATCTTGGCTCACTACAACTTCCGCCTCCTGGGTTCAAGCAATTCTCTTGCCTCAGCCTCTCGAGTAGCTGGGATTACAGGCGTGTGCCACCACACCCGGCTATTTTTTTATATTTTTGGTAGAGACAGGGTTTCACCATGTTGGCCAAGCTGGTCTTGAACCCCTGACCTCAAGTGATCTGCCTGCCTCGGCCTCCCAAAGTGCTGCGATTACAGGTGTGAGCCACCGCACCCAGCCTGAATGTGTACATTTCTGAGACAATAACTCATCTAGCATTTGCACTATTACAATGGATTTAAAACTGTTCTCCCTGTTTATGAACTTAACCCTACAGTCTGTGGCTCAATGTAAAAGTTAAAATGATCCTTTTAAAACTTAAATCTGATCATGTCACTTCACTGCTAAAAGTTCTTCCATAGCTTCCCATCTCACTTGGAATAAATGTCAAAGCCCTTAAAGTGGACACCAAGGCCCAGGTCTGGTCCCAGCTCTGTTTTATTTGATGTCATTTCCTCCATCCTCGAACACATTGCACATTCTGCTCCAGCCACAGTGGTCCAGCCGTTCCCTGAACACATCAAGCACACTCAGGACCTTTTAAATTCCTGTTTCCTCTGCCTAAATGGATCTTTTCCCAGATATCTGCATAATGCACCCCTCACTTCCTTCAGGTCCTGCTCAATGAATAGTATCAGAGCAGTATTCACTGACCACCCAATACAAAGCAGCAGCCCTCCCACCCAGCTTTCTCTTTTCCACGAACTCGGCTTGTTTTTCTCATATCACTTATCATTACTTGGTAGATTGGATTTTGTTTTTAGTTGGTCTGTTTATAATCATTTCTCCCCTCTAGAATGCACACTTTCTTAAGATTTTGTCCACTGATATGTCCCCAGAGTCCAAAACAGTGCCTGGCACATAGTAGGTACTTGATAAACACTTGTTGAATGAAAGAGCGAATGAATAAATAAACAAACAAAGGAAACTTTCAATGACATCGAGAAAATTAACAGTCATAGAGTAGGGAACTACACAAATTTGAAAGACATTTAGTACTTGGGCTCTTTCCAAAATTAAAAAAAATTATAATTACCCTCGTCTGTTCCTCCACTGTGATGAGTAATGTTAGTGACATGAAGTTGAAAGAATGGGTGATTGCTTTCTGGAAAGAAAGAAGGCCGACTCCTTGAAAACTGTTGAAAGATCAGAAAGGAGTAGATAGGGTTCCAGGCTTGCATGAAGAAATTGGCTCTGAACTTCACCAATAAAGGACCCATATGTGGGTTTACAACTAAGAGGACATTATGTTTAAAAACTGTCATTGAAATTGTGCCAGAATCTGTAATCAGGACCTATGACTTTTCTGGTTTTCTTAACTTAAAAAAAAAAAAAGTCCATGATTTAGATATATTTCTTCAGAATGTTGCCTGTCATCAAGACCTAGTAGTGACAGTGTCCTTAGGGATTACTAGTGGGCTTTCTTAATTTGCTGAGCGTTTTTTTCTTCTGTAATACATACGTATAAAATATAATAGGAAGAGAAAGACAAATATTTGAAATATTTTCTCTGAAAGCTTTTTTCCCCCCCTCTCCCTCTTTGATACCATGGATATATTTGTTTGAACATATGTATAGTGAATTTCCCCTCATGGAGTTGTTTATCCTCAGCTACCTTTTGCTGCTAGAAGTAGGTGCGAAGGGGCTAGGCACAGCATGAGTAACTTAATTTATTACATAATATTAGGCATTTAACATAACATTAATCAAACCTCTCCAACTGGAAAAGACCAAAAGACAAAAATGAAAACCATGCTGCTGTAACAAATATCTATATTTGAGATGGGCGAGGCCTTACCATTTTTAAGACTTAGATTTGCTTAATGTTTTTAATTTTAACTTTATTTAGTGTATTAGTTTGTTCTCACACTGCTATGAAGAAATACCCAAGACTGGGTAATTTATGAAGGAAAGAAGTTTAATTGACTCACATGTCTGCATCATTGGGGAGGCCTCAGAAAACTTATAATCATGGAGGAAGGGGAAGCAAACACATCCTTCTTCACATGGCAGTAGCAAGGAGAAGTGCAGAGTGAAGGGTGGGGGGAAGCCCTTTATAAAACCAACAGCTCTTGTGAGAACTCATTCACTATCACAAGAATAGCATGGGGGTAACTGACCCCATCATTCAATTACCTCCCACCAAGTCCCTCCCATGACATGTGGGGATTGTGGGAACTACAATTCAAGATGAGATTTGGGTGGGGACACCACAAAACCATATCATTTAGTTTCAAAGGTTTTTCAAGTACAAATGTTGAAAATATAGCCTTGTTTTTAGAGTAATTTATTTTAATTCAAGTTTAATAAACTCAAGATGGGAATATGACTCAAGAACAATGAAATGTGTTTTTCTAAGCAAGCATATTAGATTATAATACAAAGAAAACATGTGAATAAAACCACAAAGAATACAGTTTTTAATTAGAATATTTTATGGGCCCAGTTCTCCTTTTAGGGTTTATAGAATTATGTGCCCAGTTCCCATTAAATGTAAAAAAACAACTAATGCACAAAATCTCACCACACACTACAGTCAAAATGTGACTTGAGACCAAAGAGTTATTCCATTTCTTGCATTGACCAAAACCTCATTTTGTTGTTCTGTACCTAGATGAAACTTTTCATGACCTCTTTACAGTAATAAAATACTCTGTCCTTTGACTCTATCTATGGAGTCCTGTCTATTTCCCCACTTCTCAGTTCTGGTACTCCTAACCTACTTTATACTTTGGACACTTATTATCTGTTTCCTTTGTTCATTTATCCACTCATTTAAGAAATAAAAATTGATTGAATACCAAAGTCCAACCCCTCCCTAAGGGGAAAAAAATAATGTATCAATCCAATTTCAGTCGACTACAATTTAAAGATGAGATGACATGTTCATCAGTAATTATATTCTGGGGTTTGGTGTGATCTTTAGCTGTACAGAGCCAAGTTCCATAGGAATTCACCTGTGTAACCTCCAGACAGATCATGAAAAGTTTTCATCAGGGAGATGAAATGTAAGCTGGACTTTGAAGACTATACAGCAAGAGTAGAGACAGAGAAGGGAGGTCACTGTTGGTGGAAGAATACCAAAAAAAAGGAATTTTGAGGGGAGGAAAGAATGTTAGCTAAGCTGCTAAAGCAGGAAAGTCCAGGAAGTGTTCTAGATAATGGAAACTAGTGAAGATTTTTGTGGGGATTCAGTAGCCAAGTAAAGGTAGAGGTGTATGAAATGATAGCTTCAAATTGGATAGTGTGGGTATCTGAATGCCAAAATGAATTAGCTAGAAATAATGGCATCCATAAGAAGCAAAATCTGGCAAAGCGTGGTGGCTCATGCCTGTAATCGCGGCACTTTGGGAGGCCAAGGTGGGCAGATCATTTGAGGTCAGGAGTTTGAGACCAGGCTGACCAACATGGTGAAACTCCATCTCTTTCTAAAAATGCAAAAATTAGCCAGGTATGGTGGCGCACTCTTGTAGCCCTAGCTACTTGGGAGGCTGAGGCATGAGAATCGCTTGAACACAGGAGGCAGAGGTTGCAGCGAGCCGAGATGGTGCCACTGCACTCCAGTCTGTGTGACAGAGCAAGACTCAGCCTCAGAAAGAAAAAAAAGAAGCAAAGTCTGATTGAAATGATAAACATATTTGTTGTTTTTCTAAAAAGAAGTCCAGAATGGCAGTCCCAAGGTGTGTCAACAGCTCCCCAGATTTCTGATGGACCAGAATCTTTCCACTTATGCTCTGCTATCCTTAGGGAATTTTAACCCATATTCATTTCCTCATGGTCATAAGATAGATGCGGAAGCTTCAGGCATTACATTTATATTCAAGACAGGAAGTAGAAAAAACATAGCAACAACCACATATGTTTTTCTTATCAGAAAACCAAAGGCTTTCTCAAAATCCCTCAGTAGTTCTATCTCATTGTCCAAAAATTAGTCAGTGCCACTTGTAGTTGAAAGATAGGTAGAGAAAAAAATCTATCTGCTTTCCAGCCTTTCTGGTGAGAATGTCAGTGAAGAAGTGTTGGGAAAGGCTGTTGCCCTAACTAGCCAACCTGCCCAAGCTAGGGGGAACTGTATGGAACTTGTAGACAATAGGCAGTCATTAATTTTCAGAAGAGAAACAACACAGAATAAAGCTATAATATGATTGATTCAATGGTGTTGTTGAAGAATGAATTAGAGATCTGAGAGGGTAGAGGCAAAAAGAAACATTAAGAACGTTCTTCCTTTTAGACATGTTACATTTGAAATTTTATTGAAAATATATCCATTGTTGAACTATATATACACATATATGTATATATACACACACACACATATATATATATATATCTCCCCATTGAAAATATATCCCAGGTGGGACAGACTTTGAAAGTATTCATAGTATTTGAAGAATTTGAAGGTAGGAATATGAGTTTGTGTTAACTTTTGTCTTCTGTCTTTGAGTAGGTTGAAATCACACTATGCCCACCACACTTTGCTGTAGGTGGGCAACACAGAACCAATGTTATAGATGCTTACCTCTCTGGCTGCAGACATTTCCACCTGGATATTCCACTATAATTTGCCATTTATCACTTCAAAAATGGATTTAAATGGCCACTATGACTAAAATAATATATGGCTTAAGGCATATTTTTGTACTCTGTTGAAGCATTTCCATTATTAGAATGACTAGGGATTGCATTTGCATCTATTTTAGAGAAACATAAAATAAACACGAGTAACACTTAGGCCAAATTTGAATGGGAACAAATTTTAATCATTCTTTGTACTATCCACAATTACAATATGTTTTCATTCAAGGATAACATTTTATTATATGCAGTGCAAAAATTGAGACTGTGTTTACGCTTAAGTGACATAGGAAACTTGCCATTAATTCTATTAAAAACATGGATAATTATGAAAGAGTTTGTTAAAATTTCCATATCACATTTTGAGTCTGGTTTTCAAATTTTAAAGAAATAAAAGTTATCATTTCTGTCCCATGAGTATGCCAGGTGTTAGAATGACAGATGGAATCAAAGAGTCTACTCTATCCCATCACTTACTCTTCTTGCTCTGTTTATACTATGTAATTGGTAAAGGCTGCTTCCAATTGGTTTTAGATTGAGATGGAGATAATTAAGCTAGTAAATAAGAAAAAGGTATGTTAGAATTGTTACAGGATCAGAAACCTGGCTTTCATAGTAAGTTATGATAGAATCTGATGCCTAAAATGTAATCTGTTGCAACCATGGCACAAAGGAGGCCATTGTTCCTACATCCTTAGTATAGTAGAGTAATGAGGGGGAAGGCCCCGGAATCAGAATGTCTGTATTTTAATTATGGATCCATCGCTTACTGGCTCTGGGAAAATTAGTTAACATTTCTGTACCTCAGTTTCCTCATTAATTTAAAAGAGGATTACTGGGAGGGTTCAATGAGATAATCCATACAAAGCACATGGAGCGGTGCCTAAGCATGCTTCTGCTATTGTTGCTGCTGCTACTACTGCTATTATTACATTGCTACTACTATTACAACACTATTGTTACTACTATTATTACTGTTACTAATATACTGTTACTAGTATACTACTGTACTACTACTACTGCTACTCTTGTGACAACCAAGATGGAAATTTTTTTTGATAGACAAAATGACAAAAAAGTCTCAGTTTGTTTTTACAAAGATCTCAAATGATCTGGCTGGCAGTGATCTCATGTGACCTGTCAGCAGTATGTGGCAAAGTGAATCATTTCTTGTGCTTCAATTCACTTTCTTCTGTAGACCTCTAAAGACACTGCACTCTTTCTGTCTGCTTTTTCCCTGTATCACTGGCTGCCCCTTCTCAGTCTCCATTCCTGGTTCTTCTTCTTCTTCTTGAACTCCCAGTACACTGAAGCATTAGCATGAACTTTAGTATGAGTGTATTCTTTCCAGGTCTCGATTCGTGGTCCTTTCCTTTATCTTTAGTCATGCCTGAAGTGATATTGTTTGGTCCCATCATTTTAAATATCAGCTATAATCTGATGACTCCAGCCTGAAACTATCTCTCAAATTTTACCCTCGATATCAAACTGCCTATATCACATTCCTACCCATATATCTAGCAGACATGTCAAGTAACATGATCAAAATTCAATTCCTGATCTTCTCTCAAAAATCTGTTCCACATACAATCTCCCCTTAATCTGGGTATGGCAACTCCATCATTCTAGGGGCTCAGGCCGAAAACCTCAGGCCCATCCCTGCCTCCTCTCCTTTCCTCCTTTTCGTGCCATGCCTATCTATCAAGAAATCCTGTTGCATCAACCTTGAAAGTGGGTAAAAGCTCTGACCGAGTCACACCCCCTCCACCTCCCACCCCAGTCTGCAACCACTATCTCCCACCAGGACATCAAAAATGGCCTTGATGGAGATAGTTTACCAATAAATTACCTCAGTTATTCTCCTTGCTATATTACACTCCTTTGTAATGTGATTTTTGTAGCTTCTCCTATCAGGACATGGAATCTAGTCCTCCAACCCTTCACCCTGCATACATCCAATGTCTTGCTTCGACTAATAGAATACACCTCAAGTAATCCCAGCACTTTGGGAGGCCGAGGCAGGTGGATCACCTGAGGTTGGGAGTTCGAGACCAGCCTGACCAACATGGAGAAACCCCATCTCTACTAAAAATACAAAATTAGCCAGTCGTGGTGGCACATGCCTGTAATCCCAACTACTCGGGACGCTGAGACAGGAGAATCGCTTGAACCCGGGAGGTGGAGGTTGTGGTGAGCTGAGATCCCACCATTGCACTCCAGCCTGGGCAACAAGAGTGAAATTCCGTCTCAAAAAAAAAAAAAAAAAAAAACCCTCAAGTGATGCCATGCTAGCTTTGAGCCTAGGCTAGGCCTCAAGAGACCTTGCACACCTCTGTGCATTCTCTTGAAATTGCTGCCACTGAGTGAATAAGCACATGGCCTGGTCACCCTTATTTTCCAAGCCAATGGTACCCAGCTTCCTGAAGCAGAGCCTCCTAGCTGATCTGTAGCTGGCTGTGGAGAAGACCAGAGAATGACCTGCCTGAGCCAATCTTAATTTGTCCATCCCCCAAAGTTTGAGCTAAATAATGACTTTTGCTTTGAGCAACTAAAATCTGGGGTGGTGTGTTACTCAGCAATAGCTAGTGGACACATCTTCCTAACTCATCTCCCTGCTACTACCTTTGCCCACTAAAGTCTATTCTCAGCATAGCAGGCAGGAAGGACTTAAAAAAAAACACCATCAGAATTACATCACTCTTTTGCTCAAAACTTAAAACAGCTCACCTTACAGTGGCCTACAAGGCTCTAATTCATTTGGCTTCTTGTTACTGCTCTGCCCACATCTCCTGTTAATCAACCTTTTGTGCTCTCCATTCCAACCACAGTGCCTCCTCGCTATTTTGAACACACCAGGAACACTCCTGCCTGAGGACCTTTGCCCCAAGTGTTCCTGGCGGTTGCTCTGCCTTAAACGCTCTTTCTTTAGATAGCCCCTTGGCTAAGTCTCCCGATATCTTTCAGTCTTTTCTCAAATCTCACCTTCCCAATGAGGTCTCCCCATTTCAAAAGACCATTCTGATCCCCATTTCTAGCCTTTCCAGCTCACTTTATCCTGTTCTACTTTTTCATTTTTTTCACACCTATCGTCTTCTAATGTATCATATAATTTACCTAATTCTTATGTTTATTATTTATTGTATGTTTCTCTGCATGAGTCAGGGTTCTCCAGAGAAATAAAACTAATAGCAATAGGATAAGTGTGTGTGTGTGTATATGTATATATGTGTGTATACGTATATGTGTGTATATATATGAGTGTGCATATATGTGTGTATATATACACACACATATATATGTACACACATGCACACACACACACATCCTGTTGCTATTGGTTTCATTTCTCTGGAGAACCCTGACTATATATACGCACACACACACACACACACACACAAATATATATATTTATTTTAAATAAATGTGTGTTTTTGTGTGTATATATACACGCACACACATATATATGCACACGTATCTAAAATAAATAAATACGTGTGTGCATATATGTGTATATTTACTTATTTATATGTATATGTATTTATATTTATTTATATGTATATTTCTTTTTATATGTATGTATTTGTATATGTTTATTTATATATGTATATATATTTATATATTTATTTATATATATATATTTATATATATATATACACACATTTACTTATTTTAAGGAATTACCTCACATTATTATGGGTACTGGCAAGTTTACATTCTGCAAGGCAGACTGGCAGTCCAGAGATACAGGAAGAATTGATATTCAGCTTAAATCTGAAGGCAGTTTGGAGAAAAAAATTCCCTCTTCTGTAGGGGGCCTCAGTCTTTTTCTCTGAAGGCCTTCAACTGATTGGATGGGCCCACTCTCATTATGACAGGTCATCTGCTTTACTCTAAGTCTACTGATTTAAATGTTCATCCCACCAAAAAATATCTTCATGGCAACATCTAGACTGGCATTTGACCAAATATCTGTGTACCATGGCCTACCCAAAGTGACACATAAAATTAACCATCACATTCTCTTCACCAAAATATAAGCTCTTTGAGAGAAAAAAATATTTATTTTGTTCCTTAATATATCTCAAGTGTCTAGAACTATGCCCAGCATATGGTTAGCAGATATGTCAAATGAATCAAGGAAGTAATGATTGAACCTTAAAAAATAAAAGGAAAACCCAGCAGGAATATTTGAGAGTGGCTGGAGGCTGGTGGGGTCAGTGCAGAAGGGCCCCTGAAGGATGTGTGTTCTACACATAGTTTTGAAAGGAGGATGGGATATAATTTGGCAGAAGAAGGAGAGGAAAAACTCCAGGAAATCAGAATGATGTGTATGTTGGCTCAAAGTGAGGAGAAAGCAAACAAAGTGTACCCTCTAAGATAACCACATCTTATGTCAATAAGAAGGACATTTTTCAATTATTCCTGAAAAACTAAACACTTCCTTATTATCTGTTGAAATTCCAATGCATCATTTATCTGTCTATAATAGTCAAAAACTGTGGTCTCTGGAACATTTGAGCTTTTTCTAAGTGAAATAAAGCATTTATACAAAGCATATGCATGCAACATAACCTTCAGTCATGATTTTCTTGTATGTACCCCCAATAAGACCACTACAAATAGAAAAAGCCATTCCTTAGATCAAACCAGCACTTACAAGTCAAATTCAATTTAATGACAGTATTACAAGCATCAGCCAAACCTGGGCCATTTTCTGCATGACACGCAGAATCTCTGGAGCAGACCTCCTGCCAAATTTACTCAGGTATAAAATTCTCTTAATATCTGACACTGATGAGGGCCTGGGAGACTCCCAGGCACCTATTATTTCTACTCAAATCTAAAACTACAGATTGCCTGGAGAAGGTGTTTTTAAAAATAATTACTTCTCATTGTAGTTAATTTAACCGTCACAAAAATAATCTCTGGAAACTGTCTATTTAGGAATCTCTCTACTTAAATATCTACCCATCTTTCTCTATTTACCATGCTCCAGTGTTTTGTACACTGTAATTATCCATCGGCATCCAAATTATAATATAAACGTAAGTCGTCCCTCTGCTCTTTAAGTCAAAGAATGGAGTGCTTGCTAGATTCAGAGTAAGAAGAGTCTGCTCATCAATGGCACGTCAATTCAAACTGCTCTTCAGATTCGAGTGGCTATAAATCTCTCTATGACCACAGTTTAGAAAGTGGTCTTGGCCAGGCACAGTGGCTCACGCCTCTTATCCCAACACTTTGGTAGGCCAAGGCGGGCAGATCACTTGAGGTCAGGAGTTCGAGATCAGCCTGGCCAACATGGTGAAACCCCGTCTCTACTAAAAATACAAAAATTAGCTGGGCGTGGTGGCGCACACCTGTAGTCCCAGCTATTAAGGAGGCTGAGGCAGAAGAACAGCTTGAACCTGGGAGGCAGAGGTTGCAGTGAGCTGAGATCACACCACTGCACTCCAGCCTAGGCAGCAGAGTGAGTGAGACTCTATCAAAAAAAAAAAAAAAAAAAGAAAGAAAGAAAGAAAAAAAGTGGTCTTTACTTTGTATGCTTTTGGGAGACTGCAAAAGCCCTATTCTTTTCACAGGATAAACTGCCAGAACTGTACCTAACATGCGAGAATAAAAATCTGCAAAGTCAGGGTGTCCAGGAAAGGCAACATCTTAGAATATTTGCAGTCCCCTTTTCTCCAGCAATACTGGGTCAGATTATAAGACTATGGCAGAACTATTTTTTAACAAGATATAACAGCCATTCCTTTATGCACTTATTAGATATTTGTATTTAAACTATCTGCAGATTTTTATTTAAAAAGCTAAATATTTAATACAAAACATATACTCAAACACTAATTCTACACTTAAGTACTTACACTTTGACTCAAGGTGAGAAGGTGAGTATAAATGCAGGCAAGACACATTGAAATTTATTTTCAATATTGATTTACTCAAATAAATTTAAAACATATTTCACAGGATTGATTAGCATCATCTACTAATGATTAGCAACTATTTTATTGCTAACTGAGGGAAGCAACAATAAGCATTCTAGTGCAACCAGGTATTCAAGTGGCTACCGAGAAAAATTTTTGTAAGTCAATGAAAATGTTAGTGTATATTAGTAGTGTATGTAAAGTGTTAGCTATTCATTTCCAACAGCATAAGCCAAGTTTATCCCAGAATCTCTATAAACTCAAGATATACTTTTCTGATCCTCTGAGTTGTCTGAGCTATTAAGATAAAGTTCTGTGTGGCTTTTGCAATTCAACTCCATCTTATATTGTTGATTACCTAGTACTAGAGTCAGAAAAATAAAGCTCAGGAAAGAAAAAAGTAACAGAAATCATGTCCAAATTATTCATCTGATAAAGAAGGGGGAAATGATGAGCATTTTATTGTTGGCACTTATAAGTTTTCTCTTCTTTTTCTTAGATCTTAATTTGCTTGATGCCAGACTTCAACCCTGATAATTCTCTTGCTGGAAATTTGTTCTGTATAATGAAAGAATATTACCAATAGTCTTTGATAAATAATTTGCAGGCTCACAACCTCTTACTGTATAATTTGTAGCTAGGTAGCTTCTCCACCCAACAACCTTCTGAAAAGCAGAAACCTCTTTAGCAGACCCTGTCTAGACATTCACTGTGAATTTCTTCTAAGTTAACTTGTGTTCGGATTAGTACATGCAACTAACCTAACTTTCACCTAAAGTTGGATTGATGCTGGGTATTTCATCTCCTTTTTGGACAGTTTTAAGAAAGCAAAATAAAAAATTTTATAGTGGCTGGGAGTAGTGATTTTTCTGAAACACTTTACCCCATTAAGAAAATAATATGGGCCGGGCGTGGTGGCTCACACCTGTAATCCCAAGAACCTTGGAAGGCCAAGGCAAACAGATCGCCTGAGGTCAGGAGTTCGAGACCAGCCTGGCCAATATGGTGAAACCCCTTCTCTAGTAAAAATACAAAAATTAGCTGGGCATGGTGGCAGGTGCCTGTAATCCCAGCTACTCAGGAGGCTGAGGCAGGAGAATCACTTGAACTCTCCCCAGACCTGTCCTAAGTGGTTGAAGAAGGAAGAGCATTCATGATGCTACACAAAACATCTTAACATAATTTACCCTGCACTTGGGCTCCAGTTAAGAAAAACAGAAAAGGTAAAGCTGTATTTTAAATTCATCTATTCCAGAAGAAATATTTCAGGGGCGGAGGAGCCAAGATGGCCCAATAGGAAGAGCTCCATTCTACAGCTCCCAGCCTGAGCAACAGAGAAGACAGGTGATTTCTACATTTCCATCTGAGGTACTGGGTTCATCTCACTAGAGAGTGCCAGACAGTGGGCACAGGACAGTGGGTGCAGCGCACCATGCGCCAGCCGAAGCAGGGCGAGGCATTGCCACACTCAGGAAGTGCAAGGGATCAGGGAGTTCCCTTTCCTGGTCAAGGAAAGGGGTGACAGACGGCACCTGGAAAATTGGGCCACTCCCAACCTAATACTGCACTTTTACGATGGGCTTAGGAAACTGCGCACCAGGAGATTATATCCCGCACCTGACTCGGAGGGTCATACGCCCATGGAGTCTCGCTTATTGCTAGCACAGCACTCTGAGATCAAACAGCAAGGCAGCAGCGAGGCTGGGGGAGGGCACCCGCCATTGCCCAGGCTCGCTTAGGTAAACAAAGCAGCCTGGAAGCTCAAACTGGGTGGAGCCCACCACAGCTCAAGGAGGCCTGCCTGCCTCTGCAGGCGCCACCTCTGGGGGCAGGGCACAGACAAACAAAAAGACAGCAGTAACCTCTGCAGACTTAAATGTCCCTGTCTGACAGCTTTGAGGAGAGCAGTGGTTCTCCCAGCATGCAGCTGGAGATCTGAGAAAGGGCAGACTGCCTCCTCAAGTGGGTCCCTGACCCCTGACCCCCGAGCAGCCTAGCTGGGAGGCACCCCCCAGTAGGGGTAGACTGACACCTCACACAGCAGGGTACTGCTCTGAGACAAAACTTCCAGAGGAACGATCAGACAGCAGCATTCGTGGATCGTGAAAATCCATGGTTCTGCAGACACTGCTGCTGATACCCAGGAAAACAGGGTCTGGAGTGGACCTCTAGCAAACTCCAACAGACCTGCAGCTGAGGGTCCTGTCTGTTAGAAGGAAAACTAACAAACAGAAAGGACATCCACACCAAAAACCCATCTGTACATCACCATCATCAAAGACCAAAAGTAGATAAAACCACAAAGATGGGGAAAAAACAGAGCAGAAAAACTGGAAACTCTAAAAAGCAGAGCGCCTCTCCTCCTCCAAAGGAACGCAGTTCCTCACCAGCAACAGAACAAAGCTGGACGGAGAATGACTTTGACGAGTTGAGAGAAGAAGGCTTCAGATGATCAAAATACTCCGAGCTACAAGAGGAAATTCAAACCAAAGGCAAAGAAGTTGAAAACATTGAAAAAAATTTAGATGAATGTATAACTAGAATAACCAATACAGGGAAGTGCTTAAAGGAGCTGCTGGAGCTGAAAGCCAAGGCTAGAGAACTACATGAAGAATGCAGAAGCCTCAGGAGCCGATGCGATCAACTGGAAGAAAGGGTATCAGTGATGGAAGATGAAATGAATGAAATGAAGCGAGAAGGGAAGTTTAGAGAAAAAAGAATAAAAAGAAAATGAGCAAAGCCTCCAAGAAATATGGGACTATGTGAAAAGACCAAATCTGCATCTGATTGGTGTACCAGAAAGTGACGGGGAGAATGGAACCAAGTTGGAAAACACTCTGCAGGATATAGTCCAGGAGAACTTCCCCAATCTAGCAAGGCAGGCCAACATTCAGATTCAGGAAATACAGAGAACGCCACAAAGATACTCCTCGAGAAGAGCAACTCCAAGACACATAATTGTCAGATTCACCAAAGTTGAAATGAAGGAAAAAATGTGAAGGGCAGCCAGAGAGAAAGGTCGGGTTACCCACAAAGGGAAGCCCATCAGACTAACAGCGGATCTCTCGGCAGAAAGTCTACAAGCCAGAAGAGAGTGGGGGCCAATATTCAACATTCTTAAAGAAAAGAATTTTCAACCCAGAATTTCATGTCCAGCCAAACTAAGCTTCATAAGTGAAGGAGAAATAAAATACTTTATGGACAAGCAAATGCTGAGAGATTTTGTCACCACCAGGCCTGCCCTAAAAGAGCTCCTGAAGGAAGCACTAAACATGGAAAGGAACAACCGGTACCATCCACTGCAAAAACATGCCAAATTTTAAAGACCATCAAGGCTATGAAGAAACTGCATCAACTAATGAGCAAAATAACCAGCTAACATCATAATGACAGGATCAAATTCACACATAACAATATTAACCTTAAATGTAAATGGGCTAAATGCTCCAATTAAAAGACACAGACTGATAAATTGGATAAAGAGTCAAGACCCATCAGTGTGCTGTATTCAGGAAACCCATCTCACATACAGAGGCATACATAGGCTCAAAATGAAAGGATGGAGGAAGATCTACCAAGCAAATGGAAAACAAAAAAAGGCAGGGGTTGCAATCCTAGTCTCTGATAAAACAGACTTTAAACCAACAAAGATCAAAAGAGACAAAGAAGGCCATTACATAATGGTAAAGGGATCAATTTGACAAGAAGAGCTAACTATCCTAAATATATATGCACCCAATACAGGAGAACCCAGATTCATAAAGCAAGTCCTTAGTGACCTACAAAGAGACTTAGACTCCAACACAATAATAGTGGCAGACTTTAACACCCCACTGTCAACATTAGACAGATCAACGAGACAGAAAGTCAACAAGGATATCCAGGAATTGAACTCAGCTCTGCACCAAGCGGAACTAATAGACATCTACAGAACTCTCCACCCCAAATCAACAGAATATACTTTTTTTTCAGCACCACACCACACCTATTCCAAAATTGACCACGTAGTTGGAAGTAAAGCTCTCCTCAGCAAATGTAAAAGAACAGAAATTATAACAAACTGTCTCTCAGACCACAGTGCAATCAAACTAGAACTTAGGATTAAGAAACTCACTCAAAACCACTCAACTACATGGAAACTGAACAACCTGCTCCTGAATGACTACTGGGTACATAACGAAATGAAGGCAGAAATAAAGATGTTCTTTGAAACCAACGAGAACAAAGACACAACATACCAGAATGTCTGGGACACATTCAAAGCAGTGTGTAGAGGGAAATTGATAGCACTAAATGCCCACAAGAGAAAGCAGGAAAGATCCAAAACTGACACCCTAACATCACAATTGAAAGAACTAGAAGACAAGAGCAAACACATTCAAATGCTAGCAGAAGGCAAGAAATAACTAAAATCAGAGCAGAACTGAAGGAATTAGAGACACAAAAAAACCCTTCAAAAAATTAATGAATCCAGGAGCTGGTTTTTTGAAAGGATCAACAAAATTGATAGACCACTAGCAAGACTAATAAAGAAAAAAAGAGAGAAGAATCAAATAGATGCAATAAAAAATGATCAAGGGGATATCACCACCGATCCCACAGAAATACAAACTACCATCAGAGAATACTACAAACACCTCTACGCAAATAAACTAGAAAATCTAGAAGAAATGGATAAATTCCTCAACACATACATTCTCCGAAGACTAAACCAGGAAGAAGTTGAATCTCTGAGTAGACCAATAACAGGATCTGAAATTGAGGCAATAATCAATAGCTTACCAACCAAAAAGAGTCCAGGACCAGATGGATTCACAGCCGAATTCTACCAGAGGTAAAAGGAGGAACTGGTACCATTCCTTCTGAAACTATTCCAATCAATAGAAAAAGAGAGAATCCTCCCTAACTCATTTTATGAGGTCAGCATCATCCTGATACCAAAGCCGGGCAGAGACACAACCAAAAAAGAGAATTTTACACCAATATCCTTGATGAACATTGATGCAAAAAGCCTCAATAAAATACTGGCAGAACGAATCCAGCAGCACATCAAAAAGCTTATCCACCATGATCAAGTGGGCTTCATCCCTGGGATGCAAGGCTGGTTCAATATACGCAAATCAATAAATGTAATCCAGCATATAAACAGAACCAAAGACAAAAACCACATGATTATCTCAATAGATGCAGAAAAGGCCTTTGACAAAATTCAACAACCCTTCATGCTAAAAACTCTCAATAAATTAGGTATTGATGGACATATCTCAAAATAATAAGAGCTATCTATGACAAACCCACAGCCAATATCATACTGAATGGGCAAAACCTGGAAGCATTCCCTTTGAAAACTGGCACAAGACAGGGATGCCCTCTCTCACCACTCCTATTCAACATAGTGTTGGAAGTTCTGGCCAGGGCAATCACGCAGGAGAAGGAAATAAACGGTATTCAATTAGGAAAAGAGGAAGTCAAATTGTCCCTGTTTGCAGACGACATGATTGTATATCTAGAAAACCCCATCATCTCAGCCCAAAATCTCCTTAAGCTGATAAGCAACTTCAGCTAAGTCTCAGGATACAAAATCAATGTATAAAAATCACAAGCATTCTTATACACCAATAACAGATAAACAGAGAGCCAAATCATGAGTGAAGTCACATTCACAATTGCTTCAAAGAGAATAAAATACTTAGGAATCCAACTTACAAGGGACATGAAGGACCTCTTCAAGGAGAACTACAAACTACTGTTCAATGAAATAAAAGAGGATACAAACAAATGGAAGAACATTCCATGCTCATGGGTAGGAAGAATTAATATCATGAAAATGGCCATACTGCCCAAGGTAATTTATAGATTCAATGCCATCCCCATCAAGCTACCAATGACTTTCTTCACAGAATTGGAAAAAACTACTTTAAAGTTCATATGGAACCAAAAAAGAGCCCACATCGCCAAGTCAATCCTAAGCCAAAAGAACAAAGCTGGAGGCATCATGCTACCTGACTTCAAACTATACTACAAGGCTACAGTAACCAAAACATCATGGTACTGGTACCTAAAAAGAGATATAGACCAATGGAACAGAACAGAGGCCTCAGAAATAACGCCACATATCTACAACTATCTGATCTTTGACAAACCTGAGAAAAACAAGCAATGGGGAAAGGATTCCCTATTTAAGAAATGGTGCTGGGAAAACTGGCTAGCCATATGTAGAAAGCTGAAACTGGATCCCTTCCTTACACCTTATACAAAAATTAATTCAAGATGGATTAAAGACTTACATGTTAGACCTAAAACCATAAAAACCCTATAAAAAAACCTAGGCAATACCATTCAGGACATAGGCAAGGGCAAGGACGTCATGTCTAAAACACCAAAAGCAATGGCAACAAAAGGCAAAATTGACAAATGGGATCTAATTAAACTAAAGAACTTCTGCACAGCAAAAGAAACCACCATCAGAGTGAACAGGCAACGTACAGAATGGGAGAAAATTTTCACATCTGACAAAGGGCTAATATCCAGAATCTACAATGAACTCAAACAAATTTACAAGAAAAAAACAAATAACCCCATCAAAAAGTGGACGAAGGATGTGAACAGACACTTCTCAAGACATTTATGCAGCCAAAAAACACATGAAAAAATGCTCATCATCACTGGCAATCAGAGAAATGCAAATCAAAACCACAATGAGATACCATCTCACACCAGTTAGAATGGCAATCATTCAAAAGTCAGGAAACAACAGGTGCTGGAGAGGATGTGGAGAAATAGAACACTTTTACACTGTTGGTGGGGCTGTAAACTAGTTCAACCATTGTTGAAGTCAGTGTGGCAATTCCTCAGGGATATAGAACTAGAAATACCATTTGACCTAGCCATCCCATTACTGGGTATATACCCAAAGGACTATAAATCATGCTGCTATAAAGACACATGCACACATATGTTTATTGTGGCAGTATTCACAATAGCAAAGACTTGGAACCAACCCAAATGTCCAACAATGATAGACTGGATTAAGAAAATGTGGCACATATACACCATGGAATACTATGCAGCCATAAAAAATGATGAGTTCATGTCCTTTGTAGGGACATGGATGAAATTGGAAATCATCATTCTCAGTAAACTATCGCAAGGACAAAAAACCAAACACCCCATGTTCTCACTCATAGGTGGGAATTGAACAATGAGAACACATGGACACAGGAAGGGGAACATCACACCCCGGGGACTGCTGTGGGGTGGGGGTAGGGGGGAGGGATAGCATTAGGAGATATACCTAATGCTAAATGACGAGTTAATGGTTGCAGCACACCAGCATGGCACATGTATACATATGCAACTGACCTGCACATTGTGCACATGTACCCTAAAACTTAAAGTATAATAATAATTAAAAAATAAATAAATAAATAAATAAATTTATCTACTCCATAGAAATGCAACTAACTTGATTCTCATAGTGGAAAAACAGAGGTAGTGAACTAATCTATACCATCCAGTTGATCACAGAATGCAAAAGTTTCAATGGTCCTTATATATCATTTACTTTAATCTCTTCATTTTTCAGATGCTAAAAGTGAAACCTGTAGGGGTGATATAAGATGTCCAAAGTCACGCAGTAAGTGAGTTGCAGAACTACAGCTTCAAATAATAGTTCTAAAGACAGTCTCTTAATTCATCATTATTTATTGATTATCTATGTGCCTTACACTGTCACAGAGAATATAGCTTTAAGTATATGTAATTTAGTACTGTATTTTAAATGCCATCTTATTAATTGCACTCATGCTGTGCAAGTGAAAAATAATACAAGAATAAGGTAAAACCCCAGTGTGTGAAGTAACCTTTTTATTTTCTCAAAGTATAAACAAGAGCTGCCAACAAAGGAGTAAAAATAACAGAAACTAAAGGCAACAAATAACACCCACTAAATTATTGATAGGTTAAATAAGAGCCCAGAGATTAAAACAGCCCATGCTTTTGCTCCTTAGTGCACCTGCCTGTTTTGCAGGCAGAGGGAAGAAATAATAATATCTACTATAGTGTAAGAATGCAACAATGACCATTTCTGGCCCAAGTAAACATGTATAAAATTTGGAATTTAAAATATAGAATGTTTAGATTCAACATGTCTTATTGATATTTAAAGATTTAAAAGGGTCATCCATGAATCCACAGGAGTATTAAAGAATCATTCCATCTAGCCTTGATTCTGAAATATTCTATATATTTTGAGAGATAATCCATACAGTTCTTTTCTGTAGAAGCCCTTCTTTTTGGATACTCCATCTGTCAAGTCATCTCAGTAGAAATGTATTCAACAAATGTTGGTTGCCTACCACATCAAGAACTGCTGGGTGCTGCTGGAGAAATAAGGTTGGGATAGCCTCCAGCCCTGAGGATTAGATAATCTAGTTACGAGAGATGAAGGAGTATAGAAACGCTCAGCTATGATTCAAGTCACCTGGAATCCTTTCTAGAACTAAATGGGCTGTAATTTTTTTCCTCCATAAGTCAATGTAACTTCATATTTTTAACTATGTAAGCTAAATAGAAGGTAAAATAAAAGTACAAATAAAGTATTATCATATTATCCAAAACAATGTCCAATAGACATCACAGTATTTGTTTTCTGTCCCTATGTCTGTCTTTTACATCATTTTGTTGTCAGCCAGTCCTAAATGTATCTAGAAAACAACATTCTAGGGAATAGAAACCACTTGGTTTTAAAGCACATCAGGAAGAAAATGGCATTTTCATATAATTAAATGTTGAATTTTACTTAATGAAGCATAATTTCTTTGAGCAGTTAAATACTCAGGGATTTTAATTTTGTGGTTAGACTAAGTTTTTACATCAGAGGGTGAAGTGTAAGGTAGTCAGACTTTAAGCCAGACCCAAGTTGAAGTCCAGTTCTTCTATTACATGTCTGACTTGAGCAAATCTCTTAACTTATTAACTTCTTGGAGATTTAGTTTCCTTATCCAGATAGTAAGACCCTTTGTAGGGGTTGCAAGGACAAGTAAATAGAAGGTATTAAATAAATAGCACCTATTCCATTGAATTTACTTCCACAAAACTCTAAAGGCAATACCAGGTAGAAAAAAGTTTCTTTTGTAGAAAGAAAAGAATGAATTTTAAATGTCTTTCCATCTTCACACCACCAACCCCAACCAGAGTAAATGAATGATAGTAAAACCTGAGGATGAAAACTCCCACCAGGCCCATAGTCTCTGCATTCTCTGAGACTTCTGAAGCTATGTGCTATTTCTGTCAATACCACCATCATTATGAAATGGCTCCCTCCCCTTCCTCCTCCACTCTTCTACCAACTGGGTTTATCTTTTTCCTTTCTCCTCCTTTCCTATCTTCCTTTAGGCTTTCCAATAGCACATAACTGGGACCCGGGAACATTTTCTCAGTTACTCACTTGGGAATAAAACATTTATTGGCCTTAGCAGAAATCTCAAGACTCTGCTTTCTAAGGCTATGGTAAATACCCCTGAACATTCAGTTGGTCAGTCGTTGGAGCAGGACTGTCATTTATCCTTATTTTTTTCTGAGTCCCTCTGGCCTTTGGTTACTTTGAGGAAGCTGATGCATTCATCCACCAGCCAACCCTGCAGCTTTGCTGAAAGTGTTCTAATGAGACAGAGGGTACTAGGTCAATTACATGGGTTGCATCTTTCTCATTTCTGTAGTCACAGTTTTCCTTTAAAAAAAAAAAAAAAGAAATGAAAATAAAAGAGAAAAAAATCCAAAATAGAGTCCTATTGAATTTAGCTCCCCAGGATTCATGAGTTGTTCAGAGGTGGCTTGTAGTCCAGCCTTCATATTTCAGAACTGTAGGGAGATGAGCTCAATTCCTGATCTCTCACATGGCATGTGCCTCAATACTTTGGCACAGACCCCCATGATCCGCTTGAAGCGGGAAGCATTAGTCTTTAATTTGTCTTTAAACTTTTATCTTTAATTTGCCCTTTCATGACACTTTAATGTGATCCTTGTGTTTTTATATGAATTAAAATTTATAAATATAAAGCCTCACTCATGAGGCCCTTTATTTTCCTATCAGCTGGAAGAGAGGATCTGAGTAATTCAGCAAGGCGAGGTTTGTTTAGCTGAAATGAAAAGGGAAATGGTCAAAGATGAAATTGTTTAATTCTTTCTCACCAACTAACTGCAGAATTATAGATGTCTCTTGAATGCAATAAGTTAATTTCAGTCATTCTGCTTATTTGTATACACGTTGCCAAAGTAAAAGCCTAATCCAAAAATTAATGATTTGAGAATCCATTGGGTATTCTTCTGGGCCTAGTCCAATTATTTTTTTTTTTATGTGAACACCAAAACTCTCCTACAGTATGATATGTAGCCAACTGAGTGATTGACTAGTAGCTAATGCATATCAAGGAACAGTTAAACTTGCAGCTTTAAGCTAAGGCAAAGTTCAGCTACTTAACTTCAGTCATCTTTAAATGTAATTAAGTCTCCTGGGCTCCAGTTATGTGGAACCAGAAACTAGAAAGGCTGGGTTTTTCAATGGAAATAACAACTGGTTATAATCCACCAGCAAAAGTAATGAAAATATTCAAGGGAAGAAATTTTTGTTAAAAAGAATCAGATGTCATGTTATTGACTGTTTAAAAAGTACAACAAACTGTTTCATAATATGCCAAATAGTACCCACTATGTAAATTAATAAAAGCACCACAGATTAGTTTGGGGGGAATCTGATTAGGATAGGAGTTGAAAATAATGTGCACTTCGCTAACAGATGTACTCTTCATCATAGCATCCTTTATATCCATATCCATTCTGCTTGATAGGAGGAGACACCCACTGTTCTTAAAGCTCAGCGTGCCACCAGGCAAACTCTATTGGAGCATTGCTGCAACACAAAGTCCTAAAATTCCTGCTGTAGAACTGGAAGAAGCAGGTTGTGACAGCTTTTCATTTGCCCCCTGCTTAATTCTCTTAGGATAATACTTATAATTACTTTATGTAGGGAAGTCCTTTTGGCCCCATAGTAATTTTTATCATGCCAACATCTAGCACCATCGGTCCACCCTTCTCCCATTTGCTCAGGTCAGACAATAGAAGACTGAAAGTGTCTGGCCTGCAAATTGTCCTCTTAGTAACAAAATTCTATATGTATGTAAGTAGAAATTTTGTATCTATTGGTTTTTCAACAAAATTACTTCAATTTTACAAAATTCCTGCATACAGAGAAGGAAGTTCTTGCTTGCATTACTGACATGGTTTGGCTGTGTCCCCACCCAAATCTCGTCTTG
This sequence comes from Homo sapiens, assembly GCF_000001405.40. Classification (NCBI taxonomy): domain Eukaryota; kingdom Metazoa; phylum Chordata; class Mammalia; order Primates; family Hominidae; genus Homo; species Homo sapiens. Next base: position 53,151,109 of record NC_000005.10, read on the forward strand.
AATTGCAGCTCCCATAATTCCCACAGAGGAGGGACCTGGTGGGAGATAATTGAATCGTGGCAGCAGTTTCCACCACACTGTTCTCGTAGTAGTGAATAAGTCTCATGAGATCTGGTGGTTTTATAAGGGGTTGCCTTTTTGCTTGACTCTCATTCTCTCTTGTCTGCCACCATGTTAAGACATGCCTTTTCCTTCCACCATGATTGTGAGGCCTTCCCGGCCATGTGGAACTGTGAGTCCATTACACCTCCTTTTTTTTGTAAATTACCCAGTCTCAGGTATGTCTTTATCAGCAGTATGAAAGCAGAGTAACACAATTACCAAGTGATTAAGGAAATATTGACAAGTTTGGATATCATTATGACCATGATACAATTTTAGAGTTTAGAAACATGACGCTCTAATGTTGATGAAGTAAAGCTTTATTAAGGCTCTTGCTTGGTTTTCTTGGAAAGACATTCTACTTGCTATTTCTTGATTTTCCATCCATAACATGATGTAAGTTATGAGTTTTGAGTCTTTAGAAAGAAGGGGTCAAAATGGTGTAGGAGAATGGTGATGAGTAGGAAATCTCAGAGGTAAGGGAGGCTGAGGAAACCAAAACCACTTCGAAGTTAGACACACTTAAAAAGGCTTTGAATTCCACGGACTATGAAATGTGGAAGGCTCAAGCAGCATGGGGCCTTCCACTGACATCTGAGTCACACTGATTGACATACCATTGGCACACTGCTACTGCTGTCTTTGGGAGACTTAAGGAAAAATGGCAATTTTGCACTTTGACTAGTTAGAAAAGGAGATCAGCACATTCCTGGTGGCTTGGAGTAGTGGGAAGCAGTGGTACTGTTTTGGTCTGCTACAGAGCTCATGTGCTGCCCTGGAGCAATGCCAACCCCTTCATCTGAGTCAGACTTAAAGTTATTCAGCAAATATATTCCTTCTAGAATTCAGCTTCTCTTCACATGTGTATGATTCTTTCTTTAATAAGGTAGGGCTAAATACCAGATGGATTTCCTATTATACCTTAGCTGCCAGGATGCTTAAAAAGCTCAATTACTATCATCACTCTGGGTGTCATCAGCATCTATGCTGAGGCTTGTTCAACATCTCTTGCCTTCCTTAGTTGTAACAGTTTTCAAATTTGCTGCACTTCAGCACTGAGTACCCAGACTGGTGATCCATAAAAGGCTCTACTCCACTATATACTATTGCATCAAGGTAGGCATTGCCCTCAGCTGGAACCGAATGACCTATGAAAGTGTAAACTCTGGCATATCAACATCTTTCTATAACCTCTCATCCCTCCATCTCTCTTACTCTCTAGCTCCCAAAGCACTTGGTCTTAGGTATCTGGAACCTCATTTTTCTTCCCAGAGAGTCACCTCCTCATTGTTTTCCTTCCTTCCTTTCCACCGTAATGAATCACACTATAATCTGACTTGCCAGGACCCTGAACATTCTTGCCCCATTTTTTCCTCTACACCTACTCTGAAAACTTTTACTTTTATATCAGGTTTTAGGCCAGCCCAATGGTGTGTACTATCATCCCTGTCCCCCTGAAAGTCAATCACTGCCAAAGAAAATGCACATAAATCAAATTGACTAGTAGTGTCAATGCAAATTTGGGGACTTCAACCTTGACTTGGCTTTGGCATTCAGCACTTCTTGATGTTCTTTGTGCACATGGTCAGCTCTCTTTCTCCTTTTTCCAAAGCAGCTATTTCAAACCTTCATTATTTTCTTCTTTATGCACCACCTTATCTGTTCTTTTCCCAGACAAGTATGACGCTTTAAAACTCAATTTATGCTCTTCATATTGCCTTCTTTAATTCTCAATCATATTTCAACTCCCCCGTGCTTTAGTACTCTTTGAAATTGCTCTAGATAAAATTTTTAATGTGTTCTTTGCTGCTAAAATGAATGAATATTTTCAAATCCTCATCTTACTGCATTTTTGTACTCTTCCTTATGAAGCTGTCCTACCCCTGACTCTTCAGTTATTTTTTTCTTTTTATTATTATTATTATTATACTTTAAGTTTTAGGGTATCAGCTATTTTTTTTTTCTATCTAACTGCATCTTCTTAGCCTCCCTTTAGAACTGCTCCTCCTTTGCCTTCCCTTTAGCTATTGTTATTCCCTGGGCATGGTTGTCTTTTCTTCCCTTGCTCATATGCCAAAAACATACTAACCCTACATCAGTAAGTACCAAGTCTGTACAACAAATCTACCCTTCTTCTCTAGGCTCCAGACCCATACATCTCACAATCCACTGGAGATCCAGGATGGTCTCTCTTGCTAACAAGAGTAGTTAGTTCAGCCTTGAGAGCTCATGCCGTTGGGCTCTTACATAGCTTTCATCATTACCAACATGGCCACTCCATTCACGTGTCCATTATGACAGCATTGGGGTGGCTCATAACAGAATCTGGCTGATACCTACTGCCAAGTCATTTTGATTACCTGATAGTTTAGTGCCTCTTCAGTGAGAGATGCTTCCTGCTAGACACTAACATGCGATACTTTATATCTACTTCTATATGTCCACTTGTCTCCAGCTTAAAACTTTCTTATTTCCAGGCTCCTGAGGACTGAACCAAACCATCTCGCACTGTAAGTATGTCCATGTGTATGGCATATATTCTAACCTCAGGCTACTTGTCTTTCCACTCAAATTAGATAACCAGGTCTACTGCTAGAAGCTCTGTCCATTATAAAAATTTCTCTTTTGAGGCTGTAGTGTAGTCACCACCTGTGTTTGACTTATACTCACATTCCTAATCTGACCAAGCTTAAGCTTTTTATTTTCCTTTATTTCCTGGTCACAAGGGATTCCCCTATAGGTATAAATGGAGGTAGGCACAGGAGCAACAACAGTAGATGACATGGGGATCTGGGCTACTTGCTCACGATGCTCGCATTTCTCTTATTGGCCCTACTTGTCCTTTATCTGGGAGGCACCACTCATACTAATATTGTGGAGACACCACAATATTAAGATTGGTGTTGGGCCTACTTGACTTGAGGGTTTGATGGGTTTGACAATACTCATGAGAGTAGATCTGGTGACATGGTCTGGTGATTTGTCTCTACCAGGGCCCCATTGCACACCTGAAGCTGTCTGTGAAAGGTATATAATTTCACACTGCAGATGGCATGGCTTTGCTCCAGAACCCAACAGATCTACATGATGATTACCCCATTCAAGATTGCCATAAAATCCAGAGAGTGTATTTTCCCACCAGCTATATTTCTAATAACATAATGTCTTACAGATCATATGATCATAGCAGTAGATCTGCTTATTTTGCAACTGGGAACTGATGAAGAGCCTTTTCCTGTTCTGGACCCCGTCTTAAATCTAGCAGTCTGTAGTTTCATTCAATGTGTTAGTTGAAGCTGTGTTAATAAGAGTGGTGTTCTACCTTTAAAATGTGAAGAGGTGTACTAGACATTCCTTTTTGGAGGAGGGTGAAATAAGCAATTATGTGTCTATTAATTTTGTGTTTTTGAAGAGGATGTTCCAGCATGCCCCAGACTATTAGATATCTAAAATAGTGGTGTGTCTCTGAATTTTTATACGTTTTATCACCCTCCCTCCAGAGTGCATGTATCTTATGAACATCTCTGATGTACTCCCACTTTGTGCTCATTTGGTACAATTAGCATGACATCACTGATGTGATGTTCTGCAGGACATCCAGTAAACCCAGGTCTCTGGACCATGCAGAAGAGTTGATCTAGTCCTGAGACAAGACAAAAGATATAAATTGTGGCTTTTTCCAAATGAATTCAAACTTATTCTGAACTTCTTTTCTGATAGGGATGAAAAATAATGCATTCACCAAATCAATGGCAAATTAACCTGTTCCTCAGTTTGTGTTAATCTGCTCTGGTAAAGATACTGTAACTGGCACAATAATTTCAATGGGGACTACTGTTTTGCAGGTTTCATAGTAGTCTACTCTTATCCTCCAGGATCTGTCTTATTTTTGGAGGATCAGACTCTTGAATTAAACAGGCTTATGATAGGAACCGTAAGCATTGCATCTTTTAAGCTTTTAGGGGTAGCATTGGTGCTATGGTTTGAGTGTGTTTCCCAGATTTTATGTGTTGGAAACTTAATCCCCAAAAGGATGTGTTGAATGAAGGTTGGTCTTTAGAATTAGATAAGGTCATCTGGGTGGGCTCTCATGATAAGACTGGTGGCTTTATAAGAAGAAGAGAGATCTGAGCTGACATGCACACTCTTGACCTGTTACCATATAATACCCTCTGCCATGTTATGACATAGCTAGAAGCCCCTCACCAGATGCTGGTTCCCTGATCTTGGACTTCATAGCCTCCAGAACCATGAGCTAAATAAACTTTTCCTTATAGATTACCCAGCATGGGATTCTGCTATAGCAACAGAAAGCAGACTAAGACAACTGATTTCTGTGATAACCCCCATATTTTATATTGCTTTCGATTTACTCTTTTGGTTTGAGGGGCGATAGTTTCAGAGGCTTCTACTTGGCCTTTCTCACTATGATCACTCTTACTCCATGGTCCAGGGAACCAATATGGCTTGTGCCAACTACCAATTTGTTCATTTTGAAATTTTTATTTATTTATTTATTTTGAGATGGAGTCTTGCTCTGTCACCCAGCCTGGAGTACAGTGGTGCGATCTCAGCTCACCGCAACTGCCACCTCCCAGGTTCAAGCAATTCTTCCACCTCAGCCCCCCAAGTAGCTGGGATTACAGGCACACACCACCACGCCTGGCTAATTTTTGTATTTTTAGTAGAAATGGGTTTTCACCATGTTAGGCAGGCTGGTCTTGAACTCCTGAACTCAGGTGATCTGCCTACCTTGGCCTCCCAAAGTGCTGGGATTATAGGCATGATCCACCACACCTGGCCCAATTTGTTTATTTTAGTTATGCATTTGAGACCAGGGAAATGGCCAAAGGATAGTCCATGGATCCAGTAAGCCCACTGGGAGCCAGATCTCCCTTTATTACCTGTGGCCTACCTGCCCCTACTCTAGCCAGGTCCCATAAAGGCACTTCAAGTCACCAGATATCAATGTCAACTCAGACCCTGTATCCAAAACTTCTCAAAATATCTTTGAATTTTCCTTTCCCAGAGTACCTTTACCTTAGTAAATGGCTGAGTTTGGGGGGAAGGACTATAGAATTATTGTTGCCTACATTTATTATGCTGTTGCAAATCCTTCCTTCTAGAAATTTGACCTTTTCTTCAGTCTGTGTATTCTGGGTCTAAGAACGGCTTCAGATCTGAAAATCAAGTAACTGTCCAATCTCTTGATTACCCATCCTTGATTCCTTTTGCCATTGGGAACACCATGCTTTTTAAACCATAGCTATAACTGTCTGCTGGTTAGTGCCTCTCCTCTTCTCTTCTTGCTACTCATTACAATCATTGCATCCACTTGTATTCTGTTGGTAAATGGTGCCACCTGCTCTACATTGTCCCAGGGTCTTGTTATTCACTTTATGTTGAGCCTGGTTCTCTGATGGTATCTCCTATGATTCTTCTGACCTACAGAGAGGCATCACCAACTGAGCTTCTGAGTGCTTGTTCCATTTACGTCTTTTGCTTAAATTAGTAGTGCATTCTCCACTCCTTCCTGTGGAATATAGTCTTCCAGTGGGCTTTCTGCCTTATAGTATATTTACTCCAACATGCCCACTTCTCTGAGCCTTTCAACATCTTCTTTCAATATCAGCAATGGTAATTTTGTCACTTAGAGTGAGCCATCACTTTTCCCATGCTTTCAGGGGCCATTCTAGTAACTAGTGTGTACCATTCCCAGGGTGTTAAACATTGTATCCTAAGAATGTAATCCCAAATTGATAACTTCTCTCTTTTCCAACCTTATTCTACTCTTCCCTTGATCAACACCCTAAAAATTCAAACCAATGCATACTGTCCTTGTTCGTGCCACCATGCAGTGGCTAAATCCTGTAGCTCTTTTGGGATGTATCCCATTGTCAACAGAACAATAGTGGGTCACCCAGCTCCAAAATTACATCCCAGCATCTGCTTTCTCAGAGTATTCCTGGCATCAACTACTAAGGTTTGTTTTCTCTGTGGAGCAGACTCTGATACCAAGATTAGCATATAGGATGTTATTAGGTAGTGCTCTTGAGATCAAGAGCAGGAAGGAAAGGGAAGGAGCAAGATCAGTCAGCGGAAGAAGTCGATTTGCAATACATTTCAACAGAAGCCTCAGGTGATCCTCTTGGTTATTCTGAATAGGGAATAATCCTTTAGATACATCCTAAATTGGGGAGAAGAAGCTAGGTAGGCCTTTACAACTCCCCTGCAGTGAATGGTGGCAACCCCAGAAAGGAGGTATGGCACTGGACTAGGCTGCTGTCTTCAGCTGAAAAAACCCTGAAGGAGGCTGACAGCTGAAGGCTGTTTTTAATAGTATACCCAGCATCCATGCTTAATAAATCCTTCATTCCTGAAGGGGAATCTGGGCGATGCATCACAGCTTCCACCACACACGGTGTTGGAGTGTACTCATACTAAGCAACGCATGTCTGCAAAACCATTTATCACTTTAAAAAATTAGATGAAATAAAAAAAACCTCTGAATGGCACCCCATGAATTAACCCAAGAGGTTGGGAATTAGGGAAAGTACTTAGTGTGGCTGAAAGATACTCTGATCACTTTATTATCCTTGCCAAACACAAAACCAAGATGGCTACACATGCTCCTGGCTCCTATGATCCCAGAACTTTGTTTATCCTGAAATAAATACATCCTGAAGAGAAGCAACAGAGGTTCCTCAGGTTACCAAGATCTCCCTCTGAGATTGGCAGTAGCAGGGAGCAGAGTTTTGATGTGATTGTCTAAAGTAGTATTGACATGGGTGGAGATCTCTTCCTAAGTTTAGAATATGCCATTAGCCATCAAGCCTAAAGCCTTAATCCAGTGGCTTTCACTGGATTAAGAATGGAAAGGAATCTTGGAAAGCTTTCCTATGGTGACAGTACCCAGGGGTAGGAGGAAGGTGAAAAGGGGGACTCTTGTGTCTTGCCCACTCTGAGCTCTTTGGAAGGAAGGAAAATGTTAAGGACACTCTGAACTTATTTAGACAAATCTTGGGCTTAAAATGCTTCACTAGATTCCTATATTCTACAGCCGTAGTTCTCAATACTCCCATCTTTATAGAAAATATTTATTAATAGTCCTCTTTTTATTATCCTGAAATAAAATTCATAAGTGTAATCTGCCTACATATATTTAAAATAAAACAAAACAAAATGAAAAACTAGAATTTTTTCTAGCTGGATTATGAAAGAAAAATAAAAGTACCATAGTAAAATAATATATTTTTCATTAGTAAATGCCTAGACACAAAAGCAATAGAAGACATAATAAAGCAAACAGATTCTTACACCTGTATGTTGAGTCACTATGCATGTGACAGTTACATATGCTGACTGATAGAGGCATACATATTGGAAAAACAAACACCAAGAGTGGTTTTATTGTGCCAACATGATTTTCTGAAATTGTAAATAATGTTTGGACACTAAAAAAATATTTTTGATCACAGATGATCCTAAAGATTTCATATACAAATATAGTCTTGTTGGAGTTGATAAATGAATTTAGCAAAGCAGCAGGATGCAAAGTCAAGATGTAAACTTTGGTTGGATTTCTATATACTAATAATGAATGATACGAAAAGGGAATTATGAAAATTCCATTTACAATACTCCTTGCTATTGTAAGGAGTGAAGGACTTGTAAAATGCAAACTGTGAAATATTGCTGAAATAAATTAAAGACATAAATAAATGGAAACAGGCCAGGTGTGGTGGCCTTTGTTATCCCAGCACTTTGGGAGGCCAAGGTGGGAGGATCACTTGAGCCTAGGAGTTTGAAACCAGCTGGGCAACTTCAGAAGATCACATCTCTACAAAAAAAAAAAAAAAAAATTAAAAATTAGCCAGACGTGTGGTGGTGGCCCACAGCTGCTTGAGACGCTGAAGCAGGAGGATTGCTTGAGCCTGGATAGTTGAGGCTGTGGTGAGCCACGATTGCACCACTGCACTCCAGCCTGGGTGACAAAACAAAACCCTGTCTCAAAAACAAAGAAAGAGGAGAGAGAGAGAAAACAAAATAAATAAATAAATGGAAACATATCTCATTGGAAGACTTATTGTTAAGATGCCAATACTACCCAAAGCAATATACAGATTCAATGCAATGCCTATCAAACTCCCAAGGACTTTATTTGCAGAAATAGAAAAACCCATCCTAAAATTCACACAAAATCTCACTGGACCCTGAATAGCCAAAACAATCTTGAAAAAGAACAACAAAGCTGGAGGACTCACACTTCCTGGTTTCAAAAACTTACTACAAAGCTACAGTAATCAAATCAGGGTGGTACTAGTATAAAGACAGTTATATAGACCAATGGAATAAAATAATAAGCCCAGAAGTAAACTCTTGCATATGTGATCAAATTATTTTGAACAAAAACAACAAGACCATTTAATGGGGAAAAAAACAGTCTTTTCGACGTATGGTGCTAGGAAAACTGGCAATCCACACACAAAAGAGTAAAGTTACTTAACATCGTGTACAAAAATTAAATCAAAACAAATCAAATATCTAAATATAATACCCCAAACTATAAAACTCACTGAAGGAAACATAGGGCAAAATCTTCATGACATAGATTTGACAATGATGTCTTGGAAAAGACTGCCAAAGGCAAAGGCAACAATAGAAAAAATAGACCAGTTGAATTTCATGAAAAGTAAAACCCTTTGTGAATCAAAAGACAGTATCAACAGAGTAAAAAGGCAACCATAGAATGGGAAATAATATTTGCAAATGATATGTTTTATAAAAGATTAATATCCAGAATACATAATGAACTCCTAAAACTCAAGAAGTACAATAAAACACTCAATTCAAAAATGGGCAAAGGTTTTTAATGGACATTTCTTCAAGGAAGATATACAATTGACCAATAATCATATGAAAATTTGCTTAACATTCTACCAATCACTGGGGAAATGCAAATCAAAATTACAATAGCATACCACCTCATACTCATTAGGAAGACGACTATGAAAAAAAAAAAAAAAGAGAGACTCCCGCCTGTAATCCCACACCCTGAGAGGCTGAGGCAGGCAGATCACTGAGGTCAGGAGTTCGAGACTAGCCTAGCCAACATGGTGAAACCTCATCTCTACTAAAAATACAAAATTTAGCTGGGTGTGGTGGTGCACGCCTGTAATCCCAGCTACTCAGGAGCTACTCAGAAGCTACTCAGAATTGCTTGAACCTGGAGGGCAGAGGTTGCAGTGAGCAGAGATCATGCCACTGCACTCTAGCCTGGGAAACAGAGAGAGACTCTTGTCTCCAAAAAAAAAAAAAAAAGAAGAAGAAAGAAAAAGGAAAATAACACATATTGGCAAGGACATGGAGAAATATGAATCTTTGTGCACTGTTGGTGAAAACGTGAAATAGTTGAACCTCTATGGAAAACAGCATAGTGATTCCTCAAAAAATTACTATATGATCTAGCAATTTCACTTCTGGGTACATACCAAAAGCATTGAAAGCAGAGTCTTAAAGGAATATGTGTATGCCCATGTTCATAGCAGCATTATTCACAATAGCTAAAATGTGAACTAAGCCATGGTCCATTGATGGATAAATGGATAAGCAAAATGTGATATACACATACAATGGAATATTATTCAGCCTTAAGAAAGAAATTTCTGACATATGCTACAATGTAGGTGAACGTTGAGGACACTATACTAAAATAAATATGCCAATTACAAAAAGACAAATTTGTATGATTTAACCTATGTGAGATACTTAGAGTACTCAAAATCATAGAAACAAAGTGGAATGGTGGTTGCTAAAGGCTGAAAGAAAGGGAGAATGAGGAGTTACATTTAACGGGTATGGAGTTTCATTTTCGCAAGATGAAAAGAGTTGTGGTGACAGATGTTAACGATGGTTGCTCCACATTGTGAATGTACTGTGTTGAATGTTACTGAATGTATACTTGAAAATTAAGATGGTAATGTTTATGTTATGGGTATTTGACCATAATGGAAAAAACTGAAAAATAGATATATTAAGAACTGTATCCTAATCTTACAGAAAACATTCCACATATTTTTCCTTTAAATAATAGTCATTCCGGCTGGGCACAGTGGCTCATGCCTGTAATCCCAGCACTTTGGGAGGCCGAGGCGGGCAGATCATGAGGTCAGGAGTTTGAGACCAGCCTGACCAATGTGGTGAAACCCTATCTCTACTAAAAATACAAAAATTAGCTGGGCGTGGTGGCACGCGCCTGTAATCCCAGCTACGCAGGGGGCTGAGGCAGGAGAATTGCTTGAACCCAGGAGGCAGAAGGTTGCAGTGAGCTGAGATTGCACCATGGCACTCCAGCCTGGGTGACAGAGCAAGATCAAAAAAAAAAAAAAAAGTCTTTCCTAGTACATTAAACAGAGTTCAACTTACAAAAAAAAAAAACAAAAAACCTTTCCTTCAATTTACAGAATAGTGATATTCTGTGTATAGTAAACTTCAGTGTATAGTAAATGATATAAAAACACTTGGTATTTTTTAGGTAAAATAAAGTTTTGTTCTGGACCCAGTTCATGATAAACAGGTTTTTCACCTATACAAATGTCTGGCCAAGGTGAAACATTTCTTCTTTGCATGAGGATTCCCCATGAAGGGGAAGGCGTCTAGCACCATTGACCTCTACCCAGTAAATGGCAATAGCACCTGGACATCTTTGTGACAGCCAAAACAACTACAACAACAACCGTCTCTCAAATTTCCAAAATGCTCATGGCAGCAGTAGTTCCCTGTGGAGAATCCCTGGTCTGCAAGATCAAGTCCAGACTGCCTGGCTTGATTAGTCAGCTCAGGCTGTCAGAAAAAAATACCACAGACTGTGTGCCTTAAGCAACAGAACTTTATTTTCTCACAGTTCTGGAGGCTGGAAATACAAGATCAGATGCCAATATGGTCACGTTCTGATGAGGACTGTCTTCCTGACCTGCAGATGGCCACCTCCTCCTTGAGTCCTCACATGGCAGAGAGAGAGAGAGAGAGAGAGAGAAAGCAAGAGAGAGAGAGAAAGCAAGCTCTCTACTATCTCTTCTTCTAAGGATACAAATCCCATCAGATCAGGGCCCTACCCTTACAATGTCATTTATTTAACCTTAATTGCTTCCATTAAGGTCCCATCTCCAAACACAGTCACTTAGGGGCTTAGGGATTCAACATATGAATCTCAGAGGGACACAATTCAGTCCACAGCACTGGCACATTCTACAAGGCCCTCCATTGTTTGCCCTTTATGGGCATTTGTATTAGGGTTCTCTAAAGGGACAGAACTAATAGAATAGATGAATTTGTGAAGGGGAGTTTGTTAGGAGAATTGACTCACACAATCACAAGATGAAGTCTCACAATAGGCTGTCTGGAAGCTGAGGATCCAGGAAGCCAGTTCAAGTCCCAAAACCTCGAAAACAGGGAAACCAACCGTGCAGCCTTCAGTCTGTGGCTGAAGGCTCGAGACACCCTGGCAAACCAAATGTAAGTCCAAAAGTTCAAAAGCTGAAGAACATGGAGTCTGATGTTCAAGGGCAGGAAGCATCAGCATAGGAGAAAGATAGAGGCCAGAAGACTCAGCCAGTTTGCTCTTTCAATGCCTGCTTTTATGCTGGCAGCTAATTAGATGGTGCCCACCCAGGCTGAGGGTGGGTATGCCTCTCCCAGTCCACTGACTCAAATGTTAATCTCCTTGGGCAACACCCTCACAGACACACCCAGGATCAATACTTTGCATCCTTCAATCCAATCAAGTTGATACTCAATATTAACTATCACAGCATTCCTTCCTTGCAGGCTTGTCCATTGACACCAGGCTGCTCACAGGTCCCCATGCACCTTGTGCTGTCTCATGTCTTTGTGCCTAGGCTCGCACTGTACTGTGTCTGAAACCACTGACCATTCTTTGAGGAAGTCTTTTCCTGCTTTCTAGGCTGAATGATACTGTTTCATTGCATTTCTCTGTTTGACTCTACCTTTAAACTTAGCGAGTTGCATAATTTATATTGTCTTCTTTTTGTGAGTTCCCTGAGGATACTGTATCTTTTTTTTTTTTTTTTTTTTTTTTTTGAGACGGAGTCTCGCTCTGTCGCCCAGGCTGGAGTGCAGTGGCGGGATCTCGGCTCTCTGCAAGCTCCGCCTCCCGGGTTCACGCCATTCTCCTGCCTCAGCCTCCCGAGTAGCTGGGACTACAGGCGCCCGCCACTACGCCCGGCTAATTTTTTGTATTTTTAGTAGAGACGGGGTTTCACCGTGTTAGCCGGGATGGTCTCGATCTCCTGACCTCGTGATCCGCCCGCCTCGGCCTCCCAAAGTGCTGGGATTACAGGCGTGAGCCACCGCGCCCGGCCGAGGATACTGTATCTTATCTCTGATGAATTCACATCTGAACACAACGCCTGGCACCTAGAGGACTCTCAATTTCCATGTGGTGGAATTTTGAGTGGTTAGAAACAGGGAAGCTGATGGGCTCACCAAAGAAGAGAGTGAAGAGAAAGGAAAAAAATATCGCTACCATGCAGTGATAGCACAGAGAAGGAATGTTCACATAGGATGGAGAAAGAGAAATGTCAGTGTGATTGAAAATCATGGGAAGAAATATTCAAGGAATACATGGCCAGCTGGTTTCTGAACTATAGGAATTCAGAAGTTAAGGCACATAAAATAACATCAGGTATTTAAAAAGGAAAATCATTGGTAGTATCCATAAGAAAGTCCCATCAGAGTGGGATTGAAGAGAAACCAGATAATGGAGGTTTAAGAAAAGATTGAAATAGACGGGGAGATGGAGGCACTTGCCATGAACCACCAGCTCAAGGATTCTATGCATACTTCAAAGGTAGCTCTGTATTAATATGTCTGAATGAAACTAACTTTTTTAAAATTACAATGATAAATTTTACTTAGACTATGTAAGCCATACCCAGAAAGCTTAAAGAGAAAGTAAAACTCAACCAAAATTTTACAACCCTTTATATTTTGGTAAATATTCTTCTCCCAGTCACCTTTCTATGCAGTTATAAATTTTTATGAAAATGGAAGATTATTTCTCTTTTTTTAGTACATTTGATTGCTTATGAAGCTGTTTTTAGGATCCAGTGATCACAAAACATTTGTATAGTTTTTGAAATATTCAGTGTCTCATTACTTCATGTGTTGCAGATGATTTAATTAAAGGGTGGATACATTTCATTGGTAATAGGAATGGACATAATTTACCCTGGGAAACTTGGCTTTCAAATGACATGCCTTTGATTAAATAAAACACATACTTTTCTTTGGTTTTAGTGCTTCTGTGAATAAACAACTTTGCAACTCTCTTGTGCTTTGGGGGAACACGTCCTCTCAGTTTCTCATGTTGCCTCACCTTTGTTTGCACTGGACTCAAGCTCTGCAAGCAGTACCAGGAGGGGTGGTCAGGGCCATTTGTCTACCTTTAAATTGTGAATTAATAACTGGTAAAAACAGAAGGACAAAGGACAAGGGCAGAGGGCAAAATCCCTGGCTGTGGTTTTGGAGAGGGTGTAGAGAGAGAAAAGTTGGTTGGCCTTGTCATTTTTCCCCGCTCCCCCAAGCTGTGGAGGGTCTCTGAGACCCCTCTTTGTGCCTTTTACTTACCCAGCTATGTGAGGCAGGTTCCTGGCCTCTGTTCTGAGTGGAATTTGAAGATAGGGCCACACTTATGCTATGAACTCTTGACCTTTCCACCACTCTATGCAGAGGAAAGAGTCCTGCACTGGAAGTTAAAGAAACTGAAGCTTCCTAAAATGAGAGACTGAGCTACATGACCTTTGGATATCCTTCAATGTCCATGACTCTGTGAGTCTCTAATGCAGGAGCTCTGCAGAGGCAAGAATGTTGCTGTTTCTTTTTTATTCAGAAACTCTAGAAGCAAAATTAAGGGTGAATTTTCCAGCCCAGGGTATGTGATGCAGGTCCTCTGTTCTGTATTGGCAACTCCTTCCTTCTTCCTACACTATAGTTTGGTTCCAAAATCAAACATTTTCTGAGTGTGTACAAAAGAAGCCTGAATACCCTAATCTGGTGCTGCAAAAAAGACACAGAGTTGGATGTAACACATGACTTTACCTGGTCGATCTCAAAAAAAATATTGCTTATTCTGATACAAAAAAATTGAAAATTAAAAGAGAAAAGATATGCAGTCATACATTTAGATGCTGCATTAGACATTAGAGATAATTTTGGCCCACCTAGAAATTTCACATATAAGGCTTCACAAGATGAATTTTATTAAAGTTTATCAAGCAGCTATATAGACTCGGAGCCTGGAGTAGAAGCCATCTCTCTAGACAATCTGGTTAGTGCTTTCTCTCTTGAGTCGCTCAGCTTCACACACCACCATATGCTCATTCCAACAAAGCACATCTATGAATGTATATAGGCAGATTTATATGTATGTGTGTGTATATATATATTCATAGTCATCAACTTCCAGCATTTATGCACATAATGGGGTGCCTGGGAATATCTTACTTTTCTCCTTCAATATGCCCACAGCTGTTGATTCTGAACATCTGGGATAATTCAACTCTAAACAAAATACAGTGTGCATAATGCCAGGCACACTTAATCCCTCTTTTGAAGGAATTACCAAAATTAGTGTGAAGGAAAAAATTCAGTAGATCTAATAGAACCAACCTTGAATAGCACTGCTAATATATTGCAAAACAAAAATCTCCCTTGAATGTTCCATAAGATTTATTCATATGGAAGTGCTGTCACATGAGCTGAAAACACGCCAGAGTACCGCATCCAAAAGCAGTGATAAATGGCCATCCCCAGACAGGGGAAGTTGTCCAGTAAGTTCTCTATGGTATTGGAATAAAACCAGGTTAATTTAATATCTTTATTCGTGGCCTGTTAGAGGGTAGGGGGTAAATAGTATCCCTTGCTAATATGATAAATGTGCTACATTGGCAGCTGTTTAAAAATTGTAATGATAGAGGATGTAATGCACCATGGAAAAGAGAAGCTAGAAATATGGCAGAAAATCATGAAATGAGATTCAACTTGGAAACATGAATGCCGATACAACTGGGAATTATAATATGAAACTGGGAAATTGTCCAAAATCTGGCCTGAAGGGAGAGAAAAAAAAAAAAACAAGCAAGTAACAAAAATCAGAGTACTGTTCATTCCCAAACAGGATCTGCCACTTCCAAGTGTGGAGATTCAAATTTTACATATTTACAAATATTCTTCAAGGCAGAGTTTGAAACTGAGAAGGTTGTAACAAGATGACCGGGGGGCATATCAGGTCAATGACCATGTGAGACCACTCTAATAACACCAGAAAATGAGCTGGTGGCACTTCCAGAAAAGCCAGGAGAATTGCATTAGCCAGAGCTATTAGATAGCCTCAGGTGATTGGAAGCTAGTCACAATAGAAAGCTTTCTGGACTCCAGGAAGATGGAGTAGGTGGTGGGTGACAGACATTTTAATGGTCTGCCTGTGACAGTCAACCTATGTGCAATTAAGAGTCAAAACATTAAAGTGGATAATTTAATCCCTCAAATAGAAGGTAAAAATAAAATGCTAATGCCACAACTATTTAACTATGACCAATTGGCAGAATCCAGTCCAATAAATATTTTTTTATGATTCAAATACTGTATCTTCCAAAGAATGCTACTCATGAACAGAAGTAATGTAGAGACCTCAAGCAAAATGTAGGATGAATGAGCTTGCCAGAGAAATGGAGGAAGTTTTTGTTTAAAAAAATCCCCTCTCTAGTCATTTTCAAAGTTATCTGGGAGCCATTGTTTATTTTTTTGTATTTTTCTATAAACATTAACTTTGAAATCAGTCAGATCTAGGTTCAAATCCTAGTTCTACTCCGTTCTACCCAGGTATTACTGAAAGTTTCTTATGCTTGATTTCTTCAGCTGTCAAAAGTGGATAATAGTACTACCTCTCAGGGAACATGCAAAGACTTACACGTAATGCATAAATAACACTGCATAATGCCTATTCATAGAAAGCACTTATAAGGGAAGCAGTGAAATTCTATCAAAACCAGTAAAGTACAGTGGATAAGAGATACCTAGTTCAACTCTCAGCTCTTCCCAGATCTCTAAATTGGGGTGAATTATTTAAACCCAATGCTGTACCTCTGTTTTCAAGTTTTTTCAATGCAAAGAATACCAGTGCCTACCTTTTTTATACGATGATTGTGAGACTTAAACGAGAAAATACGTGTAAAGTACTTGAACCAGTACCTGGCATATAACTACTCAACTGTACTTTTATATGTTAAACTCAAGAGGCTTTAAATTTCAAATAAATAAAATATAATGGGATAGTCATTTTGATTGCATTTCACTTGTCTTAGCTGGGAATCCTGAATGTCATGGCTACTGTTTCAATGTTCGGGTGGCTAGGATGCAGTGGCCTATAGTGATTGATTAGTAGCATGATTGCTGGAGTCAGGCATATATGAGTAAAAATCCTGGCTCTGACTCTCACTAGCTGTGCCACTGCGGACATGTGATTTAACCTCTGGAAACCTCAGTTTCCTTTCCTATAAAAAGATTACCTACTTCACTGGGTAATTGTAAAGAATAAAGAGGCCAACACCTATATGAGAGTGAAAGAACATTGCTGGGGATTGACATGCCCCTGCTGCCTACCACAACAGCCCCACAGGTCCAGAGACAGCTGGAGAAAGTTGGGGAAGTCTCTGTCTTGTGGGTCAGCTTCTCCTGGCTAGTTCCTAAAACTGGGAACAGTTCCAGGAACAAGCTGCAGCTGAGGACACAGAGAACAGAACTGAGAACAGAAACCAGGGACAGTTGGGAGACATAGCTGTGGGCAAATCTAGACCCTTGTGGATGAAAGTTGGCTGGACCTGGTGTCATTGGGCAATGACCACAGGAAGGAACAGATAAACAAGAAACATTGCATGGTCTTAAAGACACAGGAAAAGCCTCAAAATCGAAATAAAGAGCAAGATGATTTCTGTGAGTAGGCCTGTGGGAAGTGGAGAAGGAGGGTGGCTCTGGAGAAATCTCAGATACTGAAAATATCTGTTTTTGTTATATTACTAAGAGCCACATCAAATATGACATGGTTTTTGAACCACTTCTATACCTTCATTAATTAGTTGTGTTTTTGTTCATTCATAAAGCACTGGTTTATCATAAATGAATTAATTCTAAGCATCATTCCTTTTAATCCTCTAAAATAATCAAGTTTTATTGTATACAGTCTTAATTACAAAGTCCAGATGAGGTCACAGAATAGAAACTTTTCACATTAAATATTTCTCCCCCACAGAACACATTGTTTTCTCAGTCTACTGGAGTGGAGAGGAACAGATATAAATTATGTCAAAAGAAAACAAAATGTCTCCCTTAAAAGGGATTAGAAAACTAGAAGGAAGACTTAGAGTTCTGCAAACAGTGGATGTGTGGTTGATGTTATTCATGAAGGATGATAAAGTTAGGGATAATGGAATAAAATGAGGCAAATTGAAGTTAACCTTAGCCCTGAAAATAAAGATCTAAAATATGAACAGTTTATGAAGATATTTATTAGTCCACTCATCTTCTGATCTATAGATCAAAACCAGTGACTTCCTATTCATAAATTACTGCTTGGGAGTTAGTTGGGCAATTTTGGAAGGTTTTCAACTCCCAGGTCATTTGAGAGCTATTAATGTAAGAGCTACTTTGCTAACTGGTACCCTAAGGAGCTTGTAAGAATTAAGAGAGACAGAAGTGACTTCTGCACTTGGAGAATTTGGCCAAGAATAAGACAAATAGGAAATGGGATAGATCCTTTTGTGATTCAGGCAAGTCAAAAGGAGAGTTGAGATTTACATGCCCTTCTTCAGCGATTCTCAATCCCAGTAAATTGCAAGAGAGACAGAAGAGCCCTTATCTTGATTAGTGTCTCCATTCCCCTGTAGCCCTCTAGCAACTTCCTTTGAGACAAACTTATCATTGAGGATTCAGCGAGCAATTGCATTCCCATGTGTTTAATTTGTCATTAGAATATCACTATGTATCTTTCATAGTGCAACATTTATAATATTTTAGTAGAGTATTATAATTAAAATAATCTGACTTGATTGCACAAACTTTATTCTGGCTAAAAGATGCTGTCCCTGACACAATTTTTGTTAAAAATTTAATACTTATTTTTCAATGGAAAAGACTGGTTTCTTGTTACAGCCACAGTGTATTAGTTCACTTGATGATCAGCTGATATAATGCCCCATCACTCCTCCATCCAGTAAGATGGAATTCATATTTTGAACTAACTTCTGTCCTACACCTCAAGTCAGAGCATGCTGATCAAGCCATAGCAGTGCTTCTCCCACACTGGGCAGAAATTCTCTTTTTATTTATGTTTATATACAAAGTACATGCAAGGCATCAACACAGAGAATAGGGTAAGTATGCAATAGGTGTTTGTTGAGTGACTAAATGATGCTTATCATTTCTGACACTCAATACATGGAAATACTCTGCAAAGCCTACACAAAGCATGGCTTTAAATCACTTGTTTAGAAAATATATACAAAAATTTTACCATGTTGTTTTTCATTAAACCAGTTTAATCTCTCTTGTCACATTTCATAATGTAACTTGAATTGTTATATGATGTATTACTAGATAATTATTCCCTTTAAAGCCCTGAGTGTTAGGATTATCAAATGATCGATTCAGTAAGGCGATTGCTGCCTTAGACAAATTTTCAGCATTTCAGGAGGATATTACTAAAATTAGGCCTTCTTAACAGCTAAAGTTCCACTGATTCCTATGTGCTAGGGTGCCCTACAATTGTCCTAAACCCTCTGTAAATTTTGCCTATGTGAAAAGCAGAAGTGGTCTTTGGAACATAAAGAGCCTTTGTAACACGTTTTCATTACACTGGAAATTAACTGTTCCTGAATGCTAGATTTCTTAAACAAAGAAAGTCTTTGATATTGGGGCACCTTCTTATTTCAAAACTTGCCATGGGACAATATGCTGGCTATCTCAGGGTCTGGGTCAAGAAAAATGTGAAAAAGTCTGGGCCATTTCAACGTCTTTTTTGGCTATAGACAACCTCACTTGCATCTAACATACCAGTGATTTTAAGAACTTTGGAGGTGAATTACATTATTCTGTATAAAATATTTTTGTCAGAGGTTTGAACAATGACACTGACAGTGCAATAATTAGGGAGGAAGGAATCTCGAGGAACCCTCTAGTCTATCCCTCCTTTGGAGCAGTCCAGAACCTTACAAATTACTCTCCATAAATAAGGATTCGGGCTGAAATTTAGAGACCTGCAGACCAGAAAAACTGTGGTCTACTCCAGTGGTTTCTCCCAAACTCAATTCCTCACACTGCAATTTCTATGTTATGTGGAAAAGTTATCGTTAGCACGTTGATAGTCTATTAGATGGTAGCATTATTTGAAATATGAGCTATTCACAGGCAATTTTACTTTTTCACTATAATCACCTCAGATCAGATTTTGAATGAGCCTTTCTTTTTTGCTGGGATTAGAGAAGAAAATGCTTTTAGCTGAAGCTTCCCTTCTCCTCCCCCTCACCTAGGGCAATCCAGCTCAATCTGGACAAAACTCAGCTATGCTGAATGATTTGCCACAGGTGTATTCCCCCAAAAGAATGTGCAGTCTCCAAACCTCCAAATGACTGGTGTCATTTGGACACATCTCCATTGGGTGGCAGTACATGTTCAGAACAACCTAACATGGTTACTTTAGCACATTATTCCTGAAATAAAATCTGCTCTTTATTTTCTTAAATTCTAATAACAATCTTCCTTATCAAGTGACAAATCTTCCAATTCAGTGACCATGTAGTTGATAAAAGATGAATATAAATTAAACTGTTTTCCAATGTTTATTTTAATTAATGGTTGTAGAATCTATATATTTTTTGTTCACTATTATATCACTGATATCTAGTTCAGTCCTTGCCAAATAGTAAGCATTAATGATAGCATTTAAAACATAACTTTATGCCAATATAAAATCTAAAGACAAATTCTGAATTCAGAAAAATAATTTTTCTTCTCTATTCAACCTACTGACTAGGGTTTCAGCGTAAGCTATCCCATACTTGGTAATCTAAACCGTATTAAACTCAGTCATTATTTTTATCTGGCATAGTTTAGAGACATGTGCAATATCTTGTTTTTAATACAATATAGGTGGCAGTCGTTCAAGTTACCATGTACCATTAAATCATGTATATGGTCATGCAATCAATTTTCTATTTCTTACAGCATTTGTATTCCACAATAAAGAAGAAGAAAACTAGAACTAGTGAAGTGAAAGCAGCCAGTCATGATGATCTTAGGGGTTTTGATTCCTGTTAATCTCTGTTTTGATGTTTATTTTTATTGAAGATGCTTTTTAAACTAGTTTATTGAGCTAGGGCGCATTTTGGAAAGGGTTTTTGGCTATGGACAAATACCATCTGTATTAAAGTAAACTTGGAATTATTTGTAAGAAAAAAGATTATTAGTACAAACCAAAAGCAGAAAAAGATCCCAAAATGAGTCCTTGGAGAAAGCCAAGAAGAATATACAGGTTTGTTGAAAACATTTACAGCAAGTGGATATTTCAACTAAATAATCGTCATTTAAAATCTATTATTCCACAGTGGTAGTTGTAAGGTAAACTGCCTCACTATTACTTAAATGATTCTTAAGGATTTTAATAGAAAATTACAGTTCATTAAAAAGAAGCTGAGTGGAAATAAACATACATATTATTTTAACATACATACTCATATTTTAAAAGTTTATGTTCATGTGTAAGTAGACATTTTTACACATCATATGAAGGAAAATATAAGATTATTTCTTTGCTATAATTGTAAAAGCTATAATCAAATAGATTTTCAGAGATTTTTTTAAAAGTTTCTTTCAATTTTGCCAGTTAAAGGCAAATTAAACCACAAGTACAAGTTAAATCATGGAGCACTAGATGAGCAACATACCTAGTTTCTTTCTTTTCTTTTATTTCTTTTCTTTTCCTTTCTTTCCTTTCTTTCTTTCTCTGTTTCTCTCCTTTCTCTTCTTCCTTTCCTTTCCTTTCCTTTCCTTTCCTTTCCTTTCCTTTCCTTTCCTTTCCTTTCCTTTCCTTTCCCCTTTCCTTTCCTTTCCTTTCCTTTCCTTTCCTTTCCTTTCCTTTCCTTTCCTTTCCTTTCCTTTCCTTTCCTGTTTCACTCTTGTTGCCCATGGTGCAGTGCAATGGCGTGATCTTGGCTCTTTGCAACCTCCACCTCCCGGGTTCAAGTGATTCTCCTGCCTCAGCCTCCTGAGTAGCTGGGATTATAGGCATGCACCACCATGCCTGGCTACTTTTGTATTTTTAGTAGAAACAGGGTTTCACCATGTTGGTCAGTCTGGTCTCAAACTCCTGAACTCAGGTGATCGGCCCTCCTCAGCCTCCCAAAGAGTTGGGATTACAGGCATGAACCACCGTGACCGGCCCTATTTTACATTTATAGAAGTACAATCAGCATTGAATGCAATGTAAAGAAAGTTAAATTTTAGTTTTCCTTGGCCATTACTTGAGGAAACCAACCAACGATACTGTTTACCAAAGGAGTGTGACATACACAATCCATCAGACAAGAATATAACCCATCCGTTGGTAATAGAACATATAGTATTTTTTTATTTCTTTTTCTCAAACTATGCACAATAAAGAGATTTAATATAATTTTTACAAATATAATTCTTGGTCAGATGATTGCTACAAAGGATGTTTACACAAAAGTACTAAACAGATTAGGCTAAGACTTCAGTCCCTAAAGGCCTGTTATAAAAGGGACGGTTTCTTGCACCTGAACTGGGAAAGTGCTTGTCTACGGCTCTCTGATGCATGTGATAATTACACTGTCTGAGGTGGGAAAGAGTGAATCAAGCACAAATCATGCCTATTGTTCTATGTAGTAGTTCTCTGTTCACCTCCCTGCTTGGAGGTAATGAAAACGGGGTGTGGTTGAATACACGTGGAAGGATTTCAATGTTTCACATTCCCCACTCCTGCCTTGGAGCATGTCTCAAACCATAATCTGCCGGTCTTGTTGCTTGGGTAAACAGCGGAAAGCTGCCGCAGAAAGCAACTGGCAACCCCTAAGAGGACTTTGCCGACACGTGATGTCAAATACTTTTCAGTTGACTTAGAAAGAAAGACTTAGAGTAAGAATCTCCTTGTACATCAGCCAATGTGACCTTTAGAACATTCTGAGAAATGTTTTCTTCATAGTATAATTGGATAATGTTTTCAAATCACCATCAATGGAGCAGGCATATATCCACTAAATACTTGATGAGACTTCTCAAGAATTCATCCTTCGCATAGGCAGCTTTTAAGCAAACCGGTTTCAGTGAGAAGTGTTAGTTTTGGATTGGAAGTAAAGCTACAATTCCAACCTGCTAGTAATTAGTCTCTTTGTATTCTTTCTGATCTTGTCTGAATGCCACTTTCAAATGCTAGTGGAGCGGTTTTTGAGTAGAAATCTGAAGAGGATAGGTCTGACATTAAAGTCTCACCTCTGATCAGGCTAGAAATACTGGACTGACTTACTGTTTTTGTTTTTTTTTTTTCCTGATAACCCAAAAATCCAGTACTTAAAGTTGCCTCTGGTCCATGGGTTCCCTCTGCCTGTGTTTCTCTTTTTCTGGTTCTTCACATGTCAGGTTCCACCTTAAACTTCAGATGCCACCTCGACAGAGGGGCCTTCCCAACCTTCTTGTTAGACACTGAATTTTGTCTCCCCCAACCCACCCCCAGCTCTTATGTTGAGGTCCTAACCCCCAATGGGACTGCATTTGGAGGTAGGGTCTTCAGGGAGATAATTAAAGTTAAATGAGGTCATGGGGTGGAGGGAGGTGGCCAATCCAATAGGAGTGGTGTTTCTTATAAGAAAATGAAGAGGCTGGGTGTGGTGGCTCATGCCTGTAATCCTAGCACCGTGGGAGGCCAAGGTGTGAGGATTGCTTGAGCCCAGGAGTTTGAGACCAGCCTGGGCTGAACATGATAAGACCTCATCTCTACCAAAAAAAATTAAGAAATAGGCATGCATGGTGAAGCATGCCTGTAGTTCCAGCTACTCAGGAGGATGAGGTACGAGGATTCCTTGAGTCTATGAAGGTGAGATTGCAGTGAAGAGTGTTCACACCACTGCATCCTGGGAGACAGAGCAAGAAAAGAAGAAAGAAGAAAGAAAGAGAGAGAGGAAGGAAGGAAGGAAGGGAGGAAGGAAGGAAGGAAGGAAAGGAGGAGGAGGAGAAGGAAGAAGGGGAAGGGGAATAAGGAGAAGGAGGAGGAGGAGAAGACATCAGAGAGATTTCTTCCCCTCCCTCCCTCCCTTCCCACACAAGCACAGAGGAAAGGCCATGTGTGAGCATGGCAAGAGGGCAGCCATCTACAAGCCAAGAAGAGAGGCCTCGCTGGACACCTCCCCTGATAGCACCTTGATCTTGGACTTCTAACATGCAGAACTGTGAGAAAATAAAAGTCTGCTGTTTAAGCCATGACTCTATGGTGCTTTGTTATGAGGGATGGCCTGAGCAGATTAAGGTACTTACCATCTACAGGAGACTCATGGCCTCATCTCTGCTTATCACATCATTGTGTTGATTTCCTTCATCTCATTTATCATAATTAATAATGGTTTTAATTTATTTACTTATGTGTTTATTTTCTGTCTTCCTTCCTAGAGCATAAACTCCGTTAAGATCATTCTGAATGTTTCGTAAATTGTCTATGGGAGGAGAGAGGAAGTAAGGACATTAGGAGGCCATGATAGTTCAAGGAAGAGAAAATGGCAGCTTGCAATAAGGTGTCCATGGGAGAGGAACATGGATGAATTGAGACCTGTTTGGGTGGTATGAACCAAAAGGACTTGCTGGTGATGTGATCTTGGAGGCAGCGGTGAAGGAAAGAGAATAATCTATAATAACACCAAAGTCTGGGACTTGAGGAGGTAGAGAATGGTGGGGTTATTTTAAGAGATGTGAGCTAACATAAGATCATTTCTATCATTATTAACACCATTGATTCTTCTTGTTCTAGCCTAGTGCTCCTCAAAATCGAAATGTAAATAGGAATTACCTGGGAATCTTGTTAAAATGCAGATTCTGATTTAGTATCTGGACACTCTGTCATGTTCAATTGATCTATAGATCTATAGCAGTGTATTCTTCCTCTAATACACTGCTTTATTACGGTAGGTTCATATATAATCTTAAAACCAGGAAGTATGATTCCTTCAACTTTACTCTTCCTTTTCAAAATTGTGTCCTAACTTTGCTAAACTCACTTATGAGTTCTAGAGAAGAATTTTCTCAAATTATTGAAAGAAAACAAACCACAGATCCAAGAATCCCAAAGAAATCCATGGATGTTACATACAAAGGGAAATCCATGGATGATACATACAAAGGAAAATAAAACTAAGCACATCTTACTTGAAGTGCTGTAAACCAAAAATAAAGAGAGCACCTTAAAGGCAGCCAGAATAGGACTCACTCCATACAGTGAAACAAAATGAGAATGACAGTAGACTTCTTGTCAATAACTATGCAAACTAAAAGAGAGTGGAGCATTATCTTTAAAATACAGTCATGTGCTGAATAATGACATTTTGTTCAATGACAGGTCACATATATGATAGCGATACCATAAGATTGTAATGGAGCTGAAAAATTTCCATTGCCTGCTGACATCTTGATAATCGTGAACCTGCATAGGCTTAAAATAATGTGTTTTTGTCTTAGTTTTTAACAAAAATGTTTAAAAAGTAAAAATAAATAAATAAATAAAATTGTAAAAAATAGAAAAAAGCTTACAGAATAAAGATATAAGAAAGAAAATGCTTTTGGACATCTGTACAATGTGTGTTTTAAGCTAAATGTTATTACAAAACAGCCAAAAAGTTTTTAAAAATTAAAAAGTTTATAAAATCAAAATGTTACAATAAGTGAATTTATTATTGAAGAAATTTTAAAAATAAATTTAGTGTAGCCTAAGTGTACAATGTTTATAAAATCTATGGTAGTGTACAATAAAGTCCCAGGCCATCACATTCACTCACTACTCTCACCCACCTCACTCCCCTAGAGCAACTTCCAGTCCTGCAAGCTCCATTCATGGCAAGTGCCCTATACGGTTACATCACTGTTTAATCCTTTATATCTTATTTTTACTGTACCTTTTCTACATTTAGCTATGTTTAGACACACAAATACTACTGTGTTATAATTGCCTACAGTATTCAGTGCCATAACGTGCTGTGCAGTAATATACTGTATTTAGTATAGTAACAGGTTTGTAGCCTAGAAACAATAGGCTATACCACATAGCCTAGGTGTATAGTAGGCTGTACCATCTAAGTTTGTGTGATAGTCACACTCTCTGATGTTCATGCAGTTGACAAAATTACAAAATTGCCTAACAACACATTTCTCAGAACATATCCCCAACATTAAGCAATGCATGACTGTATTGAAAAGGAAGAAAGAAAAAAACTCTCAAGCCAGAGAAGACACAAATTATAAATTACCAATTTCAGGAATGAAAGAGAAATCATTGGCATAGATCCTACAAACTTTATAAGAATAATGAAAAACTATTACCCACCTTCTACATTTCTACTACCTCATATACATAAATTTGACACTTTAGATGAAATGGATAAACTAACTAGAAGGCACAAAATTCCAAAGCTCTCTCAAGAAAAGATGATAATCTGAAAAGCCCTATACCTTTTAAATAAATTGAATTTATATTTTAAAAAGTTCTTATTGATGAATTTTATTAAACATTTAAGGAAGAAACAATACAAATTTTACACAAAATATTTCAGAACGTAGATGTGGGAACCCTTTCCAACACATTTTATGAAGCCAGCATTACTCTGATACCAAAACCACAGACCAATATCTCTCATGTATATCAAGAAAATCTATAACAAAATATTAGCAAGCCAAATCCTCCTATATCATCATGATAAAGTTGGGTTCATCCCAGGAATATAGTTGGTTCAATTTTTAAAGAATCAATCAACATAATTCACCATGTCCATACACTAATAGGAAAAACCATATATTGATCTGCCTAGATGCAGAGAAAACATTTGTCTAAATTGAATATTCATCAATGACAGACTCTCTGCAAACTAGGAACACAAGAAAACTTCCTCAAGCAGATAAATTACATCTACAAAATATCTTTAGGTAAAATCATACTCAATCATGAAAAAACAAATGCTTTCTTTTAAGATAGGAAATGAGGCAAGGATGTCTGCAAAGGAATACAGGTTGGAAAGAAAGGAAATAATTTTCTTTATACCAAAATGACCTGATTATTTATGTAGGAAATCACAAAGAATTTATGAAAAGGTATGTAAAATGAAATTTATCAGAATTTCTGTTTGTAGGCAGATCCTGTGGCAATACAACAAAAAACAGGTATATGTATATATATATACACATATATATGTGTGTATATATATATATATATATATAAAACAGTTTGTAGGTGAAAGAAACTTGATTTGATAAATATTTTCCCAGATTTGACCACAATCCTAAATACTTGCACTGCATAACCAATAACAAGTTATAGAGCTGAAAATTTTCTGAACTCTCAATAGTGAAAGATAATTTAAATCATTTAAAATTTTAAAAAGTTCCTACTAGAAACAATCATAAAATCACAGAATATTTGAGCAGCCCAGGATTTTAGGACTCACTTCCTAGCCTTATTTTACAAAAAAAGAAACTCAGAGGTTAAGTAATTTGCCATAGGTCATCCTGCTAGTTAGTAGCAGATCTTGGTGTTTTGAGGAATCAATATTACTACCTTATTTTTACTGTACCTCTTCTATATTTAGCTATGTTTAGATGCACAAATACTTCTGTGTTGTTACAATTGCCTACAGTATTCAGTGCAGTAACATGCTGTACAAATAACATACTGTATGCAGTACAGTAGCAGGTTTGTAGCCTAAGAACAATAGGCTATACCGTAAGGGACAGACTTAGGAGTCAGAGAGATAAAGTGTTAACTTTCCTGGTGATGAGAATAATTAGAGAAAAAGAAATCTTAGGCATGACACCAAATGGGCATACTAATATTCATTCCTGATTTAGGAATCTTACTTACCCAGTCATTAGGTAGGCAACTTCAGGTGTCTCTTTCTAGATAAAAACCCCTATTACCTCATGGCAAAAGATAGATCACAAAACATGCTCTCTGCCGGTAGCCTGATCCCAAATAGAAGAAGGCGTTGAGTTGTATATGCTTGATTCTTCCTTCTAAATTTATGAATCAGATTACAACCTCATCACCTGGGGTAGGGGCCTCTCTTCCTCCCCTCTCTCATTCACTATTCTGTTCCCATCACCTAACACAGTGCCTGGAACATAACAGGTACTCAAAAAATATACACTGAATGAATGCACGCATTGTAGTTCCTTAAGTAATCTGCACACTCCAGTGATGAGTCAAATGGTATGTAGCCTTAAGAAAGTCACAGTTTTAGAGAAATCAATATATAGGCAAAAATAGTAAAATTATTCAATCATCTAACAAAATTCAAGCCCTGAATTTACTTTTCCATGTATTTTCCAGTCATGAAGCATATCATTTCTGTCTTAGAAACACTGTGTTGAACAAAGACGCTTCCATCTACCCTACTCCCCATATAAATAAACGTGTTTGCAAAGGTTGGTTTGTGACAGTTGTACCTGGCTGCAGTCACAAACTGCCATTTGACTTCTGTTTACATTTGTTATGCATAGTTCTGTGATAGGTTGCAGCATTCTCTTCCTCATGAGTGAAAAGGAAAAACTCGGCTCAAACTGGTCACCAAAAATTAATCATTGTGTGTTCACGCCTTCTCTGGAGCAATATACTTTAAATAAAACTGAAGTTGTATAGTCATGCATTGATAGTCTTTTTAAAAAGCTAACTTTTAAAACTGGAAACTCTACCAAGGCAGAAAAATATCTATGCTGGTCACAAAATGAAAAGGCATAATCTCATTTTCAGTTATCACAAAGAAAACACATTAAACAACTATTCATTTGAAGATAAGAATAGGATTCTGTATCTATCATCATTCAAAAACTCCTATATCCTTTCTCTATAAAATATGCTCAGAATATCTGAGGCAATATCTCACTTTTTTCCTCAGAAACTCCTCTATTAAAAAAGATAAAATTAACTATTTGCAGGTATGAAGGGTTGGTGGAGGGAAAGAAAGGGTGGAGATATATATACCTTCAGACACGCTGGAGAAAGAAATACTTTTAATTTTAACCAGTAGATTTTAACCTCCTCTAAAAAAATTAGTTTGATTTGTTGGAAAGGTAACTTTTATTATTTCAGCCAGCTTAAAAAATAGTCTTACATGACAGATGCAAATCAAATTGTAGTACAGTATTTGTTTTTTCTACCACCGTGGAAGGTAAAGCTTCAGGGGTAGGAATTCAGATGAAAGTTATTCTGATGATACACAGGGTAGAGTAGATAGAAGCCAGGTCACTTTCATAACAATATGGACTTCAAGGCTGACAGTAGTACAACTTGTGTTTGGGGCCAACACGTACTGTCAGAACATACACGCAACCCTCACTGGTGTTGCGTGTGAGTGAATGAGGACATTGGTTGGACCTCTGTCAGCAAACAGATGTGATCCAGAGACACATGGGGAGCTGCAGCTATGGTTCATTAGGAAGATGACATCTTTTACAGAGTCTCTTTTCTAACTCTAATCATGGTCTCAGGTTGATGTGGCCAAACATGGAACTTGGGAGTTTTAACAAAATCAAGCCTGTCTCAGATGTAGTGAAATCCCCCATCAGAAAGGATTAAAGTCATTCATTGAGCAATTTTAAATATCCAAATTATCTTCAAAATGATTCCCTATGTTAACACGGTATTTCTGAAAATCTAAACCAATCTAAAATAAACCCAAATATTTTTGTTTAACCAAGCGACCTCCTCATTAGTTCAGAGCAACGACTCTGCTCTGTTAGAAGGAGGCATACTATTTGATTTCCTGACCTTGTTCTACTTCTATCCCAAATGTTGTATGCCATTCCTATTTTTAAATATGTTACTCTGCCTTTGAAATCATTTTTCAAAACTTTTTGGTTCATTTTGGAATAATTACAGATGTGCTGGGTGCCTTTACATGAGGTTTGAAGAAGAAAAATAAAAATATTGTCTCTAAAATAGACTCTTTTTCATCTAATTAAATAAAGTAAGAGTTAAGTGTTGATGTGGTTTGAGTTTGTGGCCTCATCCAAATTTCATATCAAATTGTAATCCCCAATGTTGCAGGTGGGGGCCTGGTGGGAGGTGATGGGATCATGGGGGCGAATTTCCTCTTCGGTGCTGTTCTTGTGATAGTGAGTGAATTATCATGAGATCTGGTTGTTTAAAAGTGTGTGCCATCCCCACCCCTTCCTCCTGCTCTAGCCACATCTGGCAGTAAAGACGTGCCTGCTTCCCCTTTACCTTCCGTCATGATTATGTTTCCTGAGGCCTCCCCAGAAGCAAAAGCCTGTATAACCTGCAAAACCATGAGCAAATTAAACCTATTTTCTTTATAAATTGCCCAATCTCAGGTATTTCTTTATAGCAGTGCGAGAACAAACTAACACAAGTGTGTCACTCAAAGTTTGGACACAATGTCAGTTTCTACTACTGAAAGAAGAATCAAATTTTAGATATTAATTTACTTGAGAAATATGCACTGAGCTCTAAGTATGTGCAAAGACCTGTGATGAGCATCCAAGATAATAATAGCCCCATCTTCCAATTTGCCTTTCACTCTGTAACATGTTACTAAATGTAACATCCCTGCTTCTGCTATGACCTCAGGCAGAAATAATGACCACCCAATATATGTTTTCCATGAGACAGTGGCTAAAAATGTGATCAGCATAAATGGCTGCTCATGTGGTTCCAATCACTCATCACTCATTAAAAAACAAAGTCTGTTACACACTCGAAAGGCCAGGATTATGTAGAATAGGCCATGGTTTATACAGTGTTTAGATAACTCTGATGAATACATAATGCTTGAACACAAAAGTAGCTGCATCTCTCCCATAATCAGAATCTAAAATTACAGTGAAGGTGAGGTTGATGGGCTGCCCTCCACTCAGCGTCCTAATGCTCATTTATCAGCATTGCCATTATCAGTTTCCTTCCCAAGGTCTTTGGTTCTCTGCTTGGCTTTGTTTGAAATGCGATTTGCTTCCATAGTTTACTTGTTGTGTTTACTATAGACTATGAGCTTTACTGCCAGACGTGGCCTTTCAACCTTTTAGATTTGTGATGCACAACTATGCCTAGGAGGTAATAAGTGTTGAGCAAATCCAATAAATATGATAAGAAAGTAACCACCTCACTGTCTAAAAAATTTTCCTGGCAAGTAGGCTAAATTTTCTTTTCTACAAATTCATATTTATTTATTTCATGCCCTGCTTGGAACTATAGGTCCTCCAGGTACAGTTTGGTTTAGACCCTAGTTCTATATTGTAACCTTCACAGTTTTTACATAAAGTCAACAACAAATTAATGAGGCCAGTGCAGACATTTGGGGGAAGACAATATATAGTCTTCCTATATTTTTCATCTACATAACCAAGCTATAAGATGATATCTTACATATATGACATGCACACAAATTTGTCTGCCACAATCACACAAACTTCTGAGTTAGATTTTACAAATCCTACTCTATTTTGATTCTTTATGTTAATAGTCATTCTCCCCGTCTTTATTCATTTTGAAGTGAAAAAGTTAAGGAAAGAAATACAGAGATCATTAAAAATAAAATAAGAAAAATAGAATAAATTATAGAGGAGACAAAAAAATGCCTAAAATTTACCTAAGTTAAAAGATTTGTTGCTGTTTTTCCTGTTGGAGGCAACTGAAAACCTATCCAAAACTGGCTTAAACATAAAAAGGAAATTATTGGCTCATATATTTGAAAAGTCCAGGGAACTGCTGGCTTCAGATATTGTTTGATGCAGAGACTCAAACACCTCTGGGCCTTAGCTTCTCTCTTTACATTTCTTGACTCCGCCTCCTTGGGCAACCTTACACTTCAAAGAAGCAGGATAACTTCAGCAAGTCTATACTTCACCTCCTCTTTGTTTTATATCCAGGAGCTAAGAGCAAGTCTCTTGCCCAGACATTTCAGCAAAAGTCTCATTTTATTAAAATGGCTCTCACTGGGTCACATGCTGATCCCAAGGGCCATGGAATACAGCACCAATACTCCCAATTTGCCTAAGTTCTTGACCCTTAAGCTAGACGAAGACAAAACCTGTGGGCTGAGAGGAGAGGAGGAGTCATTCTTTAGGGCTAATCTTGATTTGGCTATCAGAAGAAGGGCAAATGAATTCCGAGCAGCAAACACAAGTGATGTCTGCAACAATACCCATCCTTCAAGTCCAGTGTTGGAATTCACCCTTTCCAGTTAAGCATTTCTGAACATCCAGTCTTGAAGCACTCTACACTGAACTCCCAAATATAATCATTGTCTCTGTCACTCCTTGGGCAACAACTTCTGCACAGCCTGTGATATTGTGCCCCAAGTTGTCATAAACTACTGGTTATATTTGTGCTCTTAGCTTTCCATGTGGGTCCTGGGTATTGTACCCAACCTCACATACTCATTGCCAATCTTTCCAGTCTAGATACTGGTGCAGCAATCAGCCCTATGTAGGGATAAACAGGCAGCACTTTGCCTCAGTTCCTAACTCTCACTTCCTGCCCAGGGGCTCTCTGCTGCCAACACTGGGGATCCCACTAAGCCATTCTGATGCCTGGGCCAATCCTGAAGTATGAGAGATCCTTGACCAAGGTGGGGCAGGAGCCACTGAATACATATTCCTCTTCACTGTCTCTTGAACCAGAAATTCCAAGACATATTCTGCATCTTCTCAGTGGATACCCAAGAGGATAGAGCCCCAGTTGCCACAGCAGAAACCAGCTAGATCATGACTATTGGATTGGCTCTTCTTCAGTTCCTGTTTTAAGTTCCTAATACCCCACTCCTGTTCTTTGAAATCCATTGCTCAAATAAACCACCTGTTCTCAAGCCCTTCCCTCAGCATCTGTTTTCAGAGGGATGCTTAGGTTAAGACAGACTAAAAGTTCCTTGTAGGCAACCTTACTGTCTCTAGTACGGTGAAGGTAGCCAGAATATATTTGTTGACATAATTTGATTAAAATTAAAAAGGCAGCAATAAAAATGACTACCAAAGTGCAACATGTATATTTGTGGACAAATATATAAGAAGGCACAGTTTTGAGGAGACACATGACTGTTAAAGTGCAAATATGGGAAGTTAGGCCCAGTAGCCAAAGTAAAAGAATTTCAAGTCAGCCAAACAGTGGAACTAGGAGTACGTCACATCCTCAACATTCTATATGCCTTTAGTCACTTATTCATTCTAGATACTCAATTGCTCATTATTCCATTAATAGTAATTTTCTTTTTTTAAGAATGTATTTTTATTTCTCCTTTAAATGATCATCCTTCAGTTCTTCCTTTACTTAGGATTTTTGACCCAGGGCAATAGAGGATGAATGAATGAAGGAATGAATAAGTGATTGAGATTATTTCTTTAGCAAGGCAATACATTTAAAATTAAGCTATGGACAGAAAGTGGATTTTTCTGATTTGTTTTCACATATCGTGGACTCAGTCAGAAGTTTCCTCTGTAAAGTGGGTAAGCTGCCACTCCATATCTGACAGCTAGATCACAAGGCTGCTGCCTTTAGGTAGAAGATTAAGATTATAAAATAGGGGAAGGAATAAGTAGTCATTGCTTCTGCTTTTAAAGCATTGTGGGTTGCAGAGGGAGAGAGGCTGACTGATGGGGTGGTCAACCACGTGTCCTTCTTTCCCAGTGTTGGAAGCACAGTGGTTTTAGAAAGGGCATAATCATGGAGTTGGCAAGGGAAACAAATAACCCATTCCATATGATAATAATAAGCATAGCTATGGTTAATGAGCCAGACACTGTGCTAAGTGCTTCCTATATCTCTTTGCAATCAAACTTCATAAGAACACTGTTGTAATTACTTTGTTTTAGTAGATAAGAAACTGAAACTTAGAGAAGACAAGTGACTAGCTCAAGTTTATATTCTGCATAAATGGCAGAAGTAGAATTTGAATGGATGTATATCTAAGTAAAGAGCCCACATCTTTAACCACCATGCTGCAATGCAATTTTCAGCAATAGTTTATCTAGAATTGAGTTGCTTTGCGTGCCTAAAAGCCCTACTTCCTTGAATCCCTCCTTCCTGATGCCAGCAAAGAGATCCATCTCTGATATAAGCCCAACTGTGTCACTGTTCCCTTTGGCTCACTCCTGTAATCCCAGCACTTTGGGAGACTGATGTGGGCGGATCACGAGGTCAGGAGGTCAAGATCATCTGGGCCAACATGGTGAAACCCAGTCTTTACTAAAATGAAAAAATTAGCCAGGTGTAGGAGGCTGGGGCAGAGGAATCACTTGAACCCAGGAGGTGGAGATTGTAGTGAGCTGAGATCACGCCACTGCACTCCAGCCTGGCAACAGAGCAAGACTCCGTCTCAAAAAAAAAAAAAAAAGTGCTAAATAGCTCCTTGTTACCTGCCTACCAGATAAAGTCCAAAGTCAACATAGCATACACTGAGGGGAAAAATGACTAAATAAAGTCAGGGGATGAACACTTGTGCAGTGAGAAATTAGGCCCCTTGTCCAATTTCTTTCTTTCTTTCTTTTTTTTAATTAAAGTTCTGGGATACATGTGCAGAATGTGCAGGTTTGTTACACAGGTATATACATGCCATAATGGTTTGCTGCACCCATCAACCCATCATCTATATTAGGTATTTCTCTAATGCTATGTCTCCCCTACCCCCTCACCCCTGATAGGCCCCAGTGTGTGATGTTCCCCTTCCTGTGTCCATATGTTCCCATTGTTCAGCTCCCACTTATGAGTGACAACATGTGGTGTTTGGTTTTCTGTTCCTATGTTAGTTTGCTGGGAATGATGGTTTCTAGCTTCATCCATGTCCCAGCAAAGGACATGAACTCATCCTTTTTAATGCCTGCATAGTATTCCATGGTGTATAGGTGCCACAATTCCTTTATCCAGTCTATCATTGATGGACATTTGGGTTGGTTCCAAGTCTTTGCTATTGTGAATAGTGCTTCAATAAACATAAGTGTGCACGTGTCTTTATAATAGAGTGATTTATAATCCTTTGGGTATACACCCATTAATGGGATTACTGGGTCAAATGGTATTTCTGGTTCTAGATCCTTGAGGAATCACCACACTTTCTTCCACAATGGTTGAACTAATTTACACTCCCAAAAACAGTATGAAAGCGTTCCTATTTCTCCACATCATCTCCAGCATCTGTTGTTTCCTGACTTTTTAATGATCACCATTCTAACTGGCATTAGATGGTATCTCATTGTGGTTTTAATTTGCATTTCTCTAATGGCCAGTGATGATGAGCTTTTTTTCATATGTTTGTTGGCTGCATAAATATCTTCTTTTGAGAAGTGTCTGATCATATCCTTCACCCACTTGTTGATGGGGTCATTTGTTTTTTTCTTGTAAATTTGTTTATTTGTAGATTCTGGATATTAGCCCTTTGTCAGATGGATAGACTGCAAAAATTTTCTCCCATTCTGTAGGTTGCCTGTTCACTCTGATGATAGTTCCTTTTGCTGTGCAGAAGCTCTTTAGTTTAATTAGATCCCGTTTGTCAATTTTGGCTTTTATTGCCATTGCTTTTGGCATTTTAGTCATGAAGTCTTTGCCCATGGCCATGTCCTGAGTGGTATTGCCTAGGTTTTCTTCTAGGGTTTTTATGGTTTTAGATCTTATGTTTAAGTCTTTAATACACCTTGAGTTAATTTTTCTATAAGGTGTAAGGAAGGGTTCCAGGTTCAGTTTTCTGCATATGGCTAGCCAGTTTTCCCAACACCATTATTTATTAAATAGGGAATCATTTCCCCATTGCTTGTTTTTGTCAGGTATGCCAAATATGAGATGGTTGTAGATGTGTGGCATCTGAGGCCTCTGCTCTGTTCCATTGGTCTATATCTCTGTTTTGGTACCAGTACCATGCTGTTTTGGTTATTGCAGCCTTATAGTATAGTTTGAAATCAGGTAGCATGATGCCTCAAGCTTTGTTTTTTTTTTTTTTTTCTTAGGATTGTCTTGGCTATATGGGCTCTGTTTTGGTTCCATATGAAATTTAAAGTAGTTTTTTCTAATTTTGTGAAAAAAGTCAATGGTATCTTGATGGGGATAGCATTAAATCTACAAATTACTTTGGGCAGTATGGCCATTTTTACAACATTGATTCTTCCTATCCATGAGCATGGAATGTTTTTCCATTTGTTTGTGTCCTCTCTTATTTTCTTGAGCAGTGATTTGTTGTTCTCCTTGGAGAGGTCCTTCACATCACTTGTAAGTTGGATTCCTAGGTATTTTATTCTCTTTGCAGCAATTGTGAATGGGAGTTCACTCATGATTTGGCTGTTTGTCTATTATTGGCATATAGAAATGCTTGTGATTTTTGCATATTGATTTTGTATCCTGAGACTTTACTGAAGTTGCTTATCAGCTTAAGGAGATTTTGAGCTGAGATGATGGGGTTTTCTAAATAGACAGTCACGTCATCTGCAAACAGAGACATTTTGACTTCTTCTCTTCCTATTTGAATACTCTTTATTTCTTTCTCTTGCCTGATTGCCCTGGCCAGAACTTTCAATATTATGTTGAATAGGAGTGATGAGAGAGGTCATCCTTGTCTTGTGCTGATTTTCAAAGGGAATGCTTCCAGCTTTTGCCCATTCAGTATGATATTGGCTGTGGGTTCATCATAAATAGCTCTTATTATTTTGAGATACGTTCCATCAATACCTAGTTTATTGAGAGTTTTTAGCATGAAGGGGTGTTGAATTATATCGAAGGCCTTGTCTGCATCTATTGAGATAATCATGTGATTTTTGTCATTGGTTCTCTTTATATGGTGGATTACATTTATTGATTTGAGTATGTTGAACCAGCCTTGCAGCCCAGGGAAGAAGCCAACATGATCATGGTGGCTAAGCTTCTTGATGTGCTGCCAGATTTGGTTTGCCAGTATTTTATTGAGAATTTTCACATCATTGTTCATCAGTGATACTGGCCTTAAATTTTTTGGTTGTCATTGTGTCTCTGCCAGGTTTTGGTATCAGGATTATGCTGGCCTCATAAAATGAGCTAGGGAGGAGTCCCTCTTTTTCTGTTGTTTGTTTGGAGTAGTTTCAGAAGGAATGGTACCAGCTCCTCTTTGTATCTCTGGTAGAATTCGGCTGTGAATCCAACTGGTCCTGGGCTTTTTTTGGTTGGTAGGCTATTAATTATTGCCTCAATTTCAGAGCCTGTTATTGGTCTATTCAGGGATTCAACTTCCTCCTGGTTTAGTCTTGGGAGGGTGTATGTGTCCAGGGATTTATGCATTTCTTCT
The DNA here is from genome assembly GCF_000001405.40 of Homo sapiens. Classification (NCBI taxonomy): domain Eukaryota; kingdom Metazoa; phylum Chordata; class Mammalia; order Primates; family Hominidae; genus Homo; species Homo sapiens. Next base: position 53,187,795 of record NC_000005.10, read on the forward strand.
AGATTTCCTAGTTTATTTGCATAGAGGTGTTTATAGTATTCTCTGATGGTAGTTTGTATTTCTGTGGAATCAGTGGTGATATCCCCTTTATCATTTTTTGTTGTGTCTATTTGATTCTTCTCTCTTTTCTTCTTTATTAGTCTGGCTACGGTCTATTTATTTTGTTAATCTTTTCCAAAATCCAGCTCCTGAATTCATTGACTTTTTGAAGGGCTTTTCATGTCTCTATCTCCTTCAGTTAGTTATTTCTTGTCTTAGTTATTTCTGATCTTAGTAACTTCTGATCTTAGTTATTTCTTGTCTTCTGCTAGCTTTTGGATTTGTTTGCTCTTACTTCTCTAGTTCTTTTAATTGTGATGTTAAGGTGTTAATTTTAAATCTTTCCCACTTTCTCCTGTGGGCATTTATGCTATAAATTTCTCTCTAAATACTGCTTTAGCTGTGTCCCAGAGATTCTGGTACGTTGCGTCTTTGTTCTCATTGGTTTCAAATAACTTATTTATTTCTGTCTTAATTTTGTTATTTACCCAGTAGTCATTCAGGAGCAGGTTGTTCAGTTTCCATGTAATTGTGCAGTTTTGAGTGAGTTTTTTAATCCTGAGTTCTAATATGACTGCACTGTGGTCTGAGAGACTGTTATGATTTCCATTCTTTTGCATTTGCTGAGGAGTGTTTTTTTCCAATTATGTGGTCAGTTTTAGAATGAGTGTGATGTAGTGCTGAGAAAAATGTGTATTCTGTTGATTTGGGGTGGAGAGTTCTGTAGATGTCTATTAGGTCCACTTGGTCCAGAGCTAAGTTCAAGTCCTGAATGTCCTTGTTAATTTTCTGTCTTATTGATCTGTCTAATATTGACAGTAGGTGTTAAAGTCTCCCACTATTATTGTGTGGGAGTCTAAGTCTCTTTGTAGGTCTCTAAGGACTTGCTTTACGAATCTGGGCGCTCCTGTATTGGGTGCATATATGTTTAGGATAGTTAGCTCTTCTTGCTGCATTGATCCTTTTACCATTATGTAATGCCCTTCTTTGTCTCTTTTGATTTTTGTTGGTTTAAAGTCTGTTTTATCAGAGACTAGGATTGCAACCCCCTTTTTTTTTTTTTTTTTTTTTTTTTTTTTTTTTTTGAGACGGAGTCTCGCTCTGTCGCCCAGGCTGGACTGCGGACTGCAGTGGCGCAATCTCGGCTCACTGCAAGCTCCGCTTCCCGGGTTCACGCCATTCTCCTGCCTCAGCCTCCCCAGTAGCTGGGACTACAGGCGCCCGCCACCGCGCCCGGCTAATTTTTTGTATTTTTAGTAGAGATGGGGTTTCACCTTGTTAGCCAGGATGGTCTCGATCTCCTGACCTCATGATCCACCCGCCTTGGCCTCCCAAAGTGCTGGGATTACAGGCGTGAGCCACCGCGCCCAGCCAACCCCTGTTTTTTGTTTGTTTGTTTGTTTGCTTTTGCTTTCCATTTGCTTGGTAAATATTCTTCCATCCCTTTATTTTGAGCCTGTGTGCATCTTTGCATGTATTCAGACAGCACACAGATGGGTCTCGATTCTTTTTCCAATTTGCCAGTCTGTGTCTTTTAATTGGGGCATTTAGCCTGTTTACATTTAAGTTTAATATTGTTATGTGTGAATGTGATCCTGTCATTATGATGCTAGCTTGTTATTTTGCCTGTTAGTTGATGCAGTTTCTTCATAGTTTGAATGGTCTTTACAGTTAGGTATGTTTTTGCAGTGGCTGGTGCTGGCTTTTCCTTTCCATATTTAGTGCTTGGTGGTGACAGAATCTCTCAGCATTTGCTTGTCTGTAAAGGATTTTATTTATCTTTCGCTTATGAAGCCTAGTTTGGCTGGATATGAAATTCTAGGTTGAAATTTTTTTTCTTTAAGAATGTTGAATATTGGCCCCCACTCTCTTCCGGCTTGTAAGGTTTCTGCAGAGAGATCTGCTGTTAGTCTGATGGGCTTCCCTTTGTGGGTAACCAGACCTTTCTCTCTGGCTGCCCTTAACAGTTTTTCTTTCATTTCAACCTTGGTGAATCTGACAAGTATGTGTCTTGGGGTTGCTCTTCTTGAAGAGTATCTTTGTGTTGTTCTCTTTATTTCCTGAATTTGAATGGCCTGTCTTGCGAGGTGGGAAAGTTCTCCTAGATAATATCCTGAAGATTGTTTTCCAACTTGGTTCCATTCTCCTGTCACTTTCAGGTTCACCAATCAAACATAGGTTTGGTCTTTTCACATAGTCCCATATTTCAAGGTTTGTTCATTCTTTTCATTCTTTTTTCTCTAATCTTGTCTTCACCCTTTATTTCATTAAGTTAATCTTCAATCTCTGATATCCTTTTTTCTGCTTGATCAATTCAGCTATTGATACTTGTGTATGCTTCATGAAGTTTTCGTGCTGTGTTTTTCAGCTCCATCAGGTCACTTATGTTCTTCTCTAAACTGGTTATTCTAGTTAGCAATTCCTCTAACTTTTTTTCAAGTTGTTAGCTTCCTTGCATTGGGATAGAACATGCTCTTTTAGCTCAGAGTACTTTGTTATTACCCATCTTCTGAAGCCTACTTCTGTCAATTCATCAAACTCATTCTCTGTCCAGTTTTGTTCCCTTGCTGGCAAGGAGTTGAGGTCCTTTCGAGGAGAAGAGGCCTTCCAGTATTTGGAATTTTCAGTTTTTCCTCATCTTCGTGGATTGATCTACCTTTGGTCTTTGATGTTGGTGACCTTCGGATGCAGTTTCTGTGTGAACGCCCTTTTTGTTGATGTTGATGCTATTCCTTTCTGTTTGTTAGTTTTTCTTCTAGCAGTCATGCCCCTCTGCTGCAGGTCTGCTGGAGTTTGCTACAGGTCCACTCCACACCCTGCAGTGGAGGGTGCAGAAGAGCCAAAATTGCTGCCTGTTCCTTCCTCTGGAAACTTCGCCCCAGAGGGTCACCCACCAGATGCCAGCCAGAGCTCCCCTGTATCAGGTGTCTGTCAAACCCTGCTGGGAGGTGTCTCCCAGTCAGGAGGCATGGAGTTCAGGGACCCACTTGTGGAGACAGTCTTTACCTTAGCAGAGCTTCAGCGTTGTGCTGGGAGATCCACTGCTCTCTTCAGAGCCAGCAGGCAGGAACGTTTAAGTCTGCTGAAGCTGCTCCCACAGCCGCCCCTTCTCCCAGGTGCTCTTTCCCGGGGGAGATGAGAGTTTTAATCTATATGCCCCTGACTGAGGCTGCTGCCTTTCTTTCAGAGATGCCCTTCCCAGAGAGGAGGAATCTAGAGAGGCAGTTGGGCTATAGCAGCTTTGTGGAGCCATGTTGGGCTCTGCCCAGTTCAAACTTCCTGGTGGCTTTGTTTACACTGTGAGGGGAAAACTGCATAGTAAAGCCTCAGTAATGGCAGATGCCCCTCCCCCCACCAAGCTCAAGTGTCCCAGGTCAACTTCAGACTGCTGTGCTAGCAGCAAGAATTTCAAGCCAGTGGATCTTAGCTTGCTGGGCTCCATGTGGGTGGGATCCTCTGAAATAGATGACTTGGCTCCCTGGCTTCAGCCCCGTTTGCAGGGGAGTGAATGGTTCGGTCTCATTGGCATTCCAGGCACCAGTGGGGTATGAAAAAAACTCCTGCAGCTAGCTCAATGTCTGCCCAAATGGCCACCTCGTTTTGTGCTTGAAATCCAGGGCCCTGGTGGCATAGGCTCCTGAGGGAATCTCCTGCTCTGTGGGTTGCAAAGACCATGGGAATATCACAGTATCTGGGCCTGAGTGCACTGCTTCCTCATGGCACAGTCCCTCACAGCTTCCCTTGGCTAGGGGAGGCAGTTCCCCAACCCCTTGTGCTTCTCGGGTGAGGCAATGCCCCACTCTGCTTTTGCTCACCCTCCCTGGGCTGCACCCACTGTCTAACCAGTCCCAATGAGATGAGCTGGGTACCTCAGTTGGGAATGCAGAAATCACCTGCCTTCTGCATTGATCTGGCTGGGAGCTGTAGACTGGAGCCCATTAACAGTAATTTTCTAAGTGAATTTAAATTTTTACTTTTTCAGGGCAATAAATATTTTATCTCAAATCCTTGCGATTTTCTCTCTTGACAGGGTCAGTGAGTTATGAAAATATTTATCTCTTTGTCAAAATAAATGTAAGGGTTGATGAGTCTGTATAAGGTTGAGCAATATCCCCAAGCTTGTAGCCTCGTGCTTTGACTCTTAAATTGCTCCTAAGTGCTACTTGACCTTTGCAATGATTATTCTTCCCATATGCTGATGGGCAAAGGAGAATGAGTAACACTTAGAGAAAACGAGATCAATAGATAACTACTCTAAATCACACACAAAGCCCATTGCCATGCCTGGAATATAAATTGTGGAAAAGAAGCCCTCTCTGAAATATACCACCATTGTGACCTCAACATAGTAATCTTAATGGTTTAGTCTGCATTAGCAAAATAAACAAAAATTATTTCCTGCATTATCACAAAGCTATTCATCTTTGTGTTCTTTTTATTTTTATATTGACAAGTTTGTCTGGAAGACCAAAGCTGTCTAACCCTTTCTTAGGAATAGAAAGAAAGGCCAGCAGGTATAAAGTCTAACCATTCAGATTAAGGCTCTTTGATGCCCCAGCACAAGTATAATACAGAAAGGGTGCAAATTAGCATGTATTGAGGACCTCTGATATGCATAGATCCTCTACATAGTGTAGTAGGCAGAATAACTGCCCACCACCCTGAAATGTTCTAATCCCTGGAACCTTTAAATATTTCCTTATATGGAAAAGGAATCCTTGCAGATGGATCTTGAGAGGGTGAGATTATCCTAGATTATCTAGGTGGGCCCTAGATGTGATCACAGGTGTCCTCATAAGAGAGAGGCAGAGGGGGGTTACACTAAAGAAGATGAGAAGATTATGTGGCCATGGAAGCAGAGATTGCAGTGATGCAGCCACAAGCCAAGGACTGCCAGCAGCTAGCAAGAGCTAAAGGAGACAAGAAACCAATTCTCCTTCAGACCCTCTAGAGGGAGTGCAGCCCTCCTGACACCTTGATTTCAACCCACTGATGCTGATTTCAGACTTCTAGTCTCCAGAACTATAAGAGAATAAATTTCTGTTGCATGAAGCCATCGAGTTTGTGTTAATTTTTATTGCAGTCACAGGAAACTAATACACATACGTTATTTCATTTAATCCTTATGACAAGTGTTTGGGGTAACTATCATTTCTCATTTAAAGATGAGGAAACCAAGGGTCAGAATAAGTGTCCTAAGTCACCTGACAAATTAGTAGAAAAGTGAAGTTCAGGGAAATTCCAAAGCCCAACTTCTTTTCTCATAGCCTGTACTCCAGCCACACCAACCTACTCAGATGTCTTTTCACAGCTTCCTACTCCCCACGTTCTGCTCCCTGAGCCACATTCCCTCTCATACTTGCCCTTCAGGACATGGGTCACTCACTCCACCTTCCTTCCTGGCTTCCATCCCTGGCTCAGGAGTCTCATTTACATGATCCTTTGCTCTGGTCTCACACATACAATTGTCCTTTGGTTGGTGTCTCCCTTGCTAGACTAGGAGATCTTCTTCCTCAGGGACCATGCCTTTATCTTTGCTCTGTAAGTCTACTTGGTGTTTGGTACACAGTCTGTGCCAAAATAATATTTGTTGAATGAATTATGTATGCTGTGTCAACTCCTAAATAAAGACAGGAATAAATAAATTACCATTCATAAAAGTGAGGAACTTTGGAGTCTCATGTTTGAACAAGATGAGATGCAAGATGGGGAGCCATCCCTTTTTATTTCTCTATGCTGCCTTGCTTTCTTCATAGGTAAATGGGTATAATAATGATATCTACTTTGTAGAGTTAGTGTGACAATTAAATATGTTAACATATGTAATGGGCTTAGAACAATGACTAGCACAGGATAAGAGCTATGCAAATATCCTCTACTTTTAATTTTATCATCTCTTTATTGCTCATAAAGAGGAAAGGCTTTTCTTGAAAGTAAATGAATAAATGGTCTAAGACGTTTTGAAGCTGCAACTGATTTTTATAATATTATTTGGTAGAAAACAGAAACAATCTCAAGAAGAAGACAAATTTAACCCTGAAATGGCTATTTAGCTCAGCATCAGTAGTAAGATAAAACTCAAAAGGTCAGTGCCTATGTAGTCATTCACTCAAACTGAAAGTAGAAAAACTAGCATTTTGGAAATACAAAGATACACCACTCCTTGGAATGTCACTGGGGATTTTCCATAGTGGTATATTAGTGTTTCTGAAGTGAAAGGAAGCTTGTTGACTCTGAGTTTTGATGTTGCATTAATTTTTCAATACTTTGATATTTCTAGATTAGCCCCTGCCAGGAACTCAATCCACCACTTTGTTTCTCACTGATGAACAAACTGGTCTAATGTGAAACACGTGGAGAAGAAAGCACAGCTCTTCAGTTTGCATGTGTGAGACCCGAAGTTGTCTTTAATTGGTTAGAAAGTTTTTACATCATGAGTGAAAAACAAGGCTTTTCAGGAGATACACAGATGAAATCATAAACACACTAGAGAGTTTTGAGGCTTTTTTGTTTTATCTTCATTTCTGGTCTCACAAAGTAAACACAAGATTTTTTCACAATGAGCACATATGTCAGGGCACAAGGAGGTACAGCTTAAGACCTAGGATGCAGAGACCATTGCCTGAACTTAAGTAAACAAAAACCCCATTGTAATGCATTGACATTACTAACATGGAAGCGATTGACACCAGTATAGTCTTGTAGTTTTACAGCTATCCCTTCCTTGGTTTCAGGTAAAATGTTAGTTGCACTAAAGGGAAAGATACTAGCCCATTTCCTCCTCGAATAGGCTTATTATGCACCAAACTCCTGTACCAGGAGCTTAAAAATACCTTTGTATTTTTATTTAACAGGTTTTTTTTTTGGTTGACTGAAGTATATTATGACTATAGACGCTGAGGCACATGTTCAGATCAGAAGGGACTAAAGTATTGGATCTATCTAATATACAGATTTTCTCCACAGTCACTGCCAAAGGGAAGGGACCAGAAGCAGCCACTGATCTCTTCCCATAATGAATCATCACTGATATAGAGGTAAATCATCACTGATATAGAGGTAAAATGCTGATGACAGGCTGGAGGAAGAAGAAAAATGGGTAGGATCTGAACAGGACAGAAGAGTGGTAGCAATCTGAATGAAATGGTGTATAGATTCAGGAGCATTTTAGAGGAAATATCGACAAGATTTGTAAACTGATTGGATAAGGCAAGTATGAGTGTTCAGTAGAGAGATGAGTTATAGATGACAGGCTTCCAGGTGAAAAAAAAACGGGTGGGTGTGATGACATGGACAAATGGAGGAAGCTCGAGAGAGGGACAAGGGGAAGGTAAATATCATGGGAAATGGGGAGATAGAATTTGCTTCTGAAGATGTTGAAGTTAAGGTGTTTAAAGATAGCTTTCAAGTGTGGAGGCAGATACCGAGTAAATAGGTGGAAATTCAGAACTGATTCTAGAAACAGTCGTCAGGGCTATAGCTTCAGATTTTTTTTCTCAGTAATATTTAGAGTATTTTTTATAGGACTGGCTGTACATTAAATTGTCTATTCTCACCGTTTTCACTCTTTACTCACACAACAGCTCTGCAAGTATAAGCAAGATGCATTTATTATTTTTATTTCATATAAAAGGAAACCAAAGCTCAGAGAGGTTAAATAATTTGCCCCCAAACCCCAATGACAGATAATATCAAAGCCAGATCAGACCTATAACTTTTGAAATTTATGTTCATAATTTCCTAGATGCTATGCACTGGGAAACTGAAGTCCTACATTTATTGCTTGCAAATATAGATTGCACCTATTGCAGAAAGGTGACACATAAAGCTATGTATGTTGATACATTTCCTTGAGGACTGTCTAGGAGCCAGGGCAGGAAAAGAGGAATAAAATTGTTAGAGAGGGAAGAGTAGAAGCAGGAAGGAACTAAAGTCACAAAAAAAAAAAAAAAAGAAAGAAAGAAACTCAAAAGACCAAGGGGTAAAGGGCTGTCAATGGTATCAAAGATTGTTTCTTCCCTAATTTCCTTCCACTTCCCATATCAGTCCCATCCAGAGTGGGCATAGATGAGTTCTCTCACAGCTAGATGAGTGAGTACTCCTGCACTTTACACAAAATACCTCTGCTGATGTGGATAGAGCACATGTGTGTTTCCAACTTCAGCTCCTTTCCCACAGCTTCAAAGATTTAGCTTGAGAGTTACTCGAATATTTTAAGCTCTACCTCCCAGTGATAAAGCCATCAGTAAATTTCACAAGATTCCACGTGTAACCTTTAGTCATAGATCAATATGTAATAACATACTTTTAAATGAAGATCACATCGGAGAGGCCATGTCTACACAACAACAAACAGATGTTTTGTCAAAGAGAAGAGTCTTCCTATGTTTGTTAGTAGCAGTATCTCATGGTGAGAACCAGTTCCTACTCTTTCCTCATCTTTGTTTTCAGTTTTATTTTAAAGAATTTGTTTCTAATACAGAGAGGTAAGTAAGAGGTCTTATTTCTCTTTTTCTACTTTATTATTTTCTGTCACAGCTTCTAGACAGTCCCAAAGGGAAATTTATCAATGTGCATTGCTTTGTGTGTCACCTTTCTGCAATAGATCCAACAGAGAAGTAAGAGGCTTTCAAAAAGCCAGGTTTCCTTTTAAAGTAGGCAAACAACATGCAAAAGAAAAGCAAAATGGGTTGAGTCAAACAATTTAATGAATTCAGTATAATGAATATTTTGAGTGGTTTCTGTGTATAGAGCACTATGCTAAGTACTCTAGGGATAAAAACATCTAAAAATATATCCCTCAAAGTTTGTAGCTTTGGTAGAGATAATAGTGCCCACAAAATGTTCTGTTTGCTCTCCTGGATTTCTCAGCCCCTTTGGAGTTAGGCAAGGCCATGTGGCTAGTCCTGCCAATGATCTGTGGGTAGAAGGCCAAAGCATGGCTGGCTCTTTACCCCTCTGTCTCTTCTCCCCTTCCTTGACACTCACTAAGACTATTCTAGGTGGGATCATGACACAGTGAGAGAGCCTCTACCACCTGGAATCCTGAGTACCTGGATCAGATCTTCCCACTGTCTCATGTCAGACATACGGTGTTACAAATCTTTTTTTTTTTTTTTCTCCAGTTAAGCACCCAGCTAACATCTAAGCAGGGTCTGAAATCTAGTCTGTACTCTGCTCTCCAGGCTTCATACCCTTGTGCAGAGCTGTAACTGCCAGGGAAGGCGTGCCTTTGTCAAATTTGCACAAAGAATCTTCAGAGGCTATGGTTGACCCCGGTAGGAAACACATATTTTAATTTGATTAAATCCTCACAGCATCTACAGTGTACCAAACACAAACTGGTGGGGAGAGAGGGGTCTTCAAAAAGTGCCTCAAAAAAATAATAGCAGTCTTAATTTGAAATCTTCTGTGAAGAAAAGTTTGAAATCTCTTCTGAAGAGTTAAAAAAAAAACTATAAAAAAGTGGATGTAAAACAGAGAACAGAGGACAAAGTACTATAAAAGTAGTGGATTTTTTTTTGTTTTTACTCATCTCTAAGACACAGAAGACAGATAAAAGCATTCAGGTTATATGGAAAAAGCAAACTCAAAATGTTGTGTGATAACAAAATATGTTTTTATGCATCTCACATCTACAAAGTCTATCTAACCACAGGGATCACAAATTATTAAGGCAATTAAAGGATCTGCCACCTAACATGATATTACCACATGATTAGAAGAAGCCTGTGTAAGCTTTCTTGCCAATTCCAAGTTATCAGGAATGTATGAGTTTATTCTCTTTTTATGTCAATGTTACTGGAAATAAACTATTTTCTCAGTGATATGGTAGAGAAATTATAGTTATCTGTGAATTTTCTCTTCCCTCTTTTTCTCCTTTTCTCCCCTCCATGAACAGTGATTATGGAGGCCAGGGCCTCTTTCCTGCTACTTCTCCAGCATTTCCCTGCATGCAAAAAAAGAGGATGATGCAGATATAGTAATGCAACATAGTGGAGAAATAAGTTATTCCTACTGAGCAAATGTAATAAAAGTCATATATTTTTAAATGTTGCCTTTTGTACATGATAAAACTCAATAGGTGAATGATTTCTATTTGTCATTTAACCTCTCCATTCCTAAGCTATTCTCTCGTGAGCTTTCCATGCCACTTGGGCAACATGCTTCCATTACAACCCAGCCCACTAACAAGCCCAAGCCAAAGATTTATGTAAAAATCACCCTCAAATGACCTCCTGGCATGCAAGTTTTCATTGGCATTTTTATTCATATTTAACCAATATTGCCTTTTCATTCACTTTGTATTGATATATTTATGGCTATCATAGCTTATGTATTGTAACTAGATGAATGGAACTAAGTTTATAATGATCAAAACCATCTTTAAGTACACATTGTCAATATTTCAAAATGTTGTAAGCACAGAGATGAGAGTACACTCCAAAGCGATTTACAGTTTTTAAATTATGAAATACTTGAACTAAGGACAAACTGCTGATTAATGAATGTTTATAAGTAGTCTGGACTACAGAGGTAATAAAAATACAAATAAATCAGTTGATGCAACTGTATATTTTAAGGAAATACACTTTATCCTGTTGAGGACAATTTCTTCTTGAATATCAAAGGCACTGGGACTAAAAACAGACATGTGAAGTCCACAGTTGAAGTTGTCGATGAAAAGAGTCAAACTCTGTAAGATATTTTAAGAGATTTATTCTTAGCCAAATATGAGTGACCGTGGCCCATGACATAGCTCTCAGGTCTTGCAAACATGTGCCCAAGCTGGTCAACATACAGCTTGATTTTATATATTTTAGGGAGGCATAAGACATCAATCAAATACATCTAAGAAACACATTGATTTGGTTCAGAAAGGTGGGACAACTAAAAGTGGGGGCTTCCAGGCTATAGGTAAATTTAAACATGTTCTGGTTGACAATTGGTTGAGTTTATCTGAAGACCTGAAATCAGTAGAAAGGAAGTGTTCAGGTTCAGATCAAGGATTATGGAGAATAAGTTTTATTGTGCAGAGGAAGCTCTCAGACAGCAGACTTCAGAGAGACCAGATTGTAAAATATTTCTTATCTGACCTAAAAGCGTCCCTGGCTCTTAGTTGATTATCTCCTTGATCTGGAAAGGAAGGAAGGAAAACGAAGGGAAAATGGGATTCTCTATAGAATGTGGGTTTTTCCCACAAGAGACTTTGCAGGGCAATTTCAAAGTATGGCAAGGAAATATATTTTGGGATAAAACATTTTGATTTTCTTTCTTGTTATGCCAGAGTCAGACTGGAAAGTAAGTCACCACGTACAGGGTTAAATAAAACCCATCTGACAAGAATTTACAGTCTGTAGGGCATGACTCCCCAGACCCCTCAGATAGGAATTTGGGCAAGATTAAAATAAAAAATCAGAGCTTAGTCCTCAGTCCCCACTCTTGGCTAAAAGGCATTCCATAGAATGCATGTGCAGGCCAACAAACAGCAGCAGGTCCCACGGTGCTAGGAAGGCTCATTCCTAGAGTTGTCTGATTTGGCCATCCGGCAGGGTCCCACAGTGCTAGGAAGTCTTGTTCCTGGAGTCCTCTCATTTGACGGTAATAGTTTTAAGTATTAGCGATTTGAAAATGGGGGGAGGACACAGCCTGACCTGATGTACTAGCCAATTCTTTAAGGGGTAAAATGGAGTCAGGCTTATGGTTTAGACAAAAAAAAAAAAAAAAAAAAAATCCCGGATCAGATCTATTTTCTGAGCTATCATGACCTGGGTCTTTAATTGTGCCTTTCCTTCTGCTCTATTTGGCATAACATTTACAAGAAAATGTCTAGCATAAACATAGTGAAGATTTGGGCATCCAAGGTTATAGGTAGAATCAGAGGGCAATTAACAACCCAATTGCCAGGAAGAAAACCCTGCATGCATCACCATATTCTTTGATCAGACCCACAATGTGTTTACCTTCCTTATTAAGGGTTATTTGAACCCTAGGATAAATCTTATTTGGAAATTGTGGAACCAACATTAAATTAGAATTTAATAAATTTAATCTCTTCTCTGGCCAGTTTATCTCCATAGGCATAGCATCCTGAGGAGGGTATAAATTAAATGCAAGAAATGCCTGGTCCTTGGTGTCTAAATTGTTATAGACTTGTTAACAGTAGACAAATCTATTCCCCCACCCCCACTTTTGTATTGCATCATATATTGGTATTTGGGAGATAAAAGGTTTTGTCACATGAAAGGTCATATAATTCTAAAGTGTCATTTTTTGTCTTGGCAGGACTCCCTATGGCTGAGGGCCTTAAGAGTCAAAAGATTTATAGCCAGTTAATTGTTCTAGGCCAGAAAAGAATGGATGTAGACAGGCATTCATTACTTCTGAAAATTATTATTTTAAGTAAAGTTTAAAAAAGTTGACAATACTGTGGCACTGTGAAATCCACCATCATGTTTATGCTGAAACCAGATTTCCTTCAGGCTCCTTCTAGCTAGTGAAAGGTTCTCCCCAGGGCCTGAAAGCTTAAGGGAATGAATAATTCTTCCCTTTTCAGGCCCAGTCCCAAGGTGCAAGACGACTTGCGCCAGCAGTGTAAGCAAGATAGCAAAAGCAGGAAGAGAGCTGGCCAGAAGACTCCATGAAGACTAACAGAGAGGCCGTCTGGGTACTGCGTAGCAGTTACATCAGACTGAGACACTTCCTGTTTACAGGAGACTATAAAACCCCTGTCCCGTCCTCATTTGGGGGTGACGCTATTTTAGGCCTCAGCCCACCTGCACCCAGGCACTCATTAAAACAGTGTGTTCCTCCACACCGCCTTGTGTTGTTTGTTGGCGTGCTCTTGGGGTTTGAATCAATACAAGAGCCCTGTGTCTGGTGCTGAAACCCAGGAGGGACTCCAGTCCATGTCCCCTGTGGACCTACTCCTCCACCCCAGAGAGCAGGCCACAGCAGCCAGACAAAGGAAGCTCCTCAGCCTCCAGTCGCCTCTGTGCATGCACATTGGTCACTGATCTCGCCTACTGGTAAGTTTCCCTGGGAGCCCAGTAAACAGGAAAAAATCCACATGGCCTCTTTTGGTTTCTCCAGTCCGAAAATCCAACGTTGGTCCAAGAAGGCGTGGGCATGTGCCAGGTACTCACTGATCATCTGGTTTTAGGGAGAAACCTCTAAGCCATTTGATCCCATTCCGGGAATGAAAAAGACAGCAAGGACAATTGCTCCTTTTATTGTCTCCCTCTGGCCATCCAAGATGGGTCTCCTTTTCCCTGTTCTCCCAAACCTACCCTCCCTTGAGGGAAATTCCCAGTCTTCCATTCCAAAGGACAGCCCTCTAGGCTGCCTCATAAAAATACCTACAAACCTTAGGCCTCAAGCAAGATATCTGCCTTAAGCGCCTTGTCTTTTTATGCAATTCAGTCTGGGCACAAAACGAATTGGATAATGGGTCAAAATGGCCCACAAATGGAACATCCAAATTTACAATTTTAACTGATTTAAGCAATTATTGATGACGACTGGAGAAATGGGGAGAAATTCCTTAGGTCCGGGCCTTTTTGCACTCAGATCACAACCTGACCTCTGCAATTCTTGCTCACCTGTTCAAATCTTTCTCCTCCATTCTCGCTGCCCAGATCGCCTTTCTCCTCCCAATCCTACCTCTTTTTCCTCCATCGATCCAGCAGACTGCTGCCCACCCCTCCCAACCCCTACCTCTCCCTCTCAACTATCTTCTTTAACCGCCCCCCGCCAGCCTCCTCTTTTATCTTCTCAGCTGCCATATTCTCAGCTGCCATCTTCCCAGTCACCATCTTCCCAGCCAGCAGTATTCACTTCTTTTTTCTACACCATCCCCTCCTCAGGACAATTCTAGTATTGCCTGTACCCATTCTTCTCCCCCATCTCCCTCTCCTGAGGCTTGTAAACCCGTCCCGCCACCTTACACCCCTATCTATCCTCCACTGCCTGTTAACTCAACCCCACTTCCCCCTTCAAACCCTCAGCAGGAACCACCTCCAGATTCTTCCTTTTATCCCACCCATACTCACTCAGGCACCATCTTTGGCCCATGCCCCACCCTTACTTCAGTGCCTGTGCTACAGTGCCCCCTTTGGGAAGTAGCAGGAACTGAAAGTATTGTTAGAGTTCATGTTCCCTTCTCCCTCACTGATCGCTCTCAAATTAACAAAGGACTTTGTTCATTACCAGAAGAACCTACCTCTTATATTAGAGAGCTTCAGTACCTTACCCAGTCTTATGAACAAACCTGGCATGACCTCTATGTTATCCTCTCTTCCACCCTCACCCCAGAAGACCTGGACTGTATCTGGACCCTAGTTCAGGCACATGCTGATACAATTCATCACCAAGCTCCTGTCCAGCCTACTGGTGCAGAGCCAGTCTCCAACCAGGACCCCCACTGGGATTATCAAGACGGAGCCCCTGGATGCCACCATCGAGACCACATGATTGTGTGTCTCCTTGCAGGACTCAAAAAGGGTGCCCATAAAGCAGTCAACTATAAAAAACTTTCAGAAATCACCCAAGGTCCTGTCAAAAACCCAGCGCTTTTTCTCTCTCATTTAACTGAAGCCATGAGAAAGCATACCAACCTAGACCCAGCTAGCCCAGAAGGAACCACTATCTTAAACCTTTGGTTCATCTCCCAATCCACCCCTGATATTCGGCGCCAGCTTCAGAAGCTTGACGACAGCCCTCAAACCCCACAATGAGACCATCTTAATTTAGCCTTCAAAGTCTTTAACAATAGTGACGTGGAAAGTAAAAGGCAAAAACAGGCAGAGTTTCAAACGCTTGCCTCCGTTATCAGGGGCCCTGCAGGCCATGGGGCCGCAACTCCACACGGAAGCCTCCTAGCAATCCATCTCCACCTGGTGCCTGTTTCAAGTGCAGCAATGAAGGCCACTGGTCCAGACAATGCCCAAACCCAGGTAAGCCCAACAGGCTGTGCCCCCTCTGCAGAGGACCCCACTGGAAGTCAGACTGTGAGCAGCCCCCAGAAGGACCACCCCCATCCCTTCCTGAGCCAGCCAAAACCTCCTACTCGGATCTCATCGGCCTTGCTGCTGAAGACTGACGGTGCCCTAGAATGGAAGCCCCAGCAACTGCCATCTCTTCATTTGAGCCAAGGGTAATCCTGCTGGTGGCAGGTAGGCCTATATGTTTTTTAAATTAATACTGGGGCAACAACAACCTACTCTGCTTTACCTAATTTTTCAGAACCCACCCAGTCCTCCCAAGTCTCTGTTGTGGGAATTGATGGACCAGTCTCCAAACCCCGAGCACCCCCCTCCACTTTTCTGCTCCCTGCACACCTTTTCCTTCACTCACTCTTTTTCAGTCCTGTTGTCATGCCCAACTCCACTCCTAGGCAGAGACAGCCTTTCAAAACTCCACACTACTCTCCACTTCCACATTCCCCATAGTACCCAACGCATCCACCCAGACCCCTCAGGTACTTCTAGCTTTCTTCTACTCCTTTAACCTCCCACCCTAAAACACGCAACCTTTCCTTATCCCCCATCTGTAGTTATCCCCGCTGTTTGGGATACTTCCACACCCTCAGTGGCAGAACACCACAGCCCCGTCCGCATTACCCTTAAAGAGCCCACCCAGGCCGGGCACGGTGGCTCAAGCCTGTAATCCTAGCACTTTGGGAGGCGAGGCGGGCAGATCACGAAGTCAGGAGATCAAGACCATCCTGGCTAACATGGTGAAACCCTGTCTCTACTAAAAAACTACAAAAAATTAGCTTGGCGTGTGGCAGGCGCCTGTAGTCCCAGCTACTCAGGAGACTGAGGCAGGAGAATGACGTGAATCTGGGAGGCTGAGCTTGCAGTGAGCCGAGATCATGCCACTGCACTCCAGCCTGGGCGACAGAGCGAGACTCCATCTCAAAAATAAATAAATAAATAAAAAGAGCCCACCCAGTTCCTATCACAGAAGCAGTATCCAATCCCCCATGCAGTTCCTGTAGGCCTAAAGCCTATCATTTCTCACCTCCTCACCAGTCACCTACTCCACCCAACAAAGTCCCCTTTTAACACACCAGTTCTACCTGTTAAAAAAGCCCAATGGAACTTATCCTTTAGTCCAGGACCTCAGGCTCATTAACCAAGCTGTACTCCCTGTATGTCCAGTAGTTCCTAACCCATATACTTTACTTTCTGCAATTCCTTCCAATACCACCCATTTTTCTGTTCTAAACCTAAGGGATACTTTTTTCACATTCCTTTACATCCTGATTCCCAAAACCTCTTTGCCTTCATGTGGGAAAACCCCACATCAACCTTTCATGTCAGCTCACCTGGTGCATACTGCCTCAAGGTTTTAGAAACAGCCCCCACTTTTTTGGACAGGCCCTTGCTCGTGACCTCCATACCTTACCCCTAAAACTGTCCACTCTCCTTCAATATGTTGATGACCTGCTCCTCTGTAGCCCTCTCAAAAGGATTGCAACACCCATACTATCTCTCTTTTAAATTTCCTGGCAGAGCGGAGGTATTGGGTCTCCCCTAAAAAGGCACAAATATGCACCCCTTTAGTCACCTATCTAGGCCTAGCACTTACCCCATGAACCCGAGGGCTCACAACCGACCACATATCCCTCCTCCAGTCCCTCCCGCCTCTGCAGACTAAGCAAGAAATTCTCTCTTTTCTAGGACTAGCAGGATATTTTAGGCTCTGGGTCCCCTCCTTCACTCTACTTGCCAAACCATTATACCAAGCCGCTAAAGGCCCTCTCCAGGAACCTTTAAACCCTGCACAGCCTATTACCCAACCTTTTCATCTACTCCATAAGGCTCTCACCTCAGCCCCTGTCCTCACTCTCCCAGACCTCACCAAACCTTCCTCCCTTTATACTGATGAATGGCATGGAGATGCACTAGGTATTCTAACCCAATCTAAGGGATCCACCCTCCAGATTGCTGCCCACCTCTCCAAACAGCTCAATGCCACAGTTCTTGGATGGCCTGCCTGCCTCCAAGCATTGGCAGCAGCTGCTGTCCTCAGCCTTGAAAGCCTAAAACTATCTCTTCATGCCAACCTAACTGTTTATTCAACCTTTAACATCAAAGACATGTGCTAGCTTACCGCAGTGTACTAGGTCTCATCTCTGCCCCATGGCTCCTCCAACTGTATGCTCTATTCGTAGAAACTCCCCACATCACCATGCTAACCAGCTCCCATCTAAACCCGGCCATAATCTTACCTGAAGCTACAAACACCCAAGACCCTATACGCTTCTGTGTGAACACTGTTCAAACCTTTCTTATACCTTTTCCAAACCTAACAGACCAATCCCTTCCAGGTGCCTCCTTTACTTGGTTTGTAGATGGCAGCTCCTTCCTACATAAAGGATGCCGACATGCTGGCTATGCTACAGTGTCACCCCCAGCACTATTGAAGCCAAGCTGCTCCTCCTAGGCACAGCCTCCCAAAAAGCTGAACTCATCGCCCTCACTTGAGCTCTCACTCTAGCAGCCAGACAACAGATCAGCATATATTGAAATTCTCATTATGTGTTCCACATAGTACACTCACACTTGTCCATCTGGGAAGAACGGGGTTTTCTAACTGCAAAAAACACTCCTGTCATAAACTCCTTCAAGCTGCCAGGCACCCACAGAAAGTTGCCATCATTCATTGCAGGGGCCACCAAACCCCAGACAATCCTATATCGGCTGGAAATGCGCTAGCAGATCAGGTAGCCAAACAAGTAGCCCTACAACCCATGCAAGGCCAGTTTCTGTCCCTGTCCTTGTTCTTTCCTCTCTATTCCTCAGAAGAAAAGCAGGACTTCTGAGCCCAAAACCTTCAAAAGCAAGGACCATGGTGTCAAGGAAGGCACTTCGTTCTTCCTCACTCTCAAAGTCTTCCTCACCTCCAAAGCCTCCACAACTCTTTCCATGTTGGCTACAAACCTCTCTTGCAACTTCACCCTTTTCTCACTTGTCCTCACCTTTCCAGCCATGTTCGAGAAATTACCCAGTCCTGCTCTATCTGCCAACTGAGTGTCACCCAAGGGCTCCCTCCAGCCACTGCCTTTTCCTACCCACCAAGCCTGGGGCCAGGTACCCGGGCAAGATTGGCAAGTATACTTCATTCCTATGCTGCCCGATTGCAGTGGTGCAATCATGGCCCATTACAGCCTACCTCAGCCTCCCAAGTGGCTGGGACTGCAGGCATGTGCCACCATACTTGGCTAATTGTTTTTGTGTTTTTTGTAGGGACAGGGTTTTGCCACGTTGTTCAGGCAGGTCTGGAACTCCTGGGCTCAAGCCTTCCACCTTCTTTGGCCTCCCAAAGTGCTGGGATTAAAGGTGTGAGCCACCACACCTGGCTACTGGCTTCTTGTGGCAAATGGTCCCCTACAGCCCTGGGCCAGACCCTGCACAGCCCCTGTAACTTCACACCCTGGCTCTGTTCTTCATAGCAGAGTAGGGAGCAGGAAAGAGCAGAACCCCAAGAATTAGGCGGGTGAAGTCCTAATCCTGCTGCTCCCTCTGCACAAGGTTGTCTTGGTCCTTTCTATTCTTTTGGCTTCCATTTCCTCATATGGACAATGAGGATTGAACTTGATCTGTGGTTTTCAAACAGGGTTCCAGGGAAATCTGGCAGATGTACCTCAGGGGTGAGGGGGCCCCATACCCTTCCCTGTTTCATCTAAAAACAGGGAACTCCTTTCCCAGGTGGCTGCTGAAGATGGTGGAGGGGCAGGTCCTGGAGCTTGATGGTCGAAGCCATCTCCCGGGCTTCCTGACTGCCATGGTGGCTAAGCAGGCTAGAAGGTGGGGGTCATACGCTGCAGGGGCATTAACATTTCTGGCAATGTCTATAGAAACAAGTTGAAGTACCTGGCCTTCCTCCTCAAAGGGATGAACAGCAACCCTTCCCGAAGCACTTACCACTTCCTGGCCCCCACCACTTCCTGGCCCCCAGCTGCATCTTCCAGCGGATTGCGAGGCATGCTGCCTCACAAGACCAAGGAGGCCAGGCCTCCCTGGACTGCCTCAAGGTGTTTGACGGCACCCCACCGCCCTATGACAAGAAAAAGCAGATGATGATTCCTGCTGCCCTCAAGGTCATGCGTCTGAAGCTTACAAGAAAGTTTGTCTACCTGGGGCACCTGGCTCATGAGGTTGGCTGGAAGTGCCAGACAGTTACAGCCACCCTGGAAGAGAAGAGTAAGGAGAAGGCCAAGATCCACTACCGGAGAAAGAAACAGCTCATGAGGCTATGGAAACAGGCTGAAAAGAAAGTGGAGAAGAAAATTGACAAATACACAGAGGTACTCAAGACCCACATACTCCTGCTCTGAGCCCAATAAAGACTGTTTATCCCTCAAAAAATAAATAACTCAATAAATAAAGCCAACGATAAAACCAAAAGGCAAAGTTGCAAGACTGACTTATTTTTAACTTTTATGTGTTGAGCTACTGTAAGCTTCATTTCTGTTACAGACTTATAGCAATTAACTATACAAAACATAAACATTGTTCTGAAAAATAAAAATATAGATAGATAGATTTATCTCCACAACTCATAATTGGGAGTATTATACCCAGGAGGCTTTGTTACAAGGTATTTTATCCTGTTAGGAAATATTTTCCTTTAATTTTATAGTAAGCAGAAAATGTTTATGGTTGGGGTGGATGCAAAAGTGACACATAATAATTTAGAAGGCAACTAAACTTGTTTTACCAGCTGTTTAGGCATTTTTTACCATCTTTTGGATTTGGAGGGTTTGATCTTGACCTAATTTTATCCTTCAAAATGGCTCTTACAATTTTATGCACCCACCTCTTCCACGATAGTACCTGGGCCTAGAGTGAGGCAGCTTGTATAGTTTTGGCTGCAGGATATTAGCAGTGAAACAGATCCAGGGCCAGGGGATGCCAAATGAGGGAGATTCATATCTCTGATCTTCAGAATACCATGATTTTGGTTTCCTTGGAAGTAAAACAAGGAGAGATAAATAACATTTATAGTTTGACAGTTATAAGAGTAATTCATATGTTAGAATAGAAAAAGAAACCTATTCCATTAGAGCACCAACTAAAAATATAAAGAAAAATTATAATCTGGTACCTTCTAGAGGATTATTGTAGCCAAGAAATAATTATTTAATCTGCACTTAAAATGTTAGGGCTGAAATCTAGTATTAAGTGTCATGTTCTTCCCTTAAAACAATTATTTTTTAACTATTATTGAACTCATGCAGACAACTATACTGTTATAAAATTACAATCTATATTTTGGAGAACTCAGAAAGGTAAATTTGCTTACAAAAACATACTTTACCCAAACAACTTAAAAGAAAAAGATTTTCCTGATCCTCCTTTAACCAGGGCAGCAGCTTTTAAGACAAGATGTTTGTTTACCTTGGAAATGTTATTTACAAACCAAACAGATAGACAAATAGAGTTTAGCAGCTTCTCACAATTAGTCCTAGGAAAAAGGCTCTCTGCTTATTAGGTAGCAAGATGTATGTAAACCATTTTTTATTTTATCATGAAACTCTTTGGGAAACATTTTTTCCATTAGTATAGGGGTAGCTTCAGTTAATATTTCACAGCAAGGCAGTAAATGCCTCATCAAGTAGAACTTCTCTAGCTCAGTCGGTGTTATTGAAAAGTACTCATAGTTTTTGCCATCAGCCCTGATAAATGCATTACACAAAAGGCTATGCAGTGGAGGATTTACATGAGCAGGTTGACATGTCTTCAGTTTTGTAGTACTAGAAAGGGGAAAACATCCCCCAGTTAGATATAGTACCCATTTTCATAAGACATTTAGGTAAACGGGGTTACAACTACCTTACATAAAGCGTGTTTAAACATTACATTTTATAATTCTATTAACCTTTATGTTTTTCTGTTCTGGTCCCAGGAAGCCTTTTTTTGCCCTAAACTATTTTACCTTGTCTGGTGAAAAGGGTTTGGGTTCCCGTCAGGGAGTTGCATCTGTAAGACTTATGAGGGACAGCAGACTTGATAAGGCTTCTTAAACAGACCTATGATTCTGTGGGAGGGGCACCCATGTAAAAGGAGCCCTCTTAACCCCCAAATTTACCATGACCCAGGTAATGAACATATTTGGTGGGAGGATATCCCAGTTATCATAAATCTAGTCCCACATGGCTTGCATATGAAACATATTAACTGCTTCATCTGGGGTATTTCACTTGGTATTTTATAGGGAAAGTTGGGCAGTCCCCTTCTCAAGGCCAACAGACCTTATAATGGCATTATCTGGTCCACTAGGCTGATTACTTTCTCAGGAATAACACCCTGTGCATTTGGGTCACATATACTCAGTATTCGTTCAGTAATGAGCTGTGGGTCCTGCATTAATCCAAGCAAGCTCCTAAATTCTCTAGCATTTAAAATTAAAAATTTGGTCCTTAAAGTGGTTATTTTTATAATCCACCATTTTTAAAGAAACTGAATGATACCAATCTACAAACTGGAAAAATTCCTTTGCATTACACCCTCTGGTTTTTAATGGTTACTTGGTTTTACTGTTCTCCCATATCAACTATTTTCTTGGTAACCACAGGGCTCAGAGTTAACTGTTGATGCCCTGGCTTTTGTTTTTTTAAATTTATTTCATTTTATCTGTATAACTTTCTTCATTTTAGCTGTATAATTTTGCTTCATTTATAAAGCAACTCTTAAATAGTTTCTTAACCAAAAAGTAACATATTTTTTGAGAATTGACATCCTTGTGTTTATAAAATTCTAACAAAGGCACATTTCATGCTTTTACTATTTTAACTTTTTAGTAACCCAAATTTCTGTGGAAAAAAACCCAAGCATTTAAACATGACTTTAAGGTTTTTAAACTACTGGACAATTTGGAGATTAAATTTACCAAATTAATTTTTACCAAATATTACCAAAGTTATGTAAATAAAAAGAGATCTGAGCTAGCTTTTACTAATCTGGTAAGCATTTACATTTTTGTAAGTTAAGTGATTAGAACTTTTTCATGCAGTTTGGTAGTGAAATATCACCTCTACATGACACATATAAAGATAGAGATATAACAGGCATGCAGAATAAAAGGCATGTTCAAAAGATACATTATTTGCCTGTTTTAAGAAACAATTTTTCTCCCTTACTGCAGATAATTAGTAAAAGTTACAGGAGCCAACAAAAGGTGAAGGAGAGAGCCATCATTCAAGGCCTTTTCAAAAGAGAAAGCTTGGCACTTTTAAGATATCAATCTGAAGAATGTTAAAAAACAGATTATAGAATTTAAAAATTTAAAAATATCTTGCATTACAAATAAGTCAATATTTGTAATAAAATCTTGTTTTTATCAATTATTTAGTTTTGTATTTGTGCATTTTTTAAATATTAAAGACCCATCTCTATAAAGATTATTATGATTTCCTTTTAATTATAGCCAACTGAAATATACAACCCCTTAAAAATTCATTTTACTAACCTTATTATGACTTACACAGACCATTCACAGAAGTTAGACTTTTTGTTTTACCCTAAATATCTCTCTTTCTTGAACAATCCAGTTATTTTATTTTAGGGCAAAAATTCACCACACAAGGTTCTTTCTTATATAAAATTACTTTCCTTTTTCACCTCTTTTTTTAACTAAACATGCCTCTTTATATCTTTCTTGACAGCTCTTATTTCCTGATTCCTTTACCTTACTTCATACATAACCCTTAAATAAGCTTTGAATTAGACAAAGATATTTTACCTTTAATAAGAACATTTAAAAAAAAGTTTTCCTGTAATTCTTAAATTGGAAATTGCCCAGATACTTAATATCAATTAATAACCTTAGATCCTAAATTATGACAAGTTTGTTTACAAGCATTTATTCCATTACATTTACCTGATTAATTTAATAGTTTACCTAGATTATTTACAAAAAAAACTATAATAGCCAATATTCAAAGTTATTTTTCTATTAACCATTTTTATAGCTGTGAATTTTATGTATTTACTTAAGTAATAAAACTTATGGTTACTTTTAAGGGTATTTATACCAACAACTCAATATTTAGCTATTTTCATTTAAGCCAACAATATTTCATAAGCATGTACAAGCAAAGATCATTCTGTCTTGGGCTGGGTTTCATAGTTTATAACCCTTATGGCAAATCATACAGTATTCTGCAGGAATAAACATGAAACTACTTGCTTAATATATGTAAACAAAATGTTTACAATTCTAAAGATATTGCTGATATTATTTTACCAATAATTTCAAAGCTGACTTATTTAGTAAAGATTTTACTTAAGTCATGTGAACTTGGAAAAGCATTTGACTAGTCTCTTTTTTTTAGCATCTGATTTAAGCATTTTTTATAGCCAGTTAATTAGAGCTCTTCATATATTTTTACTAGTGAAAATATTGTGTACACACACATAAATATGTTGATGTATTAGGCATACTGATAGAAGCATATCCTATAGGTTCATAAAGACCTTTTTTTCCTATTTTTAAAAATCTAACCCTAAGCAGTTGTCAGCTAAATGGCCTTAAATTTGCATATTAAAGGCAACTCAGGTGAACAAGAGATAGCAAAATTAGTCTGGTGTGCTAGAGGGAAATTAAAACGGATTCAGTTGCCAATTGAACATAAAATTACAGAAGTCTATTATAAAGGCCTTTAAATATATACACGCACAAATACAAAGCTCCCATAGCTATTACTTCAGTACTTTAGCCATGAGATAAATACAACTTTGCCAACTTGCAAAAACATTGTTAGATCTGAACAGTGGTTTTTATCTCAGTAGAAAAGTTACAGCAGACTTACAGCAGGCAGAAGAGAAAACAGAACCTAGGTACTCTATAGTTTGTAGGTCTACCCTAGGATTCTTTTCTCCCTAATGTAAATGTGCACAAAGACTGTATTAGTTCCATTTTACATAAACTTTGTCAAGTAGAGGTGCCATAAAACCTATGAAGTGCCCAAAAGTGGGTTATTCTCCTTGTTTTCTACTTATTAAATCTTTTCCCGCTTTTTTTTTTTTTCTTAAAAGGAGGAACTGAGCTGTAGCCTAGGGTTATTGTGTGGTGGATGGATGCATGCTCCTTGTGGACAGCACTCCACAGTGTGTCACCACTGAGTCATTTCCACCCTCTTACATGTCTCAGTTTGTCTCTCCAGAGGTCTATGACCTATGAGAGGGCTCAAAACTCTGGGTGATCAGCCCTTATATGCATTTCCTGGATGAGCCATTTTAAAATTAAGTCTTGTTGGGGATTTCCCTGCAGGGCTGCTGCACATCATGGGAGGTCAACCCCCCAGACCCTCCCAGGAGGCCCCTGGTCACTCAGGGGCACCTTTCGGCCGGGAGGAACAAATGCCCTTTCTCTTTGGAGCTGAAAAACTTAGTCTCTCATTTATCTGTGAAAACAACAGTTCCATTCCTCATGAAAATGCACACAGAAAAACCAAATCAAGATAAATTTTAGGATAAAAAGCAATATAGAATTCCCTTTAGAATGCATCTCCAAACTCAACTATGATCCTTAAACAATTTCCTAGGAGAAAACCAGCTCAGAATAAATCAAAGACTGACTATCAACCAGGGGGGTCCAGGGCTCAGGACTTACCAGTTCCACCAGAGGAGAAGCTCTAAGTTGGACAGGCTTTAATGGGCCCCGCTGGTACCTTAGCTCCAAGTTTGGGCAACTCCTTCGGAGTCCTGCATCTTCTCTGAGGTCCCATGTGTTTGGGCGCCAAGTTATTGTTGATGTAAAGAGTCGAACTCTGTAAGATATTTTAAGAGATTTATTCTGAACCAAATATCAGTGACCATGGCCCATGACACAGCTCTCAGGAGGTCCTGAGAACATGTGCCCAAGGTGATTGGGGTAGAACTTGGTTTTCTATATTTTAGGGAGGCATGAGACATCAATCAAATACAATTAAGAAATACATTGGTTTGGTTCAGAAAGGTGGGACAACTCAAAGCAGGGGCTTCCAGGCTATAGGTAAATTTAAACATGTTCTGGTTGACAATTGGTTGAGTTTATCTGAAGATCTGAAATCAATAGAAAGGAAGCATTCAGGTTAAGATCAAGGATTGTGGGGAATAAGTTTTATTGTGCCGAGGAAGCTCTCAGACAGCAGACTTCGCGACAGAAGGTTGTAAAATATTTATCTGACTTAAAAGGGTACCTGACTCTAAGTTGATTATCCCCTGGATATGGAAAGGAAGGAAGGAAAACAAAGAGGAAATGGGATTCTCTAGAGAATGTGGATTTTTCCCACAAAAGGGTTTGCAGGGCAAATTCAAGGTATGGTAAGGAAATATATTATGGGGTAAAACATTTTGATTTCTTTCTTGTTATGCCAGAGATAGGTTGGAAGGTAAATCATGATAAACAGGGTCAAATAAAGCCCATCTGATGAGAATTTATGGTTTGTAGGGCATGACTCCCCAGACCCCTTAGATAAGAATTTGGGCAAGACAAAAAAACAAAGAAAAATCAGAGCTTCATCCTCAAAGTAAAGTGAAGAAAATAATTCCGAGCAAACTTGCTGCAGAAAGATAATCTGACTTAAGTTTGTATTCCAAGTTCTTATTTTGCTTCGGTTAGTCTTGAATTTGATTATAAATCTGTGTTGGGAGCTATTTTAAGTGACTACGTATATTTTGAGCATACTAATGTTCAAAATATGCTTGAAATAAAATTTTAGAAAGCTTAATAGTACTTCAAAGTGTAACATAATTTTTATTCATGAATACATATTTAGGGTTAATAAAATAAGGAAAAGCCTTAATAAAAGATTCTACATTTGCAAAGATACTAGTGTAATTATGAAGCAAAGATTTAGATTATTTTGAAGTCAAAACAATGTCTTAGTTTTCAAAACATAAGGATTACTATTGAAGACTTTTCTATGTAGATCATTTCAAATGAAGCACAGAAAGGAAAAACATTATTTTGTTTGGGATTCCCTAAGGAAATTAAAAAATATATACTGGAGATCATATAAATCAGAATTTATGAATTATTGTTTGAGTTATCCAAAATGCAACAGCAATACTGGGACATGTTCTTGGGAGGATCTCAGAGAATGAGAAGAGGGAGAAAGAGATAAAAGAGATCAAAGAAATAAGTAGTCATCACCCAGCCAGCTCATGGAGTCTTTGTGCTTCAGTGAGTACAGATCCAAGAGAGCCGTTGCCTGTCCTATCACTCAAACTCACAAAAGCTCAGTTCCTGAAGACCTAAAGCACCCTTGTGACAGATCCTGAATAGCTTGTGCTTCCTGAGAGGGGGATCAGGAATGTTTCCAGAGTAGCTTTTTGTTTGTTTGTTTGTTTGTTTGTTTGTTTGTTGAGACGGAGTCTGGCTCTGTCACCCTGGCTGGAGTGCAGTGGTGCGATCTTGGCTCACTACAACCTCTGCCTCCCAGGTTTAAGCAATTCTCCTGCCTCAGCCTCACAAGTAGCTGGGATTATAGGCACCTGCTGTCGCGCCCAACTAATTTTTTTTTTTTTTTGAGACAGGTCTCTCTCTGTCATCCAGGCTGGAGTGCAGTGGCGCGATCTCAGCTTACTGCAACCTCTGTCTTCCAAGTTCAAGCGATCCTCCTGCCTCAGCCTCCTGAGTAGCTAGGATTACAGGCACAGGCCACCACGCCAGGCTAATTTTTGTATTTTTGGTAGAGACAGGATTTTGCCGTGTTGCTCAGCTGGTGTCGAACTCCTGGGCTCAAGTGATCCACCCGCCTCAGCCTCCCAAAGTGTTGGGATTACAAGCATGAGCCACTGTGCCCGGTCCAACTAATTCTTCTATTTTTAGTAGAGATGGGGTTCTACCACGTTGGCCAGACTAGTTTCAAAATATTGACCTCAAGCCTGCCTACCTCAGCCTCCCAAAGTGCTGGGATTACAGGCATGTGCCATTGCACCCAGCCTCCAGAGTAGCTTTTATTGGCTTTATTTTGCTTTTCTCACCAGCTTTAACATGAGTATTGGTATTTAGGTGATAGGATTCCTAGACTGGCTAATTATGATTTTACAAAAGAGTTGACATGTATGTTGTTGGCATCCCAGTTTGTACTGGTTTGCACGTTTTACTCCCAGCTTAAAAGCAAGAGAGAAAGAAAGAGAGAGACTTAAAATTCAGTCATCAAGTGATTGAAAATAAAATAAAGTCCATTCCACCTAAATACCTACTATATTCACTGATATGGTTTGGCTCTGTGTTCACACCCAAATGTCACTGTGATAATCTCCGCATGTCAAGGGCAGGACCAGGTGGAGGTAAATGGATCATAGGGGCAGTTTCCCCATGCTGTTTTTGTGATAATGAGTGAGTCTCATGAGATCTGGTGATTTTATAAGCATCCAGCATTTCCCCTGCTTGCACTCATTCTCTCTCCTGCTGCCCTGTGAAGACGTGCCTTCATTACTGTAAGTTTTATGAGGCCTCCACAGCAATGTGGAACTATAAGTCAATTAAACCTCTTTCCTTTATAAACTACCCAGACTTGGGCAGTTCTTTATAGCAGCATGAGAATGAACTAATACAGTTATAAACCACCTACAAATGGATTCATCAAATGATTGCTTGAAACTGACATCTATGTTCTATATCATCCGTGGTGGTGATTAAAATGTACCACCTGGATGCCTCTTCAGTGAAGGAACCATTGCCTCAGCTACAGGGGTTTGCCAGAAGACAACTAGGGCTATCATTCCCTTCAGGGACTGTCTCATTTGAAAAAAGTCTCCTCAACCAAGGTCATGTCATTCCTGGAGCAGCTGACAGCTAATAACTTCTTGATACAGGAGCATAAAGTCTTGGCTATCTTGGCCTGATGAGGAACATCTCTCAAGGATCTTTCTGGCTTAAAGTTCCTCAGGCCTGCATCACAGCTTGATGTGTCCCTTGGATAAGTGTTGATTCCAGCATAGTCCTAGGTAAATATCCTACACACTAAACTCAGTCCCAGAGTCTCCTTCCAGGAGAACTGAACATGTACTCATATTAGATTCACATTTATGTGTGTTTTCCTTTGTCTCACTGAAGCAGGCAACATGAAAAAATGTATGTTTTAGTAAGGGGCAGCTCATCCTTCCCTATGAAAATTATCCAACATTCCCAAACTTGTTGGCCACCCAAGCTCTCAGTGTCTCTACTTTGTGCTTCTGCTTGAATAATGTGACAGGGAAGTTCATTACTGTGATTAATTTAGTTAAAGTGGTACAGGAAATGGAGATGCCTTTATAACTACCAGTATAATAAAAGTCTTTTAAGTATTTTAACATAATAGAGAAAGAAAGTAATCTCTGTGATCTGCATGAAAAGCTGTGCTGGAGAGTTTTTATACGGCCACATTCTCTAAGTCAGGCTATACTGATAAAAAAAAAAAAAAAGAATAAAGGTGTTAATGAGCCTAAATCCAACTGTTCTGTGAATCTGAGCTAATTAGGTGACAAACACAAATTTGTATGCACCAAGAGAAAGAGAGAGAAACAGAGAGAAGAAGAAGAAAGACAGGAAAGAAGGAAGGAAAGAAAAAAAAGGACAGAGGAAAGAAGGAAGGGAGGGAAAAAAGAAAAGAAAAATGGGTAGGTGGAATAAAAAAAGACACCAAAAGTTCTGATGCCCTCAAAATTTCAGAAGAAGTCATAACCCCAAATGCCTAAACAATCAGGGAGTTGGTGTAAATGTATGACATGGGCTAAGTGTGTGATCAACAGGGAATGTCAGGGACTGTGGCAAAGTAGAAATTGACTGCCCCATCCAAAAGCAGCAGCCACTTTTTACCTCCAGCCCACTCTTTTCTTGGAATAAAATAGAGGTAGTATTGCCAGGTCTTTCAATTTTGTTAAAGAAGACATCAACTCAGAATTTTTATAAAGTTTTTTGGCTTACAAAATATCCTGAAATCCACACCAAGTGCCTTTGCAGGCCAGATGTTGCCCTGGAGCTGTAGTTCACAAATCCTTTCAGAATACTGATTATAATATACTGGTGACTTTTTGGTCACATGTTTCTTAAGGTATATGCAAATCAATCTTTGTGAATGTTACCATATTTTAAATCACAAAATTTCACTATTTAGTGTAAACTCCCTAAAGATTTACCTGTTTGGTAAGCTTTTTTTTTTTTTAAAGTAAAATGTCTTCCTGTTGTAGTGGGATTACTTGTGGATCCCTTGGATAGACCAATTGGAAAGGAAGTAGTTACATTTCTAACGTAATGACATATAATGCAAAATCCATATGGTGTGGAGAGGGCAGATTGAAGGGGCATTCAGTAAACCAGAGTTTACCTTATGCAGAATATCTCTCTCATTTTCTATTTCTAGATGTAACATCACTTCTAAAACATCATTAACAATAACTCATTAGTTGAGCTAAAACCAAACTATTCAATGTCTTGAAACAGCATAATCTATTTTTAAATTGAGATATTATTCATGTAACCATAAGATTCATCCTGTTACAGTGATCCTGTTAACAATTCAGTGGTTTTTAGTATATTTGCAAAGCTGCATAGCCATCACCATTAACTAATTTCAGAACATTTTCATGACTTGCCCCCACTACCCTGAAAAAAAAAAAATTATGATTATTAGCAGTCACTCCCCTTTTCCTTTGCTCCCAGCCCCTGGAAACATCTAATCTACTTTCTGTCTCTACAGATTTGTGTATTCTGAACATGTCATATAAATGGAATTATATATTTGTCATTTTGTGTCTGTCTTCTTTCACTTAGCAAAATGTTTTCAAGGCTTGTCTGATTGTGGCATTAATCAGTGTAGTTGACCCTTGAACAATATAGGAGTTAGGGGCCCTGACCTTTGGCACTGTCAAAAATTCCAGTGTAACTTTTGTCTCCCCCAAACTTAACTACTGATAGCTTTCTGTTGACCAATTGCCTTTCTGATAACATACACAATAGAAATACCTATATTGCATGTTAAATGTATTACACAATACAATCGGTAAAATATATTTATCTTACAATAAAATAAGCTGGAAGAAAATATTATTAAGAAAAATCACAAGGAAGAGAAAATGTATTTACTATTCATTAAGTGGAAATGGGTCATCATATAAGTTCTTCATCCTTACTGTCTTCACATTGTCTGAGGAGAAGGGGGAAGAGGAGGGATTGGTCTCATTATCTCAGGAGTGGCAGAGGTGGAAGAAAATTTGTGTACAGGTGGACCTTCACAGTTCAAACATGTGTTGTTTGAGGACAAAGTGTATTTCATTCTTTTTTATGGCTGAATAATATTCTGTTGTATGGACATACCACATTTTATTTATCCACTTGTTTCTGCTTTGTGGCTATTATGAATAACCTAAGAACATTTGTGTACATGTTTTCATGAAGATATATGAATTCATTTCCCTTGGCTATATACTTAGGTATGGAATTGTTGGGTCATATTCAGTCAGGAGTTTTTCCTGCTGATGCATTAGTGGTCTTGCTAACTTTGAAGAATGAAGCTGCAGACTTTCGTGGTGAGTGTTAACAGTCCAAAAAGAGTCCATGGACCAGGAGAGTGAGGAACAGTGCAGTTTATTGAACAAAGTGAAGGGAAAGCTTCCACGTGGTGGATGGGGACCCAGAAGGGTTGCTGTTGCTGGCTCGGATGGCTAGGGCTTATATCCCTATGTTACCCCCTCCCCTTTCTTTCTTTTTGCCCATTGAGAGTGGTTCTTTTTTCAATCTTCCCTCAGAGTGGTTAATTTTGAATCCTTCACTCGAATGGTTAAGAACTCAAAACCCTGAGTCACAGGGGTCTTTTGCAAAAGTCCTTCAATCGGCCCAGGAAGTCCCACCAACTCTACCCCTCAGTCTCCCCTCTCAACAGGAGAGCCCAACTGCTGTTGGGTGTGGGACGATGACCGCTGAAACTGCTTCCTGCTGAGTAGGGGCATAGAAGGGTCCCTGCAGCTGAGGTTTCCTCATGAGAGGTGGTTTGGGTGTCAATATCTGGGTATGGGCTGGCAGGCTAGTCTAGGGGTCCTTGATAATAGGTGCTGGTTGAAGTCATCCGAGGTTCCATCTGCAGTACCATTTGTAGTTTCACTGATTCTATTCATGAAGAAATGAAACAGATTAGGGAATTGAAAAGACATGGGCCAAAGGTTACTCGTAGAATAATCATAAGGAGGGGACCTAGAAATGGAAGAAGCCAGGGGAGAACACATTGTGAGAACCATGAGGTAGCTTCAGTTGTCCCACCGTGTAGTCTGCTGCCTCTATCCTGAAGTCGTTTAATTCCATCTCTGACTATGCATGATTTATTGACATAAAAACAACACTCCTCATTCAGAAAAAGGCATGTTCCTACCCTTTCAGCAGAGAGGAGATCTAGTGCTCACTGGTTCTGGAGAACCACAGCTGCTAATAGTCTATTCGGTCCCGGATTTGAGTAAGTTGGACAGAGATTTCATCTAGGCTTTCTCTTACTTATTTAGAGAGTGTCAAGGACACTGTGAGTCCAGCGGTTCCAGTTCGTAGGGTGGTAGTAAAACCTAAACCAGCCAATAGAGGAAGTAGTGAGATTGCTCTTGGCTGAAGCTTAGCATGAATGGGCATGGCTACTGCCTCTTCTGAAAAGGAGTAAGTCGAGGAGTTACAATGTAGGCTAAAGTACAAGTTCCCATCCAGTTGGTGGGGAAGCAAACATAGAAGGATTTCCACACACAAAGAAAACTCCTTGCCAGGATTCTACACACCCCGTAGCTGAAAATCTAATAAGGGCTGAGGTCAGTCTGCATTAGTTTCTCATTCTCATGATTTGAGGGTTTGGGACAAATGGCCACTCCTAGAGGTTGGAGCTGAATAGAATTTGACAAGGACATATTATGGGGTTCCTCTAAGGCAAACCAAGGGCTAGCTGCGTTAAGAAAAACTTCTGTTCCGGGGACAGGAAGAGAGAGCAATGGGGTTTTAACCCTTCACCTGTGAGAGAGGGAAAAAGTCCCCAGAGGGGAATAACCTGGGCAAAGGGAAGTCTGCCCCAGCAGTAATTGCTTGTTGTTTTGGCCTCTGCTGGGGGAATTATCTGGCTTGGGTTGTTAAATCTTAATGGATAGGTGACTGAAATGGGATCTCCAAGGAGATCTTGTTTATTTCCACCAAACGTGGGGGTGCCATTAATGGTACTGTAGGAATTAGAATATTTGGACTCTATATCCAAGGCAAGCATATAGTTGCAGCTAGCCACGTGTCCCACATCCTGTGATCCTGGAAACACTTGACAGAAGATACAAAGGAGTGGAGGTCAAAAGAAGGAGGTTACTGTGCCCACAGAACCTATGATTGTGTTGGTTGATATAGTGAATTGTCAGAGAATGGCAGCGGCTGCTTTTAAGACTGCTTGAGCCCTGTTGGGGAAATTGGACCTATCACTAGGATGAAAAAATCCTGGGCCCTTAGAAGTGTTAGCTATGAATAAGGCCAAAGAGGTTTCCACCCATATGTTAAGGGGTGGCTGGAACTGCTGTACATAAGGGGGAATTAAGGTTCATGCAAACCCATCAGGAAGACTTACTCTGGCTGGGATGTGCTTCAAATAAAAACTGGGAGGACATGTTTATAATTCCCTCAAGTTTAGGGGAAAAGGTAGAGTGGGAAAAGGTTAAGACTTAGGCAAAGGTAAGGAAAGTTAGGATGTTAGAGTACATTTTGTTTTTAAAACAAGAACTGAGGTAGAACTTATGAGCACTAATTACTTTCCTGTGGTTTTTCCTTCTGAAAGAAGATAGGTCTTCCAATGGCTTGCAGGTTTAAGAAGGTTTGTCTGACTGACTCTTAGATTCCCGGGCTGATGATTCCACAGGTTTTTCAGGTTGCCATCCAAGGTTTGATTTGGGTGTGATGGAACCAAGACTCTACTCCAACCACCTTGACTGCAGTTGGAGTGGAGAAGATAACTGAATACAGTCCTTCCCACGATGGATCCAGGGATGGGGAGGTAGAGGTGAGGGACTTGGCTAATACTAGATCCCCAGGATGGAACAATCCTTTTCCCTTTCTCAGTGGCATCCCTCAGGTAATGTATTAAGGATTTGTTGGTACCTAGCCAAAGAAGTTATGTCCTTGACTAAGTTGGTAGTTTCTTGATCAAGAAAGAGGTTGTTTTTGAGAAAAGGCTGTCCATATAGCATTTCATGAGGACTGAGTCTATCTTGTGGGGAGAATTTTGGACACTTAATAATGCTATGGATAAGATGGTAGGCCATGGGAGGTGAATTTCTTGTGTTAATTTCCTTAAGTGCCTTTTGAGTGTTTCATTCATCTTCTCGACTTTCCTTGAGGATTGTGGTCTCCAGGTGCAATGAAGGTGATATTGTAACCCTAGTACCTTGGAAATTCCCCAAGTCACTGTGGCTCTGAAAGCCGGGCCATTATCACTTTGTAAACTAAAGGGAAGTCCAAACCTAGGAATTATTTCATGAACCAGGGCTTTGATTACCTCCTGGGCCTTTTCTATTTAAAGGGTAAGGCTTCAACCCAATTTGTGAAGGTATCAACACAGACTAATAAGTATTGAAGTCCCCGTGACTTAGGCATACGAGTGAAATCTAACAGCCAGTCCTCTCCAGGGTAGTGCCCTGTCCTTTGTTCTCCCTGAGGGGCTTCATGATGAACCAAGAAGTTATTCCTTTGGCACACTTTGCAGGCCTTGACTATCTGCCAGACAGTTTTAAGGAGATCTCATCCAGTGAACAGAGATTTGGCCTTTTGACGGGTATTCTCAATACCCATATGGAATGTTTGATGAAGGGTTTTTAGTATTTTCCATTGATTAGCTGTGGGTATGAGCACCTTTCCCTTCTCAGTAGCTAGCCATCCCAAGGGGAGAAAATTATGTCCACATGAAAGTCCCCATTCTGTTTCTGCAGGGGATACTGGGGCCTGGCCTCCTGAAGGAGATTATCCCGTACCAAGGGTCCCTCCATAGGTGTTTCTAATGGGAGGTCCCGTCTTGTGGTGACTTTGGTCTCAGCTTCTGCCTGGCAATTTCCTTCTGCTTCCTTTTGATGGCCTTTTTGATGGGTTTTTGCACTGCCTGTAATAATTTCATACTTTCTTTATGGTATTTAATGGGTGTTACTCCAGAGGTTAGGAACTCCCTTTCTTTTCATATGGCAGCATGGGCATGTAGAACTAGATAAGCATATTTGCTGTCCATCTACACATTTATTCTTTTTCCCTTTCCTAGCTCTAAATCTCAGGTAAGTTCCACTAGTTCTGCTAACTGGGTGCTGGTCCCTGGGGGAAGGGGCTCACTTTCAAGTACTGCTTTATCACTAACTATGGCATATCCTGCCCTTCATAATCCCTTTTCTACAAATGAACTTCCTTCAGTATGTAGGTTGAGGTCAGGGTTCGTTAAGGGGACCTCTAGAAGATCCTCCTGGGCAGCATAAGTTTGGGCTATGACCTGTTGACCATCATGTTCTATTGGCCCTTCGTTTTCTGGGAGAAAAGTAGCTGGGTTAAGAGCTGCACAAGTGTGCATCTGAAGCACTGGTCCCTCAAGTAATAAGGCCTGGTACCTAAGTAGGCGATTGTCTGACAGCCGCAAACCTCCTTTAGCAGTTAGTATGCTGTTTACATCGTGAGTAGTCCATACAGTGAGGTCTCTCCCTTGTATTATTTTGATGACCTCTGATACTAAAATGGCCACCACAGCTACCACCCAGAGACAATGAGGCCAACCCTTTGTGACCACATCAATTTCTTTACTCAAATATGCTACTGGCTGTATGGTAGTCCCTCGAGTCTGGGTAAGGACTCCAATGGCTAGTCCCATCCTTTCTGTGACATATAAACAGAAATTTTGTCCCGTAGGTAGACTCAAAACTGGGACTTGTGTTAGGGCCTGTTCCAGGGTTCTGAAGGCTGCCTCTGCCTCTAGTCCCCATTCTATCAAATGGGTGTTAGCTTTTTGGGTTTCCTTAATTAGAGTGTAAAGTGGCCTGGCCATTTCACCATATCTGGGGATCCATAGTTGGCAAAAGCTGGTTATTCCAAGAAATGCTCATAACTGTTTTAATGTATTAGGGCAAGGATAAGCCAGTATAAGCTGGATAAATTCTTTGCTGAGAGCCCTGGTTCCTTTAGCCAAAACCAGCCCCAGGTATTTCACCTGCTATAAACAAAGTTGAGCCTTTGATTTAGATACTTTGTAACCTCGATCAGCTAGAAAGTTTAAAAGGTCTTGGGTATCCTGATGGCACAGGGTCTCTGAACAGGTAGCTAGAAGTAAGTCATCCACATATTGAAGAATTAGGGTACTTGGGTGCAAGAAGTGACTTAAATCTTGGGCCAATGCTTGGCCAAACAGGTGAGGCCTATCCTTAAATCCATGGGGCAAGACTGTTCAGGTAGGCTGAGATGTTTGATCTCAGGGATCCTCAAAGGCAAATAGAAATTGACAGTCATGGTGTAGAGGGATACAGAAAAGCATCTTTAAGATCCGTGACTGTAAACCACTCTGCTTCTTCTGGTATTTGAGAGAGTAATGTATAAGTGTTGGGTACAGTTGGGTATAAAGGAATTACAGCCTCATTAATGAGCCTGAGGTCCTGCACTAATCTCCATTGACCATTTGGTTTTTGTATCCCTAGAATTGAGATGTTACAGGGGCTGTTACAACACCTTACTAGGCCTTGTGCTTTTAAATGTTTAACAATACCTTGTAATCCCTTTTGAGCTTTGGGTCTTAGGGGGTATTGTCTTCAGTAAGGGAAAGAGATGAGGTCTTTTAGTTTGATTTGGACTGGACAGGCATTCTTTGCTCATTGAATTGTCCTTCTAATGCCCAAACCTCAGGGTTGATTTCTTTCTCAAGTAGGGGACAACAGATAGGTGTTTTGTTCCCTGTATTCCTACAGATGATAGCTCCTGCTTTGACTAATATGTCCCTCCCCAGTAAGGGTGTGGGATTCTCGGCCATGATGAGAAAGACATGCAAGAAAAGTAAGGTTTCCAAGTTACAGCTAAGGGAGGTGAGAGAAATACCTGGTTACAGGTTGTCTCAGGATCCCTTGGATGGTAACAGACCTTGAGAACAACCATCCAGGGCAGGAGAGTAGAACCGAGAAGGCCATGACAGTGTCCAGGAGAAAGTCAATTTCCTGGCCCTCAATGATCAGACTTACCCAGGTCTCTGTGAGGGTGATGACATCAGATGGCGCTTGCCCCAGGCACCCTCAGTCCTGTTGCTGGATCATCTGGTCATGAGCTTCTGGCCCAGAGAACCTTCACCCTCTGGGGCAGTGTTCCTTCAAGTGATCACCTTGACATAGCAGACATGGGCGAGGGGGTGGCTTATTTCTTGTTGGACAATCTTTTTTATTTATTTATTTTATTATTATTATACTCTAAGTTTTAGGGTACATGTGCACAATGTGCAGGTTTGTTACATATGTATACATGTGCCATGTTGGTGTGCTGCACCCATTGACTTGTCACTTAGCATTAGGTATATCACCTAATGCTAACCCTCCCCCCACCCCCCACCCCACAACAGTCCCCGGTGTGTGATGTTCCCCTTCCTGTGTCCATGTGTTCTCAGTGCTCAGTTCCCACCTATGAGTGAGAATATGTGGTGTCTGGTTTTTTGTCCTTGTGATAGTTTGCTGAGAATGATGGTTTCCAGCTTCATCCATGTCCCTACAAAGGACATGAACTCATCATTTTTTATGGTTGCATAGTATTCCATGGTGTATATGTGCCACATTTTCTTAATCCAGTCTATCATTGTTGGACATTTGGGTTGGTTCCAAGTCTTTGCTATTGTGAATACTGCCGCAATAAACATACATGTGCATGTGTCTTTGTAGCAGCATGATTTATAATCTTTTGGGTATATACCCAGTAATGGGATGGCTGGGTCAAATGGTATTTCTAGATCTAGATCCCTGAGGAATCACTACACTGACTTCCACAATGGTTGAACTAGTTTACCTTCCCACCAACAGTGCAAAAGTGTTCCTATTTCTCCACATCCTCTCCAGCACCTGTTGTTTCCTGACTTTTTAATGATTGCCATTCTAACTGGTGTGAGATGGTATCTCACTGTGGTTTTGATTTGCATTTCCCCGATGGCCAGTGATGGTGAGCATTTTTTCATGTGATTTTTGGCTGCATAAATGTCTTCTTTTGAGAAGTGTCTGTTCACGTCCTTCACCCACTTTTTGATGGGGTTGTTTGTTTTTTTCTTGTAAATTTGTTTGAGTTCATTGTAGATTCTGGATATTAGCCCTTTGTCAGATGAGTAGGTTGTGAAAATTTTCTCCCATTCTGTAGGTTGTCTTTTCACTCTGATGGTGGTTTCTTTTGCTGTGCAGAAGTTCTTTAGTTTAATTAGATCCCATTTGTCAATTTTGGCTTTTGTTGCCATTGCTTTTGGTGTTTTAGACAGGAAGTCTTTGCCCATGCCTATGTCCTGAATGGTATTGCCTAGGTTTTTTTCTAAGTTTTTATGGTTTTAGGTCTAACATGTAAGTCTTTAATCCATCTTGTATTAATTTTTGTATAAGGTGTAAGGAAGGGATCCAGTTTCAGCTTTCTACATATGGCTAGCCAGTTTTCCCAGCACCATTTATTAAATAGGGAATCCTTTCCCCATTGCTTGTTTTTCTCAGGTTTGTAAAGATCAGATAGTTGTAGATATGTGGCATTATTTCTGAGGCCTCTGTTCTGTTCCATTGGTCTATATCTCTGTTTTGGTACCAGTACCATGCTGTTTTGGTTACTGTAGCCTTGTAGTATAGTTTGAAGTCAGGCACCATGATGCCTCCAGCTTTGTTCTTCTGGCTTAGTATTGAGTTGGTGAAACAGGCTCTTTTTTGGTTCCATATGAACTTTAAAGTAGTTTTTTCCAATTCTGTGAAGAAAGTCATTGGTAGCTTGATGGGGATGGCATTGAATCTGTAAATTACCTTGGGCAGTATGGCCATTTTCATGATATTGATTCTTCCTACCCATGAGCATGGAATGTTCTTACATTTGCTTGTATCCTCTTTTATTTCACTGAGCAGTGGTTTGTAGTTCTCCTTGAG
This sequence comes from Homo sapiens, assembly GCF_000001405.40. NCBI lineage: Eukaryota > Metazoa > Chordata > Mammalia > Primates > Hominidae > Homo > Homo sapiens. The sequence continues at coordinate 53,225,909 of NC_000005.10, forward strand.
GAGGTCCTTTACATGCTTTGTAAGTTGGATTCCTAGGTATTTTATTCTCTTTGAAGCAATTGTGAATGGGAGTTCACTCATGATTTGGCTCTCTGTTTGTCTGTTATTGGTGTATAAGAATGCTTGTGATTTTTGCACATTAATTTTGTATCCCAAGACTTTGCTGAAGTTGCTTATCAGCTTAAGGAGATTTTGGGCTGAGATGATGGGGTTTTCTAGATATACAATCATGTCATCTGCAAACAGGGACAGTTTGACTTCCTCTTTTCCTAATTGAATACCGTTTATTTCCTTCTCCTGCCTGATTGCCCTGGCCAGAACTTCCAACACTATGTTGAATAGGAGTGGTGAGAGAGGGCATCCCTGTCTTGTGCCAGTTTTCAAAGGGAATGCTTCCAGTTTTTGCCCATTCAGTAGGATATTGGCTGTGGGTTTGTCATAGATAGCTCTTACTATTTTGAGATATGTCCCATCAATACCTAATTTATTGAGAGATTTTAGCATGAAGGATTGTTGAATTTTGTCCAAGGCCTTTTCTGCATCTATTGAGATAATCATGTGGTTTTTGTCTTTGGCTCTGTTTATATGCTGGATTACGTTTATTGATTTTCATATGTTGAACCAACCTTGCATCCCAGGGATGAAGCCCACTTGATCATGTGGATAAGCTTTTTGATGAGTTGCTAGATTCGGTTGGCCAGTATTTATTGAGGCTTTTTGCATCAATGTTCATCAAGGATATTGGTCTAAAATTCTCTTTTTTGGTTGTGTCTCTGCCAGCCTTTAGTATCAGGATGATGCTGGCCTCATAAAATGAGTTAGGGAGGATTCCCTCTTTTTCTATTGATTGGAATAGTTTCAGAAGGAATGGTACCAGCTCCTCCTTGTACCTCTGGTAGAATTTGGCTGTGAATCCATCTGGCCCTGGACTTTTTTTGGTTAGTAAGCTATTAATTATTGCCTCAATTTCAGAGCCTTTTATTGGTCTATTCAGAGATTCAACTTCTTCCTGGTTTAGTCTTGGGAGGGTGTATGTGTCGAGGAATTTATCCATTTCTTCTAGATTTTCTGGTTTATTTGTGTAGAGGTGTTTATAATATTCTCTGATGGTAGTTTGTATTTCTGTGGGATCAGTGGTAATATCCCCTTTGTCATTATTTATTGCGTCTATTTGATTCTTCTCTAGTTTCTTCTTTATTAGTCTTGCTAGCGGTCTGTCAATTTTGTTGATCTTTTCAAAAAACTAGCTACTGGATTCATTGATTTTTTGAAGGGTTTTTTGTGTCTCTATTTCCTTCAGTTCTGCTCTGATTTTAGTTATTTCTTGCCTTTTGCTAGATTTTGAATGTGTATACTCTTGGTTCTCTATTTCTTTTACTTGTGATGTTAGGGTGTCAATTTTGGATCTTTCCTGGTTTCTTTTGTGGGCATTTAGTGCTATAAATTTCCCTCTACATATTGGTTTGAATGTGTCCTAGAGATTCTGATATGTTGTGTCTTCATTCTCAGATTGGTTTCAAAGAACATCTTTATTTCTGCCTTCATTTCATTATGTACCCAGTAGTCATTCAGGAGCAGGTTGTTCAATTTCCATGTAGTTGAGCGGTTTTGAGTGAGTTTCTTAATTCTGAGTTCTAGTTTGATTGTACTGTGATCTGAGAGACTAGGTGTGGTGTGGTGCTGAAAAGAATGTATATTCTGTTGATTTGGGGTGGAGAGTTCTGTAGATGTCTATTAGGTCCCCTTGGTGCAGAGCTGAGTTCAGTTCTTGGATATCCTTGTTAACTTTCTGTCTCATTGATCTGTCTAATGTTCACAGTGGGGTGTTAAAGTCTCCCACTATTATTGTGTGGGAGTCTAAGTCTCTTTGTAGGTCACTCAGGACTTGCTTTATGAATCTGGGTGCTCCTGTATTGGGTGCATATATATTTAGGATAGTTAGTTCTTCTTGTTGAATTCATCCCTTTACCATTATGTAATGGCCTTCTTTGTCTCTTTTGATCTTTGTTGGTTTAAAGTCTGTTTTATCAGAGACTAGGATTGCAACCCCTGCCTTTTTTTGTTTTCCATTTGCTTGGTAGATCTTCCTCCATCCCTTTATTTTGAGCCTATGTGTGTCTCTGCATGTGAGATGGGTTTCCTGAATACAGCACACTGATGGGTCTTGACTCTTTATCCAATTTGCCAGTCTGTGTCTTTTAATTGGAGCATTTAGCCCATTTACATTCAAGGTTAATATTGTTATGTGTGAATTTGATCATGTCATTATGATGTTAGCTGGTGATTTTGCTCATTAGTTGGTGCAGTTTCTTCCTAGCCTTGATGGTCTTTACAGTTTGGCATGTTTTTGCAGTGGCTGGTACCGATTGTTCCTTTCCATGTTTAGTGCTTCCTTTGGGAGCTCTTTTAGGGCAGGCCTGGTGGTGACAAAATCTCTCAGCATTTGCTTGTCTGTAAAGGATATTATTTCTCCTTCACTTATGAAGCTTAGTTTGGCTGGACATGAAATTCTGGGTTGAAAATTCTTTTCTTTAAGAATGTTGAATATTGGCCCCCACTCTCTTCTGGCTTGTAGACTTTCTGCTGAGAGATCCGCTGTTAGTCTGATGGGCTTCCCTTTGTGGGTAACCTGACCTTTCTCTCTGGCTGCCCTTAACATTTTTTCCTTCATTTCAACTTTGGTGAATCTGACAATTATGTGTCTTAGAGTTGCTCTTCTTGAGGAGTATCCTTGTGGCATTCTCTGTATTTCCTGAATTTGAATGTTGGCCTGCGGTGCTAGATTGGGGAAGTTCTCTTGGATAATATTCTGCAGAGTGTTTTCCAACTTGGTTCCATTCTCCCCGTCACTTTCAGGTACACCAATTAGATGTAGATTTGGTCTTTTCACATAGTCCCATATTTCTTGGAGGCTTTGTTCATTTCCTTTTATTCTTTTTACTCTAAACTTCTCTTCACACTTCATTTCATTCATTTCATCTTCCATCGCTGATACCCTTTCTTCCAGTTTATCGCATCAGTTACTGAGGCTTGTGCCTTTGTCACGTAGTTCTCATGCCATGGTTTTCAGCTCCATCAGGTCCTTTAAGGACTTCTCTGTGTTGTTTATTCTAGTTATCCATTTGTTTAATTTTTTTTCAAAGTTTTTAACTTCTTTGCTATTGGTTCGAACTTCCTCCTTTAGCTCGGAGTAGTTTGATCTTCCGAAGCCTTCCTCTCTCAACTCGTCAAAGTCATTCTCTGTCCAGCTTTGTTCCATTGCTGGTGAGGAGCTGTGTTCCTTTTGAGGAGGATAGGCCCTCTGATTTTTAGAGTTTCCAGTTTTTCTGCTCTGTTTTTTCCCCATCTTTGTGGTTTTTATCTACCTTCGGTCTTTGATGATGGTGACATACAGATGGGTTTTTGGTGTGGATGTCCTTTCTATTTGTTAGTTTTTCTTCTAACAGTCAGGACCTTAAGCTGCAGGTCTTTTGGAGTTTACTGGAGGTCCACTCCAGACCCTGTTTGCCTGGGTATCAGCAGTGGTGGCTGCAGAACAGTGGATATTAGTGAACTGCAAATGCTGCTGCCTGATCGGTCCTCTGGAAGTTTTGTCTTAGAGGAGTACCCTGTCGTGTGAGGTGTCAGTCTGCCCTACTGGTGGTGCCTCCCAGTTATGCTACTTGGGGGTTAGGGACCCACTTGAGGAGGCAGTCTGCCCATTCTCAGATCTCCAGCTGTGTGCGGGGAGAACCATTACTCTCTTCAAAGCTGTCAGACAGGGACATTTAAGTCTGCAGAGGTTATTGCTGTCTTTTGTTTGTCTGTGCCCTGCCCCCAGAGGTGGAGCCTACAGAGGCAGGAAGGCTTCCTTAAGCTGTGGTGGGCTCCACAAAGTTCGAGCTTCCTGTCCACTTTGTTTACCTACTCAAGCCTGAGCAATGGCAGGGGCCCCTCCCCCAGCCTCACTGCTGCCTTGCAGTTTGCTCTCAGACTGCTGTGCTAGCAATGAGCGAGGATCCATGGGCGTAGGAACCTCCGAGTCATGTGTGGGATATAATCTCCTGGTGTGCCATTTGATAAGCCCATTGGAAAAGTGCAGTATTAGGGTGGGAGTGACCCGATTTTCCAGTTGCCATCTGTCACCCCTTTCTTTGACTAGGAAAGCAAATTCCCTGACACCTTGTGCTTCCCAGGGGAGGTGATGCCTTGCCCTGCTTCAGCTCACACACGGTGCACTGCACCCACTGTCCTGCACCCACTTTCCGGCACTCCCCAGTGAGATGAACCCAGTTCCTCAGTTGGGAATGCAGAAATCACCCATCTTTTCTGTCGCTTATGCTGGGAGTTGTAGAATGGAGCTGTTCCTGTTCAGCCATCTTGGCTCCGCCCTCTGGACAATCTTTTTTAAAGTGACATTGTAAACCACACTGATAACAGGCCCTGCTGGGTGATTGGCCTGCTCCAATTTTTCTCCTCTCTGAACCACCAAGGTTTGTTTGGCTGAGGGCCATTACTAAGGCTGTGGCCTTTCTCTTATCCTGCTTTTCCTTTTTGGCTTGTTCCTCTTGGTCCCTACTATAGAACACCATGGTTGCCAGGTTTAATAATGCCTCTAAATTTTGCTCGGGGCCCAAGGCTAACTTTCAGAGCTTTTTCCTAATATCTGCAGCTGACTGAGTAATAAATTTGTCCTTTAAAATTAACTGGCCTTCAAGGGAATCTGGTGACAGGGGAGTATGCTTTCTCAAAGCCTCCCTCAGCCTTTTGAGGAAGGCAGTAGGGTTTTCTTGCTTCCCTTGGGTTACTGTAGACATCATTGAATAGTTCATGGGCTTTTTCCTAGTTCTTCTTAACCTTTCTAGGATACAGGTCAGTAAATACTTGCATCTCCAGGCCCCATGATCCAAGTCAGGTTCCCAGTGGGAAGCCATCCTAGGGACTGCTTGCTGGCCCATAGGAAACCACTCTCTCTCTTCTGATGTCATTCTATCACTTACTGAGGTACCAGGTATCCCCAAACTCTCAGGCTGCTGTTAAAGCAGCATTGTTCTCATTAGAGTTTAGGGTCTGATCAAACAATAACATGACATCTCTCCAAGAAAGGTCAAAAGATTGTCCCAGACCCTGTGGGACATCTGTGTATCTATCGGGGTCATCTGAGAACTTTCCTAAGTCTGCCTTAATTTGCTTTAAATCAGAGAGGGAAAAGGGAACATGTACTCAGGTTAGGCCAAATTCCCCTCCTACAGCTTGAAGAGGACATAGCTGTGGGCCAATGGGGTCTTTTGGCTCTTTGGAGGCTCTTTTATTTGTTCCCTTTTAGGCCATAGAGGCCAGAGAGGGTTCAGCATTAGTAGGAGAAGGAGCCATGGGGTGGCCTGGGTATGGGAGTAGACTTTGAGGACTCCCCATGGGGTGCAGACTATATGTCTTACACAATCATGTGTTATCTCTTAATGAGAAGAAGGTCTGAACATATGATACCTTGCACCACTTGCCTTCTCATTTACAAAAAGATCTCTAGTTTCAGGATGGTATTATAGTTTATACTTCCCTCAGGTGGTCATTGTTCTCCTCCTGGAAGAGGATATTGTGGCCAGGCAGTGCTGCAGAAAAACATGAGCCACTTCTTCTTCAATGTCTGGGGATCAAATTGGTCCCAATTACTCAGAATACACCTTAGGGGTGACTTTACTTTGGAGGAAATATCTCCCATCTAAAAGGACAGCATAGGGATGCCTGCACCCCTAGTCATTCCCAGTGTACACTGGTACTAGGGCATCCCCTACTGTTTTAGTGTCCTTTTTCCAGGGTGCACAATCACCCATGGAACCCTGCTTATCACATTTAATTGTGCTTACTGACTTAGCAGTTTCAACCACACTCTTTTCCCTCCCTTCTTAGCCACAAAGAAGGAGGCCAGGCTGCTGGGTTTATTGGCCTCTTACCAGTGTGCCTGGAACAGTTTTTGTTCCTGTGAGTGGGTTCTAAGTCTGGGGTGTATTCTTAGGTGGTTAATGAGGCTCTAGTTAGCACATTTCTGAGTTTGAAACTGCCCCAATAAGACAAACTCCTTAAAGATTGTACATAGACATAGCAATTTTAAGGTGGGGAGCAATAGGGTGTTGGACCAAGGCTGAAATAACATCTCGTGTACTAGCCTTTTGTTCCCACTTTCCATCATAAGAATATGACTTTTGATTTCCCAGTCAATGGTCTATTATATTACTTAACTCCCATAAGTGCGAGTGGTACCCTGAGTGGAAGAGCTCCATAGTTAGGATTGCTGATCCCAAACAAGAGAGATGATAAGTGAAATGGTTCCCAGTGAGGTGGGGACAACAGAAGGATAAATGTCCTAAGCCTTCCAGTAACCATTGGCACACACTATAGTGTCCTAAGTGTTGTCTCGGGTGCCAAATATGGGGAACAGATCCTGTATATTTGTATTGTTGCCCATCTACATAAGGATAAGCGATGGGACACCAGGAACATGGATCTGAGGGTTGGCATCCTAATTGTTTTAGATTCCTAATCCAGAGGGTTTTCATCCCGGGGTTAGAGAACATCCTGGAAGACACGGTCTCAAGAAAGTCTTCCCTACAGATGTTTGGACCCCGGAGGCATGGGTCTAGAAGGGCGGGTGAAGCACGTTTGGGCAGCTGCTTAACAAAGGTTTCACACAGCACCATGATCTTGACCAAGCAGTGCCAGGAGCTCAGGACTACTGTTTTCCACCCTTGGCCAGCCCTCAGTTCAACCCAGAAAATGCAGCGAAAGTGGGAACTGGTTCCAGGCAAACCAACGCTCCCGACTCAGAAGAGTTGGGGGTTGTTACAGACCCTTTTCTCAGAAAGACTTACACCCGTGTCTTTAGTCTGGCAGCCATGCTTGTCGTTTTTAAATGGCCAATAGGTGCCTAGTGTTTGCTCCTGATTCTAAAGAAAAATAGAGCAGAGTAGCAAGCAAAAGAGGTCCATCCAATGTTACTCACCACTTTGGAAATCCTGGATGAGCCCTCACAATGAGTCAGGAGTTTTTTCTGCTGATGGGTTCATGGTCTCACTAACTTTGAAGAATGAAGCTGTGGGCCTTCACAGTGAGTGTTACAGCTCAAAAAGAGTCCACAGACCAGGAGAGTGAGCAGCAGTGCAGTTCATTGAACAAAGCTTCCACATGGTGGAATGGGACCTGGAAGGTTTGCCTTTGCTGGCTCAGGTGGCTAGGGCTTATATCCCTGTATTACCCCCTCCCCTTTCTTTCTTTTTTTCATTGAAAGTGGTTCTTTTTTCAATCCTCCCTTGGAGTGGTTAATTTTGAATCCTTAACTCGACTGGTTAAGAACTCAAAATTCCGTGTCATGGGATCTTTTGCAAAAGTCCCTGAAATGGCCCAGGGAGTCCTGCCAGCTCCACCCCTGAATATGGTAACTCTATGTTCAACTTTTTGAGAAACTGCCAGACTGTTTTTCAAACTGGTTGCACCATTTTACAACACTAGCAATGTATGGAGATTCCAATTTCTTAACGTCTTCATCAACACTTGTACTGTCTGTCTTTTTCATTATAGCTATCTTTTTTTATTTTTTATTTTTTTGACAAGGTCTCATTCTGTCACCCAGGCTGGAGTGCAGTGGTGTGATCACAGGTCACCACAGCCTTGACCCCCTGGGCTTAAGCAATTCTCCCACCTCAGTCTCCTGGGTAGCTGGGACCACACCACCATCCCTGGCTAATTTTTTGATTTTTTGTAGAGACAAGGTCTCACTATGCTGCCCTGACTGGTCTGGTACTCTTGGACAAAAGAAAACCTCCTACCTCAGCCTCTCAAAGTGCTGGGATTACAGGCATGAGCCACCATGCCCAGTCTGACTATAGCTATCTTAACGTTAGGGTGTGAGAGGTAGCTCATGGTGGTTTTGATTTGAATTTCCCTAACAACAAATGATGTAGAGCATCTTTTTGTGTGTTCATTGGCCATTTGTACATCTTCTTTGGAGAAATGTTTATTCAAATCTTTTGCCAATTTTTAACTGGGTTATTTGTCTTTTTATTGTTGAGAAATGTATTGTCTTAAATGAGAAAAATTGCTATTTTGTTGTCTTGTGAGGATCACATGAGTGGATGACCCTCTTGGTTACTGCTATATAGAGCAAGAAGATGCCCATTGCCCTGGAATTAGCTATTACAGAATGTTGGGGACTTTATCAAAACTGCTCTGTCTTGTGAGAGAGCTAGTATGAGAAGTTAATCATGGGGAAAATGGTAGATTCATTTCAACAATGCATCCAGAGGTTTCCAGGATTAGTCGCCAAATGTGATTCTTTAAGTTAGGGAGACCCATTGGAGTGGATTAAGAACATAAGAATTAGTAAGAATTAGAACAACAATGAGGTCTCCAAAATAATATTGTCCTGAGGAAGGGAGGCATCTAGCTTGTGATTCAGGCTAAACCATATGTCTGAGGATTCACTAGTAAAAGCTAATTTCAGATTTCTGGAAAAACTACTCTACTTAAGTGAGTATGATTGGGGGTGGGGGGAACAGCTTCAATGTGAATTAGTAGTACAGTGACCTTAAACCTAAGGTAACTATGTAATTTCTTCCCCCAAACTATGGCACCTTTAAATAGGAAAGGAGTGGCATTAATAATTCAGCAGACCATAGGAAAAATCTTGTCCTCTTGCAGTGATGTCCCTGCTAGTCTGGGACACTTCTAGATACACTGGCCCCCACAGCACTTCATCCTTGTGACACCACCACAAAAGGACAGCCTTCTGGCAATCAATGAAGAAACAGTCCTTAACAACGACAGAACGTGGAGGTGAGGACCAACAGCAGTTATTCAACTGGCATTTAGAAATAGGAGAAACTGGCTTCCTGCTCAAAGGGCAAATGACTATTTGTGCACTTAATTG